>NC_000017.11:55060980-55685980 GCF_000001405.40 Homo sapiens
GGATATTAAGCATTTGGCAAATTCTCTGGGTTCAGATAAGCCCACTTGTAGTTGGCCTCACCTGTGTAAAGGTTGAGTTCAGTTCTTGAGAAGAGCATGAAGTCCTGAGGCAGAAATATAAGGTCAAATCAACACAGGATTCTCTGTGGACAATTGAGGTTGAACATGAATCAAGTAACAGCTAGTGCAGCTGACATGTGAGCTATCTTAGTTTTCAGATGAAGCAACAAAGGAAACCAAGAACAAATTAAATGTGTCTTTAAAAGGAACAACAATAATAAGTGATTCCTAAAGTACTTTTCACATTTTCACACTTTTAAAGATTGTGTTTCTTGTGTATTCATTTAAAAAGCAGCAAAGCCTCTAATTTTCAGAATTGATGTGATTTCTCTTATTTTTCTTTAGTGATTAAATTTTTACTAGTTTTTCAGTATAGCACTAGTAGGTGTTTTAAGATGCTATCTCATCTTCAGAGGGAAAAAGAAGAAAAATACATATATTTGTCAGTCTTTTCTGTTCTAAAAGCATGCTGTAGTAAAATGTTCCTGTTTCCATTTCAGATAGTCACTGTGGCCTCAGAATGCCAGCTTTTATTTTCTACCAAAAACCCTCTTTACTCAGATCCCTCATGCTATTCTTTTATTGCCACAGCCACATCCTACCTGCTCCCCTAACACCTGGCAAACACTAATCTGTTCTATATCTCCATAATGTTGTCATTTCAAGAATATTGTATAAATGGAATCATACAGTATGTCATCTTTTGGGATTGGTTCTTTTTACTCAGCAATAATTCCCTTGGGATTCGTCTAGATTCTTGTGTGTATCTGTAGGTTGTTCCTTCTTATTGATGAGTGCATTTAAAACTGGTTAAATCTAAATAAAGTTGTGGGTTGTATCCATGTCAGTTTCCTAGTTGTGATAGTCTATTACAGTCATGCAAGATGAAACTACTGGGGGAGGTTGGATAAAGAGTGCATTCTCCTATACATGCCTGTAATCCCAGCACTTTAGGAGGCCAAAGTGGGAGGATTGCTTCAGACCAAGAGGTCAAAATCAGCCTGGGCAACCAATCATGACTCCATCTCTACAATTATCTTAAAAGGCTTTTTTTTTTTTAAATATATATTTTAAGTTCTGGGATACATGTGCAGAACGTGCAGGTTCGTTACATAGGTATACACGTGCCATGGTGGTTTGCTGCACCCATCAATCCATCATCTACATTAGGTATTTCTCCTAATGCTATCCCTCCTCTCACCCCTGACCCCCTGACAGGCCCCAGTGTGTGATGATCCCCTTTCTGTGTCCATGTGTTCTCATTGTTCAACTCCCACTTTTGAGTAAGAACATGCAGTGTTTGGTTTTCTGTTCCTGTGTTAGTTTGCTGAGAATGATAATTTCCAGCTTCATCCATGTCCCTTCAAAGGACATGCACTCATCCTTTTTTTATGGCTGCATAGTATTACCTGGTGTATATTTGCCGCATTTTCTTTATCCAGTCTATCATTGATGGGCATTTGGGTTGATTCCAAGTCTTTGCTATTGTGAATAGTGCTACAATAAACATATGTGTGCATGTGTGTGTGTGTCTTTATAGTAGAATGATTTATAATCCTTTAGGTATATAACCAGTAATGAGATTGCTGGGTCAAATGGTATTTCTGGTTCTAGATCCTTGAGAAATCTCCACACTGTCTTCCACAGTGGTTGAACTAATTTACACTCCCACCAACAGTGTAAAAGTGTTCCTGTTTCTCCACATCCTCTCCAGCATCTGTTGTTTCCTGACTTTTTAATGATCGCCATTCTAACTGGCGTGAGATGCTATCTCATTGTGGTTTTGATTTGCATTTCTCTAATGACCAATGATGATGAGCTTTGATTGGTGTACCTGGAAGTTGGAAAAGGCTTTTTTAAAAGATTTTTAAAAATCTCTTTGAGAAAAGAAGTTATAAAGCTCTTATAGTGATAGACAGCAATCTGGTTGAAGAAACTTATTAAACAAACTTAGTTGGATTTTTTTTACATTAATTCCTTTTTTGTGATTCAGAAAGTGACTCCTGTATTCTCCACCATTAAACTATGACCAAGAAACAGCAGTGAGCTTGGAGAAGGAACACCAGCACATAGCTTTTGGACAGCCCAGCTGGCATTCCTGTTTGCGCAGACACCAACCATACCTAGTGATTCATTAGAGGTGAATGTAGCCTTCTAAGCAAGCATTGGCAAACAAAGGTGTCTATTTCAAAATTATCATTTCCAAATAGTTGTTTGTCTTTTTAATTGTAGAAAAGATCTTACCATGTTAATGATTCTAAGAGAAATTTTATTATCCTATTTATAATATAGAACTCAATTTAGAATCACAGAATTTTCAATGTTGGAAGAATCTGCAATTCTTCATAGGAACCTTCCAGTTCATTTGATTATTACCTATAGTAGGTTGGCCTAGTTAGAACTGATGCTGTTAAAGTTCTAGGTTCCATACTATGAGCCACTTATTTTCTGGCTATTTAGGGACCACATGTCATACTTTGGCATCAGTTGTACTATAAGCTCTATAGTAACTTATAAGGGAGACCTGGTAAGAGAATTTAAGAAACATTTCTAAATGCGTGCTTTATATGGAGTCATTGTGAATGCTAAACATACAGTTCTACAAGGAGCTCTCAATCTAGTAAGCAAAAATAAAAATAGAGCAAAATCGTCACTTTCTAGAAAGCATTTCATAATAGGTGCCCTGTGGCTGGTGAGTTGTTAGAGGCATATCTATATAGGAAAGTAGGCATTACTCCCCATAATTTTCTTTGCTTTACTAAAAACAAATACACATCACTAAAATTCCATTATTCAGTTGCTAAGAGAACATCTTTAAGGGTATATTTTAAACATCTACTTAGAAGCTGAACATTTTGCATTTCTTAATGTTAGAGCAATATAAATTAATTTGGCTGACAAACTAGTAAATTTTACCCAAGGAGGAAGTAGTGATAAGGCAGTTAATACTATAAAACTCTTATCTTGACAGTTTACTATGTGAGAAACACTTTCTGTCCCTTACTTCAGTATGGGACTCATGACATTGTGTTAAATGATTTATTCACAAGCTATTTTAGGGTTAAAAACAAGACTTCTCTAGTCATGCCTAATCCCACATAAATAAATCACTATTTGAAAATATTGCTTTGATTAACCGTCATCCATGTTAGATATCAAAGATTGTCTGTAACCATGGATTTGAAATTAAACTGTGAACTTCATCACAGTTCTTCAGTATTGAAGGCAGCTGATTTCCTGATGTGGTTGCTAGTGGTATTCTGCTACCCCTGCCACATGCCCTTTATCTTGTCTGTGTCCCCTTCCCACCACTGCTTTTTCCTCTTTCCTCCTCTCATATTCTTAATCACTGTTTTTCCCCTTTCACTACTGTAATTATAAGATCTCTTTACACTGTAGTTATTAACCCTATTTCTACCAATTCTGGGGCATATTTCCCTCTGTCTACAAATTGCCTTTCTAATGTTTGTTTGAGATGGAGTCTTGCTCTGTCGCCCAGACTGGAGTGCAGTGGCACAATCTCGGCTACTGCAACCTCCAGCTCCCGGGTTCAAGCGATTCTACTGCCTCCGCCTCCTGAGTAGCTGGGATTGCAGGCACGCCACCCGCCACCCGCCACCATGCCCGGCTAATTTTTGTACTTTTAGTAGAGACAGGGTTTCACCATGTTGGTCAGGCTGGTCTCGAACTCGTGACCTTGCGATCCACCCACCTCCGCCTCCCAAAGTGCCGGGATTACAGTCTAATTTTTTTTGAAGTTTTTAAACATAAATGTTTTTGTGTTGTCAAACCTTTGTCTTTATGATTTTTCGTTTTTTATAACTTTATTTAAGTTCATTCCTAGTCATATTTCAGATATATATTTACCTAGATCCCTGTAATATCTTTCTTTAATTCATCTAAGAAATTATTTTGTTAGATATATGGTATGAGATGAGGGTCTACACTTTACACTGTTTTTCCAAATAGTTGTCGCAACCACTTTTATTTTGTGTTATCATCATTATCATAGATTAAATTCTTACATAATATAGGGTCTGTATGGGGCTATCTGGTCTTTCTAGTTGCTTTTTCAATCAATATTTATTAGGTAAATGACTGTTTTATCTAACTCCTCTTTGGCCAGTACCAACTATTGCTGCTTTATGAAAGCCTTAAATTCTTGGGCCATGTTTCCTCTTGTTTCTTTATTTCTTGTTGTTTCAAAATTTGCTTACCAGTTTTCACTGATTTATTCATCGACATCAACTTAAGAATCTTTTTATTTAGCTCTTGTTATGTCTCGCTTTGAATTTAGAATTCTTGGTCAAATTCCTCCAAAACAAAATTTGATGAAATTTTGATTCCAATTTAATTAAATCTCTAAAGGTTAATGTGGAAGGAATATATTTCTGTTTTAAAGACAGATCTCCCTTAAGTCCCAAATTTCAGATGAATTCTAATGTTTAACACCCCGGAAGTTGCTTTTGAATTGTACCATTTTTCAATGAAAAGAGTTTAATCTGCAATTATGAAAGGAAGTTTCCAATACTATAAATTTTCCCTTTTGTGTAACCAGAATTGGAGAATTAGGAAAGTAGCTTTTTTTTTTTCTATGTCAGTCTTCATTAAACCAGAAAATACATGTTCAAGGTTAAATATATTTTTCAAAGAGGATTGTAACTAATATTTATATTGTGAACAAGTTTCATATGATAAAATTTATCAATTAGATGTATTTTTATATCTGTCCTTGATTAGGGACTTCTGTTTATAAAGGAGATTGAAAATTGTTTCTTTGATTTTCTTTGATGCTTAGAAGCAGAAATCAATTTTGCACCTTTTGGAGAGTAAGGCAGCTGCAGGTAAAAAAAGTTGAAAGCTCTTGGGAGGGTTAATTAGAGCTAATTATAATCTGATTGACCTGTTTTTCTTCCAAAAGCTTAACCAATCTTTCTTTGCAAAATGAGCATGGATTTTACTTTATCATACAAACTAAAGAAAATCTTTGTTTCTTGAAGTTCTAGATATCCATCATTATTACACACTTTATAAATGAGTGTTGCTACCTAAACTGTGGAATCAAGGATTAGGTAAGGTTGAAAAAGACCTTCAAGATTATTTAGTCTTAGAGAACATGCACTGTATTTCTCATGATGGAAAATTGTGGGTTTTGTTGTTTTGTTTTGTTTTGTTTTGTTTTGTTTTGTTTTGTTTTGTTTGAGACAGAGTCTCGCTGTGTCACCCAGGCTAGAGTGCAGTGGTGTGATCTCAACTCAGTGCAACCTCCACCTCTCAAATTCAAGAGATTCTTCTGCCTCAGCCTCCCAAGTAGCCGGGGTTACAGGGTCCTGCCACCATACCCATCTGATTTTTGTATTTTTAGTAGACATGAGGTTTCACCATATTAGCTATGCTGATCTCAAATTCCTGACCTCAGGTGATCCACCTGCCTTGGCCTTTCAAAGTGCTAGGATTACAGATGTAAGCCACTGTGCCTGGCCAAAAATTGTAATTTTTAAGGAAATATAAATTAATGTTCATAATTTTAAAATCTTATATTTTTAATGAAAACAAGAAATAAAATTGACAAACAAGTATAATTGTCATTTTTAGCATTGGTATTTTCTTCATTCCACTTAGTCTTATTTGCTTGATAAATACTGTAAAAAAGATTTTTTAAAATTTATATAAAAAGAATATAATGCAGCCTGGCATGGTGGCTCACACCTGTAATCCCATCACTTTCGGAGGCCGAGGTGGGTGGATGTCTTTAGATCACCTTGAACCTGGGAGGCGGAGGTTGCGGTGAATCAAGATCATGCCACTCCACTCCAGCCTAGGCAACACAGTGAGACTCTAAAAAAGTAATATAATGAAATAATTTGCCTATTATTATATGGTGTTTCTCAAAGCATAGTTTATGATTGTTATTTTAATTGTTAAATAAAATGTAGTTCTAATATTCCCATAAATCTGAACCCTTTTTTGAAGAAATTTCCTATGAAAGCTTCTTGCCTAAATAAGTTCCTTAAGGCAGTTTTTGTATATGAAAAATGAAATAGTCATTTTCATGGTTTGTCAACTCAGTTATATCTCATTTTATGTTAAGTAGAGTACCTGCTCATATTAGATAGGGTTTTTACTCTCAGACAGATTGTGTTCTAATTTGGGCAGTCAAGACCCTTTGATTTTAGAAAGTTGGGTAATAAAGCATTTTAATGACAGTTCAAGATAGCAGTTAAGAGTACTAAATATGTGATTAATTACAGACGACAAATCTAAAAGATAAAAAAGGAGAGAAAGATCATTTATACAAAAGTAGAATGGAAAAACAGATAAGGTGAAATCTGAGATAGATTTTGAAGGACAAGTAACAACTAAATGATGGAAAAAGGTGAAAAATATATATACCTAGAGGATTAATGTGACCCAAAGTGTCTTGGAAGTAGAAGAATTTCACCTGGTAAATGTGGTAAGTTAATGTACTTGGATATGGGAATCATGTGAGAGTTAAGTGGACTAAAGCTAGTAAGTAGGTTGATTTGGAATAGGTAGTAGAGAACTTTGAAGAATGAAGAATGAGGATATATTTTATCATGTACCATGTTGTTAGGTTTGTTACCTAAGGTGGTACTTCATCAATATTTTGAGGAAATCAATCTTTCAGAAGTATGCAGAATACAATAAAGAACACAGTAGGCAGGGTGATCACATATGTGATTTTCATAGTACCCAAGCATGAGAGGATAAAGACATAAATCAGTAATACAGTGGTTAGAATGGAAATTAAGCAACAGCTGCAAATTACATTATAAATGAAGACTTCACAGTGCTTAATTACTGGTTAGGTAAGGAGGAGGAGGAGTTGGCTAGATGAGTCATGGAGGGGGAGTGAGGAAAGAGAAAAGAAAGCATATGTCAGAGGTCTGTTAAAAAGTTCTACGAATCATATTCTCCCCCATACACATTCATGCCTGAGGGGTGAGTTATACCTTCATTTGTCAATATCTGCAAAGCATTTTGGGATTATCCATTGAAAGGTATATTATATATATTTTAACAAATCAGACTCATAAGTCAAGGAAACTAGATATAACTTGCTTTTAAACATTTTAATTCAATAGCTCTTTTCCTGCAGTAACCCTTAATTTTTTTCACAAGCTGTAATAGTACCAAGACCAAGAAGGGCTTTCCAAAGAGTGGATGTAGGAAGCTGATAAGAGAAGTATTCTTTAGGGCTTGGTAGCATAGGTTACATTGCACAAAAACATTATATCTCTTTGCAGTCTCATTTTTCTCCTGTCACCTATTGACATTTTGAAAGATTTACTGATGAACTTAAAAATTGCAGAACTTTTAAATTTAGTGATGTGAATGTGTTAGCCTAATTACAGATGTGCTACTGCAATTAATGCTTTTTCCTTCTACTATAGGGAGCCATTCATTACAACTCATAACTAGAGGAAAGGGCTTTACATGATTGTTGCTAACATTAAAAAATACATGTGCAAATTTTGTTTCCAAACAACTCTCCAAAGTTCAAGAGCTGGTGTTACTAATTGAGTGCCTCAGGAAAACCCTTAATAAATTATTTTGTCTAGCTCTTTGATCACACAGGTGATTATGTATATTTTTTCAAGGTAAGAAAGAGGAAAAGGAAAAAATTGTGCCAAGAACTATTATAGTTTCTTTAATTCTCTTGTGAGAATAGTTTTGATCTAATAAAATAGGTGTGATTTTCCATTATAAAAATGAGCAAACTGAGTCTTAGAGAATTACAGAGCCAGAAAATTTTTAAAAGTGTAAAATTCTGATCTGAGATTCTAACCTAGTTATGTCCCATTCAAAGCCCATGTTTTTTCATTCTAGATCATGTTACCTTGTGGGGGAAAAGTACTGTATGTGGAAAAACACATAGTATATTTATTGTCCTGTGTGTGAGCTGTTACCGTGCTTTGTCCCAACAAAAGTCCAAAGTATTGGTAGCCTACAAAGATTTTCATTAGTTCAGATTACATTTTCAAAGAAGACTTTGGTCTGCTCTTTGAAGTTTCATTATGTAATCGTGAGGCAGAAAAACCTCATTTTATAAAGGGCCAGTGTGAGTTGAAGACATTTCCTCAGTGTTGCCAAAAAAAAAAAAAAAAAAATAAGCTAGAGATTTTACTTCTTAATTCAGGATTCCCTTCTAGTATGTTTGCTCACACTGCTTAGTATTAAAAAGCATAATGCTTATGTGGATTTTCTGACTTACTACTATATCTTCATTTTTCTTTTATTATCTAACCTTCTAAACTGAATTAAACTCTATCTAGTACATAGTAAATCAGTAAATGGACGACAGCATTTTCCCTGATGGGATTTCAGTCTCATGGTGAGGCACTGGGAAAATTCTGGCTCAGTTGTTACTGACATAGGAGGCTGTACAGTTATTTATTAGAAGACAGCCTGGGAGGAAAAGAGAAAATGGATTTATGTGATCTTGTATTGCTAAATACGGCACACTGCTGTTATCTTTTCTTTACTGCTTCCTCTAAAAGTCATCATTTCAATGCACTAATCTTTTAAACAGCCATTCAGTGGTAACTGGGCTAGAACTTTGCTAAGGGGTCACATTCACCAACCTGACAGTTACACATTTACAAAAGAAATAGCATGAATTTATTCAGCATCAAAACCTCTGCATCTTTTACCACCCAACTACATTTCACACTGTATTACCATCAGTGCACAATAATGGCTATATAAATTCCATCCAGAGTCTTCATTTAATTAACTAGCATTCTTTGAACAAAAATAAAAGTGCTGTTTTTATAGAGGAATAAAAGCTGCATGAAGTGAGTGTGAAGAAGACAAATCATCAAATTAGTTATTCTTCATTGCAGCTATGGAGAATTTCCTGCCCTTTCTCTTTAGAGTCTTTTTTTTTTTAGATTGATTGAATGAAAAATGGAGAGTGAAGCAGCCTCAAATATACCTATTGTAATGACCACATCATAAGCTCATCCAGGACTGGGCACTGATAATATTGTCATCTAAAAGTGATTTTTTAAAAACATTTTCTGTAGTTGGCAAGGTAGTACAGCATAGTAGCCAAGAACATGAACTTTATAACTAGACTGCCAAATCTTAGCTCTGTCACTTACTAGGTTTGTGATTCTGAGTTAGTTACTTAACTTTCCTGTGCATCAATGTCCTGTCTATAAAATGCAGATAATAATAGACATATCCATGGCAGTGTGTGGATTAACTGAGTTGATGGATGTAAAACATTGAGAATAGTGCTGGCACATAGTTAGCCATTATCTCCTGTATGCACAGCAGCAGTCTAGTGTGAAGTTGATCTAGCTGTGTCACTAGAGACTCTCTTGATCATCTGAATGAAATTGACTGGTGTGGTAGGCTAGGTTAATGTACCTACCTTTTCCAGATATTTCTTTCTAAAAGTATTCTTTTATTATAAAACAATTACTTTTAGATACAAGGAAATAAAGTCCTTTGAGTCAAGGGCATAGAAGGCAATTGGTTGGCCACATCTCTCCATCTGGCACCCTGCTGCCAGATTTAGCTTTCTAAAGCACTGTTTTCTCATATCATTTTCTGCTCAGAAGCCTTCAAGTCTTCTTCAGACTCAAGCTCCTTCCCCTTCATGCCTGCCATTTCTACCAGAGCCTGACTCCCTCCCTTTCCACGACCTTTTTTTATCCATTACTCCCCTATAGCAAGTCTCTACTCCAATCATAATTGATCTAGTATTGTTTCACAGTGTGCCACATTTCTTCTTGTCTCTCTTCCTTTATTCACATGGTTCTCTTTTTGTAACATCCTCTTTTCTTCATCCATTTATCTAAGTCATACCTGATGTTCTAAGTTGAGACAGAAAAGGAGAGGTTATCTTTTACCCCTTTGTATTTTTGTCATAAACATGGTTGCTAGATGCAGTGGCTGCTAAATAAATGCTATTGATGAACTACTCTGTTGGCTTTACCTTCAAACTGTATTTAGAATCTAACTGCTTCACACCAACTCCACCACTATCACCCTTATTGAAGCTACAGTTAATTTTTGCCCATCTCCTTTTTCTTCTCCCTGCTTCCACCCTTGCCCACCATCTACAGTCTATTCTCAACACAGCAGCAAAAGTAACACTTTTAAAATTTAAGTCAGATCACATCGATTCTCTGCCCAAAACCCTCCAATCATTTCCCATCTTACCCTGAGTAAAACCAAAGTCCTTGCAACGGCCTACAAATTCTCTTAGCCTCTGCCACTTCACTCTACCTCCATCCCTATATTCACTCTTGTTACCATTCTGCCCTCATGTCTTACTACTCCCGTCTTCCTGGACCCTACTACTCCTACCTCTACTACACTGGCTTCCTTGCTGTTCTCTGAAAGACACAAATCACAGCTCCATCTCAGGGCCTTCATGCAAACTGTTCGCTCTTCCTAGAAAGCTCCTCCTTGGGAAATCCTAACTCCATTCCTCCTGCAGGTCTCTGGTCAGTTATCTTTTCAATGAGACATTTACCTCTCATCCCTGATTTACTGTCTATCTCCCCAAACTTAGAATGTAAATTCCAAGGAGCAAGAGGGAAGGCTTTTTGTCTATATTGTTTAGTGTCTACCCCCAGTACCTGAAACAGAACCTGACACATAATAAATACTTAATAAATCATTATTGAATGTATGAATGAAAAACTGACCCTTAAGAATATGCCAGCATTCCTAACCCTCCCAGCACTTCAAATGTATTTAGGCTCAAACAAAAGCAAATGTCCCTTAACAGCTCTGAAAAAATTAAAATAGCCATAGTTTAATATTAGCCATGGCAATTGGAGCAGAAAGTTCTATCGCAGAGAAAAGAGATTTCTGCATCAAGTAAAGAAAAAGGAATGGTTTACAGTATAAGAAGTGCCATATTAAATTATATTGGTGTCCTGGGGGACTGTCTTTGACCCAGTACCAAGGTACATTTTTTTCCCTCCAAGTACATTTTGATAGAGCAAGTGGTTTTGGCTACCCTTTCCTCTTCCTAAGGTGGAAGGTATACCTGTATGGGGTTTTTTTGTTTTTTCATTTAGAGGCAGAGTAAAACAGTAGAAAGACAGCATTAATGTTGCAGTCAGGCAGACCTAGTTTCAGATTCTGGCACTGCTGTGTGTTCTTGAACAGGTCATATAACTTCTCTGAGTCTGTTTGCTTATGTATGAAATGTTTTTTAGTAATGTCTTTCTCTCAATATTGTTTTAAAGATTAAGTGAGAAAAGACACGTGATGCACCTGAGACATAACATGTGTTTAATAAATGTCTTGTGAGCCTTGCATTCAACAACACGATTATGTACTTTGCTACTAAATGCTACCTTTTGGCTTAAACCAAAAGGGAGAAGTAGTAGATAGATTGACGTCCATGAGATAACTTTAGCCCCTGGAGCTTGGTCCATGGAGAAGCCCCATAACACTACTACAAATCTCTCAGCAGCATCTGATGACCCTACAAGAGCCTTTTTAGAACATGAGTCCTACTACCTACTTGAGTTTTGTTGTAGCCTACTCTTTTTATCTTTTGAGCCCTTTCTTATTCTTCTGTTTTCCATTTTCAACTATCTTCTACTTCCTTTATTTTCAAAATGTTATGCTAGGTATATGAAGTCAAGAGATTCCATGCTGAAATCAACAAAGGAAAAAGTAAGATCAGGCAACTACCTCACATAATAAAATAACATAACTATTAATTTTCAAATTGATAAATAAATAATATATGTATATTGACTTTTTGGAATTATAACTTCCAGAGCAAGGAAAATATTTTGTATAAACCTCGGAACTATTTCTTATGTATTTTTTAAATGACATTAATTTTGAAATCTTTAGGAAGCCAAAGCTGTAGTTGAAGAAACAAGAGCCCTGCGTAGTCGGATTCATCTTGCTGAAGCTGCTCAGAGACAGGCACATGGAATGGAAATGGACTATGAAGAAGTGATCCGTCTGTTAGAGGCCAAGATTACAGAGCTAAAGGCTCAGCTTGCTGATTATTCTGACCAAAATAAAGTAAGCAAAGCAGTCATCTCTTCCAGTTACCATGGTTTCCTTGCCGTTGTCATGTATCCTGTTTTCATTTTCTTTTCATCTGCACTTCTAAACTAGGTCAGTGTTTGTCTTCTATTATTCAATGATAGGATGCTGTGTCCTGATGGGGATAATGTAAAGGTCTTGAGCCTTCCTTTATCCAGATGGCTTTGGGATGGAAAAGCATGTGCCCCAAATTTATTTAGGTCATTGGTCAAAATTGTTCAGTTCAGGTATTAAGTCCTGGAACTCTTTAACATTTAATTGATTACATTGGTTTTTTTCTTTTGTTTCTAAACCTGCTAATTTGTTTTATGGGAATGGGAGCAGGGGAGTCTAGGAATGGGTTTGCTCTTTGATTAGAGCATTCAAGGAAGTATTAAAGTGAAGGAATGTTTGCCTAAGGCCTAGATAATTAATGGGAAGAAACTGAGTTTGAATTTTTTTTAATGTGAGGTGTACTAAAGTAGTTTCCAATAGATGATTTTCCAGTTTCAATAGCAAAATACTGAATGCTTTTCAGAAGGCAGTGCGAACTTTTTGTTGTTGTTGACACAGAGTTTCACTCTTGTCGCCCAGGCTGGAGTGCAATGGCATGATCTCAGCTCACTGCAACCTCCGCCTCCCAGGTTCAAGTGATTCTCCTGCCTCAGCCTCCCAAGTAGCTGCGGTTACAGACACCTGCCACCACACCCAGCTAATTTTTTGTATTTTTGTAGAGACAGGGTTTCACCATCTTGGCCAGGCTGGTCTTGACCTCCTGACCTCAGGTGATCCACCAGTCTCGGCCTTCCAAAGTGCTGGGATTACAGGCATGAGCCACCACGCCTGGACAGTGCAAACTTTTTTATGCAATTTTTTTTTACATAATACATACTATATTCAGTGAAGAGGCTTCAAAAATCTATAATAGTCATATATTTTTACTTCACTGAATTAAGGTAGAAAATCGAGTAAATTGAAATAAATATTCATACATTTGTTCACTTACAAACATAACTGGTTATGTATATCTCTAATCCAATCAGTTTCTAAGAGAACATAAAGAAAATCTGAATAATTTATGACTATTTAAACATTAAAAAGTTAAATACTTTAAATATAGCATGTGAAAATGAAACTAGTGTTACAAATGCAAAATACCAAAGAAAATTTGAAATCTGTTAAAAGTCACTAAACTATTTCTCACATTATTCACTTAAACCAATTCCACAAGAAGGCTGAAGTTCCCATCACCCTTTGATAATACCACAAGGCGAAGAGGAAAACATATAGTTTACAAATCAGCAATATTTAGGAATATTACATATTTGTTATTTGTGACCTGGTTTTTACATTCTGAAAGTAGATATGTGATAATGTTATGTAACTTTAGCCTGAGTATGAAAATATTTTGAGATTTATCACAATATCAAAAGTACTATTTATTATGGTTACTTTTGAAGTGAAAAATCAAGAGTGTTTAATATTTTATTTTTAAATGATATAACTTTCAAGAAAGTTCACATGAAATTATTCCTTGTTTTTTGTTTCTTTTTTAAGCTTGGGTTATTTGTAATCTCTCTTCCAGCTCTTAACTGAGAAACATTTTTGTCCTAAGTTGCCTGGTAATATAATTAATTCAGTTTTTCTCTCTTTTATCATAATCGGGTTCTCATGCCATTTCTCTTAACAAGACTCTAAGCCAGTAACCTGTCTCTGAAAACAGTCTTTAAAGAGTCTCTTTAAAGAGCTATTAATATGAGCATCTCAACATTCAACATTTTCTAAACCCAATATCAGTGGAAAAAAAGAAGGAAACCTTTTTTTTTTAATCATGAGATTGCTTAAAGAGACATTGACCAAGATGTTACAGAATTAAAATTCAAGTGTCTATTTGTAAGATAACAGATTCTTTTTGTAACAGTACATTTATTTTTCATTATAATTTTTTCTTTATGTTATTTATTTATTTATTTACCTTTTGGAGTTTTTATTCACCTTCAACATAAGAAATAAAACATTACTAGTACCTTTGAAGACCCACAGTGTTTCTCTCCAATTGCATCTCCCACCCTTTCCCTCAGAGATAATCACTTTCTTGGATTTATTCTTAACCATTTTCTTGAAAACTTTACTACTTGTGTATATATTCCTTAACAATATGTTGTTTAGTTTTACCTGTTTATCAACTTTATATAAATAGAAATATACTCTATGTATCATTCTGACCTGCTTTTCTTCACTCGACATTTTGTTTTTGCATTTCATCTATTTGAAGTTTTTAGCTAGTTCGTGTCTTCTTATTGTTTCTTGTACTCTATTGTGTGGATATACTACGTGTAATTATCCATTCTGCATTTGATGGACAGTCCAATTGTTTCTGTTCTCTTCTGTTATAAATGGTGCTAAAAACATTTTAGTGCATGTATCCTGCTCCACATGTGTAATAGTTACCTGCTAGGAGTAGAATTGCTAAGTTGAATAATTGTAAGTTTGGCTTTACTAGGTAATGCCTACTTGTGCTTGAAAGTGTTTGAACTAATTTGTACTCCCACCAGTAATGAATAAGAATTATTGTTTACCCCGCATACTTGCTGACCCTTTGTTTTATTTTAATTTTATTAATCTGGTAGTTGTAATAAGTGTTACATCATTACAGTTTAATTTGAATTTCCCTGGTTACTAATGGCTTTGAGACAGTGATGTGCTGGGACCAACTGACACTAGCTCATGAGAGCTGATTGCATGCATCTCTTCTCAACTCAATGTACAGTGATATCAGGTTGGTAGCTTGAAATCAGCTATAATGGGGTTATTTCTACCCATAAATGTTATAAACCAAGGTTTCCTCCTCCCTGGTAGCCAGTTGAGCATATATTTATCTCTTTATTAGGCATTTGTGTTTCTCTGTGAAATGCTTCTTCATATCTTTTGACCCTTTTTCAGTGGATTAGTTGTCTTTTTCATGTAGATGTATAGTGATTCTTCTGGTTACTAATCCTTTGTTAAATTACATGTTATAAAAATCTTCTTCCAAATTTCTGGCTTGCCTTTTCACTCTATGGTAAAATGGACACAAATCCAGTCATCCCTCCTGACTTAATTTCCATTTTTGTCAGTATTTTAGTTCTTTCTTTACTTTTAAGACCACAAATTAGACATTGATTATTTGTTTTGTGTGGTCAGCATTTGCTTAATAGACTCCATTTTTACCATTTTCTGTTAAGCATTCTTACATCTCAGACCTTCTCACTTGGTTTCTTTCTTCATGAGTACATATTTTAGAAATTCATGTAGTGAGGATCTGATGATAATAAGCTCTCCCCATTTTATTTGTCTGAAGAACATCTTTATTCAACTCTTGTTCTTGAAATATATTTTTGCTACATTTAAAATGTTAAGTTGGCATTTAATATCTTTCACTGTTTTTATTTCGTGTTTGTGATGTCAGCTGTCAATCTGTCATTTGTTTGCAATCTGTTTCCTTCTATATGATTTTAAGATATCTTTGGCTTCAATGTTCAGCAGTTTGACTATGATGAATCATGTGTGAACTTACTTTAGTGTGTACTATTTGGGATTCATTGAGCTTCCCGATTCGAAGAGCAATGTCTTCTGCCATTTCTGGAAATCACTAAGCTATTATCCTGAGCGATTTCTCTTTCATTCTTTGTATTTGTTCTTGTGTAATTCAGATTGGATGTGTGCTATAGCTTCTTCTGGCTGTTTTCTCTTTACCTTTTCTCCCCATTTGTATTTCAATTTTTGTCTTTCTGTTCCATTATGAGAAGTTTCTTTACCTCTGTTGTCAAGTTCACCCATTCTCTTTATAATTGTATCTAACTGGATGTCAAATCTATAAATAAAGTTTCTAATTTAGTTATGTTACATTTTTATTTTTGAGATGTATTTTTTATGTTATCTGGATCTATTTCAATAGTTTCTTGTGTATTATACTTTCAATTCCCTCTTATTTTTAAAAACATATTAAACATAATTGCCTTATATTTTGTATCTGCTCACTTAAATATCTGCTGTCTTTATAGATCTGATACTGTACTTTATTTCCTTCAGTTAGCTTTCATTCATAGAGCTTATTTTCTCATATGTTTAGTGATTTTTGTTTGTGTCTGTGAGATCATGTTCTATCAATGCATTATAAGTGGGAATTCTTTGAGCTCTGAGTTTTAGAAATATCTCTCCAGAGTTTTGAGTTTGCTTCTGCTAGCCTGGGACCAATTTAAAGTAAAATTTCAGCATATGGCTTTTTAGGCCACACAGATAATGTAAATTCTGGCCCCAAACCTGTGTGAATGGGGACTTTTGGTTAGGAATTATTCAGGAGAAACTTTTTTACTCAAGTCACCTGAGCCAACATCAAAACACTGTTTACCTCTGTGAAGTTTACTTCTTCCCAGTTCACCCATTGAGTTTCTTCTGTTTTCCATTTGTGACTGTTGAAACCCCAAACTGTAGGCCACCAGGGATCAGCATATACCCTCCGAACAAATAATGCTTCAGTGCTCTCTTACCCCAGTGGGCTCACTTGGCATCGCTGTTGCATGTCTCCATGGAATTCCTTTACTTCCTTGCTAGCTTTGTCTTACATCGTGTGTGTGTGTGTGTGTGTGTGTGTGTGTGTGTGTGTGTGTGTATCCAGCATTTTTAGTTATGTTAAATTAGTAGAGGTTTCTGTCAGCATCTGGTAAGACACATTGCAAAAACAAAACAAAACAAAACCATAAACTAATTTAAATGTATTTTACTATAAGAATCAATAAACTCATATACAACTTATCTCATAAAACTTGCAGTATCTCTGTGCAAATTAACTTTTAAATATGCAGTTAGTTACATGCCCCCCAAAATCAAAACATATGTACAGTAAGAGAAAAAGATAATTTGGTAATATTGAATATTAGTTCATAAAAACTGAAAATAGGGACCAGTAATGTAAAACTGAAGAAATGTGTAAATGCTCCTTTTGATATCTCTGTGCAGGAAAGTGTTCAGGATTTAAAAAAGAGAATCATGGTACTCGACTGCCAATTACGAAAATCAGAAATGGCTCGAAAAACTTTTGAGGCATCCACTGAAAAGCTTCTTCATTTTGTAGAGGTAAGTTTTTCTGTTCTATTACATTCATCTTTAAAAAATATATAGGCAACTGGCATATAGATAAATGTTACTGTATTTGGTACCTAGTGAAACATTCTCTAGTCTCAAAGCAGCAATGCTGGCTTATGGTCAGATTTAGAACTGCATACATGATGAAAAGACTGGCTAACATTTTATAGATTGTTTAGAGAAATAATTGAGACAAGGTGATGGGATTCCAAGTATATACTATTTTAATGAATACTTTACCAAAAATCCTGATAATGCATAAACATTATTTGATAACTACTTACCTTATAAAGAAATGTTTTCATAGCTGTTATATTTCTGAGTAAAACTGCATGTTAGTTCAATTGTTTGCACCCCCGCTACATAATAGAAGCATCAGTTTAATCCGTGGACAGAGGAGGTTATAAATATTAATGAAGAAAAGATATTTTTTAAAAACTGTCAAACTGATATATCTCCTTCACCATCTTGTTTGTTGCTAGGCTATTCAAGAAGTATTTTCTGATAATTCTACTCCTTTATCAAATTTAAGGTAAGAAAATTTAAGTGCTTTTTGCAGAATATGGGTAGTGATTAAATTCTTCATCTGGTCATTGTGACTCAAATACTAAAAATCTCTTAAATAGTCCTAAGGTGCTACATAACTCCCATTGGATGCCATCATATGGAAATAGATGCAAGGACATATTGTTTTGTGTCCCATCTCTGTTAAAGAAATTCCTGGAGGTATTTAGTCAATCATTGTAACCTTGTAATCTAAAATTATGGTAGAAACCACCTATCCTGTCTTTATCAAAAATTCTATAAAGATGAGATTAACTTAAAATTCTGTAATTGTCTTGCGTATGAATCAAAGTTACTGGTCACAGGTTCACTACTAAAAGTGTCTCAACCCAGCAGGTTAGTTGTTCTGGCAAACAGAATTTTGGAAAACATATTCATGCAATCATTTTCTTTCGTTTTCATCTTTCAGTAGCTATAAATAAAAGAAATATATTTGGAGAATATACCTCGATTGTCTCATTATTCATAATATGTTTTGGATTTAAAGTTTCTTACTAGAAGCTGGAAACATACTAATCAAATTTATTTATTTCAAACCACAAGTTTATGGTCATTTTGATACATGATGAAAGACATTTACAAAAGAAAGATTCTTGTTTATGCATTTCCAAAGTAATTTTTTTCTGCTCTCATAATAGCTGCCACTAGTCCTAGATACATCTTCTACTTCTAGCAATATACGCTTGCAGAAACAGGAAGACTCAATGAGGTTGGGTGTGATGGTGCATACCTGTAATCCCAGTATTTTGGGAGGCTGAGGCAGGGGGATCACTTGAGCCCAGGAGTTTGAGACAAGGAACATAGTGGCACACAGTGGGACCCTATCTCTACAAAAAAAAAAAAAAAAAGAAATAGCCAGATGGGATGGTGCATTCCTATATTCCCAGCTACTTGGGAGGTTGAGGCAGGAGGATTGCTGGAGCCCAGGAGCTCTAGGAGATTGAGGCTGCAATGAGCTGTGATCATACCACTGCCCTCCAGCCTGGATAACATAGTGATGCCCTGTCTCAAAAAGTAAATAAATACTCTACCCTTTACTGTGAAAACAGCAGCTTAATAAGTGAAGATATTTTTGGTGTCCACATAGCATTTTTTAATTTAGAAGAATATTTATAATTCACTTCTAAACTCAAGTAATGTTTTACTTCTTATGATGAAGGAACCTGACATAACTTCTTACTCTCCTTGCTGCTTATGATACAAGAAAACTCTGTGAATTTCATGATTATTACTCTCAGTAAGGATCTTAAAATAATCAGTAATCACATTTATTTCTTTATGGGCTAAGTGTGTCACCCACCCTCAGCTTTCCAAGGTCTTAGTTTTACCTTGACTAATAATTCAAAAGTTTTGTTTTAAAAATTAAGGTTAAAATGACTATTTAAAAGCCAGAGCCTGCCCTTGCCTTAAACTGCTTCATGGAAAAAAAGACAACTTTAAATAGCTACATCACGCAACATTTCATGGTGTCTTAGTAAATTAAACACTAGTAAAAACTGGTGCAGTCATTTCAATATAGCATATCCTCTACATGGATATTGGCCCTGGTCATTCAACACAGAATAAAGGCTATGTATTTGAATTTGAGAACTGATGCTTTTGTTACCCTTTGTGAATTAATATCATTATGCTTAGGAAGATGGAGTATAAATAATGATGATTTTGTCATCAGTTTAAATTTTTTTTTCAAGTAAGTTTTAGTGTAATTTTTTGAAGAAAACATTTAATTTTTAATTAGATCAGAATGCATTCATTTTAGGTGACATTTGCATTTTTTGAAAGTGATACAAATGCTCTAGGCTGTTTTTGATTCGAGGCAAAAAATGGAATAATTTAAGAGATAATTTCAGGAGCCAAATACATATATTGAATTTATATTTAATATTACTAGAAGTAATAATAAATGTATTTTAACAAATTCATGTTTATATGCTTAATTTGAATTTATACAGAACTAAATAAAATTATATCATGTTAGCAAAAGAGAAGCACTCACAAAATAAGCCCAACAAATGATTTAGGAGACAGGTCATCCTTCTATTACTTCTTTATCATACATGAAGTCAACCTAATTTTAAAATATTTCTACTTATTATGTCGTAAATAATTGAAAACAGAAATATTGTTTTATGTGAATTACTTCAATTTTGGTTATATGAAATAATTTCCTCAGAAATATAAATATTTTTGTACAAATCTATAACTGATACAACTTCAGATTTAGTAAAGATAGATGTTGTTTATTGTGTAGTAAGTTCAACTTTATTTTATTGCCTTCATAGTGAAAGAAGAGCTGTGTTAGCTTCTCAGACTTCCCTCACACCACTGGGAAGGAATGGACGTAGCATCCCAGCAACGCTGGCGCTTGAATCTAAGGAACTTGTTAAATCTGTTCGTGCCTTACTTGATATGGATTGTAAGTTTTCTGCATTTTTTCACTTTTTAAAAGTAATTTATTTAACAAAACAAATTGAAGTCAGACAGTTGAATTTCGTTATAGTGGCTTGCCTACAGCAAAGTTGATACCTAATCAATAAAAATATTAATGTACCAATCATAGGAGGAGAATATTTCCTTTATGTAAAGGCTCAGAATGAAGCTCTAATTAAGATATGCCTTTACATCCACTTCCACCCAAAGTTTCTTTGAAATGGCAGAATAAATGTAAAAATCAATCCGCAGCAGCACTGGAAACTGGAGGAGTGGAATCAGCATTGAGGAACTTGTTGTTAAATAATAATATCCCACAGGTGGAATAAGATTAAATGTACAGTCCAACTGAGCAAAAGACCCCAAAACACAAATATAACAGACAAAACTGCTGAAACGATGAGTTAAGCAGAACCATGGAAAAAACCCCAGGATCACAGACAGTGAAGACTGGGAACAGACTCTGGGGCAGTCAGCAGGGTAATTAATTAAATGGCTTGGAATAGCTGAACCAGTTCCCTAGTCTTCAGAGCTGCTGGCTCAGGCATATCCTCCTATGCTGGAGCCAGGAAAATACCTCTCTAAAGGAACTACATGAACTGTCACTAGATACCCCTAGAGTCATCATTGGGCTAGAAAGAGAAGTAAGGCAATGCTCTAAGTAACTTCCATCATCCCAACAGACAGAGAAATCCTTGGGGAAAACTTAAATGATTGGACATTTTCCTCTTTTTCTTTTTGTGTCTCTCCAGACACTTTTGTCTCTTTATGAATTTCAACTCCCTTTTTCTAACTACTTCTTACGTACTCTTTATTTTCCTGCAATGAAAATTATAATTTACCTAACTATACCTATAATTTATAAAAATCAACAATGTGCTAATGTACTGTAGAGGAGAAATAAGAGGGAGGTGATTTATAATAAAATTATATATATTTCAAAACATAAATGCTTTAGTACAGCTATACTAGGATATATAATGTAGTCATCAGATGCCTGCACCTAAACAGAGAATCACCACAAATGTGGCAACCATGAATGTAGACTGATACAGGAACATTGTGTTGTCATTTTAAATAGCATGAGCAGATTGTCATCAGTAATGTCCAAATGATTGTCCAAAATGGTGACCAATGGTAAAGTTCTGAAGAGAAGAAAGTAAAATCTTCCATTAATTTATATAGTAGGTACAAGCCTGGGAAATTTAATGTATATTAAAACTATGCAAAAATATTTGGAGTTTATCTAAAAATGGAATTTTGTTCCAGATTTTAGTAATTACAAACAGATTTTTTACCACCATAAATATCTAGTAGGACATTTAAACATTATACAGGACACAGAACAATTCTTTGTTGCACAGGACCGTTCAGTGTATCCAATAATGATAGGATGTTTAGCATTCCTAGTACCCTTTCACTAAATGCCAAAAATATCCCCAAACACTGTGACAATAGATAATGCCTCACAAATTTCCAAAAATGCCCCCTAGGTGCAATACCATTCTTAGTGGGAACCTCTATTGTTGATCCTTATTTAAAATATGAACCAACAACCAAGAATCACCTAATAATGGTCCAGGGGGAGAAGAACTGCATAACAGGGAGATTCTGAAGAGAGAGAAAAAAAGTCTTTAATTAAATAAAGATAATGTAATATTCTGAAGATAGCTATATTATATTCTTGAAATAAAATGAAGTTATTATCCTTAAAGAGAATCAATGACACATTGCATTCATAACACAAGAAGTAGTTGCATGCAAGAAAGCATTTTTTTTTTTAAGACATGGTCTTGCTTTATTACCCAGGCTGGAGTGCAGTGGCTCGATCTCAGCTCATTGCAACCTCCTCCTCCCCGATCCCCCATCACTCCCACCCCTAGGTTCAGGTGTCTCAGCCTCTCAGGTAGCTGAGACCACAGGTGTACATCACCATGCCTGGCATTTTTTTATTTTTAGTAGAGACAGGGTCTCTCCATGTTGCCCAGGCCTGGTCTTGAACTCCTGGACTGAAGCAATCCACCCACCTCAGCCTCACAAAGTGTTGGGATTAAAGCCATGAGCCACCACACCCGGCCAGAAAAGAGCTTTTAAAAAGTATTTTACATCTCCTTTTTCACTAAATGAAGATATTACTCAAAAAAGTTGTTTGATTATTAAATAATATAATTTATTTGAAGCACCTACCTATCACATTCCTAGCACAAAAAACATACTCGGGAATAAGTTTTGAATTGTGGTTGAACTATGTACATAGCACTTTTTTAAAAATAAGCTGTTCCATTTACCATTGCTGCAGAACAAATCAACCCAAAAGTTAATGGCTTAAACCAACAATTTAGTATTGTCTCTCATGGTCCTTTTGGTTAATTGCGCTCAGCTAGGCAGCTCATGTTAGAGCACTCTCACGTGGTTGCAGTCAGATGTCTGTTGGGGATGCAATATCTGATGACTCTACTGGGCTGGACATCTAAGATGGGAGCTCATCTGTGGCTATCAACTGGAACACCTACCTATATTTGGCCTCCCTAGCATGGTGACCTCAAGGTAGTTGAATTTCTTATGTGGTGGCTCAAGGCTCCAGCATAGGTGTTTCAGTGAACAAGACAAAAGCTGTATCACCTTTTATGACCCAGCCTCAGAAGTCACACAGCCTCGCTTTCACCATATTCTATTCATCAATGCAAATTTGAGGGGATGGGACTTAGACTCCACCCGTGTATGGGAAAGTGACAAGGTCTCTTTATAGAAGAGCATATAGTCAGAAGTTATTATTGTGGCCATCTTTGGAGAATAATATGTGATACATTACTGGGTCAAATGGTATTTCTAGTTCTAGATCCCTGAGGAATCGCCACACTGACTTCCACAATGGTTGAACTAGTTTACAGTCCCACCAACAGTGTAAAAGTGTTCCTATTTCTCCACATCCTCTCCAGCACCTGTTGTTTCCTGACTTTTTAATGATTGCCATTCTAACTGGTGTGAGATGGTATCTCATTGTGGTTTTGCTTTGCATTTCTCTGATGGCCAGTGATGGTGAGCATTTTTTCATGTGTTTTTTGGCTGCATAAATGTCTTCTTTAGAGAAGTGTCTGTTCATGTCCTTTGCCCACTTTTTGATGGGGTTGTTTGCTTTTTTCTTGTAAATTTGTTTGAATTCATTGTAGATTCTGGATATTAGCCCTTTGTCAGATGAGTAGGTTGCGAAAATTTTCTCCCATTTTGTAGGTTGCCTGTTCTTTCTGATGGTAGTTTCTTTTGCTGTGCAGAAGCTCTTTAGTTTAATTAGATCCCATTTGTCAATTTTGGCTTTTGTTGCCATTGCTTTTGGTGTTTTAGACATGAAGTCCTTGCCCATGCCTATGTCCTGAATGGTAATGCCTAGGTTTTCTTCTAGGGTTTTTATGGTTTTAGGTCTAACGTTTAAGTCTTTAATCCATCTTGAATTGATTTTTGTATAAGGTGTAAGGAAGGGATCCAGTTTCAGCTTTCTACATATGGCTAGCCAGTTTTCCCAGCACCATTTATTAAATAGAGAATCCTTTCCCCATTTCTTGTTTTTGTCAGGTTTGTCAAAGATCAGATAGTTGTAGATATGCGGCGTTATTTCTGAGGGCTCTGTTCTGTTCCATTGATCTATATCTCTGTTTTGGTACCAGTATATAACCAAAGGACTATAAATCATGCTGCTATAAAGACACATGCACATGTATGTTTATTGCGGCATTATTCACAATAGCAAAGACTTGGAACCAACCCAAATGTCCAACAATGATAGACTGGATTAAGAAAATGTGGCACATACACACCATGGAATACTATGCAGCCATAAAAATGATGAGTTCGTGTCCTTTGTAGGGACATGGATGAAATTGGAAATCATCATTCTCAGTAAACTATCACAAGAACAAAAAACCAAACACCGCATATTCTCACTCATAGGTGGGAATTGAACAATGAGAACACATGGACACAGGAAGGGGAACATCACACTCTGGGGACTGTTGTGGGGTGGGTGGAGGGGGGAGGGATGGCAGTGGGAGATATACCTAATGCTAGATGACGAGTTAGTGGGTGCAGCGCACCAGCAAGGCACATGTATACATATGTAACTAACCTGCATATTGTGCACATGTACCCTAAAACTTAAAGTATAATAAAAAAAAAGTGATACATTAGTATAAGTTAAATACAAGTTAATTTAGTTGGGATGGCTCAATAATCATTATTACAAGTACCCATTAATATATGGCATATTAGTAGATTAGTGTGTTAGATTTTGGTTGTTTTTCTGTCTCTTCCCTAATGTCACCCTACCTGCTAGTTGTCTTTCTGCTTGCTTCTAACATTCCACCATCCCTCTAGTTTGCCACTTTTAATCTTCCCTATGCTGGGGAATAGATGAAAAAAGAATGAGAAAGAGAGAAAGAAAGATGTAAAGTTCCATGTTAATTAACTATCAAAATGATGTTTTCAGTACAGTTCTGGGTAATAGATGGCTTGGCTTGGTATGGGGTAACATTCAAAGACCCTCTGGGGTAAGTTCTGATTTCACAACTGTGTTATGGAGGATTGGAAACTATGCCACTCATAGTGTCTACTCAGTTTTCCCAATAAATATATACTTAAAAATTTGTATAACCTAATACATTTGTAAAAATCAAATTATATATCAAAAACTCCTAAGAGCTAATTATGTGAAGAAATTCTGTGGGTTTTAGGAGGAATGAAAATAATCACTCGTAATGTGTTATGTGTAAGTTCAGAATTTTATATATCAGACATTTTTATGTTGGGGTGGCAACAGTGGAGGGAAACACCTGCACAGACATAGCCCAGTGAACACTGCCATCATTAATTTTCATTATCTTGCTAACATTAACTTCAGTATCTGTCAAACATGATTATTCAAAGAATATATTCGAAATTCTGCAGAACTTATTTGGAAGAAAAGTAAAAAATTTCATCAGCACTTTTTTTTCCCCAATGATACTCAGTAATTTCCAGGCTGGTTATAAATTAATTATGCAATCAGGTTTTTTATATTTTATTTAAATTTTATTTTCAATTGACAAGTAATAATTGTATGTATGCATGGGGTACATAGTGATATTTTGATACACATAATATACAATAGTCAGATAAGAGTAACTAGCATATCTATCATCTCAAACATTGATCATTTCCTTTGGTTGGGAACATTCAATATCCTCCTTCTAGCTATTTCAAACTATATAGTACATTATTGTTAACTATACTCATCCTGCACTAGTATAGAACACTAGAACTTATTCCTTCTATCTAGCTGTAATTTTTTATCCTTTAACAAATCTCTCCCTATCCCCCTGTTCTCCGTGTCCTTCCAGTCTCTAGTACCCTCTGTTCTACTTTTTACTTCCGTGAGATCAACTTTTTTATTCGTATATGGAGACACGCACACATACCACATTTTCCTTATCCATTCGTCTGTTGTTGCACACTAAGGTTGATTCCATATCTTGGCTATTGTGAATAGTGCTGCAATACACATGGCAGGATGTCTCTTCAATATGCTGACTTTCTTTTCTTTGGATAAATGCCCAGTAGTAGGATTGCTGACTCATATTGTAGTTCTATTTTTGTTTTTTGAGGAACCTTTATACTGATCTCCATAGTGGCTTTACTAGTTTACATTCCCACCAGTGGTGTACAAGGGTTCCCTTTTCTCTGCATCTTCTCCAGCATTTACTTTCTGTGTTTTTGATAATAGTCATCTTAACTAGGGTGAGATGGTAACTCATTGTGGATTTGATTTGCATTTCCCTGACGATTAGTGATGTTGAGCATTTTTCATCTATTTGCTGGCCATTTGTATGTCTTCTTTTGGGAAATGTCTGTTCAGATCATTTGCTCACTTTTTAAATCAGATTGATTGGTTTTTTGCTGTTGGTTTTCTGCTAGTAGTTTGAGTTCCTTGTGTATTCTGAATATTAATTCCCTGTCAGAAGAGTAGTTTGCAAATATTGTCTCCAATTCTATAGGTTGTCTTTTCACTCTTGATTGTTACCTTTGCTGTGCAGAAGGTCTTTAGTTTGATATAATCTCATTTGTTTATTTTGCTTTTGTTGCCTGTGCTTTTGAGGTCTCATTCATAAAATCTTTTCCCAGACCATTGTCTTGAAGTGTTTCCCCTATTTTTTTCTCCTAGTAGTTTTATATTCAGATCTTACATTTAGGTCTTTGCTTCATTTTGAGTTGATTTTTGTATAGGGTCATTCATCTGCATATGGATATCCAGTTTTTCCAGTACCGTTTGTTGAAGAGACTATCCTTTCCCAATGCTTTTGGCACCTTTGTCAAAAATCAGTTGGCTGTAAATATGTGGATTAATTTCTGGGTTGTCTATTCTGTTTCATTGGTCTGTGTGATTTTAGGCCGGTCCCATGCTGTTTTGGTTACTGCAGCTTTGTAGTATATTTTGAAGTCTGGTAGTGTGATGTTTCCAGCTTTGTTGTTTTTGCTCAGGTTTGCTTTGGCTCTTCAGGGTCTCTTGTGGTTCCATTAAAATTTTAGAATTTTTTTCTGTTTCCGTGAAGAATGTCATTGGTATTTTGATGGGTATTATATTGAATGTGTAGATTGCTTTGGGTAGTATTGTTATTTTAACAGTACTATTAATAATTATTCTGATCTGTGAGCATGGGATATCCTTCCATTTGTTTATAGCCTCTTCAGTTTCTTCCATGAGCATTTTGTAGTTTTCCCATGAGCATTTTATAGTTTTCCTTATAGAGGTATTACCTCTTGCAAGGGTTATGCTTTGATGTTTAAAACTAGCAAATCTATGTTGTCCTTTTATTTAGAAATATAATTGCTAATGTTGGCACATTTTGCCAGTACTTTTTATAAATTTGTATGACATAGCTTTTCAAGTTTAATAATTCAGATTAAATTCAGCTGATTTTCTTTCTCTTTAAGCAGCAGCTTTTTCTGCATGGAAAACAAAATTACTACCATGAGGTAGATAATTCAGCCACAACCCCTCCCTCATTTTCTTTCTTTGCCTTGGCTATCTGGTTATTTCAAGTTACAATTTGAAATTTTTACTTGGGTAATTGCCTCTACTTTCTTCTTAATATAAGTGTTCTCTAGGATGTTATACTATGGGATTTTCTCAGAAAGCTGAAGGATAAGATTTATTGGCTCTTACAGCTTAAAACCAGGCTCTAAGGAATATCTAGAAGACAATTCTGTTGCCCGGGCTGGAGTACAATGATGTGATCCTGGCTCACCACAAACTCCGCCTCCCAGGTTCAAGCAATTCTCCTTGCCTCAGCCTCCTGAGTAGCTGGGATTACAGGTGCCTGCCACCACACCTGGCTAATTTTTGTATTTTTAGTAGAGACAGGTTTTCACCATGTTGGTCAGGCTGGTCTCAAACTCCTGACCTCAGGTAATCCACCTGCCTCAGCCTCCCAAAGTGCTGGGATTACAGGCGTGAGCCACCGTGCCAGGCCTAGAAGACAATTCTAAAGCTTTCCTGGATTGTGGACTCCATTGAAATCTGATGAAAATCTTCTTCCCAGAAATGTGAGATTATACACATTTTGGATCCATTTTCAGAGTATTTATGAACCCCGACCTAGGACTCTCCCATGTATAAGGAACATGAATGCTTTCCACATCATTGCATACATGGCCATCCCAGCCTCACCAGAATACCTCTAACAGTAGAGAAGTGTGTAAATCATAGAGGCAGCCTGGAAGGAAGCAGCAGTTTGAATACATGTAAACAATGCTCCACAGAATCTCTGATGTTCCTTAGAGATGCTCCACAGAGCACCCCAATTGTTCATCCAATTTCATTGGCCAAATTGCTTAATTTCTAGGTCTGTTTTTGCATATAAAAAGTGGATCTCATAATATCAAAGTGGCAGGATTGAAAGATTAAATGTAGTACATATGAAATTCCCAAAAGAGCCTCTGGTAGGGTAAGATGTTCCCTGTATGGATGTTGTTGTTGTTGTTGCTGCTGCTGCCACTGCCATGACTACTGCTGGTGCCACATTATTGTTATTTAAAGTAATTAATTTAATTTTACTTTCTCGCTGTGGTAGGTATTAAATTATTATTGTCTAAAGCTTCTTTCAACTTGGATACATTTGAAAATATGGTAGATGAGAGCTTTTCATAATATGTATCATTTAATGTTATTATTGATGTTGTGTTAGAATGTAATTGTCACCGGAAACTGTGGCTAAATGTCTTAATCAGCATCTTATCTTTCAGTTGTTTATTGCTAACTGTGAGGAAACTTTTGTCTGTTCTGTCATTATTCACAGTGAAAACAGTCTGAAAACAGAATAGGCATTTTTAATCAGTATTGGAACCCCTGGAGATGCTTCTATTGATCTCCTTATATTTACATGTTCTATATCATTATAATGCCTTTGTGTAGTTTCTATTTGAAATAAAATAGTTTTGAACTACATGTTCAGAACTGCAATTTCTGTTTAACTGACATATAGATTGACAAAATGATTATGTAACAAAAGCATAAAGAGGCAGTTCTATCTTTAGAAATGCATAATAAGAAAAAATCTGGCCAGGTAACCCATATGAGGTCTTTAATAAAAAGAGAATATATTGACTTCTTGTTAAATTGACAGCATAAGCACAGGCCTTTAACTACCTTCCTTCAGGCCTCATGGAAATGATAACTAGAATACAAAATAGGGCAAAAATCTTCAAAAGCACTAGCTGTTACAGGTGAATCCTAAAATCTTTTTAATATAGGAGAGATAGGACCACATGGATGGAAAGCAGGAAGGGCCAACCTGTTACTCCCACTGCTAAACAACAGTAACGATTGTGGGAATAACTGACTGGCAGGAACCCTGGCAGGAGGACACTCTTAATATGTTCTGATTTGAAGGAGTAATGAATAAAGTCAAAGACAGGCTGGGGGTAGGGGGCAGACGATCTCTTTTCACTCTTTTTTATCTTAGTGAGTCAGTGGCATTTGTTGAAATCCTCAGGTTCACACAGATTATTTGTCAAGCAGAAGGACAACTGGGGCTTGATCCTTTAGAAAGTGGAGACACACTTTAGATCTGACAGACACTGGGGCATACAGGAAGCTTTAAATGTAAGAGGAGTTGGCACGACAGCTTCAGCACCAAAAGCCACATCACTCTGCGCAGCCACCTCTTGTTCTAAGTCACTTTTCACCCCACTCAGACTGCTGAGTCATCCTTAAACTCACAATGCAAAGGTACATTTCACCCAGAGGTTTGAGAGGGTAATTCCAACAACAATTTGGTCAAATTTTAGGGCAATCAAAGGGTCTACACATTCTTTAAAAGGTCAAAAACCAGTTCTGAGTAGAGAGCTCTCTAAATTCAAGCTTTTATGAATAAAAATGTATAACATATATAATGTGTATATATACACACACATCTCATTCAGGCTATTCTAGCTCTTATAAACAAATGCATACATATACATATAAATATATGATTGTGAAAAGGTCCACAAATAAAGCCAGGAAATACAGCTCTCAAGATTCATAGTGGACTTCAGGATCAAGATAGAAGAGGGATCTCATGCTAAAACCTTCCCATTCTGCTCTTACACATAGAAATGACATTTTAAATTGTGTGTGTGTGTGTGTGTCTGTGTGTGTGTGTGTGTGTGTGTGTGTGTGTGTGTGTGTTTAGATAAAAAACAAGAAAGGAATATCACCCTGCATCAGAAACAATATGAAACTATCATGATAAGTAGGATTTTAAGCTTCAGAGATTTCACAGAATTGAGATCAGCAATTGGAGCTAAGGTTTCTACACCCAAGAGGCCCTAAATGATGCCTAAGCAAAGGAAGCAAGGAGCGGGAATCCTTCTGTAGAGAATATACTTTATTTTCTTAAATTGCTCATGTATTAGGCATTTTAAAAAATCCCTCCAGTTTATGAGCCATCTGGGCCTGCCACTAATTAAAGTTGAAAGTAAACATTTCATCCACTACAGGTGGGGAATATAAATTGGCATGACATCCTTGGGAATCCGTTTTGCAGTATATATCAAGAGCTTTTTAAATATCCATTTGGAAGGTTTTTTTGAAAGTTAAAATGTTTTTAATGGTCATATATTCTCACTCAATAATCCCACCTGTTACTATTTTTTTTGCAAAAAAGATGTGTATAAGTATATACATGTATTTTTATTACTGCATTTCTTATACAGATTGAACATCCCAAATCTGAAATCCCAAATTTGAAATGCCCCAAAATCCAAAACTTTTGAGTGCAGATATGGCCCCAGAAGTGGAAAATTTCACACCTGACCTCATGTGATGGGTGGTAGTCAAAACACAGGAGCATAACACAGTTTATTCAGCGTCCCCAAGAGAAAAAAAACTAACAAAACAAAACAAAACACCCTCCCAGCCCACTTCAGCTTTGATATATTTTTTTCTGAGCAAGCATGATGGTGATGCCAAACAACCACAGATTGTCCACATGGGTGACCAGAATAGTGACACCTTTACTTTCTGATGGTTCAATGATCACAAGTTTGGTTCACGCACAGAATTGTGACCAGAATAGTGACACCTTTACTTTCTGATGGTTCAATGATCACAAATTTGGTTCACGCACAGAATTGTTACAAATATTCTATAAAAGCTGTGTAAAAGGTGCTTATGAAACAAATGAATTGTATGTTGTAGTCTTGGGTCCCATTCCTAAGGTACCTCATTATGTATATGCAAGTATTCCAAAATCCAAAATACTTCTGGTCCAAGCATCTCAGATAAGGGTACTCAACCTGTAATATCAAAAATATGGATGTTACCATTATTCTAACGGAAGTAACTCAGGAATGGAAAGCCAAACATCATTATCTTTTCACTTATAAGTGGGAGCTAAGATATGAGGACGCAAAGACTAAGAATGACACAATGGACTCTGGGGACTTAGTAGGAAGGCTGGGAGGGGGTTAAGGGATAAAAGACTACACATTGGGTGCAGTGTACACTGCTCAAGTGATGGCTGCACCAAAACCTCAGAAATCACACCTAAAGAACTTATCCATGTAACCAAACACCACCTGTTCCCCCAAAACTATTGAAATAACAATAAATAAATAAATGAAATGAAATACATAACATTTTGAAAATATTTCTATTAACAGTAAAAAAAGTCCTAATTTCTCTCAGTAAAGAAAGATTATGATTTTGTATTTTATTAACAACCATGTAATTTAGTAGGTCTCATTACTCTGAAAAATCTTTGGCATATTATTTTAGGCAACAAAAGAAATGGATGTTCAACTTTTACAGGTTGATTCAATAACTATGTTATTTTTACTCAACCAATTGAAAAATAAGACTGTCAAGCAGTGACCATCTGATTGCATGTATTTGTCTGTGCAAGTCTCCTGCATCACTTCAGATGTTCCTATCTGAAATCAGCAATATATTACCTTTTAAGAAGAATGTGAGTAGTAGCTGCCTTTTTTCTGTTACATCTGAAGCTAATTAGAAGTTACTTAAGCAGATTAGAAAAGGTTTTATGAGAAAAAGGGGAAAGGCAGTACTGTAACATTTTAAAGGCCTTGATGGGATTTATCTTTTAAATTCTTCCCTTCTTTAGGAGCTAAAGCTTAGACTTGATATGGCGTCTTCTCATTCTACTTATTCTGGACCTCAGACATTCATCATTCTTTTCCTCATTTCCCCCAGAGCATATATTTATTAAGAAGCATGAATTTATTAAACAAAAAAACATTTTTTTTGTTTTTTGTTTTTTGTTTGTTTTTTGTTTTTTGTTTTTTGGAGACAGGGTCTCTCTCTATTGCCCAAGCTGGAGTGCAGTGGCGCAATCTCGGCTCACTGCAACCTCTGCCTCCTGGGTTCAAGCGATTCTCGTGCCTCAGCTTCCCAAGTAGCTGGGATTACAGGTGTACTCCACCATGCCCAGCTAAGTTTTGTATTCTTAGTAGAGATGGGTTTTGCCACATTGGCCCGGCTGGTCTTGAACACACACAAGTGATCTGCCCCCCTCGGCCTCCCAAAGTGCTGGGATAATAGGCATGAGTCACCGCACCCAGCCAAAACTGTGTTTCTTTAATGAAAGTCAGCTATACTATTAATATTTAGAATGGACATTATGGTATTTTCCTCTACACAAAGTAATTATGCTATTTCTTCTCCTAGAATTGGGGTGATGTTCCAAGCATTAGATAATAGCTTATTATATGATTCTGTGTCACTTGAGAGAAATTTTACCTGTTTTTGTAAAACAGCCCTGTTCTCTGGTGACTTGATTATTCAAAGCCAGATAATAACCACAACAAATATTTGTGGCATTTTGCCATTCAAGGAAATGGCGAACTCACATATTCTCCTGTGTTGTTTCAAACTGAAAGTAGGTCACTGTTGTAAGGTTCCATTAAGAAAATATATCAAATTTAATCTTGGGAGTTTTAAGTTGGCAAATTATTGCCAGCAACAAGAGAAATAATTCTTTTCCTAGTACAATTTTATTTCCAGAAAAAATGAGTTAAAGAGAAAAACATATCGCTTAAGAAAAGGTAATGATTTACATTCATTATTTCCTTCCTTCCAGAACTATTTGTTGAGTGTCTACAATGGGCCAGACCCTAGGATAACAACACAAACAAGGCCCTTGCTATCAAGCTGCTTAGGTAAATTGTAGTGGGCAGAGATGGACAAGCAAGTTCACAAATAAATAGAAAACGTAATTGTAGACAGTGATGAGTGTTATGCACATAATAAAACCAGATTATGTATTAGGAAAGATGAGTAAGTGGAGATGCTACATTAGATTAATTGACAAATAAGTCTTCTTTGAAGAGGTAACATTGCATCCCAGACTCAGCCAGGAACAAAAACTATGGGAAGGACCTTTCAGGCCCAGTACAAATGCTGTGAGATAGGAACAAACTTGACATACTTGAGGGACAGGAAAAAAAAAAAAAAAAAAGCCAGTGTATCTAATACGTATGAGCAAGCAGGAGAACAGCATGCGATAAGGGTGGATATGTAGCAAGAAGCCAGATAATACAAGGCTTTGAACACCATACTAAGGAGTTTGGATTTTATTTTAAGTGTCGTAGGAAGGCACAAGGAGTAACATGATATGGTCTACATTTTAAAAGATCCTTTGGGTGTTTGTTTAAAACTGGGCTCTAAGAGTAGCAAGAGTGAAGAAAGCAGGAAGACTAGGTGGCTATTGCAGTGATTGAGGTGGGAGATGGTGGTAACTTGGGCTCAGTTTGAAGTAACAGCTAACAAATATTTATTTTTTAAAAAGGATTAGTAGTGTGTCAGCATGTATAACTTTTTGGAACGCCTGAAATTCGGTGTTAATTTTTAAACTTTCCTATTCATGTGCATATTGTTTCAATGAGTAAAAAAAAGTCCGGTAGCACAGACAGATCTGCTGTCATCTTGGATCTTAGACTACCCCATGTTTTTCTATTGTGCCTTCTCTGCACTAATCAACTATTGGATATTTGCTTTTTTCATCAAACAAATTCCTTAAAAAGCGCTGAAATTCTTTAATACCACCAGATACATAGCAGCAATCTACTAATCTGTATTGGTACACAGGAAGCAAACATAGACAGTTCTTCAGTCATAAAAATCAGGAAGCCATGATGTTCCTAGTGTTTAACATACAAAAACAAATATCTAGTGTGAATCAATCCCAAAGCTCCCACATATTGTGAGTTTTCACAGAAGATCATTTCCAAGAAACTATTTCAGGTTTCTGTGATACTTTAATCACATACCGATAGCATTAAGATATGAAGGCACAGCTAGACAAGCAAGACTTAATTCTCACTACAGGCAGGAATATAGTAGTTGTCAAGGGGATTGCAGGATGTGTACTATCTAGTACTTAATCAAGTAAAATCTATATACCTTACTACTAACATGGTGAACAGTCTATCACATTAAATGGTTTCAAGCACAAAGGCAGAAAAAATGCAAGGACTGCTTCTAAGATTGTAGAAGGCATGAGTGGTAAAATATAGTCAATTATCACTTTTTCAAAAGATGAAACTCTGATTCCTTTCACAATTAGAACTGACTATAATGATAGAATGCCTAAAGTATAGTGTGTGTTTCAGTCCTATAACTGGACAAACAAAATGTAAATGATGCCAGAAAGAAACATCCTCCCGCAAGGCCTGAAAATCTCCTCTTCCAAACTGAATGCCTTATTTTGGGTTAGTGGAATAGGTATTTTCCAGAGTTCACATGAGGACAAAGTATTAACAGCTCATCTCAGAAAAGGCAGCAGTACTAAAATGTGTGCAGTAACAGTCTTCATAATTATTTATCATGATAAAATAGTTCAATTCAGATCCAGAAGTTCAGTTCCTGCCTTCAACAACAGAGTATTAATATTACTGTTGCAGGTAATATTTTTAAAAATAACATTGACATAGAAGGTTTTAAATTTTTATCAGTTTTGCAGTTCTAAAGTTCTGTTTTATATTAATATGTCCTCACAGCAACCCTGTGAGAGAGACATTATTCTTTTTAATTTAAACTATATGGAAAGATCAAAGCTCATAGAACTTAATGATTTACTTAAGTCACAAGTTTGGAAAGGACAATGTCAGAATCATAATTCAGGTCTTCTAATTCTCTGTCCAGGGTTCCTAATAAATCCTGTGAGTCTCATAGAAATATAGTTAAGACATGATGTCACAATTGAACTGGTAATTATTTTTTTCTCTTTTAAAGTATATGAAATAGCATGGTGTGTTATAATTGATGGCACCTTAGATTTGGTGAAATATGATGACCTCTCTGAGTATTCGCTTCCTGTCTCTGAAGTCAGGGTACAGTCTTCATATGATTTTCTCAAGGATTAAGTGACCTACTATGAAAGTGTTTTGCTCTGTAACTATAGGTTTATGGGGGTTTTGTGTGTTTGGGTTTTGTTTTGTTTTGTGTTTTTAGACAAGGTTCATGCTGTTGCCCATGCTGGAGTGCAGTGGTGTGATCACAGCTCACTGCAGCCTCAATCTCCCTGGCTCAGGTGATCCTCCCACCTCAGCCTCCTAAGTAGCTGGAACTGCAGGCACACACCACCACGCCTAGCTAATTTTTTGGTATTTTTTGTAGAGATGGGATTTTGCCATGTTGTCCAGGCTGGAGTTTATGTTTTAGAGTTCACTTTTTATTTTAATTCGAATCATTCAATAAAATATACCTCATCTTACCTAATTTTCATGACTTACAAATATTCAGGATAAAGCAATAGATTGCATTGCCTCAAGAAGCTTTAGTAGTTTTCAATCTGCTATAAGATATCTCCCTCATTGATAACATTGATTTTCTCAGGAGATAGGATTGGGAGATTATCTGTTTTTTTATTGGAAACTTTCATATTGCTTTTTTTTTTTTTTAAGAATAAGCATTTGTTACTGCTGAACTTTAAAGCTTATTTTTTTAAGTAAAAGAATTTTTAAGCATCATGGAGATCTCACAGTAAGAAACAAAAGCTCTCTTTGGGACTATTTGCGTAACAATACATAAAAAGGTAATAATAAATGTTCCTAGGTAAAGACCTTAAAACTGGGGATGCACTCCTCCATAAAGTGAGCTTAAACCTCCAGACAGAGTTAATAGCTCTTTGCTCAAACCTGTATTATTGCTCTTTTCATATTGCCTTGTAATTATCTATTTGTATGTTTTTCTTCTCACTGAATTTTGTCCTAAACTGCTTTGCATCTTTAGTGACAAACACTGTGCTGACCTCATAATAAATAAATAATAAATCTTTGTTGAATGAAAAAAAATGAAGATGTAAAGTCAACAACTGAATCTTTAATATTTTTTTTCTGAAAATGTGAGACCTTATCCAACCAGCATTATTGATAAAAATTATAAAGCAATTAGTTCTTGGGACTACACAGTGCTATTTGTGTTTCTCATTTCTTTTATAATAACTGCAGAATCTAATGAAAGTTAAAGTCAAAAGTAGAATAGGGAAAATATTCAGAGTGAGAAAACTTGCTTCTTAGACAAGTTATTTTACAACCTTAAGTAAATTATTCAACCTCACTTTTGCCCCATTTATAAAATGGTAAAAATGATGTATTTGTCTCTAAGCATTATAGGATAAAAATAAAGTAACATTTGTAAAAAATTGCCTGTAGTTGACCGGGCGCGGTGGCTCATGCCTGTAATCCCAGCACTTTGGGGGGCCAAGGCGGGCGGATCACGAGGTCAGGAGATCGAGACCATCCTGGCTAACACGGTGAAACCCCGTCTCTACTAAAAATATAAAAAATTAGCTGGGCGTGGTGGCGGGTGCCTGTAGTATCAGCTACTCAGGAGGCTGAGGCAGGAGAATGGCATGAACCCGGGAGGCGGAGCTTGCAATGAGCTGAGGTTGTGCCACTGCACTCCAGCCTGGGCAACAGAGCAAGACTCCATCTCAAAAAAAAAAAAATTGCCTGTAGTTTTTACTACAGATAAATGAAATAAATTAGTTCACACCCTAATTCTATTTTTATCAAAAAAGTAGATTCATTTTTACTTGTAGAGAAGCAGAGTAGTGAAAAGATCATACGCTATAAGGTTCCAATGCCAACTCTATGGCATAATAGATTTGGCTTTGAGAATTCTATAAGCTGGCTGAGTCTCATTTTTTTTCATCTATGAAGATGGAGATATCACCAATCCATAGGGTTGTCCTGAGGATTAAAGCTAATGTATCTGAAGTGGCCAGCTCATTGAAAATATTATGGCTCACATCTGGTAGGTACTTAATATCACCATTATCATCATCATCATTATAATCTTCTTTGTTCATTGTCATTGTGTAAAAGGATTATTTTGTCCTTACAGCCTTAAACCATTCTCTTCCGCACCTCCTTTTTTTTGAGAACTGGAAACCCTGGAAGATAATGAACAATTTCTACTAATGTCGATTTATATGATCTATCGTTACATTACTTCTCTGAGAACACGTGAGAAACCGTGTGCTAAAACCCTGGAAAGCAATTGCAAAGTAACATTTCATGCTTTCAAGTGGCAGTAATTTTGGGTAGGAAACCAGTCTTCAACTCAAATTTACTTAATGGATATAAAGATTGAAATAATAAAGAAGTTTATGTCTAACTAGCAGCCTCAAAGGCCCTCTGGAAACATTTCATACAGTCTTATATATGGAATGAAGGAGGCCTTGCTGAACTTGTTTAGAAAATGGAAATACTAAAATTGCATAGGAATGAGGTCTAAATACCCAGTAGCTCTCTGCAAACCCATAAACTAGATATTCACAGGCATTTCATCCATGTGAGGCAGGAGTAAGCCATATAGCTCTCTGAAGGAAAAGTGTTCCAGACAGAGGGAACAGCAAGTGGAAAGGCCCTGAGGCAGGAGTGTGCCTGATGTGTTTGAGAAAAGCAAAGAGGATAGTTTGGATTGAGAGGTCCAGTTCATTCTGTCGTTAAGCCCTCAGTTTAATTGCCTACTATCAGAAAGGCCTTACCTAATCACCTGTCTAATGTTGACCTTCTCTCCACCTCCAGTACTCTATTTCACTCCCCTGTTTTATTCTCTTCACAGCACTTTATTTTTTGTTTGTTTACTTGTTTATTTTCTACCTCCTTTAGTAAAATGTAAGCTTCTTGAGAACAGTGATCTTGAACGTCTTCTTTACCACAATTAGCTAACACCTAGAACAGTGCCTGGTACCTGGCACATATTCAAGAGACACTCATATTTTTTATTGTGCTTAATATCTGTTTAGTAAGCACATTTAATATTTAACAGATGAATGTTGAATATATATATTTTAATTTCATTTACTTAGGAATGAACTTAAAACAATGAGGCACCATTTTTATTCACCAGAGTGCCATATATTAACAATGATTGGTCATCTATAGTGTTAGTAAATATGTGAGGAAACCAGCATACTCATACACTGTTAATAGTTGTTTACTCGATTCAGCTTTTTTGGAGCGCAGTCTAACTGTGTCTCTAGGAATCTAAATGTACATTTTTTGACGCTTCAGTTTCACTTCCGAAGTCTATACAGAAATACCCATTTATATGCATAAATATAAAGATTATAATGATGTATTGGTTAATGACAAGGATATATTCTGAGAATACATCATTAGGCAATGTCATCATTGTGCAAATATCATATTGTATTCAAACAAACCTAGGTGGTATAGCCTACTATCTACTTAGGCTATATGGCATATAGCCTATTGATCCTAGGCTTCAAGTATGTATAGCAGAAACTGTACTGAATACTGTATGCAATTATAACATAATGCTAAGTATTTGTGTATCTAAACATGGGAAAGGTACAGCAAAAATACAGTATTATTATCCTATGGGATCACTGCTACAAATGTGGTCTGTCATTGACTGAAACATGGTTATACAGTGCATGACTCTACCTACTTGCATGTACAAATAGATCTCAAATAGTCTATTCTTTCCACAAATATTTGTTGAATACAATTTATCAGGCACTAAGAACATAGGCCAGCTTTGCTAATGTCCTTTAGTACAAAGCAAGCAGCTGAAGCTCGGTATTGAAGTAGGTAAAACTTGGAGGAAGAACAGAATCAACTCTTGTGTATATAGATCCTAAGTAGGTACCACGTACCATCTGCTGAGACTTTCTGATTAAAATATTTCTGTCGAAGATTATACCTTTTTTTCAGAGCAACACACCTTATAGAAGGGGAATAAGACTACAGACAAAGTTTCCTGTACAGAAAGTCATGACTATGAGTGAGGATGATACACCATAATGAGCATGAGAGATGAAAAAAGGGAGAAACTAAAGTAAAACCATTAGAGTGAACCTCAACCAGCCCAGGCATAAAAGGAGCATGAATGATGCCTTCTGAAAGTGGATCATTAGTGCCTGCCAACCTGTTGCAATACTGAAGCACTGCAACTATTTTATTATCTGCTGGAATTGTATTTCTACCAAAAGATACTAAAGAGGGTGTGATTGTTTAATTATGTACATATCTGGATATATATTACAGACTCCATGGGCACAGTTTTGTTTTGTCTTGTTTTGTTTTAAACTTGGCTAAAATGAATTTATTATCATGTTTAGAGACTGTGGATGGGAACGTAGCTTGTAGGGTAAGAAATCCTAAAAGGTTAACACTACCGTGTACAATTACTTATAGCCTCAATAAGGAAAAAGCGTGAAAGTACTCAAGTAAATCAAGGGAAGCTTCACAGAATTCTTTGATGAACTTACATGTTTAAACAAATATACAAAAGATGGACAAAGAAACAACCTAGAACTAACAAAAACTTTTACACATAGTGTTAGGGAAGTTAAGGCCAGGATTAACTTAAACTTTGAAAAATAAAGGTGAGAAGAACTACATTTAAAGCAGTAATGACAAAGTAGAAGACTTGGTTTTTAAAGGTAATATAAAGGGGAAGAGTCTAAGTGTTGTGTTGGACAGACTCTTTGGGTGGTTTCCATGATTCCTGTTTCCTGATGTTCATGCCTTTGTGTGATCCTCTCCCTTGGAGTATGTTTGAGACCTGTGATTTGCTTGTAACTATACAATACAGCAAAGTCACAGGTTGTACATGACTATATTGCATGAGATTTTAGTGCCAATTTTGCTGGAATCTTGCACTCTTTACTGGCTTCAAAGACATGAGCTGCTATGTTAGGAGACTCATGACAAGGAGCTGAGGACAGTCTCCGGATGAATCCTTCAGTGCTCCCCAGTCAAGCCTCAGATGAGACCACAGCCATGCTCAACCTGTAGATTGAAGCCTTATGAGATCCTAAGCAGAGGACTCAGCTAAGCCATGTCCAGACTCCTGTCCTACAGAAACCATGAGATAATATACATGTATTGTTTATGCTGCTATATGTGTGGTAGTTTGTTACACCACAATATAAATTAACACCATAAACTATTGCCATTTGCCTCTGTCTTCCCAGTGGGAAAATGACCTTCACAGTGGCAAGGCTAGAATTTTTCCTGGAATAAAAAATATTCTTCTGTTGGAATAAGGGATACAAATTACATTCTTAGGGCTTTTAGGCACTCTTCAGACTCCTTATGAGAGATAAACACCCTCCCTACCCCTTTGACACTTTTCTATCTAATCAAAAGAAATTTGGGGGAATTAGAAGGGTGATTTTTTACCATCTTAATTAAGACACCAGCCTCCAGAACCAAACAGCAGCTGTTGTATTAGAAATACCACTATGAATCTTCCTGAGAGAAATAGCTCTCCCTCCTTACCATCTGATGTTGTCTCATTCAGCTTAACACTTCTAGTACCTATCATGGTGCTTGACACATAGTTGATACTCAATGATTAATGAATGAATTCCTCATTAAGTTATCTCATCCATGCATTCAATAAGAAAGAGGGAAATTCACCCTTTGCTGTAGCACATTTCCTTCTTAGACTTTTGGGAATGAAAAAGCATACATGATATTTATTTATGTACAAGGAAGCATGAATGAACCATGAGAATACAGACATGAGTGAACTGCTTTTGTAAATAAAAGGAGCTTTAAAAACCTAATGTGAATTCTGATTACTTCATAGTTCTCTTTATTTTTTCTCGATCTACAGAGTTGTATATAGTTTTGTTTGAGACATGTTCAGAGTTAGTAAATGCCAAAAGCTTGTCTGATTCCAAATGATACTGACATAATGGACTCATTTGTTATGTCTGTGTTCTCTATCTTTGCATCACATAAAAGTACAAATGTTTTTATAACGACAATAATTGAAAATGAAATGCCTTTATCTTTTTCTTCATTTATTTTTAGCTTCCTTCTTTGTACACCCATGATGAAAACAGTTTTAGCATTATTTATTCCTGTTGAATGCCTGGTACATTGTATCTCGTTACTAGCAATTTGTGAACTCTCATTTTTTTTTTTTTATACTTTAAGCTCTGGGATACATGTACAGAATTTGCAGTGTTGTTACATGGGTATACACATGCCATGGTGGTTTGCTGCAGCCATCAACCCGTTATCTACATTAGGTATTTCTCCTAATGCTATCCCTCCCCCAGCCCTCCACCCCAAGACAGGCCCTAGTGTGTGATGTTTCCCTCCCTGTGTCCATGTGTTCTCGTTGTTTAACTCCCACTTATAAGTGAGAACATGCAGTGTTTGGTTTTCTGTTCCTGTGTTAGTTTGCTGAGAATGATGGTTTCCAGCTTCATCCATGTCTCAGCAAAGGGCATGAACTCATCTTTTTTTATGGCTGCATAGTATTCCATGGTGTATATGTGCGATATTTTCTTTATCCAGTCTATCATTGATGGGCATTTCGATTGGTTCCAAGTCTTTGCTATTGTGAACAGTGCTGCAGTAAACATATGTGTATATGTGTCTTTATAGTAGAATGATTTATAATCCTTTGGGTATATACGCAGTAATGGGATTGCTGGGTCAAATGATATTTCTGGTTCTAGATCCTTCAGGAATAGGCACACTGTCTTCCACAATAGTTGACCCAATTTACACTCCCACCAACAGTGTAAAAGTGTTCCTATTTCTTCATATCCTCTCCAGCATCTGTTGTTTCCTGACTTTTTAATGATTGCCATTCTAACTGGCGTGAGATGGTATCTCATTGTGGTTTTGATTTGCATTTCTCTAATGACCAGTGGTGATGAGCTTTTTTTCATATGTTTTTTGACCGCATAAATGTCTTCCTTTGAGAAGTGCCTGTTCATATCCTTTGCCCACTTTTTGATGGGGTTGTTTGTTTTTTTCTTGTAAATTTGTTTAAGTTCTTTGTAGATTCTGGGTATTAAATGCCCTTCATCAGATGGATAGATTGGAAAAATGTTCTCCCATTCTGCAGGTTGTCTGTTCACTCTGATGATAGTTTCTTTTGCTGTGCAGAAGCTCTTTAGTTTAATTAGATTCCATTTGTCAATTTTGGCTTTTGTTGCCATTGTTTTTGGTGTTTTAGTCATGAAGTCTTTGCCCATTCCCTTGTCCTGAATGGTATTGTCTAGGTTTTCTTCTAGGATTTTTATGATTTTATGTCTTATATTTAAGTCTTTAATCCATCTTGAATTAATTTTTGTATAAGGTGTAAGGAAGGGATCCAGTTTCAGTTTTCTACATATGGCTAGCCAGTTTTCCCAACACCGTTTATTAAATAGGGAATCCTTTCTCCATTGCTTGTTTTTGTCAGGTTTGTCAAAAATCAGATGGTTGTAGTGTATAGCATTATTTTTGAGACCTCTGTTCTGTTCCATTGGTCTATATATCTCTTTTGGTACCAGTATTATGCTGTTTTGGTTACTGTGGCCTTGTAGTATAGTTTGAAGTCAGGTAGCATGATGCCTCCAGTTTTGTTTTTTTTTTGCTTAGGATTGTCTTGGCTGTATGGGCTCTTTTTTGGTTCCATATGAAATTTAAAGTAGTTTTTTTCTAATTCTGTGAAGAAAGTCAATGGTAGCTTGATGGGGATAGCATTGAATCTATAAGTTACTTTGTGCAGTATGGCCATTTTCACAGTATTGATTCTCCTATCCATGAGCATGGAATGTTTTTCCATTTGTTTGTGTCCTCTAATTTCCTTGAGCAGTTTGTAGTTTTCCTTGAACAGGCCCTTCACCTCCATTGTAAGTTGTAGTCTTAGGTATTTTATTCTCTTTGTAGCAATTGTGAATGGGACTTCACTTACGTTGCAGCTCTCTGTTTGTCTATTATTGGTGTATAGGAATGCTTGTGATTTTTGCACATTGATTTTGTATCCTGAGACTGCTGAAGTTGCTTATCAGCTTGAGGAGATTTTTTGGCTGAGACAGTGGGGTTTTCTAAATATACAATCATGTCATTTGCAAACAGAGACAATTTGACTTCCTCTATTCCTATTCGAATACCCTTTATTTCTTTCTCTTGCCTGATTTTCCTAGCCAGAATTTCCAATATTATGTTGAATGGGGTGGTGAGAGACGGCATCCTTGTCTTGTGCCAGTTTTCAAAGGAAATGCTTCCAGCTTTTGCCCATTCAGTATGATATTGGCTGTGGGTCTGTCATAAATAGCTTTTATGATTTTGAGATATGATCCATCAATACCTAGTTTATTGGGAGTTTTTAGCATGAATGGGTGTTGAATTTTATGGAAGGCCTTTTCTCTATCTATGGAGATAATCATGTGGTTTTTGTCATTGATTCTGTTTATGTGATGGATTACATTTATTGATTTGTGTATGTTGAACCAGCCTTGCATCCCAGGGATGAAGCTGACTTTATCGTGGTGGATAAGCTTTTTGATGTGCTGCTGGATCCGGTTTGCTAATATTTTATTGAGGATTTTTGCATTGTCGTTCATCAGGGATATTGGCCTTAAATTTTTTTGTTGTTGTTGTGTCTTTGCCAGGTTTTGGTATCAGGATGATGCTGGCCTCATAAAATGAGTTAGGGAGGAGTCCCTCTTTTTCTTTTGTTTGGGAAAGTTTCAGAAGGAATGGTACCAGCTCCTCTTTGTACCTCTGGTAGAATTTGGCTGTGAATCTGTCTGGTTCTGGGCTTTTTTTGGTTGGTAGGCTGTTAATTACTGCCTCAATTTCAGAACTTGTTATTGGTTTACTCAGGGATTCAACTTCTTCCTGGTTTAGACTTGGAAGGGTGTACATGTCCAGGAATTTATCCATTTCTTCTAGATTTTCTAGTTTATATGCGTAGAGGTGTTTATAGTATTCTCTCATGGTAGTTTGTATTTATGTGGGATCAGTGATGGTATCCCCTTTATCATTTTTTGTTGTGTCTATTTGATTCTTCTCTCTTCTTTATTAGTCTGGCTAGTGGTCTATCTATTTTGTTAATCTTCTCAAAAAAACAGCTCCTGGATTCGTTGATTTTTTGAAGGGTTTTTCGTGTCTCTATCTCCTTCAGTTCTGCTCTGATCTTAGTTATTTCTTGTCTTCTGCTAGATTTTGAATTTGTTTGCTCTTGCTTCTCTAGTTCTTTTAATTGTGATGTTAGAGTGTCAATTTTAGATCTTTCCTGCTTTCTCCTGTGGGCATTTAGTGCTATAAATTTTCCTCTAAACACTGCTTTAGCTATGTCCTAGAGATTCTGGTACGTTTTGTCTTTGTTGTCATTGGTTTCAAATAACGTATTTATTTCTGCCTTAATTTCATTATTTACCCAGTAGTCATCCAGGGGCAGGTTGTTCAGCTTCCATGTAGTTGTGCAATTTCAAGTGAATTTCTTAATCCTGAGTTCTTTCTTTTCTTTTTTTTTTTTTTTTTGAGATGGAGTCTCACTCTGTCGCCCAGGCTGGAGTGCAGTGGCGCAATCTCAGCTCACTGCAAGCTCTGCCTTCCGGGTTCATACACCATTCTCCTGCCTCAGCCTCCCAAGTAGCTGGGACGACAGGCACCCGCCACCACACCCAGCTAATATTTTTTTTTTTTTGTATTTTTAGTAGAGACGGGGTTTCACTGTGTTAGCCCGGATGATCTCGATCTCCGGACCCCGTTACCCACCAGCCTTGGCCTCCCAAAGTGCTGGGATTACAGGCATGAGCCACCGCACCTGGCCTCTTAATCCTGAGTTCTAATTTGATTGCACTGTGGTCTGAGAGACTGTTTGTTATGATTTACATTCTTTTGCATTTGCTGAGGAGTGTTTTACTTCTGTTTATGTGGTCCATTTTAGAATAAGTGCAATGTGTTGCCGAGAATAATGTATATTCTGTTGATTTGGGGTGGAGAGTTCTGTAGATGTCTGTTAGGTCTGCTTAGTCCAGAGCTGAGTTCAAGTCCTGAATATCCTTCTGAATTTTCTGTCTTATTGATCTTCTGATATTGAGAGTGGGATGTTAAAGTCTCCCACTGTTATTGTGTGGGAGTCTAAGTCTCTTTGTAGGTCTCTAAGAACTTGCTTTATGAGTCTGGGTGCTCCTGTATTGGGTGCATATATATTTAGGATAGTTAGCTCTTCTTGTTGCATTGATCCCTTTACCATTATATAATGCCCTTCTTTGTCTTTTTTGATATTTGTTAGTTTAAAGTCTGTTTTATCAGAGACTAGGATTGCAACCCCTGCTTTTTTTTTTTTTACTTTCCATTTGCTTGGTAAATATTCCTCCATCCCTTTATTTTGAGCCTATGTGTGTCTTTGCACTTGATATGGGTCTCCTGAATGCAGCACACTAATGGATCTTGACTCTTTATCCAATTTGCCCACCTTTGTCTTTTAATTGGGCATTTAGCCTGTTTACATTTAAGGTTAATATTGTTATGTTTGAATTTGATCTTGTCATTATGATGCTAGCTGGTTATTTAGCCTGTTAGTTGATGCAGTTTCTTCATAGTGTCAATGGTCTTTACAATTTGGTATGTTTTTGCAGTGGCTGGTACCGATTTTTCTTTTCCATATTTAGTGCTTCCTTCAAGAGCTCTTGTAAGGCAGGCCTGGTAGTGACAAAACCTCTCAGCATTTGCTTGTCTGTAAAGGATTTTATTTCTTCTTCACTTATGATGCTTAGTTTGGCTGGATATGAAATTCTGGGTTGAAAATTCTTTTCTTTAAGCATGTTGAATATTGGTCCCCACTCTCTTCTGGCTTGTAGTCTGATGGGCTTCGCTTTGTGGGTTACCTGACCTTTTCTCTCTGGCTGCCCTTAACATTGTTTCCTTCATTTCAACCTTGGTGAATCTGACAATTATGTGTCTTGGGGTTGCTCTTCTTGAGGAGTATCTTTGTGGTGTTCTCTGTATTTCCTGAATTTGAATGTTGTCCTGTCTTGCTAGGTTGGGGAAGTTCTCCTGGATAATATCCTGAAGAGTATTTTCCAACTTGGTTCCATTCTCCCTGTCACTTTCAGGTACACCAATCAAACATAGGTTTGGTCTTTTTACATAGTCCCATATTTCTTGGAGGCTTTCTTCATTCCTTTTCATTCTTTCTTCTCTAATCTTGTCATCATGCTTTATTTCATTAAGTTGATCTTCAATCTCTGATATCCTTTCTTCCGCTTTATCGATTTGGCTATCGATACTCATGTATGCTTCATGAAGTTCTCGTGCTGTGTTTTTCAGCTCCATCAGGTCATTTATGTTCTTCTCTCAACTGGTTATTCTAGTTAGCAATTCCTCTAACCTTTTTTCAAGGTTCTTAGCTTCCTTGTATTAGGTTACAACATGCTCCTTTAGCTCAAAGGAGTTTGTTATTACCCACCTTCTGAAGCCTACTTCTGTCAATTCATCAAACTCATTCTCCATCCAGTTTTGTTCCCTTGCTGGTGAGGAGTTGTGATCCTTTGGAGGATAAGAAGCATTCTGGTTTTTGGAATTTTCAGCCTTTTTGCACTGGTTTTTCCACGTCTTCGTTTGATGTTGGTGACCTTTGGTTGGGGTTTCTGTATGGATATCCTTTTTGTTGGTGTTGATGCTATTCCTTTCTGTTCGTTAGTTTTCCTTCTAACAGTCAGGCCCCTGTGCTGCAGGTCTGCTAGGATTTGCTGGAGGTCCACTCCAGACCCTATTTGCCTGGGTATCACCAGCGGAGGCTGCAGAACAACAAAGATTGCTGCCTGTTCCTTCCCTGGAAGCTTTGTCCCAGAGGGGTACCTGCCAGATGCCAGCAGGAGCTCTCCTGTATGAGGTGTCTGTTGACCCCTTCCAGGAGGTGTCTCCCTGTCAGGAAGCACAGAGGTCAGGGATCCGCTTGAGGATGCAGTATGTCCCTTAGTAGAGCTCAAGCGCTGTGCTGGGAGATCCGCTGCGCTCTTCAGAGCCAGCAGGCAGGAACATTTAAGTCTGCTGAAGCTGTGGCCACAGCAGTCCCTTCCCCCAGGTGCTGTGTCCCAGGGAGATGGGAGTTTTATCTATAAGCCCCTGACTGGGGCTGCTGCCTTTCTTTCAGAGATGCCCTGCCCAGAGAGGAGGAATCCAGAGAGGCAGTCTGGCTACAGTGGCTTTGCCCACCTGTGCCAGTTCGAACTTCCTGGCAGCTTTGTTTACACTCTGAGGGGAAAACCACCTACTCAAGCCTCAGTAATGGTGGACGCCCCTCCCCCAGCAAGCTCCAGCATCCCAGGTCAACTTCAGACTGCTGGGCTGGCAGCAAGAATTTCAAGCCAATGGATCTTAGCTTGCTGGGCTCCGTGGGAGTGGGATCCACTGAGCTAGACCCCTTGGCTCCCTGGCTTCAGCTCCCTTTCCAGGGGAGTGAACAGTTCTGTCTCACTGGTGTTCCAGCTGCCATTGGGGTGTGAAAAAAAACTCCTGCAACTAGCTCAGTGTCTGCCCAAATGGCTGCCCAGTTTTGTGCTTGAAACCCTGGACCCTCGTGATGTAGGCACCTGAGGTAATCTCCTGGTCTGTGGGTTGCGAAGACTGTGGGAAAAGCATAGTATCTGGGCTGGAATGCACCGTTCCTCACGGCACAGTCCCTCGTGGCTTTCCTTGGATAGGGGAGGGAGTTCCCTGACCCCTTGCACTTCCTGGGTAAGGCGACCACCCACCCTGCTTCTGCTCACCCTCCATGGGCTGCACCCACTGTCTAGCCAGTCCCAATGAGATAAGCTGGGTACCTCAGTTGGAAATGCAGAAATCACCTGCCTTCTGCATTGATCTCGCTGGGAGCTGCAGACCAGAGCTGTTCCTATTCGGCCATCTTGCCAGCCATCAGTTGTGAATTCTTTATACATGTTTTAATTCATTCCTAATTGCCCTGTTGGACATTACTGATAATAAAATGCCCCCAAAATTTGGCTTTATTTACATAACCTATCAGTAGAAAGTTGACAAAAATACATCCCCCATTGCTTTTACTGTCGATTTCAGATTGATAGTATTATTTTAATCTAAACTAATGCAAATAAAGGTATTTCAATTCATAATGTAATTATTTATGAATTAGGAAATTACATGCTTGTTGATTTGAAACCTTCATTTTTTAAAAGTGAATTGAAAAATGCTTAATTACCATGTGTATTGCCTAAGACTATTATTCGTCTTTTAAATTTTATTAACACTTTTGAGATATTGATTTTTAAAATAAACTCACTTTTTCAGAATAGTTGAGCAAAGGACTATTCAGGTTATTTGACTATTCTGGTTGTCTATCATATATGCCATATATACATTACAAATTTTCAAAAAATGTCAAGTATTCATTAATATTAATTATTAATATTTATTGATTTATTGCTGTGTACAAGGCACTATGATTGGTATGATAGTAGATACAAAGATGAATCAGATACACACCCTGACTTCAAGGATCTATCCATTTACAATGAGAATTAAAACTTCTATATAAGTATAATATAAACTGAACATGGTAAGGCCCCAGAAGAGTTCAAAGTGGTTATGGAACCTAAAGGATAGTCCATTAGTTTCCTATTGCTGCTGTACCAAATGGCCACAAACTCAATGTCTTTTTTTTTTTTTTTTTTTTTTTATATGGAGTTTCACTCTTGTTGCCCAGGCTGGAGTGCAGTGGCACAATCTCAGCTCACTGCAACCTCCACCTCCTGGGTTCAAGCAATTCTCCTGCCTTAGCCTCCTGAGTAGCTGGGATTACAGGATTACAGGCCGTCACCACCATGGCTGGCTAATTTTGTGTATTTTTAGTAGAGAAGAGGTTTCACCATGTTGGCCAGGCTGGTTTTGAACTCCTGGCCTCAAGCAATCCACCAGTCTTGGCCTCTCAAAGTGCTGGGATTACAGGTGTGAGCCACTGCACCCAGCTGTCAATGTCTTAAAACAATACAAATGTATTATCTTATAGTTCTAGAAGTCAGAAGTTCAAAATATGTTTCATTGGACTAAAACCAAGGTGTCAGCAAAGCTGCATTCTCTTCTGAAGGCTCTAGGAAATACTCCATTTTCTTGCCTTTTCTAGCTTCCAGAGGCTGCCCACATTACTTGACTCATGGCTTTTCCATCTTAAAAGCTAGCAGTGGTCAGTCAAGCCCTTCTCATATCACATCACTCTGACACTGACTCTTCTTCTACCACTAGCTGCCACTTTGAAGGACCCTTATGATTATGTTGCACCAACATGGATAATCTATTCTTAAGTCAACTGACTAGCAACTATCTACAACCTTAATTTTCCTTTGCCATGTTACATAAAATAGTCATAGTTTCCATGGCTTAGGATGTGGACATCATCGTGGAGGGCTATTATTCTGCCTATCACAGAGAGTTAGGAGGAAGACGTCTTGGGGAGGGGATGGGCCTTGGAGGATAGATAGAATGTGTGCTTGTGGAAGTGGGAGGAGGAATTCAGGGAATTACATTCCAGATGGAAGGGATAATGTAAATGACAGAGGCTAACAACTGAGGTGGGGGATATATGAACAATAAGGAAAGTTAGTTTGCTGACAGCTGAATTCTGTAAACTTTTTTTCTGTAAAGAACCAAGTAGTAACTATTTTAGGCCTTGTAGCCGTATTTTCTCTGTTGTAACTATTCAACTCTGCCATTGTAGCATGAAAGCAGCCATAGATAATAAGTAAACAAAGGTGTAGTGTTCCAATAAAACTTTGATTCTAAGAATAGGCGGCAGTCCAGATTTGGCCCATGGCTATAGTTTTTTCAAGTCCTAGCCTAGCACATAAATAATATTTTTAAAAGTAATGGTAAATAAGTCAGGACTTGGTTATAGACTGTCTTAAATACATAGCAAAATGTTCTGGAGATTGTTTTTAGTAGACAGTAAAGAGCCAGTGATGGACTTTCAGCAAGAAATGAGTAGACTCATAACTGTACTTCAGGAAACGTTGCCTGGCTAGCACTAGGGTGTAAGGTAAAGAAGGGGGAGCAGCAGTGTGAATAGGGAAGCTTTAACACTGGTATAGATGCAGGTAATGGGAGCTTAAACTAGAATAGTGAAGAGGAAGGAAAATGGCACAGTAACTTCCTAACTTGTCACCCTACTTCCAGATTTCCCTACAGTCTATTCTCTAGTAGCCTTCAATACATAAATTAGACCATGTCACTCCCCTGGTCAAAACTCTCCAATCATTTCCAATTACACTTAGAGTAAGATCCAAACTCTTTACCATTCCTTATGAAGACCTTCCTTTTTGGCCCTAACTAGCTGTCTAACCTCATTTTCTACCACTCTTCCCCTGCTGACTATATACCAGTCATATTAGTGTTTTTGTAGTTCTTTAAACATGTCAAACTACCTCAAGACCTTTGCATTTGATATTTGATATAGTTTGGATATTTGTCCCCCCAGATCTCATGTTGAAATGTAATCCCCAATGTTGGAGGTGGGGCCTGGTGGGAGGTGATTGGATCATGAGAGTGGATTCCTCCTGAATGGGTTAACGCCATCCCGTTGGTGCTGTCCTCATGAGAGTACCTGAGTTCACAAGAGATCTGGTTGTTTAAAAGTGTGCAGCACCTCCCCCAACCTTATTCATGGGCTGGCTGTGTGACATACCTGCTCCTGCTTTGCCTTCTGCCATAAGTAAAAGCTCCCTGAGGCCTCCCCAGAAGCCAAGCAGATGCTGGTGCCATGTTTGTATAGCCTACAGAATCATGAGCCAATTAAACTTTTTTCTTTATTATAAATTTCCCAGCCTCAGGTATTCCTTTATAGCAACACAAGAATAGCCTAATACACTGTTCCACCTGCCTGGAATGGTATTCCTTCAGACCTTCACAAGACTCACGCTTTCATTTTATTCAGGGTTTGTTTGTTTGTTTGTTTGTTTGTTTGTTTGTTTCTTAGAGATGATCTAACTCTGTCACCCAGGCTGCAGTGCAATAGCACAGTCATAGCTCACTGCAGTTTCGAACTCCTGGGCTCAGGCTATTGTCCCACTATAGCCTCCCAGATAACTAGGACTATAGGTGCACAACACCACACCCAGCTAATTTTACTCTTTTTTTTTTAAAGCGATGGGGTCTTGCTGTGTTGCCCAGGCTGGTCTCAAACTCCTGGCCTTAAGTGATCCTCCCACCTCTGTCTCACAAAGTGCTGGTATTATAGGCATGAGCCACCATGCCCAGCCACAGGTCTCTGCTTTAATGTTGCAGAGGCTTTCTCTGATCAACTCCATCATCACTACCACTCATTCTTGATCTTATTTTTCTAATAGGACTTATTGGCCACCTGAAATTATGTCTTCTCACTAGAATATAAGCTTCAGGAAGGCAAGGTCCTCACTTGTCTTACTGCTATAGCCTCAGAATTTACTACAGTAGTTATTCAATAAGTATTTAACAACTAAATGAATAATATTGCAGAGGTAGGTTATATAAAACTAGACAATAATTGACAAGAGAAACAATGATGAAGAGTAAAAATGACACTGGATTTTTGATCCTGGATTATTGGAGGTTGGTAGAACCATTAAAAATCAAGGAGTCAGCAGGAAGGACAGATCTGGGAGGTTAGGGTGGGGGAAGTTCCATATTAGACATCAAGAGATGCCAGTTGACATCTAGAAAGAGATTGGGAGAAAGGTCAGTATTTGAAGATGTTGTTTAGGGGATTCTTCATGTAGTCTTGATGGTTGAAACCCTAATATTGTAGAGAAAGTATATAACAGGAGTGGGAGGAGAACTCATTTGGGACAGTTCAGAGGAGGAAGAGGGGCCAGATGAGGAGCAGTCAGGACGATGGGAGCAAATGAAGAGTAGATGACTGGGAAGAGAGGAAACTCATGGAGAAGGGAATTTCAAAGAAGGAGTGATAAATGCTGATAACAAGGGGACAACATGTGAAAAAAGGATTGGCTGAAATCGTAAACATTTGTGACTTTTAGAAGAGAAATTTCAGTAGATTGGTGAGGGCACAAATACAATTTACTCGAACACCATTTTGAATGTCAATTTAATCTTTCTTTTATGATTCATATGGCATTTCAGTACCTCTTAGGACCTCTTGGTCATTTCATAAATATTGGTTATGTAACACTGCAGTTTAAAAGATACAGGATTAAGAAAAATGGTATAGGATATTGTATATTGAAAATTTGCTAGGAGAGTAGATTTTAGGTGCTCTTACCACACACACACACACACACACACACACACACACACACACACACACGAGGTAGCTATAGAAGGTGATGGCTATATTAATTTGCTTACTTGTAGTAATCATTTCACCATGTATTTGTATACCAAAACATCATGTTGTACACTTTAAATACATACAATAAAAATGAATTAAAAGAAAAAAGGTATGGGAAATTCCACTGAATCTATACTGATCCTGTAACATATGTTAAAAGTTACTTGATTTGGACAAATTCCTGCTTATGCCCAGATTTCTGTGACTTTCTAGTGAGATGTGCTCTGATAGCTGTCATCGAAGTGTGGTTTAACTGTATGCATAGTTTTGCTAAATTGAGAAGTGCTATCATAAGAGGGAAAATGTTAGTTAGGCCAGCAATATTTTTATTTTATTTTCTGCTGATATAAAAAAAAAGTGTTAAACTTTATTTTTGTTATTTTGAAAAGACCTGGAAAGAATGAATAAGCCGGAAAAACTGCTCATAACCCACCATGGAGAGGCAATCGTCATTTACATTTTGGCCTAATTACTTTTAGTCCTTTTCTAACTTGCTAACACTTTTGTGTGTTGTTTGTTTGTTTGGGTTTGGGTTTTTTTGGTGTTTTTTGTTTTTTGCATAATGAAAGAAGCAGCATATAGTGGCTAACAGCATGGGCTCAAGAACGATATTACCCGTGTTCAAATCCTACCTCTGCCTCCTACAATCAACATAATCTTTGCGACTTTCTTAACTTCTCTGTACCTCATTTTCCTCACCTATGAAATAGAAGAACAACTGATTTTTTATAAGCTTATTCATTCTAGTATCCAGTATCCAAAACAGAATTGATCCTATACTCTTTCCACCTTTCCAATCTTATTTATTCTGTTTTTTCCCTTAATTGGCACTCATTTGGAAGGCTTCCTACCTCTTTTATCATTTTATCTGTCATTCTCTTGATGTCCTGTAGTTCTGTCATTTTTATTTATTTGCAAATATTGTTTACAAATATAATCTGGGTTGGAAGCCAACCTTACTCCTGGAAACTGAACTAATATGAGAAACTGAGGAACCCAATTGAGAATTATACTTGTCTATAATGGCCTTAAAGTTGCATTGCAGTATGCCCTCATATTTAAGTCAAATATGGCCTGGATCTGTTCTAAAAGAAAACAGGATAATAAACTAAGTAAAGCATGTGATTGGCTGTATCACAGTTATTATCCCAGAAAGCCATTTACCATACAGTGATAATCAAATGACTGGATGGGCTGTTAACAGTAATATGTCCCTTAGGGCACAACATTACAACTGTGTGTGCTATGTGCAGACTATGATGACAGAAGTTTCTAAATCTAGCCTAACTGTTAACTGTTTAAGTAATCAAAATTCCTATGGAAAACAGTTTCTTCTTTTGTTTATTTCAGAAAAGGCTTAACATTTAAGTATCTTTAATAAAGGGGTGGGAAGGAAGATCATCTTGTTAGCCTTTTGGTTAAAGTCATTGTCAAGTAGCATCAAGGCTGAACATGGTCATAAAAGATAGAATACCTTCCCTCTTAGCTTCATGATTGAAAACAAAAAGAAGCCCTAAGTTCTTCCCATTGAACACAATGGGCCCTTTGGGTATGACAATCACAGTTCTCATATCTCCCAGAGCCAACCTTGATTTCAGATGTTTTGGTACTCTTGCAATTACTCTCCTGAATTGGAGCTCAGAAAAAAATAATTGAAGTACATATAGTATCCTTTCTTTGTGAGCAAGTTTTTTGTTAACCATATCCTTTATTGAAAATGTTTTTGCCCTGTCCTAATATTGTAATGTAAGTTGTTATTCAAAAATGGATCTCTCTTTATTGATAAGGTGCCGATAAGGTTCTGTGAAGTGTATTGACGTACTTTGGCTTGGAGAGTTATTAAAACGTAAAATGCTATTGTTTTATTGCTTGAGTAAATGGCGAATTGACATTAACTGAAGGAAACAGACCACTGTAGGTTTTTCTAAGTATCTTGCAGTAAATCAACCTCCAAAGACTTCCTTAGGAAGCACGTTGACTTTAAAAAATATAAGTGCAACACATGATCATAGTTCTAAAACCACCTAGCTCTTTTTTTAATCCAAAGATAGGAAAAATATATCAGTATAGAATATGGCTTTCTGTAGATTTAGAGAAAAAGCTCACCTGTTTCTAATCTAATCAGTCTTATAGTTCTTTGTATGTTTTCATTTGTTCAGGGTTGACTAAGAGTATGGTTGCATTTGTGTAACAACTTGCCTTAGCTCATCTTAAGTTTTCTTCTAAAGAGTGTGTAATTATTTAATGCTTCCCAAATAGAAGTGCAGATTTTGTTCATATATTTTCTGAATTTTTAACTATACCCTCTTTTTTATTCTTTGGAGTAAACCTTTGTTTGTTTTCTCTTTAATAAAATGCAGTGATACAATTACTGCAAAAAGTTTACTTGCATATTTTAATCTGTAACCCAATCACAGTTTAAAGTAATAATTCCTCAGCGAAACTCTTCCAGTAATGAATCTGAAACTTAAATTTTAAGGCAAATGCAAAGGAATGCAGACCTGAATAATAGGAACATTTGTTATGATACAGCAATGTCATCCTCCAGCATCTAGGGTTATTTTTCAAATGTACAATTCAGGATTCAAAGCTGAACTAAATTTGACTAATCAGACATGATTTATGTTCTAGGTTTAACCATGGTTGGAAATGACAGAGTAAGACTTTACCTTCCAATTCTTTTCTGAATTGTTGAGGAGGTTGTAGTTTGGTTTAAGACTTGGTAACCCAGTATAGGTGTAAAGACAAACTCTAGGGAGCGGTGCCTTATTTGATTGCTTCCATTTTAACTGAAATATCTGAGCTACTTATGTCTCAAGAACTGAAAAGCTTAATGAAACATACACATTTATAAACATATATTTTTAATACTCAAAGGAAATATCGCCACTTCCCAAAGACCTGATAGATGTACTCAAATCATTGCTATGGAGCATGTTTGCATTTGGGAATGTAACTTAAATGTTTTATCATCGAAATATGTTTTTGGTGTTTGTGTTATTTCTGTATACCATTAGTGCCTAAATCACAACACATAGATATATATTTACCATAATATCACATTCAGAAAACTACAAAGGCAAGCAAATGTTTTAGAATGTACCAGGCATCTCTTCTATTTAGTTGCTGACTTGCCATGTGACATGCCAAATTTCCCCATTGTAACTCTACTACTGCCCAATGATGCTACAGACACTTAATTGGTATTTAAAACAGTTTGGGATTTCCAGATTAAAGATTTCACAGAAGCACAAATTTTAGTATCTGGCTTTCTGTCTAGTGGTTACCCTTAGCACACACTGAATGTAAACTTCCTTATATATAACTGTAACGTGTTAAGACTGTGAAGAGATCAAAAAGGATAATTATATGCAGTTATAACTGTCATATAAGTTAAACAAATGCAATTGCAAAGGAGGCAATTGTTAAGTTTTGTTAAAACACGATTATCTTATTTGAGTGGAAGCCAAAAAAACTTTGGGCCTTTGTGCTCTCCTGTTATAGCAGGGCTCTGTTATGTGACCTAGATTTCAAATCTCTGTAGTATTTCCTGTAGAAAAACAATGTATTCCTTCTCTGCACACCTACCACTAATAATAAAATGAGTCAGCTACATAGAGGCACTATCTGTGTAAAGTTTTTAATGAACCTTTTATTAATGAAAAACAAGTACATAGTGCTATAATACTGCAGATGAGTTAATAAGATAAGCATAATTAAGAATCTTTCTAGAAGGAAATTTCTCAGGAGGTAAATATTTAAAGATTTACTCTTAAGTTTTTTTAAAAATAATAATATGCTTTTGTGTGTACGTGAATTTCTTATTTGTGTCTGATGTAATCTTGAAATTCTTGGTAGGCAAAAACTGTGACTCTGACATTTTACTAAGCAATTTTTTTAATCTATTGTCTCTTAGAAGAGTCTTTCCTGCTATTACAGTCTACCATATGATCTCATTTTGTAACGGGTATTGAAGCTATGGAAAGAGAACAGCTGTCCATTTCTATTACATGTTAAGTGATGTGACAGATTTCAGCCTTTCCTCTTCTCTCAGCCAATAGTGTAAAAGATTAGTTGTAAAATTTTTTTTTCTGTAGCCCATTCAGGTTTCGATGATGACCGAAGGTCTTAGGCAACCATTGTACCATAATGTTACTGTTAGGAAACTGGATCAATTCCAGGTCATTTGACTGAATACACATCACATGATCAAGGCTTCCCAACACCCTGACTTTGACTAAATAGCACAGCTCTCATTTAAAGTTACATGTCTTTAAGAAACATAAGTCTACCCAAATTTGCTGCACTAATCGAAAAAAAAAAACAATAATTTCAGCTGTATCTAAAATAACTGAACATCTGCTTTACAAGTGAAAAACTGATCTAGCTATTTCTAAAGGTACAGATGTTTACATTATGTGGGCAAAACAACTGAATGATGGACAGAATGTTTTTAGCATTTATTTGAATTGTTGCCATAGTCTCAGAGCATTAGTGTAAAACAGTCTCCTTTAGGTTCTGTTCTCTCCATCAGTCGTATCATCACTTCTACTCCCTTCCTTTCACCAACAGATATTGATTGAGTACCTGTGTGTCAGACACTGTATTGAATGAGGAATAAAACAGACACAGTCTTCCTGGAACATATGCTTTTTAGGGAATAACTGGACATTTTTTTGAAAGCTTACTGATGTAATTACATATAGTGGTAAGTGTTCTAAAGAGCAAAACTAAAACACTACTTATTTATTCAGCAAACATTTTTGAGGGCCTATGATATGTCACGCATTTTGCTAGGCCCATAGTATGCAAGGATGGATGAAACAGACATGATCCCTACCTTTATAGAGCTTATGATTTAAGTTGGAAAAGCAAACAATAAACAGGAAAATCAATATATATATAATTTCAAACTGAGGAAGTGCTGTGACTGTAGTGAACATGTTGCTCTGATAGAAATGGAGGAAGGACAAGAAAAGTCTGTCTTCATAGTAAGATTTAAGTTAAGATTTGAAAGATGAGTAGGAGCCAACCATCTAATGAGTTAAGGAGAAAGCATTCCAGACTGAAGCAAAGAGCTGCCTACTCAAAGAAATGAAAGGAGGCCAGAACAGATTTACTTATTATAACGAGGAGGATTGCAGACAGGATCAGCTTTTGAGAAATAAATTAAAACTTAACTTTGGAAAAAATTAAGTATAAGTTGCCTGTGAAACATTTAAGTCAAGATGTTATTGGCAAGTTGTCTATACCAGTCTGGAGTCAAAAGAAAGGGCTGGGATGGAGAAATAAATGTAAGAATCTTTAGCATATATATGGTTTTTAAAGCTATGAAAGTGGTGAGATCACCTAGGAGGAAAGTACATGTAGGGAAATAAAGAGGATCCAAGACTTAACACTAGGAACCTTTAGAGGTCTATTGAAAGAAGAAACTGGACTAAAAAGGAGTGTTCAGAAAGATAGAAGGAAAATTAGGCAAATGTACTATTATAGAAACCAAGAAAAATGGCTTTAAATACATGTGCTTTTCAGTAGTTAAGTAACTGTCCTGATAGTAATTTTTTAAAATTTTCTCAATAAATTATAAAAGACTCCATCACCATTAGTATTTTTTAGAACCACTTTCTCCAAAAAGTGGAAGCTGTATTAACTGATTTATATATATATATATATAAATATTTTATTATACTTTAAGTTCTAGGTTACATGTGCACAATGTATAGGTTTGTTACATACGTATACATGTGCCATGTTGGTGTGCTGCACCCATTAACTCGTCATTTACATTAGGTATATCTCCTAACTGATCTCTATTTTTAACCCACTTGCCAGATTAGCCAACTCATCCATTCTCGCTATAAAGCACATTGATGCCCATGGGCTTGTGCCTAAGAAGCCTCTCCCTGGTACTACCATGGACTTAAACTGCTACCAGTTAAAAAATATCATTTTTATTTTCAAAAGGATTGGTGCCATTTGTGCTTATTATAAATTAGTTATATGAATATGCAAAGAAAAAGTTGTTTCTACAAAAACTAAGTAGAATGCTTTAGAGAGATCTGATAATGGTGAGTTAATACTACTGATGGATTGTAAAGGAGTCATCTGTGAAAGATTGGGAGAAAATTATAGAAGTCTAGAAGGATTCTGCCCTTGGATTATTTTATAACCATTCTTAATTCTCAATCCACTTTAAAGAAACCCCATCTGGAAATGAGAGCTGATATATTTTTAGTATGATTTCTGAACAATACAAGAACCCTAGAACTAGAAGAACAATACAGAACACTAATCAGAAGTCAGTCAACAAAGACAAGACTTTGACCTAAAAAAGATTGGAAAATGAATATATATTTATGTGTTTTGATTTAAAAATATATAAGTATATAAAATAAAAATATATCCATAAGCATATGACACTGACAGTAAATCTTCTACTGTATCTAATACAGATAAACTTTAACTCAGTTTATGTTCTTTACCAAAATGTATTAATAAGTTATCATTGAATAAATGAAATCTTACAATATTAGTTAATTCCTTTCCTTTCATGCTTCTGATATTTAAATACCTCAAACAAAAAAATGAGTCTTTGGATATTTTGAATTTTCTAACCATATGCATATTGTGTTTCTATAGCTAGCCTTTGTATTTCTTTGCTTTAATTATACAGAAAACGTTTTAAAATGTATTTGATGACACATCACATAAAATCATTATAATCCCACCTTTATTGTTAACATATAGCCACAGTTAAGGTTACTAAAGTGTACTTCTCAAGTAGAAAATATTATAAGTTAAAGGTGTTCTTCCCTTATTTTCTGAAATCCTCTTTAAACTTAATTTCAAGCCTTTCCCAAGATGCTTAGAGGACATGAGAAAGAGTGATTTTTAATACTGCTACCTTTTAAATGTCAGTCTTTATTGTTCTATACATTTAGCTGCAAGCATTTGTTTTTTATCAATAATGTTTTCAAATTAAAATTCCATATTTAATAGTCAAATTGTCAGTGAGCCGTATGGGATGGCAAGTGAGCCCACATCACGTTCACACAAATGTTGGATAACCAAATACAGTGTTGGTAGTACCTACCTATAAATAATTACATTCCATTCTATTATGTGTTGCTTAGGAGGCAGCTTCCTGCCAGAGATATGTACACTGCTTTGAGACATGATTATTATATCTAGCATCAGAAGTCTGAGGTCATCAGATAGGAAAAATAGGAAGACAAATTTTGGCTCAATTGTGAGCAAGTATCTTGGACAATTAGACCCATTCAAAAATATGAAGCTCCAAGTTTACCATCATTACAAACAGAGCCTGGAGAAATCACAAAATACTTGTAGACATACTGGGTAAAAATGGAACTTCTGAAATCTTTTCTAAATGGCTGCTGCAGAGCATTGAGTATTTTGTGCAATAAGCAGAGGTCAAGGGAGTGCATTGGAGACTGAAATCCAGCCCTTGCTGTGTTCACTCAACTGGATGCTCTGGTACAGGACTGTGTTTCCTAGAAGAAAGAGTGTTTTTTTTTTAAGTAATTTGCACAGAAGGAACATTAGCCCTACAAGTTCCATGCCCTCAGAGTTGCATCAGCTCAAAGGAGGCACTATGTTCTAGCCCTTGCACACAGAAGTGGTGCCATTTTCAACACATGATGGAATTTTTTTCTTTAGTTTTTGCAACATAAACATAGGCTAGCAGTGGCCCTGTGTTTATACATGCTGGTTTTTCCTCCCATTTCCTTCCTTCTAACACTAAGCAAATGAAATGAATTAAATATTCAATTCGGAAAATAATTTTTCAGAACCTAGTATGACTGAGGAAGATTCAGTACCCTCAAAGAGCTAGCAGTCTGTGGGAAGAGAGGAGTAAAAGAGTTGTGAAAACTATTGTAATGCAAAGTTTAAGATATTAAGTATTTTATGAATGGTACAAAGAGCTAATAGCTCAGATAAATGAGAAAAAATATTTTAAAATCAAGAAAGCATTTATAGAGAATGAAACATTTAATGTTTGACTCTGAGAAATTTTGAATGGCAGTGATGGAACCAAAGTGAGGTTGGGGTGAATGGGAGATAAAGGAAAACTGTCATAATTGAAAAACACACTGAGAGAGAGATGAGATGCAAGATTGAAACATCTCATTATGTCATTATGAGCAACCACAATCTTGAGAAAATATCTCTGTGAATTATTAACTATGTACCCAATTGTGCTGATACCCTAGAATCCCCAGGGTCTCTGACATACTTATTTCAACAAACCTGGTAACCTTAATATCTTAATTAACCTTAATCCACTCTTCTGTTGTCTTTTTGTTTTTGTTTTTGTAATCTATGGCAGACTTGGTGTTTTGCCCTAGCCAGCCTGTTGTATTAGAAACTGTAAAGTCAGACAGTTGCCCTCTCAGGGGTAGCCTGCCTCACAGAGTGGCCACCCACCCCAGTTCTGGTCAATGAGTTATAAAGTAAAGTCTGCTTAGAAACTTCTGCTTGGGGAAACTTTTAATTAATGGATAAGGACAGATGGAGCTGGGACCACCTCTTGTTCTTTCCTGCCTTCAATACGAATATGTTGCCTATAGCACTGGGGGCTTTTTACGCCCCCAAGACGAAATGTGTAGGGATCAGCCACTTAACACCTAAAGGATACTAGAGTAGAAAGATGAAAAAACCTGAGACCTTCATGCTGTGTCTAGCAACCTTTAGGCTCCTTAAAAATAAATACCTATTTGTTTTCCCAGCTACTTGGGTTATCTGTCATTTTTACCAGAAATCATTCCTAACTAATATGCCACATTTTTTTCTAAATCCCTCCAGACAATATTGCTTTTTAAAAAATGTTGAAGATGTCTTACTTCTTGGGACATAAATCCTCAACAAACCGTTGTTAAACGTTTATTATGCACCAAAGCCTGAGCTGTGTACCAGAAAATGACACAAAGATGGATAAAACATAGTCATTGTCCACAATCATGTTTTCCACAGGAGAATGTTAAGTGCTGTGATAGAAACTGGTACAAACCACAGAAGTACCATAGAGGAGGGGAAGATGAAGTCAGCCAAAGAAATTAGGAGAGTATGCACAGAGGAAGTATCATCTAAGCTGATTCTAGATTGATGAGCAGAAGCTCACAAGGCAGATGAAAAGAAAGAGTAACTCTAGGAAGAGATAAATGAAGGAATGGAGTCTATATTGTACAAATGCAGAGATAAATGAAGGAATGTGGTCTACACTGGCAAAAGCAAAAAGTTGAGTTGGAACATTTTATGTTTACTTTATATCAGATATGGCTATATTTAAAAATGAATTCAGATTTTACTCCATGCAGTTAATTTTATAATTAATAGAAAGCAGTCCATTTAAATTCCATCTAGTTTGAATTTATAAAAATTATAACAAGAAGCACTCAAAAGTTTAGATTGTCAACTTACATATTGAGATATGTGTCTATGTGTGCTAATGGATGACTTCCAAAGCAGATTAAAATATTAAAATTATAAGGGGATTAAAGTAAAAGAAGAAACTTTTAAGTGCTTTTGAAGCACTCTTTTATAAATAAAGTTTTGAGTTACAAGTATTTTATCCAGTCATTAAAATATATCCTTAAAGAACATTATCTCAAATCAAAGTGTACTTAAAAGTAGAAAACCAAATTTTTTAATTAGAAAATCTTTTAGAGATTTTGCTAATTCCTCCTTTGTTTTATTCACATTTATGGGAGTTTATATTCCTTGTAAATGTGTTATCCCTCTCCTTTTTTGTCATCAGTTAAAGCAGACACACAATTTTAAGAAGAAAAGTATGCTCAAATTTTAATCTCAAAACTTGATTTGCCCAGAGAACCCCAAGATCTAACCTAGTAGTTAGATAAGTTCTTGCCAAAGTACTTTTCATATCAGGATCCCTAAACATAGCAGCTTTTGTGTGTGTGTGTCCAGTAACTTGTTAAGATAATTCAATAAAGGGGAAAATTTAAGGGAAGAGGTAGCAGAATTGGTGTCTGGCTTACTTGGTATGATGGACTGCATCAATTAAACCAAATCAATATGTCGAAATAAAAATGGACTATTTATAATTGCATGCAGGTTTTTTTCCTGAATTAATCAGAAATTACTATCACTGGTCAAATGAGAGATAATTCTCATATTTCCTAGCTTCTTGTTATATAGGTTTCTTTACTAAGTGCTGCCAGACGAAGAGAAGAGATAAAAGAGTTGCAATGTAGAAATTAAATATTGTGTTCTAACGTTACAATAATGGACTATATCTGACTGCAACAGCAAGCAGCAATGAGCAACAACAACGACAAATAGAATAGGATGGGCCAGGTGCGGTGGCTCATGCCTGTAATCCCAGCACTTTGGGAGGCTGAGGCGGGCAGATCATAAGGTCAGGAGATCGAGACCATCCTGGCTAAGACAGTGAAACCCCGTCTCTACTAAAAATACAAAAAATTAGCCAAGCATGGTGGCCCGCGCCTATAGTCCCAGCTACTTGGTAGGCTGAGGCAGGAGAATCGCTTGAACCCAGGAGGCAGAGGTTGCAGTGAGCCGAGATTGCACCACGGCACTCCAACCTGGCGACAAAGCAAGACTCAGTCTCAAAAAAAAAAAAGAAGATAAAACGAGAAATATGACTTGAAACTCTAATGCATAATACACTTCTAACTGTACTTAACACCTCCTAATTTCTATTAATACCTTTTATTTGATAATGATTGGTTGCTATAAATCTAGGCTATGCTGGATTGTGTCAGCCTAAGATATGACAAGAAGGTCCCAAGCCAGTCACCATGGAAAGATCTTATCAAGGGTGTTTAGGTAAAAGGGACAGTGAGGCCCCATGACACCATGAGAAGAAATAGGAAAACAGCATTATATGGGGACTTGGGAGAATGAGATGGAGGTCCAAATGATAAGACAGGCTGTGAGGTTGGAAGATGTGCAAATTGAGAAAAGATGAGCAGAGGTTCATGATGGATCAGAAAGCTTAGTCTGCAAATAAAAGATATGTGTTCAGGCCTTACTTTTGCATGGTACCTGTTTACATGCTGTTTTGGAAGGCATGACCCTTTAAAGGCATTTGCAGAATAGACTGTGATATTTATTAATAGTTATATATAAACATTTTAAAAATAAGGTAGGGAATACAATGAGATTAAATGGTTTTAGAAACACTGTTTGCCTTCCAGCCTCACAATGGATCTGCTTCAAGTGCTACATTTATCCTTCAAATTTATTTTTTACTGCATTGATTGGTAGATTTTGTTTTTCTGAGTTCAACCTCTTTTAGAGAAGAATATGAGTTTACCTTTACAGTGTAGTCAGACTGAAGTAATTCTGTCAAGTAAGTTGATTTAACAGTGTGCAAAATTTGGATCCATTTTTATTGCTGTATTTGCTCAGGCTGCCATAACAAAATATCACAGCCTGAGAGGCTTAAACAACAAAATTTTATTTCTCACAATTCTGGAGACTAGAAGTCCAAGATCAAGGTGGTGGAAAAGTAAGCGTAAGCTTCATTCGAGATCTCTTCTCTTGGCTTGTAGGTGACTGCCATCTTGCTGTGTCTTCACATGACCCTTCTTTGTACATGCACACAGAGGAGGGGTGGGGTGGCTCTTGTCCCTGTTCTTCTGAGGACACTAACTTTGTGGAATCAAGGTCCTACTCTTTATGACCTCATTCAACCTTATTACTTCCTTAAAGGCCACACCTACAAATGCAGCCATATAGCAGGGGTGAGAGCTTTACCATAAGAATTTTTAGAGGACAGAAACATTCAGTTTATACCAATACTAAACTGTTAAGCAGGTGGTAATTAATCATTGAAAGTTAACGTACAATTTATTCATGTGTGAAAGAAAGGTCTGAGTGCAGCATTTTATACTCTGCACAGAAGCTGCTCTTTTCATTCAGCATTATTGCAGAATGACATAGTGGATGATGACTAAAGTAGAAGTTAGATTACTATGTTTTCCTCTAATTGACTCTATGGCAAAGCTCTGAAACCATTTTTGGTGTCAGTATCCAATTTGTAACATGAGACAATTAGAGGATTTCTAAAATCTCTTTTCACTCAAAAATTCTATGCATCTGAGAGTTCCACTTCCAGTAAGGCTAAGTAAGTTCCTGACAGACTAACCATCCTGCAGAAACCTATTGTAAACCCTGGACAAAATACAAAAAAAAAAAAAAAAAAAAATACAATTGAAGCTTCTGGAAAGTGAATATGACCAGGCAAATTCTGGAGATCTGTCAAAACTTGGAAGAAGGACCCAACATAGGATAAGTTTCCTGTTTGTCCTACTTTTAGATTGTTGGCAGGACCCAGGGCTGGGACTAGGATAAGGCAACAAGGTACCCTGGGTGCACCTCCCTCTTAAGGAGGCTCAGTCTCAAGTAGTGACCCTGAACTTGCATGAGCCTGAGGGAGGGTGTTTCCTTAAATTTTGTATGTAGACACTACTTGCCTCACTCTACTCCAAACCCTAGCAGGACACTTAGAGTGGTAAAACTGATAACTTGCAGTCTTTCTGGCCTATAGAACTAGCATATGAAGTTTGGGACAACTGGAAAGGCAGAGGGGAAATCCCGGAAAGAAGAGCACTGGAGACAGAGACCCCCAAATTCTGCATATAAACTCTGTCCAAGCTTCTGGGTCTGACCCCAAACTACACAAATATAGGGCGCATTGCAAACCACCCAGCAAAGGGGAATGGGGAGGGAAACTGAACTGAGGTTTTAGCTGCTGCCTAAGAAATAGAACTTACTGCTTGAGTCCAACCAACTAAATGACCTGCCAAAACAAAAAGATTAACATGCTTCAGAGTAGTGTAACAGAATCCAGAGTTTTTACAGTATAATGTTTATAATTTCCAGAAAACAATCCCAAATTACTCAGTGTGAAAACAAAAAACAGGAAAATGTAACTCATTCTCAAGAGAAAAGACAGTCAACAGATGCCAACCTCCAAAAGACCAGATGTTAAAATAAGGACTTTAAAGTGCTTGTTATACCTACATGCAATGAAGCGAAGGAAAACATGCTCATAATGAATGGAAAGAGAAGATCTCTAAGCAGAGAAATAGAAATAATTGTGTAAAACTAAATGGAAATGCTAAAAGTATAATACCTTTTAAAAAATCAGAACAGTTGGCTGCCTCTTGGGGCACAGAAGTAGAAATAAACAGGAATGGGATATTTCTGGGGTGGTGGTAATATTCTATACCATGATTGGGGTTTGGGTTGCACAGGTGTAAGCATTTGTGAAAATTCAGTAAATATACACTTAAGATTTGTACATTTCATTGTAAGCAAATTTTACATCAAAAGAAAGAATTTCTGGATAGATCTCCCAACTGAAGAAATCCCTAAATCAAAGACCTGCTAACAGCTAGACAAGGAGATTCTGGTGCGTGACTGTTGTCTCTGAAATCATTCCAAAGTGCTTACTGGGTTTCTATATTCCATAGTGATGAGCATTGCAGGTAGAAGGAACAGTATCTGGAAAAGCAGAGACGAAAAGAAGTCTATAGCATGCTCCAGGAAATAACTCAGTGGATGACATTAAGTGGGACTGACACAGCATAAAGATGAAAGGAAGATTGCAGCCATTTTGTAATGGGATTTCTCATACTGCAGCTTTTTTAATGGGATTGCACATACTACTGGTTCAGGATATTTCCCCTGCTTTTTAAAATTGAGATATAATTTACATACAATAAAATGTAAGTGTACAATTCACTGAGTTTTGACAAATGTAGACAGCTGCATTATACTACCACCATCATGCCCTAGAATATTTCCATCACCTCACAACCTTTCCATGTGCTCCTTTGTAATCTATTCCCTGCCATCCCTTGTCCCAGGCAGCCCTTGATTTGCTTTCTATCACTGTAGTTTTGCCTTTTCTGAAATGTGGAATAAATAGACTATTAAGTTTCTAGCTTCTTCCACTCAGTGTAGGGCTTTTGAGATTCATCCTTGTATGCGTAATGTTGAGTGGTATTCCATTATATTGTTATGCCACAGTTTATCCAGTCACCAATTGATGGATCTTCCAATTGTTTTCAATTTGGAGCTAGTATGAATAAAACTGTTGTGAACATTCAAGGATGTGACTTTCTGGGGATGCATGTTTTCAATGGTCTTTCAAGATTATTGAAAACATGGATTGACATATGTTAATCCATCCATGGATGGATTTAAATGATTAAATTTTTTGAGTGATAAACTATACAGTCAGAACCTATATTCTTTGCAGAAGAGAAAAAGCAAAATTGGGGTCACTTTTATTTAAGTTTATAACTCTTTAATGTAATGATTATTGAGTTATCTAACTTCATGAGAGCTATTATTTGAAAAAATAACCCTCTATGAAGGTGTTTTTATTGTTTTTCTTTAAATCTTTTTAAAAACACATTTAAAATTTTCAAGCATCCTCTTAAAGGCAAATGTCTTCAGGGATTTTTTATGATTTTTTTCCACATTTTACCTGAAAGTAATGTGAGATTGTTAACAGATTTTCAGATAAACTTTTTTTAATTTAAAGGACAAAGATAATAACAACAAATGCTACATGATTAGGGATCAGTGGTGTTTAGAGTTTCATTATGTATGTTCATTTATATTCAAGGTCGGAAACAGCAATGATCTTGACTTCATTTCATCTAGTCTGTGACAGCATTTCTAAAATTGTATGTCTATTGATCCTCCTTACCCTGTTGTCAAAATCCACAAATAACAGTTGTACAAATATTTATAAGTTCCCCTGGTGAGTACAAAGACCTCATAACAACAGTAAAATTTCAAATATGTGCAAGATTCACTAAATCATCAGTCTTCATGGGAGGCAAATTTCTACAGTCAGTCAACAGATAGTTCTTGAGTGCCCACTATGTGTGAGATACTGTCCTGAATCTGGGTCCCATTATACCAGATCTCTGACAGTAGACATTCAACAAATGAAAGTCAAAAAAGTGTTGAAGTTTCTGGCAGATCCAGAGTCTGGGCAGGTAAGGAGGGAGAGGCACTGCTGAGAGTGTTCAGGAAGTTACCACGCTGGGTGAATGTGAGGGAGATTTTAACCCGTTGTACCAGAGATTGCTTGGATGAGATTCCAAATCAGATTGAGAGGTGGGGTCTGGAAATTTGAGTCTACCACCCCCAAACCCACTTTACCTGCACAACTTTACTGTGCCTAACTTTGGCCTCCTATAATCCCTTTTATGTATCTCTCTCTTCCTTCTTTTTAAAATATAGTCGATAACTGGACACAACTATAAGATTTCATAGTCCTTTTGTTTGTTTGTTTGTTTGTTTGTTTGTCTGTTTGTTTTGAGGAGTCTCGCTCTGTCGCCCAGGCTGGAGTGCAATGGCACGATCTTGGCTCACTGCAACGTCCACCACCTGCTGTCAAGCGATTCTCCCACCTCAGCCTCCCAAGTAGCTGGGATTACAGGCACCTGCCATCATGCCCGGCTACTTTTACTATTTTTGTAGAGACGGGGTTGCACCATGTTGGCCAGGCTGGTCTTGAACTCCTGACCTCAGGTGATTCGCCCTCCTTGGCCTCCCAAAGTGCTGGAATTACAGGTGTGAGCCACTGCGTCCAGCCTGTAAGGATTCTTTTTTTTTTTTTTTTTTTTTTTGAGACAGAGCCTCGCTTCCTTACCAGGCTGGAGTGCAGGGGCACAATCTTGGCTCACTGCAACCTCCATCTCCTGGGTTCAAGTGATTCTCCTGCCTCAGCCTCCTGAGTAGCTGGGACTACAGACACTCGCCACCACACCCGGCTAATTTTTGCATTTTTAGTAGAGACAGGGTTTCACCGTGTTGGCCAGGATGGTCTCGATCTCTTCACCTTGTGATCCGCCCGCCTCGGCCTCCCAAAGGGCTGGGATTATAGGCGTGAGCCACCGCTCCTGGCTGGATTCTTTTTTTTCTCTCTGCTCTCTCTTCTTACCTCTGGCTTCTCATTCTCCTGCCTTCTTTCTTCCCTTTTCCCCTCTTTTTCTTTGATCATTTTCTCTCCCTCATTAACTGACCACAAGATGAAATAGAAAACTATTTTTTTAATGTTCCAGGTTTATTGGGAGAAAATGTTTATAATCCCATGACAAAAAAAAATAAAGAAAACTAAAATTAAGGTAGGTGCCATGGCACATGTCTGTTGTCCCAGCTATTCATGAGGCTTGAGGCAGGAAGATCCCTTGAGCCCAGGAGTTTGAGTCCAGCCTGGGCAACACAGGGATATTTTATTTCTCAAAAGAAAGAAAGAAAGAAAGAAAAGAAAAGAAGGAGGGAGGGAGGGAGGAAGGAAGGAATCCTAAAATTAGTTAAGTTCTTTTTATTTTTATGTAACCTTTGAAATATTTTTCTTAGTTACATTTTCCTTCCTAGAAACAACAAAAAAGTGTCCCATCTCTAATTTAGACATTGTATAAAATAAATAATAGGAGCATTGTGGTAGGCAGAATTCTCAGGTGGCACCCATATTCCTGGTTCCTGGTGTACACACACCTTCTGTCAGTTATTTAACCAAATACTAATCTAGGTGCTGCTGTGAAGAGATTTTGCATATGTAATTAGTTAACCTTAAGACAAAGAGATTATCCTGGTGGGCCTGACCTACATGAGCCTTTAAATCTGAATCTCGAAATCAGAGACAGAGAAGTCATATTAGAAATATGTAAAGGACTCTATGTGTCGCCACTTAAGATGGACTGAAAATGGAGGGGTCACATGGCAAGGAATGCCAGCTACTTCTAGGAGCTGAGAGTGGCCCCCAGCTGATGGCCAGCAAAAAAACAGGGACCTCTACAGCTGCAAACTGAATTCTGCCAACAACATCAAAAAATTAATTTGAAAATAAATTGTTCCCCAGATACTCCAGATAAAAACTTACCCCAGCTGACACCTTGATTTCCGTCATGCCATGCCAGACTTTCAACCTACAGAACTTTCAAGAACTTGGATCTAATGGGTGGGTGTTGTTTTAAGCTGCTAAATTTGTGGTAATATGTTATGCAACAGTAGAAAACTGTTGCTATAAAAGTATAAACAGTAGGTATGTTTTCTTGAAAGCTTTTATCTTTTTTAATTGACAAATGATAATTGTATATCTTTATAGAGTACAATGTGATGTTTCAGTATATACATACATTATGGAATGATCAAATCAGGCCAATTAACATTTTCATCACCTCATATACTTATTTCTTTGTGGTAGAACATTTAAAATCTACACTTTTAGCAATTTTGAAATATACAACACATTCTTATTAATGACGGTCACCATGCTGTGCAATAGATAACCAGAATTTATCCCTCCTATGTAACTGAAACTTTGTACCTTTGACCAACATTTCCCCTTTCCCTGTCCCTCCCCACCTGCCTCTGGTAACAACTATTCTACTTTTCATTTCTATGAGTTTGACTTTTTAGGTTTCACGTATAAGTAGAGGTCATGTCACAGTTGTCTTTCTGTGCCTGGCTTATTCCACTTTGCATAATCTCCTCTAGATTCACCCATGTTGTCCCAAATGACAGAATCCTTTCCTGAGGCTGACAAGATTCCATTGTCATAATATCACATCCATTCATCTGTTGATGGGTGATATCTTGGCCATATCATGATGTTTCCATGTCTTGGCTATTGGGAGTAATGCCGTAACTAACATGGGCATTCAGACATCTCTTCAACATACAGATTTCAATTTCTTTGGGTATATACCCAGAAGTGGGATTACTGGATCATATAGTAATTTTAGTTTTAGTTTTTGAGGAACCTACGTACTATTTTCCAAAATGGATGTACTAATTTACATTCCCACCAACAGTGTACAAGGATTCTTTTTTCTCTGCATTCTCACCAATGCTTATCTTTCATCTTTTTGATAATAGCCATTCTAACAGGTGTGAAGTGATATCTCATTGTGATTTTATTTTGCATTTCCCTGATGATTATTCATGGTGAATCACTTTTATACATCTGTTGGCCATTTGTATGTCCTCTTTTTAGAATTCTGGTATGCTGGTATGGGGTACTCTTAGAAACATGGTATGGTAGTATAAAGTGAATGACATCCCATAGGGATATTTATGAAATCACCTTGAGACACACTAATTTCTCTGTCAGTTTTGAATCTAGCATTTTGACTTAATTAGCAAGCTGCTGTTCCTATTTTCTTAGATCAAGTGTGTCTACCTATTGCTCTCAGGCAACCTGTTACAAGCAAATGGTAGTGTCCATTTTGAACTATCAGACATGCTGCTATTACTCTTAACCAGTGTAAATCAAGCTTGCTGGATAGCAACTTTACCACCTCTAACCACTAAATCAGTTTTCCTGAATAGAACAGAAAAGAGAAGGTGCATTTTTTTCCCAATAGTTCCATTAATTCATGTTCGACAGCCACTGGCCCCTTAATATTTTTATTATTGTAATAACAGCAGTGCTCCCCCCACCCACCCCTGCCTTAAGACAGGGTCTGGCTCTGTCACCCAGGCTGGAGTGCTGTGGTGCCATCTAGGCTCACTACAACTCTCTGTCTTCCAGGCTCAAGCGATCCTCCCACCTCAGCCACCTGAGTGTCTGGGACTATAAGTGCATGCCACTATGCCTGGCTAATTTTTTGCATATTTTTTTCCTGGACTCAAGTGATCTACCTGCCTCAACTTCCCAAAGTGCTGAGGTTACAAATGTGAGCCACTGCACCTGGGCAACAGCAGTTCTTTAAAAACATCATGTTATCTTTGTGTACTGAAATAAATTAGAGCTCCTCCCCTCTTCATCTCTGTAACCCATAAGGAAAAGAAGAATATCAACTCTTGGGGAAAATAATGCAAATATTTAAGCATATTCTTTTACAGCCTCACTTTCAATTATCTTATTGTTATTATTATTATTTGAGACGGAGTCTCGCTGTGTCCCCCAGGATGGAGTATAGTGGTGTGACCTCAGCTCACTGCAACCTCTGCCTCGGGGTTCAAGCAGTTCTTCTGCCTCAGCCTCCTGAGTAGCTGGGATTACAGGTGTGTGCCACCACGCCTGGCTAATTTTTGTATTTTTAGTAGAGACGGGGTTTCACCATGTTGGTCAGGCTGGTCTCAAACTCCTGACCTCATGATCTGCCCTCCTCAGCCTCCCAAAATGCTGGGATTACAGGCATGAGCCACTGTGCCCGGCCCAATTATCTTATTAAACACCCTTTCAACATCTTTTTCTAAAGAACTCTCCTCCCAAATTTTACATCCTATTGAATAGTAGGTATTTGTATAAATATAGATACTTGGTAAACATTGATTCCTTAATTCAGCAACTAAGAACCTATCATGTGCCACAAGAATACTGGCAGTGAAGCAATGAATGAACAGTACCTCCTCTCATGGAATTTGCATCCTAGTAAGGAAAGAGAGAGGAAAGAAACCAGGTTGAGGGGGATAATGAGTGTCAGAGGCTGGAGAAGAAGGGAGCTGGCTCTTTTATGAGTGACTAGGGAAGGGATCACTGATTGAACGACACTGAGCAGACCCTGAAAGGAAATGACAGAGTGAACCATGCATTCAAAGGGAACAGCTCTCTAGGCAGAAGGGCTAGCAAGTGCAAAGGCCCTGAAGCAGGAACATACTTGTTATGTTCAAGGAACAGTATGAGACCAATGCAGCTGCAGCACATTGAACATAAATAATTAAGAAATGAAGTCAGAGAAGTTGGAGATGGGGGAGCCAGGTCATGTAGAAGGAACATAATCTGACTTTTTGTTTTTTTAATGATGCTGCCTACTAGTTTGAGAGTAGACTGTGGCAGGGATACCAGTTAGAGTGCTATCAGAATAATCTAGGTAAGGGATGGACCAATTTAATAAAGCTAAAAGTTGTGGGAAGTGGTCAAATTCTGTAACTAATTTGAAGACAAAGCCACCAAGATATGCTGGTTGATTACATATGGGATGTAAAAGAATGAAAAGGGTCAAGGATGTGTCCTAGGCCTGAGCAACTGGAAGGATAGAAATTGATGGGGAGAGCTGAGAGGCGAGGTTTGGGTGAAGAGTCAGGAGATCAGTAATGGGCACCTTCAGTTTAAAAGTGATACAATGATAGAGGAAGAGAGGGCATGCACCTGAATTTGCCAGTTTGGAAATCAGGAGAGAGGTCCAGACTGGGGATAGAGAATTCTGGGTCACGTATGAATAGTATTTAAATAGAAACTGGATGAGATCACCTAACAAATGAGTGTACGCAGGAAAAGAACAGAAAGGAAGGACACAGAGGAGTTGAAGAACCAAGCCTTGGAGCAGTCCAACTTTTAGAGACTGGGGAGATGAGAAGATACTAGCAAATGAGCAGAGAAGAAACAGCCAGTGACAGAGGAGAACCTAGAGAAAGCTGTGTCTTTGCAGTCGAATAAACTGTTCCAAGGAGGTAGTGATCAACAGCATCACATACAGTCATAAGTGAAGGAAGCTGAGGACTGAAAATTGACCTTTGGACATAAAGTGACAAGAGCTGTTTTAGCGGCATAGGGCAAATGGTAGCCTCACTAGAGTTGATTTAAAAGAGAATAAATGAAAAGATGGGAATTGAATGTAGACAAATCCATTTTTGTAAGGTTTTTGTAAGGTTTAGTTATAAAGTAGAGCAGAGAAATGGAGTAGTAGCTGCAAGGAAATGTGAGGGCAAGACAAAGTTTTGTCTTTAATTTTTTTTAAGATAGAAGATAATTACAGCTCATTTTTATGCCCATGGTAATGACCCAGTACAGGGAGGGAACATAGATGTTAGGGAAGAAAGCGGACAATTGTTGGATTGAAGTTTTGAGTAAGTAAGATGGGAGGATTGCATGAGGTATGACCACAGAGAAAAGCGGAGTGTGTGAATAGTTGGTGGATGTTATGGTGGGAATCTAGAAGTTCTCTTTCTGCTGCTTCTGTGTTCTTAGTGAGGTAAGAAGCAAGGTCATCAGCTACAAGAGGATAGGGTGAATGTACTGAAAGGCTTTTTTTTTAATGAAGTACACAGTTATTTTATATGAAATGTATTATGAGATAACCATGAAAACTATCTCTTACCATAACAAATTTAAAGTGTTTAGCTTAGCACTTGATGTACAGTAGATGTAAAAAAAATGCTTTACTGTAAAACAAAATTGGGATCAAATTTTCATTTGATTTGTGACATGAAGATCCATTATTTCATCCAAAACAATTATATATAACTTCAGAATTTCTGGAGAAATTGATGTATGGGGTGGGGAGCCCTTTAAAAGTAAGAAGTTGGGCTGAGGAGAGTCAGATGTGTTATTCATCATTACTCTCTACATTGATTAAATTTATTAGATGACTAATCATAACCAAAGATTGTTGGCAGGAGAGAGTATGAGAAGATCATTTCATCCTATTATTCAGCTCTGTCTTTAGGCTGATCTCACACTCTCCTGAGGAAAGCTTCAGCAAGTTTTATGCTGAGTTTCATTAGTGCACAGAATAAAGTCCGTTGTATATTACTGCTTTTAAGCAAAACAAATCAAAGTGCCTTAGCCCAGATCATTCCCCCAGCATTATATAATATAAATGCCCAGAAACAACTGCTGGGGAAATCCCACATTCTCATCTTCAGTCTAGGTCATGGGATCAGAGTTAGAATGTAAGAGAAAACATTTAAACTGGCCCCTTAAATGTCTGTACATCAGAGTTCAAGGAAGTGACTCCACAATGTAGCTGAGAGTGAGAGAACTCCAACTGTAAAAAAATACTGAATTTTGCATCTATTGGGAAGATAAATGCAGAAAATGAATGTTGGCATTTCCCCTTCTCTTTTATTGGTAACTGGTGTAGTATATGTTGGCAAAAAGAAATAGTGACTGACAGATAAAGTAGACTGTGAACCACCAAATAACCTCTAGAAATTTTTAACAATGATGTTCCTTTAATATATTATAGCTTTTCAATTGCCGGATAAGTGACTTCTAACTAGAAATAGCTCATATCTAATTACGTTAACATTTTAACTTTTAAATTTGGGATGCACAAAATATGTAAAATTATATATGTATATATGTCATTTGCTTTTTTTTCCTCAAACAACAATGATGTATATAACCAGGTGGTAAAACAATCAAGTCACAGATCCAAAATCATGTTTGTTAATACACAGCATTTTTGCAAGACCAATATTAAGGAGTGTTTAAATCACAATTCAGAAAATATATACATTTTTTCAATTATTTTCTTAGAAATTATTTTAATAGTTGAAATGCTGCATTATTTGGTTATTTATAGGTGGCAACCATCTCTCACTATACTAGATTCCTTTTTCATAGGAAAATTAGCTAGTAGTTCTTTTTAAATTGGCACTGCAGTTCAGACCTACAAATTAACTTGTACAATTGTAAACATGTAATGTCTCTAAAATACACTGCTGTGTGGTGAAGCCTAGAAATTATTTCAGTTCCTTTTAAAAGAACATTGCTCTTTTAAATAATAATGCACAAATAATGGATAATAATGCACAAATTGAGACGTTGGGAATCTAGTTTACTTTTTGTGTTCTTCAAAGAGTTAGGCAAAAGTATTATTTGATTGTTTTAATTTTGACTATTGGCAGTGCAAACAGGAGTTAGGGAAAAGAAGCAACACCACAGTGCTTAAAAGCATAGGCTCTGGCATCCAAATGCTTACATTCAAATCATGACTGCACTATCAGCAGTGTGACAATGGACAAGTTATTTAAACTTCTTTATCCCTCAGTTTCGTCTCTGCAAAATGAGGTTAATAACAATATCTATCTCAAATTGTTGTGATGTACAATGAATTAATAATATTTATAAACTACCTAGAAGAATGTCAGAAATAGTAGAAAGCACTATGTAAACATCTGATAAACATAGTTGATTGTTAGGGCAACAATTCTTTATGCCTTTGGAAGCTGCTATCAGTTTCATGTAATCATCTATTGGATAAAACAGCATTGCTGTCCTTTGATTTTTGGAACTTTCTGTATAACGGGACCAGGGAGCTAAGAGATGGATAGCCACAGTAGTATGTTTGAGCTGGCTTCTACTGGCTTGCAAGAACTTTGTGAGCCAATTGTCAAACATAATCATTATTAATAATTAAAATATTTAAACTGAAAATTATATTAAAAGAAATGGTAATAAATATTTTAAAACCTAACCACTTCCTAATTATTTTCCTGCATTTTACAATTGTCTTTGTTCTTGAGGTTATTTACATCTGTTGTATCTAAGAATTGTATGTCATGGTGTATTACTATGCATTTCTTCCCATCTCCGTATTCAGTGACATCACATTGGTAGCTCGAAATAGGCATAGTATAGTATTTACACTATGAAACTGAGCAAATGTTGCAAATCAAGGCTTGCCCCCACCCCCAATAGCTGGTTGTTAAAATATTTACCATCACACTACTGGATCAGGGTCAGAGTGTCCCATTAGTTTCTGTTATTCTTTTGCTGAATGTTATCATGAGTAAAACAGAGACTGTATTGAGGAAAGGATTGTAAAAAAAAAATGTGCTTACGCCTTAACGGAGGTTTCCCCTATAAACACTTTCCTATGTTAGGCATCCAAAATACTCTAAAATCACCAGAACCATAAGCAATGAAGAAAGGGCTGTTAATTTCATTACTATTAATAACAATGGTCTCCTTTCGTATATCATTGTGTAGTTACATGTTATCTAATAAGGGTATCATGCTAACCCCCTAAGCTAGAATGGTAGCTGTTATCATCACTACTATATAAATGACAAATCTATTTATATAGAAAGTTCAGATTCCACAAGATTATTACTTTCCCACGGTTATTCAACTTGCAATTGAAGAACATTACATATGGATTCAGATTTTCTGACTGCAAATCAAGTGAAAATTCCATTTATGTGATGAATGTTATATTCTTTAACAAAGCCTTATTAATTGTGAGTTAGAGATATCTCCCCCCACACCTCCATGTTCCCTCCCTCCCTCCCTCCCTCCCTCTGTCCTTCTGCTCTGCTCAGCATGTTGGATGCTAAAAGTTAAACCTATTTGAGTTTGTAACAATTTTGTAACACTAACAAATGTTTTTCAAATACATCTGACTCTGTTATTATAGTATATTTAATCAGCCCCCATTGATGGTTATTTAGATTATTTCCAATTTTTTGTTTTTACAATGAACAGTCTTGTCAATAAAACATATCTATAGGATAAGTTTCTACAAGAAAAATTGCTGGATTAAGCTATATGGAGATCGTTCAACATAGTGATGAAGATCTGGGCTCTTTCCCCTGCTAGCTGTGTGACCTTGGGAAAGTTATTGAAATTTCCTGTGCCTCAGTTCTCTATTGCTAAAATAGGGATAATAGCAGTACTTCTCATAGATTCTTTGTGAGTATTAAGTGTATTGGTACATGTATGGTGCTTACAACAGTGTCTAGAATCTAACCACTCAATAAATGTTAACTCATTATTATTAGCATTGAAAATTTTAGATAGGTATTTACAAGTTTCTCCTCATAAGTGTGTTATACTTAATACTTCCATCAATATGAGAATGACTGTCTCTTCACACCATCAATGCTGTGTCTAATTAAACTACTTTTTAATGTTTGCTAATCTGATAGATGAACATGGTATCTCATAATAACTTTTTATTTCTCTAATTAAGCATGAAGTTAAACATTTTCACATGTGTTCATTTGTGTTTCATGCCCTACATGTTTCACGTTTTGCCTATTTTGTTATTTGTTATTAATCTTATTATCGATTTGTAGGAATTCTTTCTGCATTAGGGAGTTCAACCTTTTTCTGTGCTATGACTTACCTTCATCGTGTTCCATATTTTTTTTGTAGAACTTATTCCTATTTTTAATAATGTCTTTATGTCGATTTCAAGCTTCATATGATCAAGGGTCATGTCTATTTGTTTATCACTGTATATTGAACATCTAGCAAAATGCTGAACACATAATAAAGGATCAATAAATATTTAATGAATGATACATGGGCCAGATATGACAAAGAAAATATTTGATACATAAATAGACTGGGAAATTAGAAAGGAACTATTTTGTCTGGAAATGTAATGACTTTGGTTTTGGATATGTTGAGTTTTAGGTAACAGCCACTATTCTAAGTTGAATGTGTTTAAGACTCTTACTTTGGCAAGATACTCATGAAGATTTTGGAGTCATCACTGTGAAGTTATTGATTCAAAACAGATGATCACTGATGGAAAGAATGTTATGGGAGGGTTCATAGACAATACTTCTAATCAAAAGCAATTTCAGGTAGTTATAGTTGTCATAACGTTTTTAAAACAAATATGAAAAGAAAAAATAGAAGCATTGTATATTTCCAAGTATAAAGATATGGTAAATGTAGGAAAATTTTAAAACAATAATGATTATTGAAAAGTATTTAGATAATGTTAGTCATATCCAAATCACTTATTATGAAGAAATGAAACCTTTACTAAGGGAAAACTGAGTTCATCAATAAGCTGGTGGAAATCAGAAGTCCTATTTTTGTATAAGGTAGGCTATTTGTGTTTTTAGTTTGTAATTGGACAGTGATTGTTTTCTATTAGTGAACTATCACTGAGAGATTAATTACTATCATTTTAGTCTCTAGGTCTGTCTTTTATATAATAGATTATATGAAATCTGCATGAACTGTAAGAAACTATTCAGTCTCCTAAAAAGAAACACTTATTTTCTCAGAACAGAGAACATCTTCTAAAATAAGTTATACATGTTATTTAATATGCAGGGATATCTTTATGGCTGCAGTCACTGAATAACCATTGTGACTTAAATGCCTGTGAATTAGTACCTTTATAAGTCTGTTATAAAGTTATAATTCTTTTTTAATAATTGTAAGGAAATAATCAAGGCAGAAATTCTATTCTGATGGCACAGGGGATGTGGTAATCCAATGTTAGTGTCAATTTTCACATGATCCTGTAGATTAAAAGATACTGTCTTGAAAGTGTCCACTTTATTTTTATTAGAACGTATCTGTGACTTAAGAAATTAGAAGGACAGACACAGTTGTACTGATCAGACAAATTATTTAGCGGGCAAAAATTGTAGTCACATTAGAATAACTTCCTACTTAACTTTTAGCTGCCTTTGTCTTATTGATTGGAAATCCTGTTATTTCTGAGCATTTTTGTCATGAAAGCAAGGTTCTTAGGTACAGTCATCATTTTCTTCCCTCCAGGTGAGGGGCTTGTCAGTGATGAATGAAGTAATCTATAAAAGAAGATGCAGAAAGTGTGAAGACAGAAAATAAATCTACTTGAACTGGTGCAGCAGAGCAGTTTATCATGGCGCATCTGGCTGAGCATGTGCTTGCAGTGAACACTAGAGGAGACATATAGTGACAGTCACTAAGGGGCTTTTAGGGAAGCCAGTCATTTGCTTAAGCCAGGCTCTAGGAAGTGCTTATTTTCTACTTATAAGAGGAACATTTGTTCATTAAGAGAGAATAGAAACTTCAAGGTGGCCTGTGTTAATATACAAAGGAAATAGTTACAGAATTTTTGCTCAAGGTGTGTATGACTTGTGGTAAAAGACTGGAAATAAACACAATGCAAATTGTATTTCTTGGTTTTCATAATTACAAAAACATCATCCTTAGAGTTGCTTCTCAAAGACTTCACAAGAAGCAAATGGCGATAGAGTAAGGTTTTATTTCATTCAAATAGTTACTGTTAGGCCAAGCACGGTGGCTCACAACAATAATTCTATCACTTTGGGAGGCCAAAGTGGGAGGGTCACTTGAGCCCAGGAGTTTGAGTCTAGCTTGGGCAACATAGTGAGATCTGGTCTCTACAAAAAAATTTAAAAAAGATTAGTCAGGAATGGTGGCACGTACCTATAGTTCCAGCTACTTGGGAGGCTGAGGAGGGAGAATCACTTGAGCGCAGGAGTTCAGAGTTGCAATAAGCTATAATTGTGCTACTGCACTCTTGCCTGGGCAACAGAGAGAAACCCTGCCTCTAAAAGCAAGCAAACAAAAATAGTTACCATTCCTGCACTTTTGCTCTGCCCCTTGCTGAGACTTGGGGAAAGGAAGTCAATGATTTGTTGTTAAAGGTCGGTTACTTTCCAGAGAGGTAGGCTACCTGAGTCGTGATAAGCCAGTGTCAAAGAACTCATCCAAAAATTGGATTAAAATCCTTAGCAGTACTTGGATGGAACAGAGGGGTGGAAACCACTGTGTTCTAGAAACGTAACACCCAAAATCAGAATGTAGGAGAATGTGGCTGCCTCAACTTGGGGCTGTTCTCTTGGTATGATGAGGGCCAAAATGTACTCATTTACAGAAATATGGCCAAATATTGCTTGCTTACGTCAATCCACATCTCTTTATAGCTAACTATTCTCAATCCCATTACAGAAATGGAAGCTAAGTTTAGCAAATTGTTTGGCCGTTTATGTTTAGTGCACAAAATTCTTAATTAACAAAGTAAAATGCCACAATCCATTGTAAATCACTTTGCTAAACTTTCAAACTTAATAAGGAATTTTGTCTTGTCCAAAAGCTACTTTCAAACCCCTGCTGATCTGGCACTCATGTCTGATTCCCTGTGGAGCTGAGTGAAAGAATGTAAAGGGAGCCAATTAAAGAAACTTTGAGCCAGAATAGACAAGCAGAGGCCATCTTGTCCATCCTTCTGCCTTCAGGCAAAAACCATCCACTGCAACACAAATTTTTGCTTGAATCCTGCTGACAAAAATGCTCACCACATGTAAATGACAAGTCATAATCCAGTTATTGCAACTAAAGCAGATTGTTAACTGCTCAAGACTTATTTATTGTGTTCTAAAGATGCTGAGTATGAAAGCTCATCTGAATTGTCTTAATTCCCCCTTTCTAGAAAATTATTTTGTATAAGAAATGTGCTCAAATAATTGTAAAGATGAGGGAGGTTTGTGTCCAGGAAATAAAGTTATCTTTATCATCTTATTAAATATATTTTTGGTTTCCTTTCACTGTAGGTTTACCTTATGGGTGGGAGGAAGCTTACACAGCAGATGGAATCAAGTACTTCATCAAGTAAGTACAAGCATCTCAACCAAGTAAGCAATTTTCTTCACATCTGGAGAGAACCTGGAAGTTGCAGAATAATCAGCAAAACTAAGAAACCTTCTTGGAGGTTACAAAAATTAGTAACAAGAAATGAAGCCTCACCATTTTCGTTTCATGTGATTTAAATGCTAATATCAGATATCATTTGGGGGAAAAAACCTGGTAATAATTTCTAGGGAAACATCAAAAAATTGGAACAGGATCATCATTTGAACTTAGGCTGGCTGCCTAAATTCACTTGCTGGCTAATAGTATTAGTGTTTATGAAAAGTTAATACCTAGCAAAAAAATCCGTTTTGTATATCTTTGAAAGTTCTTAACAATAATGCTAATATCAACATTTTTTAATGCTTTAAAATGCACACAGTTCATTCTGCAACTATTTTTTGAGCATTTGCTGTTTGCCAGGCAGTGTTCCACGCCCTGCAGATATAGTGGTGAAATATATAGACTGGTTTCTTGATAGCATAGAATTTACATAATAGAGAGGAAAAACAGACAGTAGATAAATAACTTGAGATAAATAGGACAGTATATGAACAAACCTTACCTCAGTGGATTCTCAGAACAACCTCTTGAGGTATGTATACCTTGTCATTTTTTCTGTTTTATAGATGAAGAAAATAAGAGTCTTGAGTAGTTACCAAAAAATCTATCACTACTTAATTACCAAGTCAGAACTAGAGTCAAAGTCTTCTGACCGCAAGATTCTACTATCTGCACTAGACTGTCACTGATAAAGACCCATCCTTAAAGCCTGAACAGGAATACATTTCCTAGATGCTGAACTGGTTAGTTTTGCCCTGGACAGAGCACTGTGATATACTTCTACCGTTTCCTGAAAATTCCTTTTATGTCAGAATTGACATTTCGAGAGCACAAAGGGGAATCCCAACAGACTCCTAAGAGCCCAGGGGACTCCTTTGTGTATCCTTTTAGCAAAGTATACTTGGTATGCATTTTGGGAGGAAAAGGGAGACATGTCCTTGCTATCCCCTTTCAAATGTGCAAATATTTTACAAAGCAATATCCAGATTTTGGATTCTCATGCCCCGCAACTTTACACAGTTCCTACATCTCTGTTAACCTCAGCTTTCACATCATATACTGAGGGGAATATTACCTACTTTATAAAGTTGTTTAATCTTAAGTACCTAGCATAGAACTTGGAACACAGTAGATGCCCAATAAATAGCCATCATGAATTTACAATATGGAGAAACCATCGTGGAGGGGAAAAAAAACCTGAACAATCATATGACCATTAAAAACATTGAGAATTCAAAAGCTTTGTATTTGAAAAAATTTAAGGAAAAACTAGAGATAAACCTGGCAAAGTGTTTTCATGCTGAATTTTTTTCTTGCAATCTCTAGCATGAAGTGATTAATCAGGCAAAGGTGTTGTTTATAACATTTGAAAGAAAATGAACTTTTGGCATAGAGGACCCAGGAATTCCATGTGCAGATTACATTTAGTGCCACACTCTTTACTTCCAGAATCAGACCTCTTCTGGAAGGGGCTCTCTAGCATGCAGGATTAATCATGTTTAGTTTCTGGAAGATTTGAATCACTGTACTGTAGGAATGGCAGGAAAATGAAAAAATGCATTCAAATCTGTGTTGCATTTCTTTCTTTCTCTCTTTTTGATATTAACTTTATAAAGGAAAAGATGAGGGCATGAGCATTTACTGAGCACTAGCTTGTGCTTAATAGCCAGGAATATGCTAGGTGTATTTCTCTATGCATTATATCATTTAATGCTCTTAACAATGTGGAAAGTAGGTGTTGCTGGGCTCTTATTGGAATGGCATTATGATGGTAGTGAGCTGCATCTTGCCCTTAGCCATGCTTTCTCCTAGAAGGTTCCCCAAAGAAATGCATGATTAAAAGAAAGAAAATTAGCATTCATTATTAACTGGGGTTCTGCATTCAGGATCCTTTGAAATGTCAGTAAATGAGTCTGGATCCTGTGGGGAACTCCTTTACCTAAACCTAGCTGTCTGTCAGTATATCCTAACCCAGAGTTGAATGTCAGAATCTAACTAGTGCCTTAAGAGAAAAAAATACTAGGGGCACAGTTACCCAAAACAGAGAAAGCAGGAACAAGTGATGGTCAGCCAGAGAGTTGGTTTGTCTCCTTACCTGTTACCCAGCTAGCTTAAGCCACTGTTCTTTGCAGCCTGGAACAATAGCCTTGGGCTGGTCTCCCACTATAAGGGAGAATAGAGTCCCAGAAGAGGAGATAAAAGGGAGTCAATAAGCCCTTTGGCTGCCCTGGGAACCAACTCAGTGTCTGTGGAAAGAACAGAGAGATGCTACATTTATCCTAACCCCATTGCTTTGCTCGGAAAATATACCCCCAAAGGGTGTGTTTTGGAAGTCCATCAATTTTTTGTTTCCTTGACCTTAGTCTTGACACATAAGGAAAACAGAAAAAGAGATGATAAAATAAATGTATTCCCCAAAGGGCCATAGTAGATCTTATTGTCTTACCATTTCATTAGGAGAAACTGTTAAAAGAGGCTGTAGTCATCAAGGTCACACAGTAATAAAATTGCAGAGCCAAGATTCAGATCCAGGGTTGTCTGGCCCCAAAGCCACCTGCACACACACACACACACACACACACACACACACACACACACACACGCCTCACCACCTCTGTATCCTCATGTTAATATAGTATGTTGACATGTGACAAGAAAGACACTTCAAACAGATCTTAATTTAGGAAGAGCTCTATACTTTATCCATTTTAAAACAGCAGAATAGAAACTTGGTTGTAAGAATAAGAAGTTGTCTTCCAGAGATTAAAAAAGTCAAAGAGTAGAAATAGGAAAATCTAACAATATGCCATTACTTCTTTTACCCAGCCTCATGAAGGAATGGGGTGTTTGGCATAAGTTAGTTTTTTTTTGTTGGAACTTAACCCTATTCAAGCACCAAGACTTATTTTAGTTAACTGTTCTTGATGAAAGTCTTACTTTAATATATGTTACACACTTCCCTGACTTCTTATACAGAGGCCAGTGAACAAAATCCTTATGAACATCCATCATTATACACAATACAGTGAGTTCTACAGGGGATATTACGCTGTATAAGACACAGTAGAGACACAGCTGTCATCTCTTGCTTCTCTCAGTGTCCCTGTTCCTCTCCTCATGACCATTCTCTTTGCCCACTCTCCACAAGCCACCTTCTTCCCCAGTTTTGTACTTGAGGACAGGATGCCAGATAATGAGGCTAATTTGAACTGCTTGTAAATAGCCTTTGAATGTGGTTCTGCAGGAGTGCTTATGTAAGTCAAGTATGATACATAAGTTCTGTTGCAGGTGGATTTGATTACAGGAAGGCCATCTGGTATCAGGGAAAGAAGAGCATGGGCTTTGGACTTGGAGAAACTTTAATTAAAATGACACTGTCTACACAAAATAGCTAAATAAAATAGCTAAACCTTAGGCACATTTACTTAACCTCTCTGGGATTAATTTCTCCATTTATAAAAAGGAAAGTATATTAGCACTTCATAGGGTTCCTGTCCAGAATGAATGAGCTTGTGTATTTAAAGAGCCTATCATAGCACCTGGCCCAAAATAGACACTTTCAGCAAAGGTTAGCCCTCTTCACTCCCTCCCCTTGCTTTCACATTTTGGTGGGAGTTTCTTTATGGTTCTTAGCTGCATTCAACTAGGTGATGTTGTCAGATAAGTAAAGTTTGCATAAGCAGACATCTACTATATGTCTTTTTTGGAACTATTTCGTTTTGGTTTGTCATTTGTTTTTGTTTTGTTTTAATCTTCATTCTCTTACTACCCCAACAAAAAATTTTGAGTCTGTGTAGCCTGTGTTAGCTTTTGAGGTAAGAGTGATTCATTTACCATATAGATGATGCTTTGAAGGCAAGAAATAATAAGTAATGGACTCAGATCATTGCTCTCTCACCTCTACTTAAGAATAGTGACTGAAATCACCCTCCCAGAACACCAGAAGAGATGATGGTCTATATACACATAATCTCTTCCTGAAATTGGCATCTGTCACTGCCTTCCCAGAAATTGAATTGTTACATCTGATGGAAGCCAAGCCTCTGGCAAGGGAATAACTGTCAGTGGTGTCCTAAGAATGTCCAGATGAACATAATCCTCATTGACTATCCCTGCCCATCCACATGTCCATCACACATATATTAATACTTTGTCATCTACTTAAATTCTGATGCAAGAGAAGAAAGCATTTTACCTAGGATGAACAAATTTGATCAGTGTTGGCATCGCTACAGCCAGTGTTTCATAGAATTAATAAACATATATCTCTGTGTGTGTGTATGTTTCTGTGTGTGTGTGTGTACCAATGTATATATGCATATATGCAGGTGAGCAGAGCTTGCTCACTTGCCTCATATATGTGTAAAAAAGAAAATACATTATTTATTAGTTTTAAAAAGTATTTGTGCATTCTAGGAAATTTTTTCTTATTTTCTCCTTAGAGAGAGAGTTGCAACATTCTTAAATTTAATAACAAACCATCCATGATCTTGAGAGTGCTATAATGAAATTAACTGATTAACTTGATCCATTTTTCTACCCAACTTCTTATCTTTTTCCCTTTGAAGTTGTATACTGTTACAGATTTATAGTAGTCTTTGGTATGATTCCACTTAAAAGTTCACATGCTTTATACATATGTTATATAATATAACAAAATTATTATGAGAGTTATCAAGTTTGTAGTAAAACTGAATTTATGACAAATTAGACATAGCTGCTAATTGCTTTTTTGTATCCTTTTATCTTTCTGTTGATTCAGATTTACTGTGATTATCATACTTATATTAACTCTATATCTGCATAATAAATTTCTCCAAAATTTTAGCTTAAACCAATATGTATTTTCTTACTCAATTTTAGAGCATCCTGAATCCAGGAGTGGCTTCACTGGATTACTCTCTCACTTTCTCTCTGGGTCTCTCATGAAGTTGTAGTCACTCTGTTAGCTAGGGCTGGGACTTCAAGAGTGGCTTAGTGAGGCCGGGCGTGGTGGCTGACGCCTGTAATCCCAGCACTTTGGGAGGCCAAGGCAGGCGGATCACGAGGTCAGGAGATTGAGACCATCCTGGCTAACACGGTGAAACCCTGTCTCTACTAAAAAAAATACAAAAAAACATTAGCCAGGCATGGTGGCTGGTGCCTGTAGTCCCAGCTACTCTGGAGGCTGAGGCAGGAGAATGTTGTGTACCCGGGAGGCGGAGTTTGCAGTGAGCCAAGATCACACCATTGCACTCCAGCCTGGGCCACAGAGCGAGACTCCGTCTCAAAAAAAAAGAAAAAAAAAAAAGAGTGGCTTAGTGAGCTGGCTGGAGTATTTGGTCCAAGCTCACTCATGAGGTTATTGGCAGGAGGCTTCACTTCCTCACCATATCATGAACACATAGAGCTACTCACAATATGGCAGCTGTCTTCCTTGAAGTAAGGGACAAAAAGGACAGAGAGGGAGAAAGACAAAAGCTACAGTGTCTTTTATAACCAATGTCAGATGACTGATCTACCATCACTTCTGCTATGTGACCAACCCTGGTTCAGTGTAAGAGGCGCCTACCTAAAAGTATGAATTCCAGAAGGTAGGGATCATTGGGAACCATCTTAGAGCATGCCTAGCAGATGCCACTTCACAGTGTATGTAAAATATATGTTTCATATGACTTATATAAATAATACAAAATTGTCTCTGTCCATTACTTGCTTTGAATATTCAATTATACCAGCAGTTCCCAACCTTTTTGGCACGAGGAACCCATTTTGTAGAAGATAATTTTTTCATGGACCAGGGGGTAGGGGGACGGTTTCAGGATGAAACTGTTCTACCTCAGTCATCAGGCATTAGATTCTCATAAGGAGCACGCAACCTCAATCCTTTGCATGTGCAGTTCACAATGGGGTTTGCAATCCTAATGCCACCACTGATCTGACAAGAGGCAGAGCTCAGGCAGTAGTACTCGCTTGCCCGGAACTCACCTCCTGCTGTGCAGCTGAGCTCCTAACAGGTCATGTACCACTACGAGTCCATGGCCCGGGGGTTGAGGACCCCTGAATTATACTGTTGGTGATTTTTCAAATACATGTAATCACTTGCTTTTAAGTTACTTAAATTTGGCTTGTAATTCTCCATGCATTCATTTGGATTGATATGCCTTTATATCAGATCCTAAAATCTGATATATTGTTCCTCGTATTACAAATTCTATTCTTTATCACATAGGCAGTATTATTCTTAGAACATTACAAATGCGTATCAGTAGAACCTAGAAAGTCTATGTATTTGAATAAAACAAAAGTTTCTGTGTAGAACAGGGAAGGGAAATAGATTTTAACTCATGCCATCTCTGTCTGTTGATAATAGCTGTCTCAAGTATTATTTTGAGAAGAATTCTGAGGACATATTCAACTTCACTGATGTATGCCTTGATCAACTGGAGATGTCTGCCATGGGTTTAGAGGGAGAAGTGGTGTGTAGGACACATGCCACATCTTTGCAATCTTTTTCTTCTAGAGTGTATTGCTAGCACATGACAGGAACTCTGCCATGATGAACAGTAATGATGCAACTATTAGGTTGGAATAACAAAATAAACAATGAGAACACCCCTACCCCAAATTTCTTACAAGATGTTCAGTATGTGAGAGCTTTGTTTTTATGACTCTACAGCATAACTAAGTTCTAATACGCATGGTTTCTCTCATTTCTCTCCAGTCAGAATTCATTAATGCCCTAAAATGATTGTCTATACTTGGGTTAAGACAGCCAGTTAGTTTGTTTGCAAGTAGGGAAGAATGGCTCATAATCTATAAGTGAATAAATTTTATTGTTTGCCTATTGTATTAGTTAAAAGCTTCAGTTACATTGTGTCATCTCATTTATAAACAAAGGAAAACACAAAAGACAAGAATTTTAAATTATCGTTTCTTAGGCCCTAACTTTATTTGCTAAGTAGAGCCTAGCTTAGGTAAATCTAATGCAATTAGAAATTAGGGAGATTGGAAAGGGGAAGATGGAAAGGAAGGAATGGTTTCTGAATTAGAAATTTAAAGGGTACTACTTTTAGCTTTTTCTAAATCCTTTACAATTATTTTAGCTTTTTTTTTTTTTCTTTTTTTTGAGACGAAGTCTCGCTCTGTCACCCAGGCTGGAGTGCAGTGACACAGTCTCGGCTCAGTGCAACCTCCACCTCCCAGGTTCAAGTGATTCTGCCACCTCAGCTTCCCGAGTAGCTGGGATTACAGGCACCAGCCATCACACCTGGCTAATTTTTGTATTTTTAGTAGAGGCGGGGCCATGTTGGCTAGACTGGTCTTGAAATCCTGACCTCAGGTGATCTGCCCGCCTCAGCCTCCCAAAGTGCTGGGATTACAGGCGTGAGCAAGCACCTAGCTTATTTTGGCTTTTAGTGGACACTGTCTAACACCCTCCTTCTAAAGATCTCATTAATTTGGGGGCTTTGATTCATTTTCTGTGAATGAGGAAATGTCTACTGACAAATTAGTAAGATCTAAGGCTCACTGGATGAGGTGTCAGGGCAATTTCTATGCAACTTCAGACTAGATAAGGAGAATATGTGTAGGCTCCTCACTCTCTTTTACATGTATAAGAATTCTGGGCATTTTATTCTTAATGAGGCTACAATGAAGAAACCAACAGAGGACTTAAAAGATGAAATATGGACCTTTTTAAATATTTTGCCCCCAAATACTTCTTAGCTATGAATGAGTTGTAAGGTATTGAAATTACTAGATTGCACTTTAAAGCTGTAACCATCCATGTGACAACTGGTTTGGAATATTCATTACCTAGCACAGGGCCTGGTATTTGTAGGGATGATAAATATTTATCGAATGAATATTGTTGTTGGCAGTCTGCGGAAGCAATTGATGGGGAAAAAAATAAGGGCTTTAGTATCAGACAGAGCTAGCTTCTAATGTTTATGCAACCACTTTTAAGTGTGACCTTGGTAGTGGTAAGTTATTTCAATACTCTCTACCCTCTATTCTTGTACAAAAACAAGGATAATAATTTCTATCTATCTCCCCAGATTGTTTTGAGAATTGAATGAAATTTGGGGTAAAAAGCACCTAGCAAAATACCTTGCACATAATGAGTGCTTAACAGCTGTTAGTTACCCCTCCCCTTCCTTATTTTATACTATTGCTATTTGCCAATGGAGGAGTTTAAAATGACAGTATTTACACAACTGCAGATGGAAACCAGTAGCCAAAACCTACACCTGTGCCACTCTCTGGCCAGTCAAAAGCCCTGTGATAGGAGCAGAGACATTGCATTGATCATGAGCCTGAGACAGCTTGCTCAGGATTTTCTGTAAATACCTACAAAGATATGTAGGAATATGAAGTACTGTGTGAGAAATTGTCATGAAATGAAAGACCAGGCAGCTGGCTTGGGTTATTCAGAATGGCAAAGCCCACTAAAATAAAAAGAACATCCAGACCTAAATATTCAGCATCAAAGCCCCTTTTCCCCCTCATTTAACCAATGACAGGTATAACACAGGCATGAGGCATGTTTTTTCACATTTCATTGAGATATTAAAATAAATTATTTGGGGTTTCATAAAGTACTTTGAAAACTCGTAACCTTTCTGAGGGTTAATACTTCTATTTGAAAGGTGTATAATTGTCTTTGCTGCCAGGACCCTTTATTTAGATTTACTAACAAATACTTTTTGTCAAACTCTTTCCCTTCCAAATTTGGTTGCTGTATTAGTCTGCTAGGGCTGCCGTAACAAACCACCACAGACATGGCTTAAACAACAGAAATTTATTTTCTCACAGAAGTCCCAAGATCAGGGCGCCATCAGGGTTGGTTTCTGGTGAGACTCTCTTCCTGGCTTCTAGATGCCTACCTCTGGCTGTGTCCTCATCTGGCCTCTTCTCTTTGTACACAGAGAGAGAGATATCTCTGGTGTCTCTTCTTACAAAGACACCAGTTCCATCAGACCAGTGTCCTGCCAACCCTACAACCTCATCTAACCCTAATTATCTCCATGGAGATCCAGTCTCCAAATACAGCCACGCTGGGGTTTGGAGATTCAACATATGAATTTAGGAGGGACATAGTTCAGTCCATATAGTAGCTTCTCCCAAAAATTACATTTCATAAGGTCCCTAGCAACTTTTTTCTTCATTCTGTAGATTATATTCATTATAGTGTCATACATATATGTATTATTTTTCATGCTAAACGTTTAGCAAGTTTTAGGCAAATTGCAAGAGTTGATCCCAATCGGTGCATTTTCCATTAGGCCCTAGTCTTAGGGGAAGAAGCAGCTTAAGGGAAGAAGAGAAGGGTAGGCAGAATAATGGCCCTCAAAAATGTTCACATCTTATTCCCCAGCACCTGTAAGTGTGAATATACTAGGTCACATGGTAAAGGAGCATTAAAGTTGCAGGTAGAATTAAGGTTGCTAATCAACTAACCTTAAAATAGGGAGCTAATTCTGGATTATCCAAATGGGTCCAATCACGTGACTCCTTAACAGTAGAAGAGGGAGGCAGAAAAAGAGAGTCAGAAAGAGATATGACAGTGGAAGCAGAATTTAGGATATGTTATGTTGCTGGCTTTGAATTTGGGAGCCATAAGCCAAGGAATGTGAGTGGCCTGGAAAAGCAAAGAAACAAATTCTCCTCTAGAGCCTCCAGAACAATAAGACCTGTGTGGGACTTCTGAATTACACAACTATAAGATAGTAAATTTGTGTTGTTTTAGGCCATTAAATTTGTGGAAATTTGTTACTGCAGTAGCAAATGATTACAGGGAGTTAGAAGTAGAGTGGGGAGGGTAGTGGTCCCACTACTGTGTGACCTTGGATGGGGCTTTGATACTCTGAGCCTCAGTTTCATCAATTGTAAAAACTGTAGAGAAAAATAAGGTCTGTGAGATTTATATGAAAAGCAAATTGGGAAATTGGTATCAAAGAATGTTGTAAAGTACAAAATGCTTTCCTGATGTAAAGTCTTACCCAGCTGCCACATACCTGAACATCTGTATCAAATGAATGATCTCAATATTAACAGGGCCAGAGGTCTTCTTTGATCATGCCTGCACTTTGTTACTTAGCACTGGTATTAAGCAGGTACCTCTGTGAAAATCTCCATCCCTCTGTTGGGTATCTGGTGCCTAGAAACATGGCTTTGGCTGCATTCTCATCATTTCAAAGACTAAAAATTCCAGTGTGGTAAAATCACTTCTACGGTTTAGGGACCGAAGGGAAGCGTGAGCTGTTAGCCAGGCCACTTACCATCATATTTATTTGTCTTTAGTAAAGTTTTATACTCTAATAGTTAAAACAAGATTTGCTTAGCTAAAAATAGTATTTGCTTGATGTAAATAATTTTAACAAAACCTGGGATTTGAGTAGGTTGACATATAACTCCAGCTGTATAGAAAATAAACTAGTCAAAATGGTCTGAATTATCACAGTGATTCAACTGTTACATACAACCAAATGTATGAGTAGACCTTTGGAAGTTACTTGGATATGAGAATATTGGTGAGAAGGACTAGTAGTGTTAGTTATTTGGTGACTTTGGAGCTATTTAAATCTTATTTTAATAATGATCAATTTATTTATGCATATTTTCAATAATTTAGGACAGTACACTGGATTACCAAGTCGGAAGATTGTTTTGTCTGATCCTCCATTATAAGTAAGCTTGTCTACCACTTTTGAGTATTTTTACCCAGTGATATGACAATAGTAATGTATCAGTGAAATGTATCCATGCATCAAATATTTATGGACCCCCCTTTCTGTGAGCCTGACACTGGGGCTATAAAGATGAGTAGGACACTTCCCTACCCTCCAGAAACTAACAGCCTATTAGACAAAAATAGATATATGAAGAATTTGTTGCTACATGATGTAAAAAATATGACTGCTGGCACAAAGCCTCTGACTCAGGCTTCATACAAGTACTTTTTATTCATGGTCATCCAGATAACAATTCTTATGCATTTCGTGGTATGTTAGTTTGTTTTCACACTGCTATAAAGATATCACCTGAGACTGGGTAATTTATAAACAAAGGAGCTTTAACTGACTCACAGTTCCACGTGGCTGGGGAGGCCTCCCGCAACTTACAATCATGGCAGAAGGGGAAGCAGGCACCTTCTTCACAAGGCAGCAGGAGTGAGAAGTGCAACCAGAGGAAATGCCAGACGCTTATTAAACCATCTGATCTTGTAAGAACTCAGTATCACAAGAACAGCATGAAAGAAACTGTCCCCATCATCCAATCACCTCCCTCCCTTGATACTGGGGATTACAGGTCCCTCCCTTGACACATGGAGATTACAATTCAAGATGAGATTTGGGTGGGTACACAGAGCCAAACCATATCATATGGCAAATACTTTAAAATATATATATAATAGCTTTAGACATATCATTTATAATCAATGAACTAGTCAATACATCTTTAATTAATTTTATCTTGTAAAGCTGAAGAACCCCTTTCAGATGGTCACTTAATCCATTCCAGAGCCTCCCTATATATTGTTACTGACACCAACCCAGATAACAGAGCCTCAGCGAGGAGTTTAATATAATGGTTAAATTCTCAGAAGTCAGATTTGGGTCTAGATCCCGGCTCTAACATGCACTAGTTTCATGACCTGGAATAAGTTATTTCACCTTTCTTAGTATCAGGTTCCTCATACAGAAAATAAGAATATAATTCTTTCTTGCCTTTAATTTATACTAAGGTCCTAAAAGACAGTTAATTCCATTTAGTCACAAGTCTAAGTTGGCACTATTAGAAACAATCAGTATTTAAAAGTTCATGAGAAAACTGTAGAGGTTGATGGCATGTTTTTATCCCATAATTTTCACCATAATTGAAGGCTTTTCTTTGTAACACTCACTGTCAAGTGGCTTTAGCATTTATACATGACGGAATCAATAATACTGACAAAATACTTCAAGACATTAGAGATGGTCTCATAAGGAGCCTCTCAAAGTCCCTTCCAACTTTGTGATTTTTACAAATCATTCTGTAGTATAATATATATGCTTATATTTAAAATTTGTAGTGTAGTCATTTTAACTCTGATAGATAAACATAACATTAGAATCATATAAATTAGTTGAAAAATATGTTTTAAATTTTAGTTTTTTAAGGTTTTAAATTTGTTAATTAAGAAGAATGTTTAGTCAGATGTTTATTAAACTTCTTTTGTTGATTAAATTAAGTGAACACCTGTATGGCTTGTAATACAATTCTATTTTAATAAGAACACTAAAAATTAAAGTAGCTTCTACATTTTATGCACTTCTACTCGCAGGGGGAATTTAACGTGGAAACGTTGACAGTGGTCTTATGAACTTGTTTCCAGTTAAATTTAGTATTCGTTAATCTGTATTCTGACAGTCTTGATTATTGATATTTAAAGTAGCATAAAAATATATAGCTATTACTTATTTTCTGTATTTTAGAAAGATAGGCTTTTAGTTTATAGAAGTTGTTCATATATTTATTGAGAAAGTAGTAGTCATGGCTTCCTCTTGAAATATTCTCGTCTTGCTTGACAGTGATCTAGAGTGACGCTATCTGAAATAACAAATCATCTGCTTTCAGTGACTTCATGCTCACAAATCAATGCAGGGATTCCTGGTTGATGGGTGTAGCTTTTCTTCAGGTAGTGATGTTGAGACCCAGGCTCCTCCCATCTCATGTCTCTGCCCTCCCTAATGGCCTCAGAGTCCTCTACATTCGGTTGGCGGATAATGAGTGAGAGTAGAGAAGGCACTCCAGCTTCTTAAAAACCCTGACCCACAAAAGATAAACATCAATTCTGTTACCTTCTATTGACAGGAACTAATCACATGCTCACATAAAGATATGAGGAGAGCTGGGAAATGTAGTCTCTGCCTAGGCAGCTGCCACCTGGCAGCAACTCTATGGTATGGAATGGAGAACATAAATTTTTGGTGGACACTGCCAACAGGTATATGAAAAAGTACAAATATACCAACTATACAATCCTATATAATTGTTTATTAGTATCTGATAATTCAGTGTATAGGTATCAGTGTCAGTAGGACATGTTCTTTGTTTTTTTCTGTTTTGTTTGTCCTATTATGATGAAAAACAGCATCAATTTTTAAGAGTTACCCAGGGCTGTACTCTGTCACTACAGAGTTGTTTCCTTCTTTGAAAAATTAATTATATTGGCTTTGTACCTGACATGTTTTAGCTCTATATAGCAATCCAGCCTGTGGATATTATTTGAAAAAATGTAATTAATATTTTCCATACTTGTTCCTCAGGAATTTTCTTTTCAGTGTTTATCTTTTAGAAGTCTAGTGACAACAATTTTTTTATACATAAGTAATATATTACAATAGCTTTAGATTCTTATAATATGATTTGATAGCTCAGACCTAAATATTTTTAATTAATTGGAATTTAAGATTTTAAAAGATAAATGATTTTTAACAGAAATTACCATAAATATATAATAAAAATAAAATTTGTCCTCTAGACTGTAAAGATTTGGATGAGATCCTGCTAATATTTGATCAGAGCCTCACTGGATTTCCAAATGCCTAATTACAAAATGCTCAAAGTGTTCTGTGATATTTACAAAGTTCACTAATGAGAAATATTTATTTTGATTTTAGCGGCATATTTCCAAAATTATGTAAGAGGATACTCCTTATATACCAGTGGGAACAAAATGCCTGCAATTTTCTCTTAAACATATTTTAGAATAGATACTTCCTATTACTAATCTGTAATTATTCTCATAACCAGTGTTTATATAAGATTATATGCTGCTTTATCATGGTTTGGTTACTTTTTAATAATCTCATTGACAAGGTTCACCTTGTGTTCCTACCTTCTCATTTGTTTTCAATTGGGATTAGTTTTTAAGTATAAATCTTTTATTGTCATTACTACTTGCAGTTTATGCCCAGTTGTAAAATTTTCCAGTGATTCAAAGTTACTGGTGCCTGAAACAAATTATATTAACATATAGTTACTTATTTGTCTTTGTTTTCTGTTTTATATAAATACTATATGCATACAATTATCACCCCCCCCCCAATAAAATGACACTGGAAGTTAATTACTTTTGGCTCTTTATTCCACAGCTTTATCTTAAACATGATAAAATAGTATATGCAAATTCACAATGATGTATAAATAGTGCCATCTATGATGGAAGATTAACAAAAGAATGTCTTTCATCATCACAGACGGTTATAAGAATGAATTTCTACAGAACAAGTGCCCTTTTTGTCATTAAATCCTTTTTGTTTAACAGGTTGTCCTAATTTTTATTTTGAAAGAAAACATTTTGCTCCTTTAGCTAGGAGGTAAGAAACATAAGGAGGGTAATTATAATGGGATTTAAATAATTCACTTACATTTCTATGCCAATAATATAAAGCATGTTCTCTTAGGTTTTTTAATAAGCTCTAAAATGTGTCTTTCAGTTTACTAATATTATTTTTTAAAACACACAATACTGTTATCTTCCCAAATCGAATATTATTGTTTTCCAACAACAGATTTGGCAACCATTCAGAGGCAAATAGTATTATGCTTTTGAGATTTTCAAATATATCTGAAGTGCTGTTGACTGCTCTCCAAATCAGGTCAGATGCACTGTCTCTTTAGGAGAATTTGCCAGAGGTACTGTTTGTTCAAATGGAAAATTTTCATGTTCCATAGTAAGCTTCATTTATTTTCCAAACCTCTAAATTTTTTATACTAAATTTTTTATAGCAACATCTCCCTTTATGAACCATGGGGTCTTTATTAATTAAACAATCAACAGGGCTGATTTATTCTCTTATCAGCTGAATTACCAAGCACACAAATCACAGAGGAAATGTTTTTAATACTAGAATGTTCTCCAAGCCAGTAAATCTGGGATTATCTCATCATACCGATTATGTCAAAGCTCTTTAGCCACAGTGCTCACTAGGACATAAAATTGAATGGTATACACACAAATGGCCCCCTTCCAGCATCATAGGAAGAATTCCAAATTTTTCTTACAATAATCAGAAATCCCTAATTATCAATAAAACTAGCTATGATTATTTATTGAATGTCTCCTCTCTGCCAGGCACTTCACATGCATTACCTGAGTTTCAGAAGCACTGTGTCCCATTGGTTCTGGACGTTTTAAACAAAGACCCAGGTCTGAAATGTGTGCTTGAAGCACAGAACACGTCTCTCTGTTGCTTTAGTTTTATTTCTTCTAGTGAGTAGCTGTTGTAATTGCATATTTGATGCTTAGGTGTGTGCGTGTGTGTTTTTAGGCATATACAAAAAATCATATTGTGAATATAAGATTAATCAAGTTATAAGGTTAATCAAATTTTATATTACTTTTGTATTTGGAGTAAGATCAGATGTGATTTGTTGATTAAAAAGTGCTTAATGAAGGTTACTGGCAAAGATGACCATCTGGTAGAACTTTCTGATATTCACCGTTCAGAGTCTATAACTACGTTTTTTTCTTAGACATTTTCCTTTTGATTATTTTAAATTAGCAATTTAATGGAATGTTCATATATGGACAGTTGTAATATGTCAAGCATGAGAATACTATTTATAAAAAGTCACATAGCAAAGCATACTACCTGAACTTACCCTCAGGTAATTGCTCCTGTTTTTCTTCCTTCCCATCTCCTCCAATTATGGAACTTCAAAGGAGAGGGAGGAATTTAAATGATTTAAATTATGGTTTCTTCTTTGGACTAATATGTGCTGATAAACATTAAAGTATTAAAATATATACCAATATTTTAAAATAAGCAAAGCTGTCTCATCAAGCTTTTCCATTTTAGTTTTAGACATGTACTTTGTACAGGGTGATGTGTCCTCATTTCACCTTGCAGTGGCATTCCAGCCCTCTCATGTTACACTCATTAGTATTTCTTTAAAACCACTTTCAAGTTAGGCAGCTCTCCAGCTTTATAAAGGCCTTGAAATGAAGTTAACCTGTGCCGAATCAAATACTTTAGTAAATTTAGCCTCCATAATAAGAAATTCCATTAAACCATTTTAAAGAGATATTAGTAATGTGGATTATCGTCAAGAGAATAATGATTCTTTGTACACTAAACCACACTCTGAGCTTTTGAAGCTGTGAAGATGCCTGGGCCTTGTCACTTTCACCTTGATTCTTAAAGAACTTGAACCCTTTTTATGCCATAATAAAACCGCTAGTAATCTTCTTCCATGAAAAGATACATTTTTAATATTTAAACAGAGGAGCTGAACAATTTGTGTAGGGGGAACATGAACAAAATGTATACTATAGGATTGAAAACAAACCAAACTAATAATAACAGTGGAACTTACCATTTGTACTACCTAACATTTTCAGTATTGTAATCAGTAGCCAATAAAGTGAATGCATTTTTGTGATAGTTCCCAAATTGTGTTCTATGGAACACTGGCCCTGTGTTTGTTAACGGAGATATGTTACTTTGAGTAATATTACATAGTCTTGGAGACTCATAGAGCACATTAGCATATTAAAATCTCTGGGAAATCTTATAGTAAAGAAACCTATTCAATTATGTCAAACTTATTTGACTGTAGAATTATATTCTTCACATAACATTGATTAATTGATTGATGATTGATTGAGACAGGGTCTTGTTCTGTCACCCAGGCTGGAATGTAGTGGATCATACCTCACTGCAGCCTCAAACTTCTGAGTTCAAGCAGTCCTCCCATATTAGCCTCCCAAGTCAGTAACTGGGATTACAGGCATGAGCCACTGTGCCAGGCTATTCTTCACATAACATTTATTTAAAACTCTCGGGAACATACTTTGGAAAATGTTACTTTATAATGTAGGAGGCACTTTCAGATCCACAATCTTAAGTAATCGTTGTAAGTACTGGCCTTCAGATGCACTTGATCTAAGACATGATGCTGCTTCTGAGGTTGAGTTTGGGGAGGACGAAGGCTAGGGAAACTGATCTAGGGTGGATAAAGGCAGTGGGGTAAACCAGGGCTAGAAAGAGTGTCCAAGGAGAAGAAACAAATCCTTGTCCTAATTCGTGCACTCCAGAGTTGGGAAGATGGTGGTGGATTTAGGAGATTCATCCAGCCAAAGGCTGGGAGTAGGACACTAAGTGTAAGAAATACCATCCACCAGGTTAAGAGCATGATTTCGTGATGTGTCACCATTTCCTAGACATACCCAATATCTTTTGTACTTCCTTTCTCATCTCTGCTTGTGTTATTTCCCTGAAACACTTTTCAGGATGCTGGTCATTTGTTCTGAGATCATGTTAGGCCCCACAAATTCAGAGATAAGAAATATAGTTCCTGCCATTAAGGAGCTTTATATGAAATAGGAAGGCCTAAAAATAAACAAGCATTTATAATTTGATTTAATAAGAGATAAGACCATGGGCACAGATTGGAGGATTCTTAAGGGATATTTGGTTTTTTAGAATTAATAAGAGTTAACTTCTCATGGGAAAGGATTATGGGAAAGAAGAAGATATTGTTGGTGGGGTGCAGTGGCACACGCCTGTAATCCCAACACTTTGGGAGGCCAAGGTGGGTGGATCACTTAAGCCCAAGAGTTCCAGACCAGCCTGGCCAACATGGTGAAACCCTATCTCTACTAATAATACAAAAATTAGCCAGATGTGGTGGTGCGCACCTTTAGCCCTAGCTACTTGGGAGGCTGAGGCACGAGAATTCCTTGAACCCCAGGGGACAGAGGTTACAGTGATCTGAGATTGTGCAGCTGCACTGCAGCCTAGGTGACAGAGCAGGACTCTGTCTCAAATACATAAATAAATAAATAAATAAATAAAAATTTTAAAAAGCAGGTATTGTTGAGGCAGCTAAAAAAACAAAGTATTTCATTGAATGTTTAGCAAGTGAGTAACAGCGTATGATTTGTCATTTAGAAAGTTCTTTGGCTGCAGTAGAGAATGAATTAGAAAAGAACTAGAGCAGAGGCAGGGAGGCAAACCATTTCAGTGACCCAGACTATTTCATTGAAAAAGGAGAGCAAGAAACAGATTCCAGAGATGTTACAGCAAGGCAGTCATTGGACTTGCTGACTTACTGAATGTCAGATACTGAAACGAAAGGAGTTAGAGATGCTGCATTCACCTGCATTCCTTTTTAACCAAAGAAGAAAGAAAGAAATGGTTTTCATTGAAGCTTAAAATGTGTCTAAGACTTATTAAAGCTATTGGATCTAGTTCTAACTGCTTCCTATCACAGGGACTTTACTAGGGTAGAAGCAATGTCACCAGGATCAGTACTTGCATGGATGAGTAGAAGGACAGTCTTTCAGATTCTAATTGCATTCTTGTTCTTCTCAAGTCATGTAACACAGACTACATCCTGGATCCATCCCGTGATGAGTGTCCTGAATCTATCTCGCTCAGAGGAGAATGAAGAGGATTGCTCTAGAGAACTCCCCAACCAGAAAAGTTGATGGTTTTCCTTAGGAAGTGGAGCTACATGGATGATGTGAGCAGAGACGCATAACATCCAATTCTGAGATGAAACAGTCTAAAATAGGAGTAAAGCATGCACTACTTGTTGAAGTGTGAAATGGAGACTCTGGACTTTGGGTATTTTTGTAAAACTTTTGATATTTCTGTATACATTTAAAAAATCAATTGCCACTACAGTAGTTCCTTAAGAATAATCTAGTTATATTTTTTGAAATCACATATAATTAGACTTTATAATATATATACTTTTTCATATATAATTAGATCTTTCTTTGTAATTTCATATGTAGTTCTTCATAGGGTCTCAGATACAATGGTTTTTATAATTGACATATTGAAAAAGTATATGAACATAATGAAACACCTCATTTATTTGATAATTCACTAATGTTTTATATTCATATATTAGGAAAGTGAACTTAGCAAGCTTTTTGGAATTTAAGGATCACATTTAGACATCTCATGGGCTGATGAATACAGCTGGTATCTTTGTGGAGCTTTCTAATTTACAAAATGCTTTGTAGACCCCATTGTCTTTAAACCATACAACATGCCCGTGAAGCTGATCTGGTGGGTATGTTTATTCTTGGTTTTCAGTAGGGAAATAGCAGTTCAGAGAGAGGAAGCTCTCTGTCCCAGCACCGAGACTCACTCCTAAGTCTTCTGATTCCATGAGCAGTCCCCCTTCCCCCATACCCTGCTGTCTCCACGGAGGGAGGTCACAGCCCATCACGCAGGACACTGTGATTGTGTTGATGCAGCTGGCTCCACAGCTGTGCATTCCACAGAGATTCAGAAGGCACCTCTTCGGTCAAACATGGCCCCTCTATAACCCCACTATTCTTCTCCTATAAACCCTTCCCCCTTCTCTGCACCCAAGCCTTCGCCAAGTAGGCGCACTCTTTGTGATATTGTTTCAGCAGACTTCTTTCAGCAGCTCGTGTTTTTCTAAAGTGAAAGGCATGGTTTGTCCTGCTTAGGTTGCCCTTCCCAGAGGGATGGTTTGAGGGGAGCTGATGAGAAGAGAGGTATCTGTTAAAACATTACTGCTCTACTCGAAACAAGATGGAAGCCTAAAGCCCAAGTCGAGCAGCTCCCAGCACTGCTGTGCAGACCTAGAGGTCCTTAGAACATAGTCTAAGAACCATTCATTGTAGCCATTTTATAGTTGAGTAAACTGAGATCTTAAGTCTCCTAGTCTACTGAATTTCATATGGTGTATAATACAGATTTATATGGTAAAGATATACATATACATTGTGCTCAACTATACATTCCTGAATCCATTTAGGATTTGTGATTTATGTCTTGAGTAATAATATAAAGTCAACTCCAGACTGATAGGTAGTCATTAGCCATGAGAAATGTTTCAGGATGGCTAGGGAAGACTTGTGTTTTGCCTGACAGCCATTTGAATGTTAGGAAGCTTCGGGGAGACAAGTTTTGAGAGAAGCCCCAGAGGGAGCTATTTCCTTGCACCCCCCAGAGGTGAATGAGGTATTCTATAAGTTAGTGTCTATAATTGTGAAAGTACAAACTTCTTGTTTTTGTCAAATTAATGGTATGAAATTTCTCTCCCCCTGCTTGAAGAGTTTTCTAATTCGTTTCTAGTGAGCAAAACAAAGAAGGTGCTTGAGTCACTGAAATCAAAGTACTCAGGCACACAGCCCACTGACAAGAGACACCTCATCCATTAACTGCTGTTTTGTACCACTTGCCGCCCTGTTTCTGTCAAATACCTAGTGAAAAAGGCCTAAACAATTGTAATGATATTATTTATTGGGCATTTTGTGCCATACATGGTGATGAGCAGTTTGCATATATTTATTTATGATCTTCTTAAAACCATTCCATGAAATAGGAACTGTAATTATCCCCAATTCTAAAAGAAAAAACTTAGTTTTAGAGAGTTAGTAATCTTTGCCTAAGGGTCACAAAGCACCTATGTGTAGAAGCTAGGGTTCAAGGCAGATCTGTGATTCCAGAAGCTGTTCTCTAAACCACTATGGAGAACTGCTTAGATTCATTGTCTATGGGTACATTTTATAAAAAGGCAGATTCTAGTTCAGTGTCATAAGGAACTTTCTAGTAATTAGAGCTGATAAGAAAAGAATTCCCCAGGAGAAAATGGAAACACTATCCCAGCAATCTGAATTCCTTACTTGGGGAATGTTGCTGAGGAGGTTCAGTGTGTGAATGGACTGAACCAGTTGGCCACTCTCTCAGATTCCCTCTTCATAAAGCTTCCGTGACTTCTAAACCATCAGGTCGGTGCCATAAGAGATGCTCAAAAAAGCATGGTCAGGGCTTAGCAAGAATCCTTTTCCAGTGCAAATACGACCCTCATATTATGTTTTGGCGAGTAGCCAGTCTTTCTTTAACATCAATCAACCGTAGCAATGTGGTCATCACGAAGTCTTCATTGACTCACTGGCTTGGATTTTAGGGTTAGAAAATCTGAATGTTCTTATGTCCTTCCGTCTCACTTTACTAGAGTGCCCAAGTTGACTCATCCTTACTCACTCATTCCCTCAAAATATTTATTGAGCACCAACAATGTCACAAGCACTGTGCTAAACACTGTGGTGAAGTAGAACAATTGCTAATCATTTCCTGGGTTCCACTTACTCTTGATTTAAAAAAAAAAAAACAACAAAAGAGTTTGTGTGTGGCCAGGACTAAACAGCTGCTTCTTAATTTTTGAATTTTAAAACTAATCTATTTTATTTAAAAAAAATCAAGTACTTTGGAAGTGAATAAAGTAAGAGATAGCCTGTCTCACTTTCCAGAGGTAGCAGTCACTAATACTGTGGTGAGTGATTTTACTCAAAGGAAATCACACTATTAAGCAGCTTGGTTTTGACATGTTATGTTGTGGTCATCTTTTCATGTCAATACATAGATTAATCTTTTATTTCAAATGTCTACATAAAATATCACTACCCACATAACCTATAATTTGTGTGGCCAGCAATTTATTGAACACTAAAATGTTTTAAGTTTTCTTATTGCTAACAATGTCACAGTGAACATTTATATATTCATTAAATCCTTTTCCTCATGTATCTTTGCACTCTTGTGCTAGTATGTCTATAGTGTGAATACATTCATAAATTTCTTGATCAAAGCTAGGTCAAAGTTACATTCATTTTAATTTTGGTACATATCCATAAATTCTCCATAAAAGTAGGACCAACTTACATTACCACCAATAGTGTATGTGAGCCTTATTTTTATGTATGATAGGACTTTTTTTAGTCCAAATGTTCCTATAGATTTTCTGGGTTTTTTTTTTTTTTTTGTCCTTGGAAGAATAACCTTCCTTCCACCAAGTCCAAGAACCTGAGATTTTTAATCATTAGGTTTTAGATTTCCTTTAGCAGCAGAGACTGACTTGCTGTATAGAGGGAAGTCAAGTAGTGACTAACTCACTATATGTCAAACACATCATTACTCTTCTCTTTTCCTACTTTACATGTAATGGTTGCGAGGACCAACTTTCAAATGAGCTAACTTGGGTGAGACGTTCACTAAAGTACCAAGCACAATACAAATGCATCTTCGAGTTCTTTGGGCCTCACTTTCCCTATCTGAATAATAAGGATAGTAATCCCTTGCCTTTTCTCAAACCAGTTCAACTCAGCAAACACTTCCTGAGCACCTGCTACATGCCAGGCAAAATGTGAAATTTGCATGCTATGAGGCTAAATGGTACTGATTCTCAAAACAAGGAGCTCATAGTCTAAAACCATTTTTCTTTCTTTTTTTTCCCCCTAAACAACCTCTTAAAGGGGTAAGAAGTTAGGGGGTTGTTTATTAAGAACCCCTGAAGAGCAACCCTTTACCACTCTCTTAAATTTGAAAAATTCCAAAATAATATTAACACCTCTTGACTAGAAAAGGAAAAAAAAGGAACATGCCGTATGAAGAGCCTCTCCAATAATAAATGCAAAGCAGCTGTCAAAATATAGAGTCAAGTGATACTTTCATAAAGTGTTTGCACAATTAGAAAATGTTATCCTTTTTCTCGGGAGAAATGGGACATTTTTATTTTCTCTGCTAAGTGAAATGCAACTTTTTGAAGAATCAACACGCTTGACATTTTTACAATGTACATAAAGAACTGAACTATTATTAAAACAACTTACACACTCCATTGCTTATAACTTTTGAGAGAATGAAAAGAACCTTAAACAGAATGTGCCTGTGGAGCTTCGCTTTAGAAATGAAATACCCAAGGTGTTTTAACTACAACTGTCTACATGTAATAGTGTGTCTGCATAATGACTTTGTAAATATTAACTGCAATTCTGTATTTGCTTTCTTGATATGACTTTTAACATTTAAACTTATACTGTTTCTGTCTACTTTTTTCAAAAGTTCAATTTTTACTTTTGGGGGTTGGACTGTTCTGAGGGAAAGGGCGATCAGATCAATAGTTCTGTCCCCCATTCCATTCCCCCATCACCCAATTATTCTCTATATCACTCTACCCTGTTTATTTCTTTTTTTTTTTTTTTTTTTTTTTGAGACGGAGTCTCGCTCTGTCGCCCAGGCGGGACTGCGGACTGCAGCGGCGCAATCTCGGCTCACTGCAAGCTCCGCTTCCCGGGTTCACGCCATTCTCCTGCCTCAGCCTCCCGAGTAGCTGGGACTACAGGCGCCCGCCACCGCGCCCGGCTAATTTTTTTTGTATTTTTAGTAGAGACGGGGTTTCACCTTGTTAGCCAGGATGGTCTCGATCTCCTGACCTCATGATCCACCCGCCTCGGCCTCCCAAAGTGCTGGGATTACAGGCGTGAGCCACCGCGCCCGGCCTATTTCTTTTACATTATTTATCAGTTTGCCCTAACCTTGTTTTGTTTGTTATCTTCCTCAATAGTGGGAGTAATAATGGGAGTCAGCTTCGTGAGGGCAGGGATTTTGTCTTCTTGTATTCATTTACTCACTTACACACTTACCGAGAGCTACTAGAGGCCAGACACTTCACTGAGTAGTAGGGATACAATGTGAGATATATGTGTTTCTAGCCCTTGTGTAATTCGTATTCTATGCAAAGGATATACGATTGAAATTAACCAAAACTTTTTCCATTTATTTTCTTTCTCCGCATTCTTTATCAGATATTTGAACTACTGGACCATTTAATGTTCATTACGTTAACAAAGAGTGTGATATCAGAAAGCAGAAAAAAGCATGTTCTTTTGCATTTCAAAAATTTAGCTCCTTGGGGAACTAGAAAGGATTTATGATTTAGGTCAAAGATTTGAGAGCACATATGATGAGGAAGATGAGGCTTTCTTACTCACTGTCTAGGAAATAATTCTCCTGGCTGTGAGAAGGAGAAAAAAGAACAAAAATGTTGGTAGGGCACAGAGAAGGACCTGGGCTTAACCTTCTGGACCAAGTTCCAGGGAGCAGCAAAACCTCAATTACATTTGTCCCCTAGAATGGAAATGATTATGTGGTATGTTTAGGCAGTGGGACCTTGGACAACGCCAGTGAGCTTCCTCCAGCCCAATGTGGTCAACATTGGAGGATTAGATTGATTTCTGTGAACCCAAAAGGATCACAGGAGTAGCAATAACACCTGCTGGACCTGAATGAGGATCTTTTCCATTCAATCCACATGTTCTCTCAATGGAAATCAATTCGGACAATAACATTAGACCATCTTAACCCAGAGTGCCTTAGCACTAGATAAGCCTCTGCTGTGGTCTGGATGTTTGTGCCCAGCCCCTAATTTCATATATTGAAACCTAACCCCCAAGGTACCAGTATTAAGAGGTACGGCTCTGAGGAGGTGATTAGGTCATGAGGCTCCATCCTGGTGAATGGGATTAGGACCCTTATGAAAGAGGCTTCAGGGAACCTGTTTGCCCCTTCTGCCTTGTGAGGATGCAGCAAGAAGTTGCCATCTTTGAAGCAGAGAGCAAGCCCTCACCAGAAGCTAAATCTGCTGGCATCTTGATCGTACACTTCCCAGCCTCCAGAGCTGTGAACAATACATTTATATTGTTTATAAATTACCCAGTCTGAGATATTTTGTTATAGCAGCTCCTGAATGGACTAAGACAGCCCACAGAGTTTAGCAGTGACCCCAAGGAAAGGAAAGAACTGCAAGTTGCCTGAGATTAATGTTGCTCAGGATCCATTTATTCCCTATTCCTGGTGTTTCTTTGTAGAGAGTGCTCCATTAAAGTAACACTTTTGTCCTGTCTCTGCTTCTTCCTTAGGCAGCGATTTACCTAATTGGTGAGTTTAGGATTAAAAAAAGGAATACATCCTAGAACATTTCTTAAATATATTCCCTTTTCTCTGTTTCATGCAAACATGGCTTATTTATTTTTCAAGTCTTTCTCATTTCTTACCTGGATGCTTTCAACACAGGTGATATAGCTTCTTCCTTCTCCACCACACCTGTCCCCATCAATCTACCCATCACATTTCTGTCAGAATTATCTTTCTATAACACAAAATTGCTTCTATTCCTCCCTTGCTAGTCTTCAGTAGTTCCCTAGCACCTTCTACTATCTGAGTCCCTGGCTTTCTCCCTAGCCTCATGTCTTATCACCAACAGTTGCTCAGATATACTGTTTTCTGTCTAGGAAACTTCTCTTGCCCCATTCCTGCATCAGATTTCTTCTCATACATCAAGATTCTGCTCTCATTTTACCTCTTCTTTGAAGAGCTCCTTGACACATGCTGCCTTCCCCATGCCCAGAGCTGGCACTCTATGGATGCCATGCCTGCATTTTTACACACCTGCCCAACCCCACTTCCCACTCAGGAGTGGTAGAGCAAGAACTTCCACCTCAAGAGAGTTGCTGGCCTGTTTGTCCGGACACTCATTTGGTTACTATATTTACTAATTTACTTTTATCTACTGAGCTGGGTTACTGAGTCTTAGAGGCTTGAAATCTGGTTCTACCTTCTCTTTCTCCATGTGGTAATGAAAACCGGAACTCTGGTTAAAGCTAAGTGGTCTCTCTCACTGTGGCTGTTCCACTCAACATCAGTAGCTAGGTGAGTAAATCAGGTGGAGGTGGGAAGGAAATGGGAAAACAGAATACTGGCCAGGATGGTCTGTTGTTTCTTATCTGTTGTTGGCTTTGGGGTATTTTATTCTAAAACCCTAGAGGCTGAGAAGGTTAACTGGAAGGCTTCCAACTCTGAAATCCTACCGCAGTCCCCTATTGCTGCATACCTTTTAATAAAGTATCAATCACACTATATATGTAATTAATTTGGATAGGAAAGTAGGGCATGTGTCATCTCTCCTAGTAGACTGTGAGTCCTTTATTACTGACTCAGAGTCCATATATTATTTTTTATTTCTCATGCAAGACATGACACAGTAAAATCTAATAAAAGTTTACAAAATAAATTTAAAATGTAACATTAACATAAAAAACTCTTTTAGCTGTTTCCTGCTTCTGGCAGGGAAACAAAGATTGAATTAAGAAGGAAATGAGGTGGGGGTTTAAGTAAGCATGTCTGTACTAACTAGTTCCACTAATGTGGGAACAATATAATGGATTTTGCTGAAGAAGGAAGTGTATGCTACTTAAGTTGGGCCATAAAACTCACAGTATGATCGCAGTAAAAGGATTGTAAAGCACATACTCACACATTGTTGATTTGCCCAAGGTTCTGAAGAAATACCACAGAATGATTTTGGTATAGAAGGGTAGATAAAGCCTGAAACCAAAATACAAGGTTAGTGCATTTCAGAGCAGCAGCAAACTTCTGTTCTTATGGGTTAATTAATCATGTTACTGAAGAATTGATTTGGCACAAGGGAGCTATGTATTGCCACAGAACTCTGAAATTGCAGAAATTATCTCATCTATAAGTAACCCCACTGGAATTGCTTGACTGTTCTGTTTCACAGTGGAGAAATTCATCTTTCATCAGCACACACGAGAAGAGACAACAGGAAGACAAAACAAATTGAGTAGATAATAAAGTTACCTTATAGGAATAGGTAATATAGACAGGTAAGGTCAGAAATTTCTGTGGAATGGAATATGAAAAGATGTTTATGAGCAGATTCTATTTCTTTAGGCAGTTTTATCATTCAGAGAAGTAATCTATGCATTTAATCTAATGCCAGCTTTTATTTTTCTTTGGTGATTACCACACAAAAATAAGAAGTTGGCACCAAATTAAATGCATGGATTACTTCTCTGATAAAAGTACTCGATATAAGGGAAATTTGAAGGAAATAGAATGCATACATACACACACATACACTTAGTATATGTGTGTGTGTGTGTGTGTATATATATATATCTGTGTGTATATACACACCACACACACACACACACACACGTATTGGAGGAATAAGAAATATTTAATAAAATCTACACAATTTCAAAAATATGACCAAATACTGGTGGTTCCTCATTTACCAGTAGAACTCTCTCTACAAATGGAAAGTGAGAAGTCTATGAAGTTACCTTAGTTTTTCCAATTAAGACTGTTCATTGATTGTATTTCTTCTGTCTCTATAAGTACCATATTCCCAATTAGTATTTCATCAGTTATAAGACCCATCATTATTTTGTGTGTAACTGAAAATGAAAAAAAGATTTAAAATATGACTTAGTAGTTAGAATTTTTATCTTATACGCCTTTAAGTAAATACAAGAGAACTGTTTCAGCATAGATTTTTAAAAATCATGTGTGTAAAAGAGAATGAAATATTAATTATGATATTTACAAAGCTCTGTACATTCAGAATTGAACTCTTTCTGCATCTCTTTTTTGAATCAGAGTTGTCATAAACCACAATTTTTCACGGTAACACCCTCTCTGCCATCAGGATAAATAACATTTCTTAAAGGAATATTCTACTGCAGTCTCTGAGATTTTTTTCCCTGTCTTAGACATCCATTCTACAACTCTGATGCTGGCACATTTTTTATCTTGGCAAAAGGACTTAATAGAAAAATTTTAGATAACAATCAGGATTCATACTCTTCTCAATAGTCCTTAAATGGTTTATTGACCAAAAAGTAAAGAAGTAACAGTCCAGTCATATCATGGAAAGAACAACCAAATTCATGCATGCACAGGCAAAGACAACCATATCACTATGACCACCTGGCTGACAGTAACTGCAGGACATCAATTATTGTAAGACACTTCCTGTAATATGTTTAATTCCTCTGACATAAGGATTTATGTGAATTAGGAAGTGGCCCAAGGGTGAAAAGTAATAGGGAAATAGAGAAATAGAACCGATCCAAAGGAAAGGGGGAAAAAAACCCACAAAAAGTGTGATGTCAAGCAAAGCCTATTCTGGAGATGACTTTGGTTCACTCCCACGGGAGAGCCCTAGAGACAAAAAGGTTCTACAGTAGGTTCAAGTCAGAGGCCAGAGAACCCAGAGTATTTATACCTCTGCACCATCAGTTATTGAATGGGGGTGGGGGTGGGGGTGGGTGTAAATTTCCAGGTGCTTCCAGCCTGCAATGCAGTCAAAGCATGTTCCTGTAGCCTGAGGACAGCCGTCCAACAAAGAGGTGCAGGTGCTGAATGTTGAGAGTGAAAGCACAGGGAGCTGTCATGCATGAGAGTGGTAGAGGGATCTGAAAGTGCTAGCAGTGCCTATTATACATCCAAATACTAAAGACGCTTAGATGTGAAAAATGTGTGTCTTAGAATCGATAAAATATGGTATAGAGAATCAAGTCTCCTTGTTCCTGGTTTATCTCATAGCATACTTAAAATTCAGCTAAAGATGAAATGCCTTAACAAGTGAAATGGGCTTTCTGAAAAATTATTTCAATCAAAATTGTGTTAAAAGCTATTTCTAAAAACCCTAACATGAAATACTTAGAAGAGATCAAGTGGTTTGTCCCTGGACATTCAAGCAATTGAATGTCTAAACAATCCAAGACAGATAATTTTGTAGTATTTACTGTGTGAAGTGAACCTTTAAGGCTGTGGACAATGCAAACTCCCTCATGTACCTTGCTCCTTGCCAATTTCAAACAAACCTTCTCACCTATGATATAAGGCTTCCTTAGAATTATTGATTAATTATTTAAGATACAATAAAACCAAAGTATTTTTAAAACACAGTAATTATGTTAGTGCAGGTACATGACATAGATATCCTCAAATATTCTTAGGACATCTATAAATCACCACAAACATTCTGGAAAGCAGTCTTGGAACATCTATCAAAGGCCTTAAAAATTTCTTCTTCTGTGAATTTATCCTCACAAATGACCCCAAGTTTAGACCAAAATAAAAAAATGCTTAAAAGGCTTATTAAAGCATGATTTAAAATAGAAATGATTGCCTAAATTCCTGAAAACAGGGGAATGTCTAAATAAAATATGGTATCTAACATGATAGAAAATGTTTACTAATGTTTAATGATACCAAGAAAGTATCACAATAATAACATCAAGTGGTAATAACAGGAAACAGATCTGTATACAATATAAAACCAACAGTATTGTATATATAAACACCATAGAAGATCTGAAAAAAAATTAGATGACATTATTTGTGATATCTATTTTATTTATTATATTTTTCTGCATACTACTCTACAGTGAGCCTGTCCTTTATAAGAAAAAATGCTAATGATTTATTGTGTATGAAAAAAGTGTATCTGATTTGATTATATATTTTTATTTCCACTTATATTTTCTAGGATTATTTTGCTTTAGAATTCTATGTATAATCCTGTGAAAATTTGTAGTGTTGTAGGGACTGGAAAGATCAGAGATTATGTTATGGCCATGAATGAGGCCTGACCTGCATTGTCAATAACTAAATTGATTATTGTGGAAACAACAAAAAAATTCATTTTTTGAAATGAAAATCTTTATTGAAATAACTATTTTACCATTGTGTGGTCAGATTCACTGCATTTGATGCTTTTTCAGGATTTGTTTTTCCTGCTAGAAATGCTAGAGTTGTCACAGATGTGATATTTATGTTTTCATTGTCTGGGGAGGGCCAAGTTTCATGACAGAGAAAGACTGGGGCCAATTCTGTGATTATGGATGTCAACTTATCTCAGAGCAGTATCATTGGTTGAGCAGTCCTGCAGGACATCTAAGTTTACCGTCTTTATCTTGCCATTGTCAAAGATCCTGGACCTATTTTTTTCTGCCTTGAAAACTTTTGTGCAGTAAAACCAGCAATGGATTTTAGCAGAGTTGATGCATCATTAGGATTTTCACATTAACTCTTTGGACTTAGAGCCATGTCTAAAGTGTCCTTCTTTTGGATATAGTGCCTGGTGCAGAACTCTACCACAAAACATCAGGTGTGCCTCTGAATAGTCTTTGCAAGAAGCACAAAATCCTAGAATTGAGGTGAATTTGTAAGTTCCTCTAGTCCAACCACCTTTCAAATGAAAGAATCCTTCCAAAGCACCCCTGGCCAATAGCTCATCAAGATTTTGCTTAGATATTCTTATTGAGGGGGAACTTACTAACTCCTTTAATTCTTATTTTGCTTAAGGCTGAGTTTTTAAAACATCTAACATCAGCCAAGATTATTGATTTATCTATAAGGAATAATCTGTGAATTAACCTTCTGTAGCTTTTCCTTGCTGACCAGGGAATACCTCCCCATTGAAGCCTAGGCCAGATTCCAGTCCGTTTTGACCATACCCCATCATGGTATTTTAGAGTACACCTGAATAAGATACATGGTGCCATGTACATGGAAACTGACTGCTCTCATGTTACGGGTTGAACTGTGTCCCCCCAAAATTTGTATGTTGAAGTCCTAAAATTGGCACTGTTGCCATAAGCCAGGGAACTACCTAGGAGATGCTAGGAGAGAGGCCTAGAATGGAACCCTCCCTCCCCCGCCCCTGGGGCCTTCAGAGGGAGCGGTGCCCAGCTGACACCTTGACCTTGGACTTCTAGCCTCCAAACTGTGAGACAATACATTTCTGTTGCTTAAGCCACTCAGTTAGTGTGCTTTATTTTGGCAGTCTTAGCAAACTAATACATCCCCCAATCCAGAACTGTCCTCCTTTGGATAATAAAAACAGCAATAATTATAGTGTCATTACCCTGAGTGACTGGTCCCACTGTTGGTCATTCTTTGTAGATGTGAGTTATTGCCCTATTGAGATCAGAAGTCCTCTCACTTAGAGGCATATCTAAGACTTTTTTCTTGTGGAGGGAGCTCACTCAACTGTAGGTAAGGTTTGACTCATCTGGGTTAGTAGTAAGAACAAACTTCCAAGTGGCACCATCTTAAAGGTGCAAGCCCATGTGGGCGATGACCAGGTCTGGTATATTAAGAGGCTCTTGGTAGCACATTAGAAACACCTGGAGAGATTTTAAAATTTACAAAGCCTAGCCAAACCCCAGACCCATTAACCCTGACTCTCTGAGAATAGGACCCTGGCACCTGTGTTTTAAGGATTCTAGGTGATTTCAATGTGTAGCCAAGGTTCACTGCCATAGCCTGTCCTGGAATGCAGGTAACTAAAACTTCAGCAGATTATGAAAAACAAAAGTTACTTTCTTGGATGCATATATTCTTATAGCCTCAAAACTGAAACTGCAAACTGAACAATGCTGCAGTCAGATACACACACATATTTCAACTGCATAACTTCCTTTAATAATACTTTTATTTTTCCAAATTTGAAGACTGTCCCTAAGTCATTTCTTCTAAAAGTTAGTAATAATCCCACCAACTCACATTTACATAGAAGTTACAGTTTAAAGTTTGCATCTCGTAATAACTTGGTGAGATAGGGCAAGCATTATTTCTAATTTGCATATGAGAAAAAACTAAGGCTCGGATGAGTTATGTGACTTCCCTGAGTCATGTTAGAGTAACTAACTCCTGATTTGTAAACTGAAGGTCCCAAATCCTGGGAACTCCCTCAGCTCTGGGCAAGCCAGGACAGGTAGGTCACCCTGCACCTACACAAGGACTGAGCTGAGTTCTAGTTACCTGCTGTGAAGGACTGTAGAGGTTATCTAAGCCAGCTCCTCCTTTTACTGGAAAAGGAAAAGACTGAGATAAGTTTCCAAAACCCCTGCTGGAGCACCTTCTACTTCTAGAAAGATGTTGAGGGGCTTCCAGGGCACAAAGGAAAGAGAAGTAACTGTGTCTCCTTCCCCAACCATGTATGTGATACATTCATTCTCTAGGATTGGAAATTCCCAGAAAGCTGTGTCAGCAATGAGATTTGTTTCATTGTTTTGCCTTGTTTTGTCATTGAGTTGTTATAGTTAAAGTTTATTATTTTTTAATGCAGAAAAAAGTGACTTTTGGGGGAGTGCAGAGTTCTATGAATTTTTAACACATGTCTAGTTATTTGACCACAACCGTAATCAAGATACAGAACAGTTTTATCATTTCAAGTGCTCTCCTGCTATGCTTTTATAACACACCCTTCCCCACCCCAACTCCTGGCAATTACTGCTCTATTCTCCGTAACTGTAGTTTTGCCTTTTCGAGAATATCATATAAATAATCATGTATTATGTAACATTCTGAGACAGGCTTCTTTCACCCAGCATAATGCCTTTGAGATTCATCCAGATCGTTGTGTGTATCAGTAGTTTGTTTTTATTACTGGGTTATAGTTCATTGTATGGATATACCACAGTTTCTTTAGCCATTCACCCACTGAAAGTCATTTGGGTTGTTTCTAGGCTTTGGTGATTATGAATAAAGCTGCTATCAACATCCACGTATTGGTTTTTGTGTGAACATAAGTATTCATTTCTCTAGATGAAATACCCACAAGTAGGATTTCTTGATTTTGTGATATATATGTTTTCTATTGTTGCCCTTTAAAATTACATGAATTTAGTGACTTAAGCATTACAAATTTATTATCTTACAGTTTTGTAGGTCAGAAAGGTCTTAATGGGCTAAATTCAAATTATCAGCAGGGTTGTATTTCTTTCTGGTGGCCGTCAGAGAGAATCCATTTAGGTTCAGTTCCTTGAGGTCATAGAACTTGCCTTTTGACCCCCTTTATCCACCTGCAAAGCCAGCAATGGCCAGTCAAGTCCAGTCCCTTCATGTACATCTCTTTCTAACCCTTCTCTCATCCTCTCTGAACTTTCTTCCATTGTCATATCTCTCTCTCTGACCCAACCATGAAAGGTTATCTGCTTCTAAGAATTCTTGCTTAGATTGGGTTCACCATGATAAAATTCAGGATAATTTCACCATTTCAAAGTTCATCTCTTAATCACATCTGCAAAATCCCTTTTGCTTTTCAAGGTAACATCTTCATGTGATCTGGAAATTAGGGTATGAGCATTTGTAGGGGAGAATGTTATTCTGCCTGCTTATCTTTTCAAGAAACTTCCAAGCTGTTTTCTAGAATGGCTGTAGCATTTAATATTCCCATCGGCTGTGTATGAGAGTTCCAGTTGCTCCATGCCCTTGTCAACACTTGGTACTGTCAGTATTTTTTATTTTAACCTTTCTCATGGGTATGTAGTGGTATTTCATCATGGTTTAAATTTGCATTCTTCTCATGGCTAAAGATGTTGAACAACATTTCATCTGCTTATTTGTCATCTGTTTATCCTCTTTGATGAAATTTCTGTTCAAATATTTTGCCCATTTTTTTAAACTGGGTTGTTTTCTTGCTGCTGGGTTTTAAGAGTTCTTTATTCTGGATACAAGTCCTTTGTCAGATATGTGATTTTCAAATATTTTCTTGTCTAAATTCAACTTTTCCATATTTCACCTATATACCAGTTTACACACATACAACTTCCCTGCACCTCAGGTTCTGTTTAGGTTGGCCTAGACCACAGAGTGATCTGATTTGGGTTTCTAAGCCAGGGTTTTCAGATCTAAGAATGGCTCTGCCTTCTCCAAGTTATAGTAGATCCCAGATATCTACCTATCACAATTCACTCCATTCCTATATTCCTCTTAGATAATGCAACTTTTAATCTATTAAAAAATGTCATTTATAAGATCACAGGATTTTAAAGGGAAACAGCTACTCGGGAGGCTGAGGCAGGAGAACGGCGTGAACCTGGGAGGCGGAGCTTGCAGTGAGCCAAGATAGCGCCACTGCACTTCAGCCTGCGACAGAGCGAGACTCCATCTCAAAAAAAAAACAAACAAAACATGGCATCTGCAACTCCTTTCACACTAATGACCCTACATTCCAACAAACATTTTTTGAGTGTGGATGTGGCCTTCATAAGAGAACCATTAGGGGAGTCAAATGACAGGAAGTCAAAATGAACTGGGAGGAAATTTGAGAACACTGCAGAGTAGTTCCTAAGCATGGGGAGAGACCTCTATACCACTGAATTATATAGATGTATAGATACCAAATCTGCTTGGAACAGTGTGATTTTTGAAATCTAAAGACACCTGCTGATGCTCATAGCAGAAATGCTGAAAATTAAGCAGAGAGTGGAAATTTTATTGCAAGCCTTCTGGAAATTTTTGTCTATGTCTGTATAATAAGGCAGCAATCTGGAGCTGTCTTGAGAATTAACTTCAAGAATCTAAAGTTGACAGAAACCAGCCCAGGCTATTTGAAAATCATTCTCTTACTGCACCAAGCAGAGGAGTTTATCAGTCAGAAACCCTGCAGGAAATAGGATCCATCACAGATGGTCCAAATGAAGGCGCTGCTCATAGATATGTGGTGAGGGGTCAAAGAACAAGCAAGTGATGGTGAAGCACCCAAAAACTAGCAGGAGGCTGGAAGCTATCTCTCTGCTTTTAGAGTCGGGGGACAAAGGGGAACATAATGTCACTGGAAACCACTGAAAATGAGACCGTGGAGGATCAGGCACCCTGCCAGAGCTGTAGTTGCAGAGGGATGCAGCTAGTATTGGAATATAGTGTCAAAGCAAGAAGGATAGAAAGAGATGAGGCCATCCCAATCTCACTCCCTCCTTTGTCTCTCCCATCCTCCCTTCTGCTTTAGAGCTTCCCATTGCTAGAAGGAAGCCAACCCAAAAGCATTCAGCAGGAGAGCCCAGGGGAGACAATCTATAGGTCTCTACTTCCTCCTGAGGCACAGACAAGATCACAGATGGAACTGAGAGGCAGGTGGGGAATAATTGGCACAGGAGTAATCCAGTGATTCCTGACGCATGTGCAAGAGGAGGTCTGCTATCTGAGAAAGATGAGTATGGGTGAGTAAACAAACCATTCATTTTTTGATGGGTAATTATCGCCCACCTTCTAGGGGCACAGATGCTGCCCATGGATGAGATACACAGTTCTTATTCTCACAGAGCTTACAGCCAGTCAAGTGAAGCAGAGAAGAAGGCAAACTCAGCACAGGGGAGGAAGTAAGTGTGACAGACGCACATAGTGGAAGCATGTAACTCAGGAAAGAGTGGTCTGCGAGGGCTTTTTGGAGGAAGTTATGCCTCAACAGAAATGTAAATGATTCGTAGATATTGACGAGGCATGTGGAGAAGAGGAAAGGTGAGAGAGCCTCCTGAGTAATGTCAGGGTGATGAGACAGAGTGATGCTGTGGGGTTCAGTGTAACCATGTAAACAGAGCACATCTTCAGGTGGGCAACCAGGTGGGGACAGTAGGAATAACCTGAAATAACTCTGGAGAAGTAAGCAGGGCTCAGATGCCAAAAGGCCTCATAAGCTATGTTAAAAAATCTGGACATTCCCCTAAGAGTAAGGGTGAGGCACAAAAGATCTTAAGTACGGTGTGATCATTAATTTTATGTGTCAGTTTTACTGTGTTGAGGGATACCCAGATAGCTAGTAAAACATTATTTCTAGGTGTGTCTGTGAGGGTGTTTCTGAAAAAGATTAGCATTTGAATCAGTAGACCCAATGAAGATCTGCCCTCAGCAATGTGGGTGAATATCATCCAATCCACTGAGGGCTTGAACAGAGCAAAGGCAGAGGAAGGGAGAATCCTCTCTCCCTCTTCTTGAGATGGGACATCATTCTTCTTCCCTCAGACATAATATTTCCTGGTTTTGGGGCCTTGAGACTCAGATTGGGCCTTCCACCAGCCCCACCCTCACCCTATCCCCACCTCCCCACTTAGTTCTCAGGCCTCAGAAGAGAGTCTCATCATTGGCCCCCACCAGTTCTCAGGACATCAGACTGGGACCAAATTACACCCCTGCTTTCCTGGTTCTCCAGCTTACAGAGGCATCTCCTGGAACTTCTTAGCCTCTGTCATCACACAAACCAATTCCCATAATAAATTCCCTCTTATCTCTGTACCTATAATGATACATATGAAGATACTGGTTCTGTTTCTCTGGAGAACCCTGACTGAAACACAGGGCAATGGCATAATAAGATTTGTTTTTAAAAACTCCCAGGTGTAGAGGACAGCTGGGCAAGGAACAAGAGTGGAGGAAATTTTCAGACTGGTCCCTTCTCTGGCTGTAACACCCTGGCCAAGTGTCTCAACCTCCCTAAGCCTAGCGCCCTCACCTGTTCAACAGCAATAATCAGGCCTGTCTTGCCTACCTCACTAGATTATTGCAAGCAGTGAAGGGACGTGAACAGGCTCTGGCAACCAGAAAGCACAGTCATAATTCCAAATAACATGATGAAAAGAAAATGTGGCTGATATTGTTAATTTCCCAAGGAAATCTGTGTAGTCCTCTGACTCATTTTGCAAAGACTGGAGAGGAAATGGAGAAGGAAGCACACCAGAGCCAACACTTTGAAAGGAGGTTGTTCATTCCATCACTTTCGAAATGGAGATTCTGTCCTCCTGGCTGTGTGGCACATGATTGCTGTCCAATAAACAGGAATTGATGAATGGCTGAGTGAGGCTTTGTTTTGTTTTCATTTTTCAAACTCTTATGACTGCAGAGGGGAAAACTAAATCAATGCCATATGCCTGTAAAAATCCCTCTGACATCTTTTATTGTAATGGAAGATGACAATGGTTATCAGAGCAGAAGGAACATGCCTGAGTGAAAGTAAATACCAAACACCTTTTGGGAAACAAAGCACCTCCTGGTGACCTTTGCAGCTGTTCCACTCCCTAAATTATGGCAACCTGGAGTTGTCTAATGACAGTCTAACCAGGATTTCCTCTTGTTTTCAAATGTGTGCGTCCTCCCTCTCCCTGGGTTGTGCAGAATTTTAAATGTCACAGTAATCACATTTTTCCCGAGGATAACATGAAATATCATTGGAGCTTAATGGAGATGAACAAATGATCAAATTCAGATGTTGGTGATATATCATGTTAGAGGAATGAGATCTATTCCACAAGCTGCAAAGCCTCTAAATTTTGTTAACACAAATAAGAAATAAAGTAGCAAAAGCTACTATTTCTGAGTCCCTACCATGCACCCCACCCTGTTCCAAGTACTTTACACCTATCATCTCATTTAATCCTGACGGTTCTTCAGCGTGGGCATTATTGTCCCCATTTAACACATAAATTCAGATAAATTCATTGAACTATTTAAAGCCACATGGCATGTGGTTTTGTGAATGTCCCCCATTCAAGCTATATGGCCTTAATAAAGTTACTTACCTGCTGTCAGCCTCATCTGCAGAATGCAAATATCAAAGACCTCTCACTCATAAGATTGTGAAGGATTACATTAAATAAGTTATGTGTAGCACTTAAGTACAGTGCCTGCTATACTGCAATCACTTACTGTATTAGTCAGAATTCTCCAGAGAACCAATAGGAGATATATAGATTTGTTTTATACATATAAGGAGATTTATTGTAAGGAATTGGTTCACATGATTAAAGAGGCTGTGAATTCCCATGACCTGCTATCTGCAAGCTACAGTAGACTCCAAAGAGCTAGTGGTATAGTGTCAGTATGAGTCTGAAGGCCTAAGAACCAGGACAGCTGAGGTCCAGTTCAAGTGCAGGAGAAGATCAATGTTCCAGCTCAAAAACAGAGAGAAAGAAATCTTTCTTACTCAGCTTTTATTCATCCAGACCTTCAATGGAGGAAGAGGCCTAACCCATACTGGGGAGGAAAATCTGTTTTACTCATTCTATCCATTCAAATATTAATCTCACCCAGAAATACCCTCACAGACACACCCAGAAATGTTTAATAGGATATCTGGGCACTCTGTGCCCCAGTCAAGTTGACATATAAAATCACACTAAATAGTGCCTTATTAGCAATATTATTGTGATTGTTATTATTGTAGATCTGGTATTTTACATCTGTCTAGCCCTTTCCACATTGCCCGAAACCAAAACCAATCATCAGTATAATCATAATGAAATCAAAGCTACATATAATTTTTTTCTTCCCTTAGGAAATTTTTCAACATCTTGCACATTTAATTCATGGCAAGAGTTACTACCACTGGGACTATTTAATACTCTTGGGGAAAAGTGGAAATATATGATAGCAATTCAGAAATAAAGGAATGTCTCATATTGATTCCTAGAGCATGGAAAAAAAAATAAAGGAGGGGGCCTAATTAACAGCTTCTTGCCAACCCTTCAGACTAGACCTGTGAGTATAGGTAACCAAGCAAAGAAGAGCTTAGACCATGAACTAAAAGAAAGCACATCCTTGGGCTGCAGGCATCTCATTAGACTCTCCTATATAAAACTGAACAAAAATGAGTTCAAATCTGAAGGCAAAAAGCTATATACAGTTGATCCTTGAACAACATGAATTTGAACTGCATGGGTCCACATATACATGGATTTTCTCCTACTTCTGCTACCCATGAGATAGCAAGACCAACCCCTCCTTTTCCTCCTCTTCCTCTTCCTCTCCCTATTCAATATGAAGATGATGAAGATGAAGATCTTTATTATGATCCACTTCCACTTAATGAGTAGTAAATGTATTTTATCTTATGATTTTCTTAATGTTTTCTTTTCTCTAGCTTATTTTGTTGTAAGAATATAGTATAAACTATATGTTACATACAAAATATGTGTTAATCAACTTTATGTTATCAGTGTGTTATTATCAGACTCAAAAGTTATATGTGGATTTCTGACTGCAGCAGTGTGGCGAGATTGGCACCCCTAACACTAGCATCATTCAAGGGTCAACTGTATATATCTATACCACAAAATATTCCATGGAATTTTCCTTGACTCAAACCGATATCTCATTTACTAAGGTGCCCACTTTCTACCCACCACCTCCATGTCTGGTGGTGGAGTGAGAAAGAGCTGAGCTTGACATGAAGCCCTGCCACATACTAGCTTTGTTACCTTGAGCTAAATACTCATCTCTGAGCTGCAGGTGCCTCCTCCATTGGGCACAAAACCAACTCAACAGAGTCATTATGAAGGTTAAGGAGGTGCCTGGCTCTATGTCTGGCACATGATAAGACCGTCGTAAATGTGAGCTTTCTTCCACTCTCTTCCTCTCACCTCCATAAGGAAAAAGTAGTAATATTTTCTTAAATAGCTACTGTTTGGGGACAACTGAAAGATGCCATTTGTTCTTCTTTGCATAAGGAGAAACCTAGAACTAAAAGAACTATAGGAACTTTCAAGTCCACTGGTCATCAAACGATACTCTGTGAAGCCTTGTTGGGGAGTTTGAGGTTGGGTGAGATTTCTGTCCCTGTTCACCCCTACACTTCAACCTGAGTTCTTTTTACTTGCTTTATGTATGTATTTAAGACCTTGCTTTAACAAAGGAATCCCCAGAAAATAATTGCAAACCACCAGTCTAAAGAATTACAATTTAGAGATGAGGAAATGGAGACTTTACAGGTAAGGCAACCAACTCTACAATCATTTGAAACAGAATCAGAATTGAAAGGCTGGTTTCTGAACTCTGAGACCACCATGCTTTCTGTCATTAAGCTGTAACACCTCACTATTACCAGTGTGGGAACAATAATGTGATATGACAGAAAGCCTCCCTCATCACAGAGAAACTTAGGTTTGGCTCAGGTTTACTGAGGGGAGTTTCCCATGAAGAGACTTAAGACAAGAGGAAAGACCATTTTAGGCATATCTCAGAGGTCAAGGTGGATAGCACCTGCTCTGTATGGCCTATAGAAGTCAAAATTCCTTTTAGATTCCTATTCCAAGACTTCATCCTACATCATGTCAACTGACACAAAACAATCCATTTTTTACTTTCTGCTACAAGAGCTGAGTATACTTCAATTCACTAACATTTGGGGGAATGGAGGTGGAGACAGATGCAGGTTCACTTTGCTAAACTCATAACATTACTCTATCACACTAGCAACCTATGCTTCTTAACCTTTCACCTTTGTTTCTTCTCAGCTCCTTCATCTGATTGTCACATAAGACTCTAAATTCTTCTGCTACTTTGCAGACTTATCTAGTTTTTCTACCATTCTTGAATATTCAGAACTACCAAGGTGCTTAGCAATTTGAAAAAGTCCTCATGCTATCAATAATCAGCCTTCTTAGAATGTAGTTGTAATTATAGGTACAAATTTTTTAAATAAATCTTAAATTAAATTGTATTCTATTATAGGAAAAACAGAGTCACCTATGATACAATGAGAGGATAAAGCAGTAATGCTGAATTTTTCCTACTCAAATTTCACCTTCCCTTTGGAGTGCTGTCACAATTCTTTTGCTGATATCTCATTCAGGCCCTGGAAAATGTTATTTTCACCTTAAAATTCACAGCCCAAGCCTGAACTGCATCCCTCTCCTTGGTTCCCATAAGAAGCACAGAGAAAGGGAAATTTAATTTTTAAGATAATTAAATAGCATCTGAAATGGTGGACTAAGTAGTTCAAACCAACACTCCCACTGAAGACAATTAGAAAATCCGGACTTAAAAATAATCGCTAAAGTCATTGGAAAGCTGAAAAGGCAATGAGAAATGCTAAGACTGATATCTGAAAGAAGATGGAAACCAATAGAGATAAGTTAAACATTTGAGCCTATTTACCCTTAGGGTATCTGCTGATTCTAGAAGGGGTGAGTAAGGGTATGAGTTACTGAACAGAAATTTTAACAGATTCATTAGCGTTAAAGAGACAAAAGTAGGAGGAGTCCAGAGCCCACCAAAGGGGTACTGATAAATCTTTGGAACTTTAAAGGCTCAACATCCTATGAGTAAGGGTAAAGTGGAAGATTAACCCTTGCAGAAACTGAAGACAAGATTAAAATCATTTCAGTCCCTGAAACTGGATCAATATAACTCAAAGATTCTAGTGCCCCTACTTATCTTCCATAAATAAACACAAATTATCTTTTTCTTTTTTCTTAATTTTCATACTACCATATCCAGCAGGTGGTAAAAAGAAACCAAGCACATGAGAAGACAAGGCAAGAATCAAGAGAAAACAGCAAAAAGAGAGTTCTAGATAATGGAATTATTAGTCACAAACTTTAGCAATTCTTATAAAGGAGATAAAAGACGAAATTCGAGATTTTGGCAGATAATTGGAAACCACAGAAAAGGGGATACTTTAGAGCTAAAAGATATAACCAAAATTAAGAACTCCATGATGTGTTTAACAGCAGTTAGGCACAACTTAAAACAGGGAAATGGAAGAAAACATCCAGAATTATGCAAGAAGGAACAAAAGAATAAAAATACAGAAGAGACTAAAGGGCATATGAAGTACAGTGAGAATATGAAGTACAATGAGAAGGGATAACGTATAATTTGAGTCTCAGAATATACAGAGGGAAATAATGGGTTAGAAAAAATATTTGAATATACATTGACTGAATTCTTACCAAAACTGATGTAATATATTAAGCCATAAATTCAAGAGTGCTTACAAACCCCAAGTAGGATAAATACAAAGAAAGCCACATCTAGACACATCATAGTAAAACTTCTAATAAACAAAGACAAAAAGAAAATATTGAAAGCAGACAGAAAAAAAAAGACCACTTACCATGTCAACAGAAATAATAAGAGACAAAAAACAATAGAATTACTCCTACAAAGTGCTAAGGAAAACAACAACAACAACAAAAAACATTGCCAACTTAGAATTCTATGTCTGGCAATAATGGCTTTTAAGAACAAAGATAAAATGAAAACTTTTTTAGACAACAAAAGTCAAGAGAATTGAAGAGACCCATGTTAAAGGAAGTTTTTAAGAAACAAGTTACTCCAAATGAAGCTTAAAGATGAAAGAAAGAATAAAAATCAAATAAAAGAATAAATATGTGATTAGAGTTCAATGAATATTGACTGTAAAAAGCAATAATGATTACATCTCATAGAGTTTTAAATATCTCTAAACCTATTGATAGGCAGCAACAATAGCATATAAGTCAAAAGGAGGGTAGACTTCAAATATTCTAATGTCCTTGCACTTTACATAAAGAGGGTAAAAACTACCAAGCAGCATTAGCCTTTAATGGGTAATGGATGAATGTTGTAATCTCTCAATCAACCACCATAAAGTTAGTAAAAGTAAAAAAATGGAAAATTCAACTAACATAAAATAAGACAAGAGGCTAGGCACAGTGGCTCATGCCTGTAAACCCAGCACTTTAGGAGGCTGAGGTGGGAGGATTGCTTGAGCCCAGGAGTTCAAGACCAGCCCGGGCAAGACAGCAAGACCCAGTCTCTATAAAAAATAAATAATAAATAAGAAGACAAGAAACAAGAAATATGTACATACATTGGTTGGCATAAGTAGAAAGCTCATGTTAAAATGACAGATTCAAGCCAAATATATCAGCAATTGATTAAATGTAACTGGACTAAATGCCTCAATTGTAGGCAAAGATTGTCAGACTTTATAATTCAACAAAGGTCAACTATAACTGTGACTCTTGTTCACAAGAGTCATTTCAACATGGAGATATTGTAAAAGGATATAAAAAGCAAATGAATTTTAAGAGATATACAGTGCAAAGAAAAACTGAAAGAAAGGTAGTATCACTAAATTAACAGAGAAAAGTATACTTGAAGGCCAAAATTGTCACAAATGAATAAAAGAGAAACTTCATAATAAAAAATGGTTTAATTTGCCAGGTAGCTGTGGCAATTATACATTTATGTGAACCAAATAATATACAAGCTTATGTTATTATTTCAATATCTCACTAAGAGTTTTTCATCATACCTTGCAGTATAAGCAGACAAAAATAATCAGAAAAAGTTATGGACAATCTGAACAACACATTTATAAATGTGACTTAATTGTTATCCTACTTAACAACTGTAAAATACACTTTTTTTTTCAAATACACATGAAGTAGTTATAAAACTTGACCATATTCTGGGTCATAACACAATTCTCAACCAATGTCAAAGAACTGAAATCACCTCATCTGACAAATGATGATTTTATTTCTTCCTTTATAATTGTATAACTTTTATTACTTTTTCTAGCCTTATTAAGTTGCTTAGTGAATTATTGAAAAGAGGTTGTAGAGGGCAAGTTTGTTACATTCCCAATCTCAAAGAGAAAATGTGACATATTATTTATAACCAGAAGAGAAATTTAATTTTTACTATTTTTTAAAAAGTTATTATCATAATGTATAACACATGCACAAGTGTACCAAATATAAATATGCCATTCAGTGAATCATCACAAAGAAAACACTTGTATAAGCATCACACAGGAGAAATAGAACTTTCTAGCACCCTTGAAGTCCCCTTGAGCTCTTCCTTTTCTCCAAGGTAACCAGTATCCTAACTTCTGAAAGTATGTATTCCTTTCGTGTGCTTTTAAACTTTATGTAGATGGAATCATACATATGTATTCTTTTACCTGGCTTTAAAAAACTCATTGCAACATCAGAAAAATATAAGCTGAGGAGTATTCTTTAAAGTAATCTCTAGTCTTCAAGTGTGTTAACATCATAAACGTCAGGGGAAAACTGAGGAATTATTCCAGAGCAAAGGAAGCTAAAGAGACCTAACTAATAAATGTTTTCTTGGATTAGCTCCTGGACCTATGCAGATATTATTGGAACAATAGGCAAAAATTGAAGGGGGTCTGTGGATTAGATGGTATTATTGTACTAATGTTAATTTCTAGATTTTGGTGATACTTTGGTTGTATGAAAGATTGTTTGTTTGTTTGTTGAGATGGGGTCTCGCTCTGTCACCCAGGCTGAGTGCCGTGGTACCATCACAGCTCACTGCAGCCTTGACCTCCTGGGCCCGAGCCATCCTGCCACCTCAGCCTCCTGAGTAGCTGGGATACAGGCGCATGCCACCAGGCCAGGATAATTTTTGTATTTTTTGTAGAGATGAGGTCTTGCTTCATTGCTGAGGCTGGTCTAGAACTCCTGGGCTCAAATAATCTGCCCATCTCGGCCTCCCAAGGTGCTGGAATTACAGGCATGAACCACCACCTGGCCACTATTTTCTTCTTCTTCTTTTTCTTCTTCTTCTTCTTCTTCTTCTTCTTCTTCTTCTTCTTCTTCTTCTTCTTCTTCTTCTCCTTCTCCTTCTCCTTCTCCTTCTCCTTCTCCTTCTCCTTCTCCTTCTCCTTCTCCTTCTCCTTCTCCTTCTCCTTCTCCTCCTCCTCCTCCTCCTCCTTCTCCTCCTCCTTCTCCTTCTTCTTCTTCTTCTCATACTGAAGTATTACAAAGCCATGGGGCATTATGTGTGCAACTTGCTCTCAAGTGGGGTGTGTGTACGTGTGTGTGTGTGCACATAGAGAGGAAAAGAGAATAGAAATTATAAGGTACATGAAGTAAAATGTTAATAAGGAATCTCTGTGGAGAATATATGAGGTCTTTATATTATTTCAAAATGAAAATGAAAATAAAGCATTATAACATGAGCAACTTCCAATGGTATTAAAAATTCACCTGCCTTCAAGGTGTTCATAGTCAAAGACCGGAGTGGAGAGAGCAGATGAGTACTGGGCAGTGACATCTGAGGACAACTACTCTGATAGGGCAAAGCACTTACTGTGTGTGCCAGGACCACAGAGGAGACAGACTCAACGCATCCACTCAGGGCATGGAGGCTTCCTCACAGAATTAATGGTTGACCCAAGCCTTACAGGAGGTCATAATCTGGAGAAAGACGAAAAGGGTGAACTGAGCAGAGGAACGTCATGTTTAAAGGCACGGAGAAAGGAGAGAATCTGGTGAGTTTGGGAAGCTGTAAATGGCTGTCCATGGCTGGGACCCAGGATCCATGTGTGGAGGCACCAGAGCATGAAGCAGCCTGGACTTTATCCTGAAGATGATGGTGCATAACAGGGTGTTAGATCTAGAGTGGACATAACAATTACTACGCCAACCCCTTCCATATATCCTCTGTGAAACAGAGCTTTTACCACCACTATGCAATTACTTGTCTACAAACCCTCCACGTGATTGCTGACACTGAACCATACATTAATTTATGACCACAAATATAAATGAAAAAATTAGCTTGGGATAAATGCAATTTTTTTTGAGACAGGATCTCGCTCTCTCACCCATCCTGCAGTGCATAAATGCATTTAAATAGTGAATGCCATAAAAAGAAATTTTCAGGAGGAAAACAATGCATGGAAAGAAAAGCTCTAGCTATATTTCAAGTTAACAAATACGGAAAAAGCGATCTTAAGAATTAATAGCCTCATTATATATTAATACTTCTAAAACTAAGCAAATTTGAAAAAACTTGGTTGGCTTTGTTTAGTAAATCAAAGTATGTAGTGTTGTAAAAGAATAGGCATTTAAAGAAAATATATCTTTACTAAAATCCAAATGGGGAAAATATGCAATGCACCAAATTCTAAAGGATGTATGATGGTTCAATCAAAGGAACATGGAAGTTACAAGGCAGCTGAGTTGAAGATCAAAAATGAATTCTTGGCTTAGAGAAGAGGTAATAAAATGACAAAATCATTTTATCTGTGATGTGGTGCATGGTCTTTGGAGACAGACAAATGTGGAGAGGAATACACAAGGTCTCTGTGATCTTTTGCCAGTTGATTATCCAGTTGTCATGAAGGCTAAATGACAAATAGATATACTATCATTAGTCCCCAATAAATATCACTCCCTTTCTCATTTTCTCCATTCATTCCTCTTTCCTCCATTTCACAGCTATATCCTTATTTTCACACATGACCAACAAAAGAGACAGCAAGCAAAACAAAGATCCTCCAAAATTACCTTAAAAGACCCAAAATAAAAAGAGCTCACTCTTCAAATCAAAAGGGACAAAGAAACCATGAAAGGTATTCATTCAAGTGAGGCTTAGAGGCTGTGGGGCGAAGAAATACACGGATGTCCAGAGCTGCCTTATGCAGACAGAGTATTTTGCAAATCTGTTCCAGGCGTCTGCTGAGGTTTCTGCCTCCTTCAGGGAATGTATTGCCGTCATTAATGCACACTGACTGGTATGCTTTCCCTCCAACTGGTTTTGCAGAGAAGTAGGCAGCATGCACCCTCATAGGCAAGATGCAAAAGGAGAGCAGAGAGGCAGGATGTCCATGTATATGCAGAAACCTTGCCCAGAAGATGACTTATTACATTAAAGGTGATCAAGCTTGGGAAGGAACCATGAAAACTCTATTATGCTGTTAGGAATATTCACAGCCAAGTATGTGATAAACTGCACCCCTCCCTTGTTTCTTGCCAAACAGGCTGATGTGCTGTGCTGCTTATGATTTAAAAAAAAAAAAACAACAACAACAGTGTTCTATGGAGCCCATTCTTAGAATGCCAAAGATCATGACAAGTCCCAGATCTTCTGAGCCAACCCAAACCTGGCTGGTCTCAGAGATGGATGATATAGCATCCTGGAGCTGGCCCAGTGTTCCTCTCCAAATGGATTCAGGAAATGCACTGAGCGCTGACAAAGCTTCCTCCCAAGGTTGTGAGGCTGTAATGAGAACACATCCGAATTTCCCCCCAGGGAGGCTGCCAAGAACTCAGAGGAGTGGGGAAGGAGTGTCTGGACCACGGGATGGCTGTGAGGGAGATAAGCTCCAGCCCTCTAGAGTTGTCGATCAGGGATTTAGAGGGACTTAGAGAGAATGAAAGCACTCAGAGAAATAAACCTTTCATAACCATCTTTAGGGCAGGCAGACATAAGAATTAAAGAGTAACAAAGATCTTTGCTCTGACAGAAGAGCCCAGAAAGCTTAAACCATAGCAACCTTGGTAATAAGTGTACCAGATGCTATGCCGAACTCTACATGCATTATCTCATTTAATCTTCATGATGTCCCTGTGATTGGCACTGTTATCATATCCATTTTACAGATGAGGAAACTGCACCTTAGAGAGGTTATGCAACTAATCTAAGACCAACAGCAGTGAGTTTTGAAACCATCACTAGATACTGCCTCTCCATTGAAGATAATCTATTGCCTAACAAGGTGTTTAGCACACTGTAAGCATTCGGTAAATAATTATTAATGAAATAAATAATCAACTAATGTTGAATATGGCAGAATAAGGTCAGCACTGGATTAATGAAGACCTGCACTAACTGGCTGTGTAACTCACGGTAAGTTGCTGGATGTGTCTGGGTCACATTGTCCTCATCTGAAAAGAAGAATTTAGACTATATGCTCCCTGGGAAATATGGCATGATGAATAAGTCATATGGAGAGCCAGCATTTAAAAGAACCCATGCATCAAGTCTAAACCAGAGTCCCCATTGTAATTCTGACCCATGTTCCAGCTATCTGAAATTGCTTCTCTCTCCCTAGAACAGTGATACCTGGGAACTGGACAGACACGCACCTCTTTCTCTCCAGAGCACCTTATGGAATAGTAGCAGAGGGCACTGCCACTAACAGAAGGGCCCTTTATTAGAGCTGCCATTCCATTCTCAGTGACTGCATTCTCCTCTTTGTCTCACTCAAAAAGCACTGTGGCCACTCCTGATTTTAAAGGATCCCACAAAGAATTTTCTTACCCTGGTTCCTGGCAATTGAAGTGCAGAGATCCTTTCTACCAAAGTGATTCCATAATGACAGCAACCATCTATTAGAATGGTCTCAGAGCAAAACTATGTTCTTAAATGCTTTCCGAGTTTCCTCTTCTTTCCGTTAAAATTTCTTTTTGTCATTAAAAGGCATTAAGTAAGAGCTTGGGCAGAACTTGCTGAACTGCAGAATTGGTTGCTTTTGTATCAATTCTTACTGTACCCAGACATTATCCGTATTTCATTCTTTTTTTAGTCACTGTCTGCTTCCAGACCTGTTCATTCTCCTCATCTACCCAGTCTCCATCAAAGCCTGCCACCTCTGGGAAGACTTTTCTGAGTCCCTCAAGCAGATGTGGGCACTTTTTGTAGGAATGAATTATACTTGAGGCTAGAATCCATGATTTCTCCCCTTTGCGTGCTCAGTACCCAGCAGAAGGCCTGATGCAAGGGGGACATAGAATATATATTTGGCAAAAAAAATGCTGAAAGGATGCTTCAAAAAACCAAGTAAAACATTAATAGATTAAATGAAAAGTAAATTATGAGAATATATATTTTTTAGTAATGGTTATCAAAGAGTCTACATCCAGACAATAATTACACTGATGACCACTTTTCCTCTTTAGACTTTATAAAATGTGTGACTTGAACAAGCCCTGTGTAAGTTGAAGCTAAGGACAGATAGTTTATCTAAGAGAGAGAAAGATGGATTTTCTGAAAATCCAAATGCATTTGCATCAGAGCTTACTTTGAGCCTTAACCCAGTTCCAACAAATGGATGAAAGGATCAACCTTTCCATCAACAAGCATCTACAAGAAACAGGCTGCCCATCACTGCCCTAGATCTCAGAGACGAAGTGAGGCCACGGTCAAGTTACGTGCCCCAGATGGAAGGAGACAGTTTAGTCTGAAAGAGTGAAGGCTGAGTTATGAAGTAATTCTTGTTGAAAATAAACCTATACAAGTAATTAAATTTGGAATATCAGTCCTCTCTGACATTGGCCAGTTCTGTGGCCCTATTCAAACAAGATTACGCTCTGAAAAACAGATGCTAGACGAAAAATATGAGAAAGTATAAGAGTCATCTATGTGCTACCCAGGTGGTGTGATTCAGTGGGAAGAGTGACTGTAAATTGGATTAAACCTGGGTTAGAATCCTAGCCTTGCCCCACAGTACCTCTTAGTCATGCCACTTACCTTCTGAACATCATTCTCCTCTCTAGAAGAGTAGAGAAAATAACACTTATTATATATTGTTGAAAGTAGGCAGTTCAGTAAGTGTTACTTTCCTTTCCTCTAGGCAGTAGGCCACTGGAGAAAAGAATTGATAGGGAAACTTTCTAAACGGGGAAAAAATTGGCTAGATTTCCAAGTGGGGAAATTTTACTGTTGGGATAATTTGGTTTTAGAAAGGAATACTGAAGGTAGGAATCCTCAAGAATTGGAATCTCTAGTGAATCACTTTAATTCTACAAATACTTATTGAACACCATAATGTGACAGGTATTGTCCTGAACCCAAGGATACAGCAAGGAACAGAACAATCCCTGCCCTCAGAGAGCTCACAAGCTCTCAGGAAAGATATTCATTAAATGTCTGCATGTGTGATGAGCATTTTGAAAGGGTTCCAGGGAAGCATAGGGGTGCACAAGACCTCATGTATACTGTCAAGGATGGCCTTATCTGAGAAAGATTCGTTGATGCTAATAATGAATGAATAAGTAGGGATACAATGGTCAATTTCACATTCCCCACCACCACTATTCATATGCCACAGATATGTCTGACATTCCTGCTACATGCCAAGCCCTGAAGAGACAGAGATAAAAGAGAAACTATAAAGTCTGTGATCTCCCAAGGCCTCAAACCCCACAGAAGAACAAAAGTAATTGCATAGATGCCAAATAATATCATAAATAAAGGGTTTTGAAAACAAAGGAAGGAATGGTGGATCTGCTCCCGAGGGAGATAATAAGCATGCCAAGGAGGAGATCCAGCATTGTGGTTTGGGTGGCAATTTCCACGCTACTCCCTGAGCTTTTACACTGTGTATATAAGTGAGACCTGCAGTGCCAGCTGGTATTGTTAACAACTCAAGGCATTAATGTAATACAGTGATGCCCTCAGAAAAAAAATAGAGCTGATAAAGAAATTAACGTGTTCAAAAATACACACTTCATCTGCTGACTTGCTCACATTTCCTTCACACATGGTGGGGTTTACTCAGAGCCAGAGAGAATGACCGTAGCAGTAAAGTGAAACTCACAAGTGATAGTCAGGGGAAAGGCCAATCCCCACCCTAGCCTCATTTACTGAGCAACTGGAGAGCTTCCATTTTCAGAGCCCTTTCCAGTCTTCAAAGTATCTTCATATTCCAATTTTATTGGTTCTTCCCAACAAATCCTAAAACAAGGAGTGCAGATCTTTTATTCCCATTATACAGATGAGGAAGCTGAAACTCAGGGTAGATAGGTTCTTTCTAGAGTCATGTGGCTGGAGAGTGCTGAAGGGACTATTAGAACCCAAGTCTGATTTTCGCTTTACTGATCTAATACCCCAGGACAGGGCTTCTCAAACTACAATGTGCATATGTGCCACCTGGGAGCCAATATGCAGAATCTGATTCATAAGTCCGGGGTGGGACCTGAGATTCTGCATTTCCAGCTCTGTGACACCAGCTGGAGAAAACGCATTCTTCCTGATGAAAGATAATCATAGTCTGTGTTTCCCAGATGAAATTTCTTCAAATGGTTATGACAATGGAGGATCCTTCTTATTTTTTCAAAATACCAAATAGTGGTCCCTCAACAACTTCAACCTAAGCAATACTTATTTCCCTGACACTTCAGGGGACATAGACGTCTTCTGTTATAGTTCATCTGTCTCTGTTCTCATCCCCATCTCTCTTAGTCTCTTTCTGCATCTACCTCAGTCTCTGACTCTTTTTCTATTACTCTTTCTCATACTTGACCACCAAACTATGTCCTTGAATGTACAGTGTCAAGTTGAGGTGTTCTCCGATACCAACAATCAATTCTCTGATTCTCCAGGCACTAACTCAAGATATCCAGCAATTCAATTCAATTCTCACACTGCTCAGAGATAGTGCAGATCCCACAGCTTAAGAGCTCAGTCAAACAAGGCTTCCCCCAATTTCAGGCACCAGTCAAAAATCCCAGGCCCCCTGTATTTCTGACTGATTGGTTACAAATTGTACGTTTCCACAACATCTTTCTTATGCTTGATAATTTGCTAGAACAGTTCACCCAACTCAGGAAAGTGCTTTACTTACTATTAGCAGTTTATTATAAAGGATATAACTCAAGAACAGCTAAATGGAAGTGACAAATAGGGCTAGGGATTGTGCTATATAAGTTTGTGAATTATGTAATTTAATCATAACCAAAACCAAAAGAAATACGTGCTATTGAATCCAATAAAAAATTCTGTCTGTCTGAGTTCTGAGTGAATTGATAAAAAGACAAAGGGACTAAATGTATCATCTCTATTATTGATAAACTATAGGTTGGAGGATAGAGTGTATATTTTCAGATGAATGGCTTTTCCAATACTACATCCCAGAAGTAAATAAACTCACAGGTATCCTGGAACCACAGCAGACCTCTCAATGGAAAGGCAATCCACTGTAAAATGTATGGCATGACAGAAGTGGACTTACTTCATGTGAGCAACGTGGTGTCAAGAGGAAGAAAGGGAGGGACAATTGAATGTGCTCAATTTGAAAGTTGTTCTTCCTAAATTAACCTATCAAGTTAGTTACTTCACCCTAAACACACACACGCCACCTTCAAAGTGTAATGAGTAAAATGGAGGAAAGAGACCAGGACTCCTACATCAATTGAGTTCCTTCTGGATGAAAGGAAATACCTGAAGAGGGGAGAAATCACTCTTTCCAAGATGTATGATTAGCCCCCACATTCATAATCACTATGTGCCAGGAATTTGCTAAACACTTTGTACATGGATTACTCATTTAGTGCTCACAGTCAGCCTCTGAAGTCTCTACTCTTAGTATGCCCATTTTACTGATGAAAATTCTCAGGCTTAGAGAGATTAACTAACTTTCAGGGGATCCAGCCAGTATGTAGTGAAGGCTGGATTCAAACCTGAACAGACACAGACACTCAAATCTTTGTCTTATATTGCTGACCCAGAGGAGCCTCTCTGATGAGGAAACTGACAGTCTGAGAAATTAATTCACACAGCCAATAGTTAGTAGAGCCAGATTTCAAACCTGCAGCGATCTCTCTGACTGCAAATACCATGCACTTAACCACTGCACAAGTGCACAAAAGATTTAATAAAAATTTGAGTGCCAACAGACTCAGAAAAGAGAAACATGACTTTGGGTTGGAGCACTCATGAAAGCTACATAAAGGACTGGTGTTCTGAGCTGATATTTGCAGATAGGTGGCATATATTTTGAGGAAGACTTTCCAGTCTGAGGGACTAGGATGAATTCTAGATTGCTGAGCAGGAAGTGAGCTTAGAAAAGATTGAGTTCATGAGGAAGATGAGGAAACAGAGACCTGAGAGGTAGAGCGAGTAAAGGAGAGCTGAGACAACCACGTTAGATGAAAGGACCACATGCAAGGGAATCAAATTAAAGGTGAATACATGAAATGAACCTGATTATGGGGATTTGAAAGCAGGCAAAAAAGTTTGGGTGGTAGGATTCTTGAGCACAGTTTGAGAGAGAACAACCTACTACAGAACCTGACATCAATTCTCATCATGGTTTGGAGAAGATCTCACCAGGATGTATGAAAACAAAGGAGAAGCTTGGAGAAGACCGCCACCCAAAAGGAAGGTGATGATGGCTTGAGCTAGGCAGTAAAATACAAGGAGAAAGGAAATGGTGAATTGAGAAGTTATCTACAGTTTGGTGAGATGAATAGTTTCAGGGAGGAAGAGGACAAAAAAAGGAAAAACAAAACAAAACAAAACAAAAACCCCTACCAGTTTCTAAACTAAGGGGCTTCTAAATATCACTTCAAAAATTTGGAGAATTAGAAATTTGGTTTTGGAACCCTCCATCATTTACTTCCTGGGCCTCCTCCTCTGCTTGTCTTTGCCTTAACCAAGACCTGATTTCAGAAAAAAAAAAAAAAAAAAACGTAATTAATTCCTACAGCAAGGTGTCCATGACAGGCAAGGACTAGCATCACCAATCTCAGGAAGAAGAAGCATTAACATTTAAAAGCAGGCATTTTGTAATCATCTCAGTTAGAGAAATCTAGGCATGAGCAACCAACAGAGGAAGAATTTCAGGGAAAAGAAGGCTTTCTGCAATTGGGAAGTGATGCCATGTGAAGCCTCCTATTGCATGGTGCTTCTGATGCTCCAGACATTTCAGAGCACCTTACACATATGCCTGCATTCAATCCTAATAACAACCCCATGAGGCAGAAATGATAATCCTCATTCTAGAGGTACAGAATGGACAGAAAAAGGTCATACAACTTGCCCTGAATCACATAGTCAAGAAGTGATAGAGTGAACCCAGGCAGGCTGGCTCTTAGATTAGTTCCTGATCTCAGACTGAGAAGTTGGGGCAATATGAAAAATATTGCATCAGCACTTTAAAACATTTTTAAAATAGTAGGCATTCTTATTTGTGTGTGTATGTGTTGTGTATATATATATAAATATGAATATACATATACACAACACATACACTATTCCGGAACAAGGGAACAAAGTAGCAGTGAGGAATCTAGAGCTCCTCCTATTTGGCCTGTCCCCCATCCCGCATTGCTGCCTCTAAAGCAATGGAACCACCTATGTGGTTGCATGGAACCGGTCTAAATATGATTACATGCAAAGCAGCTAATACTCGCCCCTCCTACTGTCTGTTAATGACTAGATTAAGAAAATGTTGTGGGATCTTTCACCTTCTGCCTCAACTAAATTTACTTTACTGATGCAGACAGACAGAAGGCACAAGCATCAATCATAGGTTCCAGAAGGTCAGAGGCCAAGAGAACAAAAGCTAAGAGGCAAGGCCATACCTGAACCCTGTCCAGTGGAGAAATGTCAGGCCTTTTATATTCTAGTTCACTTTATATATCACTGGTGGAGAAAGGTAGAGACAGGTAGAGCAGTGTGAGTTGCATGTTTCTAGGGGCACCATTTACATAGAAGATCATTTGAACAGTACTCTTTGAGTGGAAGAGCCAGGGTAATGAGCTGACACAGCCCAAGTAACAAGCAATCAAAATGAAACCTAGACATCAAGTACTCATACCTGTGCATACCACCTAAATATCAATACCTGTGCATACCACCTAAATATCAATCTGGACCAAGCAAGGGAGGGATGGTGATTTGGTTGAAACAAACAGTCCTATTAAAGCAATGAGTGAGAAATGTTAACATCTAGGTCACCTTATGGGTCAACAGTCAGCGTGTACATTGGTTAGGTGAGCACCCCTGGGCCAATCAGCAGAGCCCAGATGGCAGATAGCTACCATCCACCGGGCAAATTATGCAGAAGGAACGCCTAGATGGGACTGGGGAGTCCAGAGATCTTATGAAGTTCAGTCCTTCCAGTTCACCTTCATCCAGAGCTACTTTAAAGCACAGTTCAAAACCCTCTACCTCCATGAAGATGTCCCTGCTTACCCCAAATGGGAACATTGTTTCCCTTTTATATAAGCCTTCGTAACAGTTTGTATTTCTTTGATGTATTTCCCCTCTTTAGCCCTGAACTGTGCCTTTTAATTTTTTAAATTTTTTATTTATTTTGAGACAGGTCTCACTCTGTTACCTAGACTAGAGTGCAGTGGTGTGATCAGAGCTCACTGCAGCCTCAACAACTCGGACTCAAGTGGTTCTCCCAACTCAGCTTACTGAGTAGCAGGAACCACAGATGTGTACCACACACCGAGCTAAATTTTTTATTTTTATTTGTAGGAATTTTGCCCAGGCTGGTCTTGAACTCCTGAGCTCCAGTGATCCTCCCATCCTGGCCTTTCAAAGTGTTGGGATTACAGGTGTGAGCCACTGGGCTTTTTAAATGCATATCTCTTCTTTTCTGCATTAGGCTGTAAACTTCTTGAGGGCAGGGGGTATGTCTTATTCATCCCTGTATCCCAGTGGTTCTCAACCAGCAGAGATTTTTGGTTGTCACAGTGTCAGCGAGAGAGGAAGGAGGTGCTACTGGCGTCTAGTGGGTAAAGCCCACAGATGCTGCTGAACATTCTATAGCTCACAGGACAACCCACTCTCCCCAATATCCTGTATGTCCAAAATGCCAACAGTGTCCAGCTTCAGAAATCCTGCCATATCCCTACTGCTTGGCACATAGTAGGTGTTTGATAAATGTTTGTTCAGTGACTAAGTGGATGAAGGAATGGTTTGTATTTTCTTAAGTAGTTTACCTCTTCTCTGAACCCCCTCAATATGGGTTGGCTCAGCAATGACTTGATTGGTAGTCTCAGGAGAGCTGGTCAGTCAGGATGACCTGCATGTTTTTCAGATGTTACATGATTCATCTGCTTCTTTCTCCCCTGCAATGGCTCTCCATTGCCTAGAGATCAAAATTCATACTCCTAAGGATAGCAGACAAGTGCCTCCGTGATCACTATCTGCCTAGCACGTACCATTCCCTGCCACACACCCCATACTCCAGCCAGCTCCACCAAATTATATTCCACTTCCACGTACAGCATTATTCAGAATCCTCATAGCTTTGCAAAACATCTTCCCTTTGTGTAAAATTTTCTATTCAACCCTACACTGTATCAACTTGTTGAGCTTTCATTCACCCAGTTGAACTTGTCTGTTTTATTTTTATGTATTCCCTTACTCACCATAGAGAATTGATCACGTATTCTTCTGTGATCTTCTCTTGTGTCCACTGCTCTGGTAAATAATTTGTATGACATTATATTGCAACTACTTGCATGTCTGTTCCCCACAACTAGACTGTGGGCTCCTTTAAGATATACATCTCTCCAGCATCCATCACCATTCCTAGCACATAGGAAGTACTCAGTAACTGTTTTATGAATGAATATTTAAATAATGAATGAATGGATGAATGTTCTAAGAATAGCCCACCTCACCCTAGAATAGACTTGATGACAATTCTCTGAAGTTTGAGGTCTAAACCCACAGGTATTGGACAAACCAGTTGGATCTGCAGAATGACATATAAATAGCCAAGTCATAACAATGTCATGATGAAGAGCATGCATTCATTCCAACATGTTTCTAATAGATCCAGCCAACATTTGAATGAAAGCCACGTTCTCTTTATTGATGGTCTTTAATATAATAAGCCAGATCCTTAGATCTATGGAAGGCAATCTGGGATGCTGCCACTCAGTCGTTCTTACATCTGGCTGCACATTAAAATCACCTAGAAAACTACTGACACATTAAAACAATTAGGCACCTCAACGCTAAACAATTAAATTAGAATCTCTGGGGGATGGGAAGGCAGGCATGATTTAAAAACAAACTCCCAGGTGATTCTAATGTGCAGACAAGATGGAGAACTGTTGTGTGGATCTTCTTAGCTCTGCTTAGAGGGAACACTCCAAAGACTTAAGTGGACATAGGAAAATGCAATTCCCCTCAACATGAAAGTGACCAATGGGAAATTTACTACTTTACCTGGAATGGGAGGGAAGGCAGGACATTTCCCCACATTGGGAACCAAGCCACCAAGCCTATGGCTTTCACTAGACAACGTACAGTGGAAATTCCTGATTTCTTTTAGAAATTCAGGCTGAGTGGCCAGGCGCTGTGGCTCACGCCTGTAATCCCAGCACTTTGGGAGGCCAAGGCGGGCAGATAACGAGGTCAGTAGAACAAGGCCATCCTGGCCAACACGGTGAAATCCTGTTTCTACTAAAAATCAAAAAAATCAGCCAGGCGTGGTGGCATGCACCTGTAGTCCCAGCTACTCGGGAGGCTGAGGCAGGAGAATGCCGTGAACTGGGGAGGCGGAGGTTGCAGTGAGCCGAGATTGCACCACTGCACTCTAGCCTGGGTGACAGAGTGAGACTCAGTCTCAAAAAAAAAAAAGAAGAAAAAAGAAAAAAGAAATTCAGGCTGAGACAGAACAAAGCATTGTTGGGAAGAGCACAGGCTAGCTGAATTTGGAAACACCAAATGTTGGATTTCTTCCCAACTCTTCCCTCAGCATGGTGTTACCGGGGCAGGGAGGGTCTTGACTGCAAGTTTTCTGGGTTCTTGGAGTTTTAAACAAAGAATTGGACAAAACGCACAGCAAAGCAAGGAAGGAAAGCAGAGATTTATTGAAAATGAAAGTACATTCCACAGGGTGGGAGCAGCCCGAGTAGCGGCTCAAGGGCCTGGTTTACAGAATCTTCTGGGGTCCAAATACCCTCTAGAGGTTTCTCATTGGCCACTTGGCATACACCCCATGCAAATGAAGTGGTGGCCCACAATCAGAGGCTGAAGTGAAGTTACAAAGTTACACTCCTATGCAAACATCTGATTGGTTGCTTTATGCAACCAGTCAGAGATACTCTTAATTTTCCATCTGCCACACAGAAATGGGGGACAGGTTTGCAAGGGGAGTAGCCTCTGGTCCTTTTGTTACTTAGGTGTGGAAAGTTGGGGTTTTCCTTTTGATTTACTTCTAAGAAGTCAGCGTAAATTGGCCTCAGGTTCTCTGCCTCCAGACCCTATCCTCCTGCTTCAGTGGGAAATACAGGATGCATGAGTGGGCTGTGGCTGCTTCTGTATGCCACATTGAACTAATGATAGAGATCTTAAACTTTAAAAAAAAAGTTTTATTTTGATGAGAGATTCTCAACTAGGGGTGCACATAAAAATCATCAAGATAGAAGTCTGAAATCAAGATTTCTCTGGAGATAGAACCCATGATTTTTTGTTTATCGTAAATTCCCCATGAGTAATTTTTGGGATTCACTCCTCATTAAATATAACGACTTTAAATGAAGCAGATCTGATATAAAATCGATTCACCAATTCACCAAACTTATCTGAGAAATATCAGCACCCTTTTCTCAACGTACAGAATTCTTGCTTTGAAATGGTTCACTTCCAAAGACATTTACTCCTAAACAAACTAAAGAGTATTACTCAGAAACCATTGTGGCATACGACTCCATCCAAGACATGAACTGCAAGTAGGCAATGTTCTGTTAATAATGCCAGCATCTGCTCTGTGTTTTCAACTGGAAAGCAAGTATTTCCCATCCAACTCCACCAATTCACTCTTTGGAGTACTATAAAGGCTCTGACACAGTCTTTCTATGCCAATGGATTGGGTTGGCCATTTACAATTACTAAGATTAATTTACAGAAATATTTAATAAAAAATCTTTCAAGAAAAAAAAGACTTTGAGATGCTGATAGATCAGAGCATGGCATATGCAGCTAACATCACATCCATGCCAATGGCTATTTGCCATGCTGTTTTAGGTCTACATCTGCTGCTGGTTAGCAAAAATTACATTCACAGCTGTCCAGATGAATCAAATGTCCAATTAGCATTTTTTGCTCAGTGACAGGATTCTGCCCAGAACAAAAATTTTAAAACAGAAAGCACAACAGAACAGAGTTTTATTCATATTCTTGCTGAAAACAGTACTCTGTGAATTCTTGAATGTTTTAGAAAAAAAATTATAGGAAGTGATCAAAGTCCTCCAACAATGTGTTTTTCCCCTAGATGCAGTTAAGTTCAAAGAATTTTGGTTCATTATATGCATGCTTTCCTGATGAGAAGCCTTGGTCTGTTCTTTCCTGTTTCTCGATTCTGAAAGACCATCGCCATCGTATTTGCCATCCACTACAAATGGAAGATGGAGTGACCTTCTGCTAATAAAACCATCTCCTGTTTTCAATTTAAACTTCTAACGTGACAGGAAAGTGAATTCATCCTAATCTTCAGATTTCCCTGAGTGGTAATAATCAGAATTTATTTTATACTTATATGTTCAAGTATGTTAAGGTACTCAGCAAAATAACTAGAATTCTAATGCAAGAAGACTCACAGTAGAATAACCCAAGATGAAATTTTTGTTCCTCGAGTGCTTAAAGCCTACTCAATGGTTTTCCATTTCACATAGAATAAATTACCAAGGCCCGGCATGATCTAAGCTCTAGCTGTCCCCCATTCTTACCTTGTGCTTCTCTCCTTTAGCTCATACAGACTGGCCCCATTTCAGTTCTCCCAGCCAACTTCTTCTCCACCCCAGGGCCTTGGCGCATGCCCTGAATACTTCCCCTATCCCCATTCCTTAGAGCTTCATTTCTTTTGATAGTCCTTCCTCGGTCATATCTATCTAGCCCCACCTTCCCTCCTGTTGTAAAGCCTTTTTAAATTCCCTTCTTTAAAGTTCCTTTGTTGCACTGACCACAGTTTGTTATTTATATTTTTATTTGCATGGATTTTTTTGGTCTTTGTCTTCTAGTAAGAGGAAATCTGAAGAAAGGTAGAGCTTAAGTTACCTTTGTTCATCAGAGTATTTCCACTGCTTAGCACAGTGCTTTTTACTTAATCGCATCTCAATAAATATCAGATATCTCTAAGAGTGACTTAATGAAAGCTATATTAATTCACAATGTGGCCATACCATGCTTTGTAATGGAACAGACATCATTCTCTTCTCAGTCACAGCTAATGAAACTATCTTAGGAGGTCCTCCCTAGATAAGACTTTTTGTCTATAAAAAGGAAGTGGAAACTTTCAAGGGGAATTAAATCCCAGAATAATAACTGCCATAATCTGTAGCACATTCTCACTCACAAAGCAAGTACTTCATAGCACTTTTACCCCTTTTTGTTTCCTGTGTTATAGGAGAAAAAAGTAAATTCAGAGTTTCTGTATCTTCTTTGTTGCTCAAGATCACAAATTAATAAGGGGCAGAAGTAGGACTCAAACCCAGGCCCACAGGTATCTAATTCACTGGTCTTTCCTCACCCTACCCTCCTCCCTGCCTCATTCTTCTCCCTGTCTTGCAGTCACGCTACTCTTTGCCAAAGTCTGGAGATGATTTTCAGAGGAATCTACCCTGAAGGAGAAATATACTTTGATTTCCAATTTGATTGAATGTACAGCTAAATTAACTTGCTGGAGAAAATCTATTTTCAGTGTATATTTTTAACAATTAACAAACATAGTGCATATGTTAGAAACAAAAAATAAACCATAAACAAAGACAATGGAAGAGGTGAAGTAAACAGGCCTTTCTCTCTCTCTAACCCAATTGGGAGTCCATTGCTATCCATCTTATTAAGGATGGTTACAGAGAGGAGACTCATCCATATTTTTTTGTCTCTCTCTCTGTCTGGAGACAGTTTTACACATGCTTTGCTTAATGGACATTTCCCCATGGTCAAAATTATGTTCCATTCACTGTCATTTCCCCATGCCAAAGTTGATTTTTTTGACAAGCTCCACTGTTAACTCTGCAGCCCAGATGTTTCCATGGCAGCGGGTAAGCTGTGGCTGCAGAAACAGCCTTCCCCTCCACAGTCACACTGGTATTTAAAATGATAATCGCAAGTGCAATGTTAAAGTCAGCTAAGCTTTGGTATTTTTATATAATGATTGTACTGTTTTTATTTAAATAATAAATATCCATTTCAAAATTATTTTGTTATTGTGAGTATTATGTTTTATTCAAACAATGAAGATTAAAATTAAGAAAGGAAAAGGAAGGAAGGAGAGGAGAGGAAAGCAGGGGAGAGGAGGGGAGGGAAGGAGAGGAAAGGAGGGAAAGGGAGGGATGGGAAGCAAAAAGAGAAGAGCTACGTTCCAAGATGCCAGTGTCTTGTGTTATTAATAAAAATAAATTTAAAGATCAAATTTCTTTTTCAATATTAAGATACCTAGTAATTACAGCATTTCTCATTCCCATCAGCTTCCAATTCTCTTCTCAGCATGCCTAGGAAATTTGAATACATTCCAGGAAAGAAGTCCAATCAAGACGTTACTGCTAAGGTCGTAGCAAAGGAAATGTTCACAGCAAAGACAGGGACGACCAAGGTAAGTCTCACTAGGAGATCTGCTCTCTCTGTATTTGCTTCATCAGCAGTTTTTCTTTCACATTTAAATGTTTGAGCAGAGAACTATGCTCCACGAGCAAGAACCCAGCAAGGCTGAGCATGCATGAACACAGTTAACTTTTGTCACCAAATGCAGCTTGCAGCAAATTTAATCTGAAACATACTTCATAATGTTAAGAGTGCTTATTATGTTGCAGGGTGATTAGCATAAACAGTAAACAATTCACAAAGATGAAATTACATTTACATGGTGGAATTGAATGTTTCTCCTTTTCTCTTGTCCTTTATTCTTTAGTATCATTTATATCAGTACAATAATTTACCTTTAATTTGTTCAATATAGTCAAGACATGTAGATATGGGACACACACACACACACACATAGTGCCAGAGTCAATTCACAAGCTAGGGCACCTTATGCCCCACACTCATATCCTCTTGTTCACCATTACTCAAATTTCTACTCCTCCTCTACCAACTCAGCCTTTCCACAGTCTGCTCTTATGGTCTCTCAATCTTGAACACCTGATTCATATATATATGTTTCTCACCCCCAGGTCTGATCCCTTACATGCTTGAGAGTCCAAGATAAAATCAAAGGAAATATAAACAGGTATTGAGTAGGACTAAACAGGTAGGACCTGTTACCACAGGTATTAGTTTATTATTAATACCACAGGTATTAATTTCACAAAATTAAATGACATTTAATTAAATGACATTTAATTAAATGATGTCATTTAATTTTGTGAAAACCTAACCAGTATGACACTGCACATATTATTATAAACACAGAAGTTTTGGTTTAAAGGGTGTCTTGCTCAGGGCAACACAGGTAGTAAGAGGAATAAAACTGGCCAGGAATTCGGACTGCCAATTCTATGCTCTTTCTATGTGAACACAGAAAAGCTCTTGAGAATGGGTTTGAAGATAGTCTTGAAAGGATTTAATAGGCATTGTTTAATAGGCGTGGTTTATTTCTGACCAGCATCTTATCCCTTGAGATCCTACCTTCCCTGACTTTATGTGATTCCATTGGTGATGGAAATTATTGATCTTTCTCTAATCATTTCTTGTTCTTCCCCAAAAGCTGGGTACATGCTTCAAGGTTGTTCAATCTTTTTACTACATTCCTTTAACACTTTAAGTAGTCTGGAGGATGGGCATAAGAGCCAAGAAAGGTCATTCAGCATTCATGTCTCCAGAAAACGATCATTGGACTATAGGAAAAAGCTTCATTTTTCCACTAAGTTTGCTAAACTGGAGCAATATTTTTCTAGAGCTGCTGGAAGTTGTATTTCCTGGCTGCAGGAAGGAGCTCATCTGCTGTAGTTGAGAAAAAGGCAGAAAGACCAGATGGCATGCTCTTTCACTTCTTTATGCTTTTGCACATATGGGTCTCTATTTCTAGAACACCTGTTTTGCTTTTCCCTCCAAAAAGGAAAATATAGCTAACTCCTAATCCTATCAGGTTTTTGTTCCTTTAGGAACTAGGTCCTCTTCCCCTGTGCTGAGGTAGATGTTCCTGCCCTATACTCGAATAGAATCTTATGTTTACACCTATAATTGAAGTTATCACAGCGCATTGCAATAACTGTCTATTGTCTTTTCCACCCTCTTTATGAAGAGCTCCTCATGGAGAGTAAGCAAGTCATAGTTATCATTGCATTGATGTCATTTTAAAAAAACGACAGCTACATAATAGATGCTCATTGTTTGTAGAATGGGTGGATGGTAGGGGATCTAAGGTGAGTTTGAAAATTGTTTCTCAAACTTCAGAAGTTATTGAAAATTATCCTACACAAACAAGTGGAGGAAAATTTAGCTCCAAAAGTCCTGAAATTCTAAATTCTCTGAAATTAACATGAGTAAAACTAGACCCAGTGAAAATTATAAGCAGATACATTTTAGCACAATATAAGAGGAAAATTTCTACCAATCATACACATCCTCTAATAGAACTGATTATTTCACAAACTGACCAAAGGTGTTCAAGAAAGGAATGCTATATGTTTCAAGATTTTAGTGTCATTATTTCATTATCTTCTGGCTTCCATTATTTCTGTTAAGAAGTTGGCCATCAGTCTTTCTTGTGCCTTTGAAGGTGATCTTTTTTTTCTTACTTCATTTCACTGGTTTTAAGATTTTTCTCTTTATCTTTGGTAATTATTAGTTTTAGTGTGTTCTGTACAGAGATATTCTTCTTTGTTACTCATTATTGGAGTTTATAGCACTTCTTGAAAATGTGATTTGATTTTTGGGGTCATTTTTGGAAAATCTCATCCAATATCTCTTTAGACATTCTTCTGTTCTATTTTATTTTTTATTTCTTTTTTTTGGACTTCAGCTGTATATATGACCTTTTCATCATGTTCCCCTGTCCTTCTATTTTTAATGCTATTCTCTTGCTGTATTATTCTTGGTATTTTTTTCTGACCTATCTTCCAGTTCACTAATTGTCTCTTTAGCTGTGGTTAATTTGGTGTTAAACTATTTAGTTCTTAATTTCAGTTACTATATTGTTTAGTTCTACAGTTTTTTTTATTCTTTTTCATAGTCTCCAGTTCTCTGCTTAAATTCTCCATTTTGTCATCCAATTTCTTGAATGTATTAATTATACTCAGTTTAAAGTTTATTCCTGATAAACTCTAACATATAGATTACTTGTGAGGCTATTTCTGTGATCTGCTTTTTTATGTGCTTTTTGATTAATTCTTACCTTTTTTGCCTGCCAGGTTTTAAAAATTGAACTCTAAATATTGTGTGTAAAAAATTACACAGATAATCAGAGCTATAAAAGATATTATCTTTCTCAGGAAGAATTTACTTTTGCTTGAGACAACAGTCACAATAAAAGTAGATCACTTACTCACCTTAATCCCTCCTTAGTCCCCCTTGGTGGGCCCTGATCTCAATTTTTAGCAATGTCTCTCCTATATGAATAAAAAAGAAAACTCTAATTAGTTTTTCAGGCACCAAATGACACCAGTTGGGCTCAACTATATGAACCTACTTTTCTCTGGGTTTCTGCTTGCTCAAGTACTGGCTGCATTGGTATCTCTTCAATGCCTTCAAGATTAAACACACACACACACACACACACACACACACAAACACACATACCCCTTCAAAAAGGTATCAATCTAGAGCTACATACACATATACATCTATATTTCTTACTGTCTTGGCAGTTCTCCAATACCTTCAAGAACTATTGAATAACTACCAAACATACTATTTTATATTATATATATGTTGTCCACCCTTTTTAGTAGTTCTTAGCAGGTAAGTTTGTCTAAACAAATTAGCTTGCCATGGCCAGAAGTGAAATTCCACTATGTTGGAGTTTGACTGGATAAATCTTAAACTTTATCTGGAAGAGTAAATGCAAGAGAATAGCCAAGGAAATTTTTGTTTAATTCAGGAGAATTTGTCTTTATATTATAAAGTTTTAGTAATAAAACCACATGACAGTGAGACAAGAATAGAGAAATAGATCTATATAACAGAGAAAGGTATCAAGAGATGTTGGTTATATTATATATTTATTATAGTACTTTTTAAATATTATATAAAAGGAAGCATTTGCCATCATATAAAATGAATGTCAGATGAATTAAAGATCTAAAGATTCAAACAATCATAATGTTGAAGTAGAAAAGCCTTTCGTAGGTTAGCACACAAAGTAAAAACAAATGACAGATTTGTCTACATTATATAAAACTTGTATAGGGCAAAAGATACCATAAGCAGTGTTAAAAGGTAAACATATAAACAACAAACTGGGAAAGACATAAACAGCAGACAAATGCACACACACACACACACAAACACACACACACATATACACAAAGTGGGACAGGTGAAGAGACAATTTACATAAAAGGTACTAGAAATAGCCAATAAACCCATTGAAAAATGTTCAACCTCATTGTATTAAAAAAATCTGAGAAACAAAATAAGAGTTTTCTAATATTTTAGATTGACAAATATTTATATATATTTTTGGCAAGGCTGTGAAAATATAGGATCTCATATACTCTTGGTGGGAAGACAAACTGGTACAAATCTTATGGAAAGCTACTTTACAATATTTATCAAACTTTAAAACATTCATATCATTTCACTTCTAGGAGTTTCCTCCTACAAAAATATTGGCACTTGGGTAAAAGACATATACTGAAGCATTATTTCTAGCAGTATAAAATTGGAAATTACCTAAATGTCCCTAAGTAAAAGAATGGTTAATTAAATATTCGTGAATATATTAAATAGTATATTATATACTTATTAAAATGCATAAGGCAGGTCTATACTTATTATCATAAACTCTATATTGATTAGTGAGAAAAGCAAATTATAAAAATTTTATAGTATGATGTCTTTGAAAAACCTCTGTGAATTATTCCATATACATTATGTGTGTAGGTGTCTATGTACTATTGTGAATTATTACATATATATATTGTGTATGTGTCTGTGTATGTGTGTGCAAGGGGCTTGTTGAGAGAGCTGAACCCAGTAACCAACAGAAAATGGCTGTGGGGTGATTGTTTACATGCCCCCCAACCCCATTCATATGCTGCTATATCAGGCAAATCCCAAAGCTTCTTTTCTGATCACTTGCAGCTATTAAGAAATCCAGCCAGTAAAATGAAAACTTCAACTTCACATCCAATTGAAAACTTCTCCTCTCTTGCCAGCACAGGCCTAATCCTAGTTTCTAGGATTAATCCTAATCCTAGCGGGGTAGAGAGAATGTCTTCTCTTACACTCTTCCTTTCTTTCCTCCTACCGTTGTTGATGACTCCAACAGGGTCAAGTCCTGAAAAAGGAGGTGTCAGCTGAGTACGGTGGCTCATGCCTGTAATCCCAGCACTTTGAGAGACTGAGGCGGGTGGATCACCTGAGGTCAGGAGTTCAAGACCAGCCTGGCCAATATGGTGAAACCCCATCTCTACTAAAAATACAAAATTTAGCCAGGTGTGGTGGTGGGTGACTGTAGTCCCAGCTACTCAAGAGGCTGAGGCAGGAGAAGTTCTTGAACCCGGAAGGGGGAGGTTGCAGTGAGCCAAGATCATGCCACTGCACTCCAGCCTAGGCAACAGAGGAAACTCCGTCTCAGAAAAAAAAAAAAAAAAAAAAGGAGGTGTCAAAGGAAAAGGACAAAATGTCTTACTCAGCCAGTGCTGGCTGTGATAATCCCATCTGTCATGACAGGCATCTAAATTCTGGCTCCTTCATGGAAACCTTTATGGGAACCTTCAACATTACTGAGGGAGCCACTCTCCACTTACCCTCCTGCAACTTCTCACAGTGGTTCACCCTACAAGCTCATACTTCTGGGGTCCCTCCACCCTAACAGGCCACTCTTTGGAGCAGATTTCTGTCAAGATGTCTAAAGTCCAGTGGATCTCTACGCATGACGCTCACACATTCTTTTTCCACCATATACAACTTGTCAAACTGCTGACTCTCCCCAGGATGTGCCATCCCGGGCAGCCCTAGCCAGACTCCTGCCTTCAGTCTTCACCTACAGGAAAATAGTCACCTGTCACTACAGGCATGTACACCCCAACTCCCACAGACACACTCGAGGCTCCCCCATATAACCCTCCAGTCTCAGTCCACCTCAGTGCCCTGACCAGGATGAGCTTCCAATACCCCAGCTCAGCAGGTATTCGGCCAAGGAATAGAGTGCCCATTTCCTCCCACACAGGAATGAGCTATTCACATAGGGAGCCCCCTAACTGGGCCTGAAACAGAGGAGGAGAGAAAAGCTAACGACCTCTCTACTCCTACAAATTCCCTTCAAATACTCTTATTTCAAATTGATTTCTAGTCTACTTTTACTAGGCTGTTAGTATTTATGTCACTGGTCTCCATTTGCTTTGTTTTAGAAAATCCTATGGGGTGTATTTTGTGCTTCTCTTTAGAATACGGGGACCCTTATCACCAATTGTTTTCAAATTTAATGCGTTGACTGCAAATCTGAAACAATAGGAAATATCCCATTTAGCACTCTGTCCCGTTTATGCCACACACACTCTCATGCACGCACGTGCGCACGTGTGCAAACACATGTAGTTTGTTGAGCGGAACAAGATCTAGGATACCCACAAAGTGTTAACGCCGGTGATCTCTGCAGTAGAATTGCAGGCCAGTGTGAATGGTAACTTTTACTTTTCACTCTATTTCTGTATTATTGAATTTGCTTATAATAACCATGCAATTCTTTTGTAATTAAGAAAAGAATAAAATAGTAATGGTAGTAATAATAATAAAATATTGATAAATGCTGGCAGTCTTAAGTCTCAAAGTACCAGGCTATACTAGATGCCTTATTAACATAATGTGTTTTAATCCTCTCCACAGCTTCATAATTACAGCCTTTTCACAGATGAGGAAACTGAAATTCTTTGGTCAATTTAGTCCAAGTTCTAATCTGGGCTTGGCTTAAAAAACAAGGAAGTCTGCCTCCAGAAATCCATGGCAATTTAATCTTTCATAGCACTTCATAGCAGTGCCCAAGTGACAGGCAGAGAAACAGTGTTGTTGACTTGACTACAGACTGTGAACTGCTTTTGTGCACCTGTTGCACCCAGTACGGTGTGCTGTGTAGGTGTTTATAAGATGTTCCATAAATGCTTGTTGGATGGGTTGGGAGATCATATAATTTATCATTCAAATCAGGACACTTCTGATAGTGAAAGTGGGTGCTATTCATAGTTACATAGGTACAACGTGAAAAATCAGTACTGTTATGCACAAAGGAGTTGCACAAAGGTCACCCTGTTGGTGGAAGGAAGGAAGGAAGGAAGCAAGGAAGGAAGGGAGGGAGGGAAGAAGGAAGGAAGGAAGGAAGGAAGGAAGGAAAGAGAGAGGGAGGGAGGGAAAGGAGAGGAGTAAGAATACAACCATGTTGTTTTATGATCCTGCAAATCTTTGAGTAGTGAATAAAGCTTATTCTTCCACAATTAAAGGCAAGAATCTTGAAAATAAAACAGACCTGCAGGGAGATGGTATATTTGTGTAAACAAGTTTCAGTTATAAGTTAGACATTTTAAGGCTAGGCACGGTGACTTACGCCTGTAATTCCAGCACTTTGGGATGCCAAGGCGAGTGAGTCACTTGAAGTCAGGAGTTCAAGACCAGCCTGGCCAACATGGTAAAACTCTGTCTCTACAGAAAAAAAAAAAAATAGCCGGGCATAGTGGTGGGCACCTGTAATCCCAGTTACTCAGGAGGCTGAGGCAGGAGAATCACCTGAACCTGGGAGGTGGAGGCCACAGTGAGCCAAGATCATGCCACTGCTCTCCAGCCTGTGCAACAGAGCAAGACTCCATCTCAAAAAATTTTTTTTAAAAATTTAAGTCTTACATTATAAAAGAGGTGGGATGGAAAGTAATCTGGAAGAGAAGGCTGAAAGAGGAGTCTGAAGATTAAAAAAAAATAACTGTTTATTTTCCACTTTTGACGGACAGATAGTGACTGTGTTAGGAGACCCAGTGAGGCATCCAAGAGAAAATGCCCTATGAACAAAGTTCTTTCTAACAATTCATCTGGGGAAGGAAACGAGCTGGGAGAAGAGTAGGTCTTCTCTGTTGAGGATTGTGCTAGAACCAGGTCAGAGGCAGCAGAGATGCCAGTTCATACGCAGGCCCAGCTGAGGCGCATCCAAACCTGTCCCCTCAGCTGGGAGGAGCTGGGCATGAAGGAAGGGCCAGAGCTGGGGAGTCAGAGTCAAGCCCTAGACACACTACTTGGGCAAGTTGTGCCTCACTTTCCTCATCTGTCCATCTGAGATGAAAATAGCCACTTTACAGAATAAGGTGGAAATTCAAAGAAACAAAATGTAGCAGACACATGCCTCCCTTACCATGGCCATTGTCTTTAAAGTACAGTCCACCTGTTCTGGATAAGGGCGAGCAGCTGAGGACACGTGCTCAACTAGTCAATGCTGTTTCATATCTGATGCTGATGCTGTGGACAACAGGGGACTTCATGTCATTGTTGTCTCCCAGGTCACATCATGGGCTGAAAGATAGCTTCGGCTTTCTGAGAACATGGCTCTGCATCCCACCATTTACTTCCCTCTTCCGAGGGGATTTTCCTCTTGGAATCAGGCTCTTCATTCTGTGGAATCTGGAGCTTCACCAAGAGGCAGGCTGAGTGTGCAAGGTTGGGCATCCCTGGTTATACTAACATTGCAACTTGTGTTTACAACACAAGTTAGGGTAAGGATGCGTCTATGTGAGCATGTTCATGCGTGTGCACACACATGTGCATGTGTGCATGCAGGCATGTTCATGTCTGCGTGTGCATATATCTTTAGTGGGAGAGAAAGAAGGAGAATGGAAAGGACCGAGCCCACTGATGTACCACAGATTATCTCCCAAGCAGGACCCCCTGCATCTGGAATATTCACTTGTTCCCAACATGCAGGGAGAAGAAAACTAATTCACAGATACACCATATTATAAATCTAAATTTTTAATGGCATTTTATGTTATTAAACCCTAATGAGAAAAGCCTGAGCAGAAGAGAAGTCTAGCTTATTAAGCTCATTTTTTGCTCTATTTTTCTTTTTCTAAAGAGATTCAAATTCAAAGTCTGCACAACAAAGGAGCGCTCATTCCCCTTTATGGAGTAATATGTTTGTTTTGTTTACTTTAAATTGGGCTTAAATTAGGCCTCAGAAGGAGGGAATTCATTAAAATCCTGCTCTGTGATGTTGGCAGGTTGCCATCTGAGAGGCCTGTATTACTTCTCTTGATAAAGTTCAAAAGAGAAATAACAAATGCCACAAATAAGAGGATGGTTTTACTCAGTGTGCCAATTTAAAATGTTTTCATTAGAGTATAAAATCATAAAATTAGAAAGATGAAACTGATTCTTGACAGGTAGATCTTTCCCCACTTAAAATATACACAGATATTGTGTATACTATGTGTATTTCCTTCTAATATTTTTAAATAAAGATATATACACACAAACCCAAGAACACACATGTGTTGTAAAACTGGTATCTTGCCTTATGCATAAATATGGGCCCTGCTCTTTTTCATATGATCTTATATTGTTATCATTGCTTCTGCCACTGACTATTATTTGAAAACAATATTTCTTTAAATGGCTATATAATATCCCACCATAGTCAGGCATAAATCATCATTAAGAGTTCCCTTTCGTTGTTTGTAAAGATTATGTCTAATTAATCACCATTTTAAGTACGTCTGAGAAGTAGCCGTTGTTTAAATATAAACTTGAGACCAGCTATGTCTTTAAACTCTTAGAAATGGAGTTTTCATGTTCAAAGAGGTGCTCATTTTAAAACTTTTAGGACTTTTATCGTGAAATGCCCCCCCCCATGAAATTTGTCACTGTATGGCTCCCACTAGAGGGGAGGTAGGCTGAGATCTCACTCCACCCGCACCAGCCTTGAGCATCATTCATTTCAATCATGCTGATTTATGTGTGTCCACTGCAAATTTTTTTATTATTATTTATTTATTTGTTTATTTTTAGATGGAGTCTCGCTCTGTCGCCCAGGCTGGAGTGCAGTGGCGAGATATGGGCTCACTGCAACCTCCACCTCCCGGGTTCAAGTGATACTCCTGCCTCAGCTTCCCGAGGAGCTAGGATTACAGCTTAACTGCATGAAATTTATCTCCTGGGAAGTGTAAAGTAAGACTCTCACTTGAATTTTTCAAATATGCAATTACTTCAGTACTAGTTTTTGAATATTCTCTTTCCTGTTATTTGTAAATTTTCTTTCATCACACATTATTTATGATTCTACAGCTTTCCATTCTGTTCCACTTATTTCCCTATTGTTTTTTGCAGCTTACCTAAAAGTTAAGGTAGTTGGGTAATTTATTTTGATATCCGATGCTTCACATTTGTTTTAATTTTTTTCTATATTTTCTTAACTATATCCTCATGTTTGTCCTTTCAGATGAAATTCAGAATCCATTTGACAAGCTTCCCCACTGATTTAATGTCCTACTGAAATCATGCTGAACCTACAAATTAGTTTGGGGAATGCTGTTTCCTGTTTTTTGTTGTTTTTTTTTTTTTTTTTTTTTTTTTTTTTGACGGAGTCTTGCTCTGTTGCCAGGCTGGAGTGGTGCAGTGGTGCGATCTTGGCTCGCTGCAACCTCCGCCTCCTGGGTTCAAGCCATTCTCCTGCCTCTGCTTTCTGAGTAGCTGGGATTACGGGCACATGCCACCATGCCCAGCTAATTTTTGTATTTTTTTTTTTTTTAGTAGAGACCGGGATTCATCATGTCTGTCAGGCTGGTCTCGAACTCCTGACCTCAAATGATCCACCCGCCTCAGCCTCCCAAAGTGCTGGGATTACCGGCATGAGCCACCGCGCCCTGCCGGGGAATGCTGTTTCTATACTTAGCACTTGGGAACATAAGTTTCTAAAGTAAGAGTTCAAATCTACTGTCTGCTATTTTCATGTTATGTGACCCTGGGCAAATTACTTGATCCTCCCTAGCTTCAGTTTTCTTCCCTGGACTATAGGGTCATGGTGTCATCATTCATAGTCTCTTTCCAGCGTGACACAAATGGGCACTCAATAAATACTTATCTGTTAAGAATGAATAAATTATTGAATGAATCCATCTATATTCCTTCCAGAAATATGAGGATAATAATTCTTAGGTTATAGATTATAAGCGCTAAAAATTAAAAATGCCTAGCATAGTGGCAGATACATGTTTAGTGTTCAATATATGGTTATTATCGTAATTATTGTATTTATAATATTTAGTCATCTTATCTGGAAATATGGAATGTCTCAATTTATTCGCATTCTCTTTTGTGTATCTCAGTACACTTCTATCATTAATACCATACATGTTTACTTATTCCTAGGTATTTGCTAGCTGTTAAAAATATATTTTATTACATCTTCTCACTGTTTGTTAAAATGGCTGAAAACCTAAGTCCATAGGTGTCCATGCTTTATTCCAAAGTGAGAGATACTTCACCTTCTAGGATTATCAAAGGAGACAGCTGAGAATCATTTTTATGATGCTTATCCTGTTATCCTCTTGAGCATCTATCAGGATTAAAACTGGAGAGGTGGGGAGAGTTTGCAAATTAGAGACTTTTTAGAAGAGAGAGCAGTGTGCGTGCTTCATCTCATCTATCCCCTCTACCACCACCCCACCAACACACGGAGGACACGCATGAACCCTAAGGAAGAGTGTAGGATGCTTGCTTCTCAAGTCAAGTGAAAGTAGCTCCACTGGGGCCACTCAGAAAACTGGTTGTGTGTGTCCTGAGCTGGGGACACCGTGGTGTAGAATCTGATTCATGCCTGAGGCATCTACAGGACAGAAGCCACAGCAGCCTCCAGCAGAGAGTAGATGCGGTGGTTGGGAAGAAACTGCCCCCCATCGACAGCAGATCTAAGAAATCTGTTTTTCCTGGGACCAGGTAAGAACCAGTAGGGCTATCTGGCAGCACAAGAAGACTTGAACAGGTCAGGTGTGTGGCTCATGCCTGTAATCCCAGCACCTTGGGAAGCCCAGACAGGAGAATTGCTTGAGGCCAGCAGGTCAAGACCAGCCTGGGCAACACAGCAAAACCCCGTCTCTACAAACTAATAATTTTAAAAATTAGCTGGGCGTGGTGTCACATGTTTGTAGTTCCAGCTACTTGGGAGGCTGAGGCAGGAGGATCACTTGAGCCCAGGGAGTTGGAGACTGCAGTGAGCCGTGATCAGACCACTGCACTCCAGCCTGGGTGACAGAGTGAGACTCTGTCTCAAAAAAAAAAAAAAAAAGTGTGAGAAGTCCAGGTGTACATCCTCCAGGTAAGGAAACTGGAAGTGAGAAAACCAGAGAATCTCCTTAGTGTTAGGGGTTCTGCAAAGTACCCACAAAGCATTTCAAGAGAAAGTGCCCTTAAAACATCTCAGAGCCCAGAGAGTGGCAATGCACAATATCAATCAAAGAAGACATTCCCTGCCCACTTGCCACCTCCTTTCTCCCACCCTCGTCCCTACCCATTTTGACTCTGGAAGTATTAGCAATGGTATTAGCAAGTGGGTGAAGGAATAGAAACGCTCACCCAAAGCTAGAAAATGGGAGCTTTTTGTTTAAATTTGCAGTTTGGACTTTGAACTGGACTGAGAATATTTACAGGATTAAAGTGACCCAAAGAGTTTTTAATTATCTCAAAGAGGCCTGAAATATTACAGGGCCCTTCCTGGAATGTATCCAAAAGGGTAGGAAAGAATGTGCCCTTCCAAATGACTGTGCAGTGCAGGGGGAAGAACGGAATCAGGTTGTTGTCTGCTATATCCTTCCAGTTCCTATGTTCAACATAACAGTTGCATTTGTTTACATTTTAATATTTTTATAATAATAAATAAGAAAAGAAATCATGAAGATGGTCGAGCAGTTTAGGAAACTGAAATCCAATTAATTAATCATAGAAAGTTTACATAGCAGAAGATATTTGTAAAAGTGCCCAATCAAACCAGTAAATCAAAGGATGGACCATTAAGGTTATCTGCTCCATTGTTCCATCTATGGACCGAGTTACAACTAAAGCATCCATGTCAGATGAAACTCCCCTGTTTAAGAAACCTGTAAAGGAGCTCAAATCAAGTAAAATCTGATGGTTTCTGAGCAGGGCCTTTGCCAGGGAGAACCCCTAACGGAAAGAGTGGACATTAATTACCAGGCCATAAAACTCATGAACGCAAAGAACATAACTTTGCAAAATTGTTCTCTAACTCAGCTTCATAACTAGTCAGGGCCTTCATTCTATCTGAATAGATTGTAGCAAACCATCTATTCCATGCAGATAAATTCAGTCAATTAGCTGATTTTCTTTCCAGGAAGTACAAGCTAAGACTTAGTGACTTAGTGTCTTTCCAGGAAGTACAAGCTAAGACTTAGCTTTTGGGGGTGGGTGTTTTGCCCACCCACCCCCAAAGTAGCATCTAACTATGGGGAGAGTTTTGGTGGGATAGGGTATCTGGTCTGCAGCTTTCCACCTATATCTGATGGAATCTGCTGGGATATAATTCCCCTTATATAAACTCTGGTCATTGCCTTGGGTCCCTTCTGTATCTACTAGCACAGTGGTCCCCAACCTTTTTGGCATCAGGGACTGGTTTCGTGGAAGACAATTTTTCCATGGACAGGGATGGGCAGGGGAAGATGCTTTTGGGATGAAACTGTTCCACCTTAGATCATCAGGCATTAGATTCTCATAAGGAGCACACAACCTAGATCTCTTGCATGCACAGTTCACAATAGGGTTCGCGCTCTTACGAGAGTCTAATGCCGCCACTTATCTAACAGGAGGCGGAGCTCAGGCCGTAATGCTTGCTTGCTCACCCACCGCTCACCTCCTGCTGTGCAGCCTGGTTCCTAACAGACCACGGACCAGTACTGGTCCACAGCCTGGAGGGTGGGAACCCTTACACTGGCATATTCTGTCCTGCCTTACCTTCCATTGGTAGGAGCACAGAAGCCATCCTTCTTGTTCTGATGGCCAAGTTCTTGGGTAAGCAAATCTTATTAGAGTAGGTAATTAGGCAGATATGAGCAGGGCAGGAGAGCCCCCCCAGCCCACCCCCCCATTGCTACTGCCACCCACTCCTAAGAACATTAGGCAACCGTCAGGTGATGGCGAGGCCGGGCATGTTGGCTCATGCCTGTAATCCCAGCATTTTGGGAGGCCAAGGTGGGCAGATCACTCGAGGTCAGGAGTTTGAGACCAGCCTGGCCAACATGATGAAACACTGTCTCTACTAAAAATACAAAAATTAGGTAGGTATGGTGGCATGTGCCTGTAGTCCCAGTTACTTGGGAGGCTGAGGCCGGAGGATCACCTGAGCCTGGGAGGTGGAGGTTGCAGTGAGCCAAGATTGAGCCACTGCACTCCAGCCTGGGTGACAGAGTGAGGACCTATCTCAAAAAAAAAAAAAAAAAAAAATCCTGTCTAGCTGAAATAATGATTGGCTACAGCTGGCACCAGGGAAAGGCATTCTCCCAGTAGATAGAAAACACCTGAAGCTGGTGATCAGCAGCTTCCTGTAAGATCCCAGGAGTTTGGCAAGTGGGTTCAAGCATGTGCACTAAGAGGCAAAATAGCAGATTTTAACCAGTATATGACCTTTCCGCTAGGAACACTCGACTGGTAAGGGAAAAACACCTCAAGTGATTATGCATACAATGTCAGTAAACACACTGCAGCCTCTCATAAGTGCTGGCAGGCCACTGTGCATGCGGACAGTCTGATCCAGGGGAAAAATGAAGAGAGGAGAAACAGAAACCCCAGAACCATGCCAATGTATAAAACCCAAAGTTAAGGGCCAAATAGCACACTTGGATCTCTCAAGTCAACCACTTGGCCCTCTTCCATGAGTACTTTACTTCCTTTCATTCCTGCTCTAAAACTTTTAAATAAACTCCCACTCCCGCTCTTAAACTTTCCTCGGTCTCTCACTCTGGCATATGCCCCTCAGCCAAATTCCTTCCTCCGAGGAGGCAAGAATCAAGTTTGCTGCAGACCCCCCCAGATCCGCCACTGCTAGCATACTGTCAGCCACTCTAGGTCCCTCTAAGGGGCATGTAGAACTTTTGGACGTTGCCCCTTGCCTCTCAGATGTCATAAGAGCCTATTGGGTGGGGGGATGCTATCTCAAGCCCTCCCTGCCTAGACCTGCCTTATTCCCACTTATGCTGTACAGCTACTCTCCAAAGCAGGGCTAGGGGACTTCTCTAAAGCATTGCCACCCCCTCAGGCTTTATCTGGGGAGGAAGCTACACAGCTCCTCTATTCTTGGGTTGCCCTCCCTGTCTGGGCTCCGGTCTGCTATCATCTATCCCTTCCAGGCTTATTCCCAGGCAGGCAGACAGGGCCAGGCCTGCCTCTGGGTCTGACTGGCAGCTAAGCTCCCTTATCCTTCTCTGAAGCTTCTCTTTACCCAGGCTGTCACTTTCCATTCCCAATATATAGAGGGAATTAACTGTATACCTGGCTTTCTGCAGAGTTTTAGCCTTTGAAACTTAAAAAAAAAAAAAAGAAAAAAGGAACCAACTCATCTTTTGCCTTTTCCAAAAAAATAAATGCTTTAGATTTAAAAACTAATGCCTCTGCTCTGAGTTTCAAGAGTCCATTTGGAATTCAAATACAAGAAGGAAAAAGAATTCACCTCTTTTCTTATTTCCTTATGCCTCCCTTTCATGAATGCTCTCTGAGGCAATTAATGCCGCTGAGTCAAAGGAAACAGGTCACGGTGTGAAAGAAGGAACCAAACTTTATTTAATATTTCTGTAATACTTACGTTGCAAATCTCCAACCATCTAACAATACTCACCACATGCACATCCACTTCCTTTCTATTCTAGTTTCCTGAGCCTAAGGGTAGGGAGAGAGACATGTACATGTTCATTAATTGCCAAAAAGTACACTTCAAAGCAAACTGAAGTGATGGAGATCAGCCATGACAGATTTCTTCCAAATCTTTGCTCTCCTACACCAGAAGTATCCCTGGAAACAAAAGGCAGAAATAAAGACATTCTTACCTGAAGGGAATTATTGATCAGTACCAGCTCTGAGTACTCAGAAAATTATCTGCTTACATGCAATTTTAATTTTATAAATTTGACAATGTGAGATAAATGATAAAGAAATTCTATCCCAATGGGTCCTACATATTGGACAGTGAACATATTTTTAACTTTGTAACAAAGGGAGATTAATATACCTCCAACATGAAATGACTTTGGAATTGTCCAAAAAGTGAACTGAGGAGATATATTAATTAAATTCTCCCTTGAGCCTCAAGAAGGTGAGGAGGGCCTAGAAGGTAGGCTTGAGCAAAATTCTCCAACAACCACAATTGGAATGTAAGCAGAAGGAAACAATCTCTCGTTCTTTCTCAGATGAAAGGAAAATGGCAATCTTTTCTAGCCTATCTTTCTCTATTTGAAGGACTAACCTGCAGAAAAGAAATTAGACTCATTTGGGTGTCTTCCTCCACAAGGCAGAATTAGGTTTAAGTTTCAGGGAGGAACATTAAAAAAAATATATAGCCTCATTGCTCCAAATCACAATTAGCATGTTTCAAGCAGGATGAGAAGCAAGAAAAAATAAAAGGAGAGAGATCAAGGCACTGCTAAGGCACAGAGAACAATGGCAGTGGCTTGACATCATATCTTCAGTAAACATGTTGACTCCAACATTCTCCTGTCCATGCCCTTCCCTTGGCAGACCCTGTCGGGTGGGAGTTCATGCATTCATTTCTTGCCATTCTGTCATGTTGTGACCTCAGTTGCCACTTGGTGGCTTCTACCATCAGGGCTTCTTTTGTACCCCTCTGCTGCATCCCCGGCCTTCGGGCTATATTACTCTAGCCTGATGGGGGGAAGTTTTTACCCCTGCTAATATGATAACTTCTTTACAAGCAATCCCAAAAAGCAGACTGGCTCTTGTCATTTTCATTCACTCATGAAGCATGTGTTCAACAAATACTAAATTAGCAGCTATGACATGCCAAGCACTGGGCTTGGAACTGGGGGCACAGTGGAGAAGAAGGCAATGATGGTCACTGACCTCGTGGAGCACACAGTCTAGTATTGTTATTGCCGCCCTTTCCCACTACACCTCAGATAAGTTCCTCAGGTGCAGAGAAACAAGTGGTAGCACCTCCTGGGCCGAAAGTATTCATTCCCATCCAGCATCTTATGACTTTCTCATCTCTCCCCCTTAGAATGAATTTCCTGCTCACTCAGGCACTTTCCCTCACATGCCTTTTTCTACTACCTTTCTCAAAGATTTTTATCACCATGTCACAGAAACCAGCTTTTAGTCTATTTTTGCATTACTATAAAGGAGTACCTGAGGCTGGGTAATTTATAAAGAAAAGAGGTTTAATTGGCTCATGGTTCTGCAGGCGATACACAAAGCAGAGTGCTGGTATCTGCTTCTGGTGAGGGTTTCAGGAAGCTTACAATCATGGCGGAAGGTGAAGGGAAAGCCCTTGGGTCACATGCAAGGGTGGGACCAAGAGAGGGGTAGCAAGAGAAGAGAAGGAGAAGGCAGGCTCCTTTAAACAACCAGTTGTCATGTGAACTAAGACAGTGAGATCTCACTTACCACAATAGGGAAGGCACCAAGCCATTCATGAGAGATCCACCCTCATGATCCAAGCACCCCCCAACAGGTCCCACCTCCAACATTGGGGTTTACATTTCAACATGATATCTGGATAAGGCAAACATCCAATATCACCAGCTCTCCATTACATTTCTCATTATTTTTCCCAAGGGGCCCATAGGGTCATTATGAAAACAATTAATAAAACATTATGATAAACAATTAATTTCTTTATCCTTTTAATTCAGGATAGTTCTTTTATTCTTCCCCCAAATCCTACACTGCAGGGACAACCAGCATTCCCTTTCTTCTTAGGGAAAGATATGGTTTTCCTGGTCAAAATCTAGTTAGATAGTCAAAATCATAATTTCACCTTGCCCATAGTTGCCTATTCTGTTCATACTTAAAAGGACATTTGTGGTTCTGAACATCATTCTCTGGGATAAGGAGGCTGGAATGTCGAATTGGGAAGAGGGGCAGGTTTTTGATTGCTGATCTATCAGTGCATATCATGGACCACTCCATCACCAAATGAAGCCCCTGATGACAAACACTACTGAACTGGGGTCAAAAGACAAGCTCATTTCTCCTGTTGATCTTGAAAATATTCCTTCCTTTTGCATATTATGAGGTGTAGATTTTATGGTGAGGGAAGCATGTTTGCAGAACTGAGAAGGAATTGAGAAAGACGTTGCTGTTGCAAGATGGACAGGGCAGGACCTGAATAATTATAAGCCTTCATGAAAGTTTAAACCTCTGTGCTGTCATTATTTGCCTACTCCCATGATGACAGTGTGTTCATGAGGTCAGTAAAATTGACTAAAGATAGCAGAACTGTGTTATCCAGGGAGTTCAGAGTGGTAACAGCTGAGAAGAGGACATCCTGGTAACAACAACAAAAGAGAGTGTTGGCTTAACTGTTTTGAATGCACAGGTGTAAAAGTGATGCCTAGAAAGTATAGTGATTTTATTGACTAATAGCAGAATCATCTAAGTGGGAGAAACGATGAAATGCACCCAAGATTTCTGAGAGTTTGACAGCAAAATTAATGCATAAATATGATATGAAAAATTTTCCTGGATGAAGGAAAAGGCAATTTTGTACCAGCTTAATAAAAATTAACCTAACCAAAGAAAGTCTATGGCAATAGAAGAGGGTTGTTTAGCCAAAAATGTGTAGAAAAATGGGGATTGCAGAGGCAAAATTTGGCATTGTGTGCTCAGTTCTTTCCAGGGGAAATCTGGGAGAGTCGCCAAAGCCTGTGTGCATTTCCCTTCAAGAGGCCATATAACGTATTGGTTAAGAATGTCTCTAGGATAGTCAGACTAACCTGGTTTCAACACCAGCGTCCTGACTGAATTAATTAATTAATTACTATCTTAGACAAGATATTTAAATTATCTGAGCCTTAGTTTCTTCATCTAAAAATTCAAGATAATTATAACAGTTCCTTGTTGCTTCTTCTTCCTGGGCACACAGTGAGAGCACGTTTCCCAGCTTCTCCTGCAGTTTTAAGGGTGGCTATGTGACTTATTTCTAGCCAGTGGAATACGAGCAGAAGTGTTGTTCAACCTTTCCAGGCCCGACCCATAAAAACTTCCCATATGCAATCTTCCTTCCTCTTTACTTTTCCACTGGCTAGATGTTGCAGAACCTCCAACATCCCTGGTAGCTGAATGACTGTGTGGAGCAGAGCCCCTTTGTCAACCTGGAATCACCTTTCATTTGGGGACTTATTTGATATTAGCAGTTAGCCATCTTAATTCATACACTACCTAATTATTTTAATTAAGTTATTTATTTATTTCTATAGGTTTTTGGGAAACAGGTGGTGGTGTTTGGTCACATGAATAAGTTCTTTAGTGGTAATTTCTGAAATTTTGGTGCACCCATCACTAAAGCAGTGTACACTGTACCCAATGTGTAGTCTTTTATCCCTCACCCCTCTCCCACCCTTTCCCCTGAGTCCCCAAAGTCCATTGTATCATTCTTATGCTTCTGCATCCTCGTAGCTTAGTTCCCACTTATGAGTGAGAACATACAATGTTTGGTTTTCCATTCCTGAGTTACTTCACTTAGAATAATGGTTTCCAATTCCATCCAGGTTGCTGCAAATGCCATTATTTCATTCCTTTTTATGACTGAGTAGTATTCTATGGTGCATATATATATACACACACACATTTTCTTTATCCATTGATTATGGGCATTTGGGATGGTTCCATATTTTTTGCAACTGCAAATTGTGCTGCTATAAACATGCGATACACTGCCTGTTTTGTTGTAAGAGGTGAAAGAGATGAGTCCATGTAAAACATATGAGATAGTGCCTGGCACACAGAAAGTGCTTAAAATGTGAAGTGATTATTCTTATTCTGAACTAGACCACCCTTCTTTGAGGCTGATGCAGGTCTGAGGATGGCAAAATTGATAAGTCAGACTCAGCTGTGGTTTTGTTGACTTTTTAAAATGGCCCTTTTGGCTACTAGGCACCACACAGAATATAAACCAGTAAAATACATACTGGCATGAGTAAGCCTCTCTCGAGTAATGTCCAATGCCTCTCTCGAGTGATGAACCTGAGATGGAGTTGGCCTAGCAGCTCAAACAGGGTGAGCAGGTTGTCAAGTCAGAAGAGCCCAGAACTGCACACTCATTGTCTTTATGCCTTTTAACCTTGGCTTGGGAGGTGAGGGGAGAAAGGGGCTATATCGTATCTAGTCTATAAGACGTCACCTAGGTTTGGGTATATATTTTCTTGTTGAACCACAGTTGTGTAATGTTCTTACTTTCATATTTCATTTCTTACCATTTCACTGTGTCCACTGTAGGTTTCAGTGCAACAGCACAGTCCACAACCTACCACATCCTACCATCTTTCTCCCTTCATACAAATTGTTCACTTTCCAAACTGATATGTATTTCAATTTAGCTTTCCTGCCCTCTGTATCTGAAAAAATTATGTCCTGCAGTAAGGACACAAACATCTGCCATAGGAGAGGAATTCATATTACAAATTCTATTTTGATTATACAAACATAATCAGTATATATATTTTGATTGTATAGACATAATCAGTTACCATGCAGCCATGCACCAGTCACTCTCTAGCCCCTACCTTGCATTATTTTTTTCATGACACTTACAACTATCTAAAATCCTATTATTTATTTATTTATTTGCTTACTTTTTTATTATGTGCCTTTTTGCTCTGATGTAAGCTCTATGAGGGAAGAAACTTTATCTTATTTGCTACTGTATCCCAGTATCCAGAACAGTGCCAGTCACAAAGTAGACACTCAAGAAACATTTTTTCCAAATGAATTTATTGAATGTGCAGATGTTTGTCATGGGTGGATTTTCCTGAATTTGTTCAGTTCTGGGGAACTGATCAAAACATTTCTAGACAAACAGAGCTAATTGCTTGGACCCAGGCCATATCTAGTACCGAGATCAGGTTACCTTGTGAGTATCTGGGTATCCAGACAGCTGGAATCTTCAGTCAATGTGACTGCACAGCCATAAAAATGTTTTAGGAATGAATGCAAATTTGGACATTCTCTCTATGTAAATGCATCTAGCTTATTGTCACTCTATTACATTGCAATTCATTATTCCCATTTCTGGTGTCAAAAAAATTACAGCCCTTGAGATACTTAGCTTAGAGGAGAAAACGCTGAGAAGCTGAGAAGAGATATAATCTGCCAAGTACAAGTCTTGTTAAATTCACCTTAAGTCTTTTTGGTTAAGGTCATTAAACTGATGTATGTGAGGAACGCTCTACAACAAAGGATTTTGTGGAGTCTCTCAGGTTATTTTCATAAACAAGAAGGTAAAAGGTGAGTGAATTGATGTATGATTGAATAACCATCTCTGGAGGATGCAGCCGGGGTCTTTGGTTATGAACGTCAACAGATTGGTATAAATACCTGGAATACATTCTGATCAAATCCAGATCATAGAGCTAGGAATGAGAGCAAACACATGGGTGGCAGAATCATGTCCCAGAAATATCTTATTGAGCTGTAACAATGGGCTGAATTTAGCAAGACTGAATTTAATAGAGATACATATCAAAGCATGCACTTGGGTTCAACAAATCAATCACGTATCTGGCTAGCTAAATTAAATTCTTGAAAATCGACCATGCCATTCCCAAGTACACGGCCAATACCCTGAAAAACTCAGTCTCAGACACCTTACACAGCCCAGGTCTAGAGCACTAGAGCCCTACTGCCCAAGGTCACCGGGGTAATCAGCTAATTTCTTTCTTTTTATTTTAGAGACAGGATTTCACTCTGTTGCTCAGGCTGGAGTGCAGTGGTACAGTCATAGCTCAATGCAGCCTCAACTTCCTGGGCTCAAGCTACCCTTCCACTTCAGCCTCCTGAGTAGCTAGGACTACAGGCGCATGCACCAGCTAATTTTTTTCAATGGGGCCTCACTATGTTGCCCAGGCTGGTTTCAAACTCCTGGCCTCATGTGATCCTCCTGCATTGGCCTCCCAAAACACTGGGATTACAGGCATGAGCCACCGTGCCCAGCCTAACTCATTTCTTGACCCATTGGGTACCTCAGTTCCTGATTTTTTGTTCCATTCTTTGACTCTGACTAAACACTTACCCTTTGGCTCTGACCATGGGGTCTCCTCTGCCACTGCGATCCTCTTGTTCTTGCCTTGACTTCTGGCTTACACTCCCTGCCCTGTGAGCCCATTCATTGGGACCCATACTGGCACCTTCTCTGGCCACAGATAGCTCAAGGACAGAACGCTTGAAGCATTGACCAATCTTGGCACACAAGAAGAAAATGCAAGTCCTTAGCCTGCTAGAAGTGCAATGCAAATGGTCTAACCATGAGACAGCCTAATAAAAACACCAGTGTAGGCTTGAGCCACGTTGCTGTATTTGGGTCACTAAGGACAGAGAGGCTGTTGCCTCTCCCTGTCCACTCCAGCAGAGTCAGACCACATCTTGAGCTAGGACCACTTCTGCATACCACATATGCTGTGTATGCCAAGAATTAAAGGTGAGGGGATTTGAAACCAGATTCTACAATCGAATGTCTCCCCTTTATTCCCAGAGAAGAAGGAAACAAGGAATCCCCTTGCTTCTTTAAAAAAAAAATTAGCAAATTACAAAGGTAGGCTCAATGAAGAAATTTGGAGAGGACAAATAAGCACAGAAGTATATGTATGTAAGACCGGGTGCGGTGGTTCACCCCTGTAATCCCAGCACTTTGACAGGCTCAGGCGGGCCGACCACCTGAGGTCAGGAGTTTGAGACCAGCCTGGCCAACATGGCAAAACCCTGTCTCTACTAAAAATACAAAAATTAGCCGGACGTGATGGCACATGCCTGTAGTCCCAGCTGGGGACGCTGAGGCAGGAGAATTGCTTGAACCTGGGAGGTGGAGATTGCGGTAAGCCGAGATCGCACCACTGCACTCCAGCCTGGGCAACAGAGCCAGCCTCTGTCTCAAAAAAAAAAAAAAAGAAAAAAACGTATCTTCATGATTTTTCTTTCATATTTTTCTACTGCAGGTTTATTAGAGAATGCACGTTAAAAATTTACAAAAGTTTAGAGATGGATTTTTGTCTTTTAACCTTGAGAACACAGCAGGCATACTTCTATTCTAATTCTGATGTTTTTTTTTTTTTAAAAAAAGGAAAACATAAATATTCAAAATTAGTTCAAAAGGATGTTCACCTGTTGGCTCCCTAGCCTGAGACTCTGAGCGGTAACCCTGGTTCACCTGGTCACACATCCATAGTGGGACATGTAATTATTTTATCAAGGGCAACCAGATAGCTTGGAAAGCATTTCATTATCCCCAAGTTTTCTTTGATAATGACTTCGTTTTGTAAGCACTGAAATTCATCAGATCCAGCCATGTCATTCAAGGCTGGCTCTAATGTCTCCTTCCCACTCCCCACCTCTGGCATCTTTCTACGCTTTCACCTGGAGAGAGGAGCTGCTCTTGGTTCATTGTGATCCATGCCTTTTCCTCTCCCTGACTTGTGTCAGGTGGCTAACCTGGGGGAGTGCCAAAGAAACAATAACTACGTTTTCATCCTGGTTTGGGGAGGCTGCTAATTTCCCTTGACCTCCAGCTGGTTTCCAAGCTGTTTTAGGAGAGGAAGACAGAGTTTCCAAGTTAGGAGAGGAAGACAGAGTTCCAAGTGAATGCCATCCACATACCACCTTCCCAGACCCCATAGCTCACAGGCCCCCATAGGTCATCAGCTCTTACTTTCTCCCTCTGGAAAGGAATGGAAGAAGAGGTGAAATGTTACTTCATTTGGAAGCCTCCTACCATCTCTATCTGAACCTGGCTCCCTCTCCCTAGGCAGCAAAACCAAATTCCCAAACCTACCTACGTCAGCGATGGCCTGCTTGATATTTCAGAGAAGAGGGACCCCTGAGGACTTCACCTCAGATTCTTGGAAGAATGTGATTCAGTCCACAGTAGCCTTTCAGAGACTGTATACTCAAGCCAGACCAAAGTATCCCTCTTCCCATTCAGAGCCAGTGAGGACCTGTCTCTGTCCCTGCTCCTCCTGTGCCCTCTGTGTGCGGTGTCCTTTCCCATCTCCTGCTGGCTTACATGGCTTCAAGCTCCACCTCAAAGCGTCCTGCACCAGGCATTGCCAGCGATCTCCCCTTCACAATGGTCTAGCTCCTATGGTCTGTGTCTCCTTATTTCTTCTGACCTTCTTTCTTTCACCCCTGTGTTATAAATGTACTTGTTCTAACTTCCCCCACTGGGCTATAGGTTTCTTTATGTTACAGAACACAAACCTACCATTCACTTTTGTTTCCCCTATAGGCATTCAGCAAATGAACCCTTAACCTAAAAGCTGCCCAAGTTTCTGGTGCCCAGGGAAAAGCTGCTTATTTCTGTTTCTTCTGGGGCACTTCCTAAGCTGTCCCTCTTTCAAAACACACTTACTTCCTGCCATCTTCCAATTCTCACTCCCAGGAAGCTCCCGACAGAGCTCTATTTTCCAGAATCAGGGAGAGGCGCCTGGGTTCTTTCCCAGCACACGCCTGTGTTCTACATCCCCACCCAATACCACATTAACCTGCAGGCAGGGGGAGGTGCCAAGCAGTGCCCACAAACAACAGCTCTTCCACGCTCCTCCGTTCCCTCCCCAGTGTAAACCCATCACACGACCTTGCTCCACTCACTTTAGGGAGAAGTTTGAGGCTCCCCTGCAGATGTGCTCCCACTTCACAGGGAGGCAGTGGGCACAGTGGAAAGCTCAGTGGCCCACAAGTTGGAAACCCAGGCTCTCAGCTTTCTCTGACTCTGATATCTTGAAAAGCCATTTCTCTTCCAGATCTTGTCTCTATAAAAATAAAATTAGTGCCTCCCAAACCTTTTCCAGCTGCATAACCCTTTGTTTAAGTGAAATCTTACATGAAAACGAAGACCATTAAAATAAATAAAAACAGAACTGCTCTGGTTGAAATTAAAGAGGATGTGGCTTCATTTCTCTTTCCTTTATTTCCTTACCTCCAGCTGCCCTGATGAGAGCCCCTTGGAACTTTTGGGATAAAGTCCAAAAAACTTCATCCCTACAGGACATTTGAAAAACATTGATGTGCTGCACCCATTAACTCATCATCTAGCATTAGGTATATCTCCCAATGCTATCCCTCCCCCCTCCCCCCACCCCAAAACAGTCCCTGGTGTGTGATGTTCCCCTTCCTGTGTCCATGTGTTCTCATTTTTCAATTCCCATCTATGAGTGAGAACATGCGGTGTTTGGTTTTTTGTCCTTGTGATAGTTTGCTGAGAATGATGGTTTCCAGATTCATCCACGTCCCTACAAAGGACATGAACTCATCATTTTTTATGGCTGCATAGTATTCCATGGTGTATATGTGCCACATTTTCTTAATCCAGTCTATCATTGTTGGACATTTAGGTTGGTTCCAAGTCTTTGCTATTGTGAATAGTGCTGCTATAAACATACGTGTGCATGTGTCTTTATAGCAGCATGATTTATAAACCTTTGGGTATATACCCAGTAATGGGATGGCTGGGTCAAATGGTATTTCTAGTTCTAGATCCCTGAGGAATCGCCACACTGACTTCCACAATGGTTGAACTAGTTTACAGTCCCACCAACAGTGTAAAAGTGTTCCTATTTCTCCACATCCTCTCCAGCACCTGTTGTTTCCTGACTTTTTAATGATTGCCATTCTAACTGGTGTGAGATGGTATCTCATTGTGGTTTTGCTTTGCATTTCTCTGATGGCCAGTAATGGTGAGCATTTTTTCATGTGTTTTCTGGCTGCATAAATGTCTTCTTTTGAGAAGCGTCTGTTCATATCCTTCGCCCACTTTTTGATGGGGTTGTTTGTTTTTTTCTTGTAAATTTGTTGGAGTTCATTGTAGATTCTGGATATTAGCCCTTTGTCAGATGAGTAGGTTGCGAAAATTTTCTCCCATTTTGTAGGTTGCCTGTTCACTCTGATGGTAGTTTCTTTTGCTGTGCAGAAGCTCTTTATACATACGTAACAAACCTGCACGTTGTGCACATGTACCCTAATACTTAAAGTGTAATAATAATAAAATAAAATAAAGAAAAACATTGAATAATCACTGAGGAGTCCTTCTAGTGTGAGTTTCTGATCCCATAATGTCAAAGCTGGTGATAGCTCGATGTGGAAGGAGGTCGAAGGAGGCAAAAGGTGGTTACTGCGGAGAAGCTGAGCTCTACGGCGGGATAAGATCAGCTGCCTACACATGGCAGATGAGCCACACACTGCCAATCCTGGGCCTTACTGGCTGTGGGGCTGCTTTAGGACAGGGACTGCATTCTATTAATTCCTGCATTCTCACCTCTGCACTGTGGCTGGATCAAAGCTGTCCTTTCTCTATCATCTTTGATGACTCTTGCTAAGTTTGAGCTGCTTCCCACACCTCCTCTGATAAAGCATTAAATTCTACCCAGCGTTGCATCTGAGCTAGCTGTGTATATGCCTATCTTGTTACCGTCCTGTAAGACAGTTGAAGGTAAAGATGGTATCTTATCCACCTCTGTATACCAATGGCTGCCACAGCTCCTGGCCTAATGGCGAGCAGTCAGTAAATGTGGGTGAACTGAATGATGGGAACATACAGATTCAGAATGCTGCTGTCCTGGCCTGAAAAATATAAAACATGCACCTTCTCCCATGACTTACATATAAATCCCCTGCTTTGCCCCATACCACATTCTGGACTTAGTTGGAAGGGTGTCAAGAGTTCCATTCCCAACGCAAGCCCATCCGAGTATCTACTCTCTGTGGAGCCTGCTGTCCTTTCTCAGGCACAATGGAGTCCTGAGGGTTTAATTTGGGGTTTATTTTTTCTTCATGTGTTTCAAACTACTATCATTTCTTCCTTTGTCTTCTTCCTTTGAAACAATAACATAGCATAGCATAGCATAACATAGCATAGCATAGCATAGCATAGCATAGCATAGCATAGCATAGCATAGCATAGACATGTTGCATCCAGTCCTGGGCTTGTCCCTTCCATCCTAGGACTGCTTGTCTAGAAATAAGAATTCTAGCTGGTGGCATCAGGTTCTCTGGGGCTCTGGCTCCTCAGCAGCCTCTGGAAGTATATAAAGGGTCTCCATGGTGTTTCAAGATCTGGGTCTGTTCAAGTCACCCTACGAGATTTTGGTTTCATTTGCTCATGATCTAGATCTGTTCTCTGAGTGCTTGCTGCAAGTCAGGCCATCTGCTGCCTGCTTTATGTAGACTGTTTCATGCAGTGCTCATATCTCTTGGATATAGATATTTTTTATCATAGCCATTTTGAAGATGAGGCAACTGAGGGTCACAGAAAGTTTATGACCACAAAATTGGAACTTGAATTTGGATCTTTCCCACCCCTAAACTGCATCTTCACAACAACAGTAAGCAAATGTTTACTGAGCACTTACTACGTGTCTAACAGTAGTCTGAGCACTTTACATGATTCACTCGTTTAATCCTTGCATCACCTTTTGAGTGAACTACTGTAGTGCCAGTTCGACAGATGATAAGACTGAAGCTCAAAGAATTCATAAAACTCACACATAACAAGGATGCAGTCAGTGGCAAAGCTGGAATGTGGCCCCGCCCGGCTCCAGTGAGCACCTACCCACTTCAGGACATGGACACTCTTAACGTGATACTTCACTGTAGATATTGTGGCATCTGTACCAGGTGTCACACTGAAAAAAGGATAAGTGATCACATCCCAGTCTTTCCACCCATGACCATGAGCAGAGAGACTGATCACCAGCCACTGGTAAAGACAAGATAGTCTTTGGCATCAGCCTAGACCCTAATGCTAAGCTATTATTAGCTCTCTCCTAGTTTCCTGCTTCCTAAGATCTCTCATCTGCTCTTCTCAGGCAGACCACATTCCAAAATTGTAAACCCAGGTGAATACTCACATAAGCAAAATATAAATAGGATAATGTACTTGCTGGGAGAATATCATATAATGCAGTCCAGCAAAATATAAATAATTGAGGAGCTATCTGCTTTGGATTATCTGTGCATTTTTCACTGGCAATATATAATGAGACCCCTGTTTAACACTGGGGATGGGAGCAACGCCCTGATGGAATTTGACATGTCCAAAACCAAATTCCTGGCTGTGCTTCCAAGATCTGCTCCTCCCAGCCTCTTCCCCTTCTGGGTTAATGGAAACTCCACTTTCTCCATTGCTCCAGCAACAAACTTTAAGTCACCCTTGGCTCCTTTCTTCCTCTTACACTCCATCTGCAGTTCATCAGCAAATCGCACTGGCACTGCCTTCAGAATACATCCAGAAGCTGATCGTTTCTCACCATCACCATTTGCTACCACTCTAATCCAGTTTCTCTCCCTCAGCTCTACTGACATTAGAGCTGGATAAGTCTTCGTTGGAGGAGGTGACTCTGTGCACTGGAGGATGTTTCGCAGCACCCCTGGCCTCTACCCACTAGACGCCAGCAGCACCCGCTTCCTACCAGCCCGAGTTGTGGCAAACCAAACCTCTCCAGACATTGGCAAATGTCCCCTGGGGTGCAACACTGCCCTTTGTTGAGAACCACTGCTCTAGACTAAGTCATTGTCCAGCTTTCCTTTGGTTTATTGCAATAGCCAACTACTTGGTCTTCCCATCTCCTTGCCCCATTACAGTCTGTTCTCAGTGTAGCAGCCAGAGGGGCTCTTCTGATATGGAGGTTGGATCATGCCACTCTTCTGCTCACCATTCTCCATGACTTCTATCTCACTCACTAGAAGCCAAAGTCCTTCAATAGCTTAAAAAGCCCTATTTAATCTGCACCAGCCCCACTACATATGACCTCGATGACCCCCTTTTCTCTCTCTCTCCTCCTTGTGCCTTGAACTGCAACCTCCCCCACCCCCACCCAGGTCTTCTTGTTGTTCCTGAATACAAAGCACACTCCTGCCTCGGGACCTTTGCCCTTGCTGTTCCCTTTCCTAGAATGCCCTCTTCCCAGATTTCTACATAGTTCACTCCCTCACTTACTTCAGCTCTTTTCTCAAATGTCATCTCCTTGCTTAGAGCTTATCTGACGACTGTAAACACAATTACATCGCTCCCTCCAGCCACAGGTTTTCCTGTTCATACTGTTTTATTTTCTTCTACCCCAAGAGCACTTATTACCATCTGACATACTATATATTTCCTTACTTATTTGTTTATTATCTGTTGGGTTATTGCTGGATCCCTAGTCTCTAGAACAGCACTTGTTTTCATAGTAGTCACTTAATAAATAATACATGGATGAATGACCAGATTATATCAAACTTCCTTTAGAACATCAGTAAGTTCTGAAGAACATGGTTTGATCAAAGAATATTCAAGTCAACTATAACAAGCTTTATTTTCATTAGTTTCTGTTTTACAATGTGTCTTTCCTTAAATACTAGAGGAGGGAAGATAATGCTCTCATTTTACAGTGTAACCATTTAACATTTTCTCAGGCCTATAGAAATATCCCCTTTGTTCATTCATCAAGCACTTATCATGTGTACCACTTGGTCAGCTAGGTTCTTGAAGAATAAACTTAGGCATATGACATACCATGCTCCTCCAGCATAGGGTGGACAGAGGCGAAACCCACAGGAAAGATGAAAAAAGAGGGCAGTAGTTAGACATGGTTAAGATGAGATGGCACTTATGAAGAAGGCATTTCTTGATATGAGCCTGAAGGTATGGTGGGACTCTGGCAGGCAGACAAAAAGGACATTCCAGAAGAGGGCAGAATGAGCTGTGGGTGAAAAGTTGAGTTAATAAGCTTAGAGGAGTTCAGGGAACAGCCAAACAGCCAGCAACAGAAAGTTTAAGTGAGTGGAGGACAATAAGCTTGTAAAGGTGGGTTGGAGTTAGAACACAGAATGCCAGACTCAGTTGGGCCATAGGAAAGCTCCAGAGGGCAAGATACTGCAGAGGTCCCAAGTGTGGGTTCCAGAGTCAGTAAGCTCTTTGCTCTGTTGAACAGCAGTGTCACTCCTCAGTGCCTCAGTTTTGTCTTGTGTCAACTTGAGCAGATGATAGTATTCACCTCATCACTGGTTATTTCGAGGATGAATAACATAACGCACGTATTAACAAGGTGCTTGGTTATGAAGTCTCAAATGTTAGCTAATATTACTCACTATTTTTGTGTGCAATTCAGAAAACATTTTTCCAAATCAGCACCAATTGCTCAGAAATATTTGGTAGGTGATTCCCCCTAGGCTGTGAAATAGCTATGAAAGAAGGACTCAATAAGCTGCTAATGAATAGTCGGGCAAGGTATACAGATGTAAAAAGAAAAACACACTTAGGGATACACAGACATGCGTGTTCTCTCCTCCATCCCCGGACTCCCTTTCATGTCTCTCTCTCTCTGACACACACACACACACACACACACACACACACACACCCCTTTTCCAGATATCCCTCAGCTAGAGCTTTGCAAACAATATGTCATGGTAAGCACACTCCTAACGTAGTTCCTCCAGGGATGATCTCTGAGCCAATATGGAGGAAGATATTGTACTCAGTATTTTCCTTGAAAAGCCTGTGGTTGCTTGGAATGAAGAAAGCCTGTAATAAAATGTGCAAAAATTAATAAAGTAACTATTATTACTGTGGAAGTGAAGTACAAGAAACAATGTCCTAGTTAATTTATTCGTGACCTTGAATTTATATTTTCCTGATTTTGTTACACACTGAATCAATTCTTTATGCAGTGAAAGTGGAAATACATATGAAACTCATAGCTCCCACTTCCTACTCCTGGTTTATAAAATAAGTTTATTTTTCTGTTAATGAAATCTGACTCTAAGGCTACACTCCCTATTGAGAGACTACATTCCTCCCTATGCTAGAATGATCTTTTCTGTGATCACCTCTGTATCCAAAATGGTTGGGAAAATTAAATAAGCTTCTGTAGGGAAAATGCTTAGACTAATGTCTAGCTTTATTCTAATAGAATAGAAAGCCCTCAATAAAAAGTATTTATTATTATTATTCCTACCATCAATATCATTCCTTGCCTGTTGGACTCAGAATTTGGTGAGCCAACCTGAGGCCAAGGATGTCACGTGCATAGTAGCTGTTGAAGCTGCTCACAAATATTCCAGCTCCTTTTCCTTCCTGGCATCAGTAGAACTGACTTATGCAACCACCGTGGTTGTGTGGAAGAACTACATGACAAGTTCTAGCCAATGGGTTGTGAGTGGAAGCAATGAGTGTTACCTCCAGGCACTAATGCAGGACCCTCCAGTGCTCTATTTTCACTCTGCCACGCAATGTCTCAAATAATGGTTGTAGCTTGTATCTCAGTCCTCAAGTGAGAACAATGATGAGATGGAGCACCAACCTGCAATGGGTATGTAGTATGAACAAGAAACAAATCTTTGGCCAGGTAAGGTGGCTCATGCCTGTAACCCTAGCACCTTGGGAGGCTGAGGCAGGAGGACTGCTTGAGGTCAGGAGTTCAAGACCAACCTGGGCAACAAGGCAAGACCCCTGATATGGTTTGGCTCTGTGTCCCCACCCAAATCTCATCTCGAATTGTAATCCCCATAATCTCCAGGTGTCGAGGGAGGGACCTGGTGGGAGGTAATTGGATCATCATGGGGGCAGTTTCCCCTGTGCAGTTCTTGTGATAGTGAGTTCTCACAAGATCTGATGGTTTTATGCTTGACAGTTCCTCCTACACATGCTCTCTCTCTTGCCTGCTGCCATGTAAGATGTGCCTTGTTTCCCCTTTGCCTTCCACCATGATTGTAAGTTTCCTGAGGCCTCCCAAGCCATGTGGAACTGTGAGTCAATTAAACCTCTTTCCTTTATAAATTACCCAGTCTCAGGTATTCTTCATAGCAGTATGAAAACAGACTAATACAACCTCCATCTCTACAAAAAATCTTAAAAAGTAGCCAGGTGTGGTGGTGCATGCCTGTAGTCCCAGCTACTTGGGAGGTTGAGATAGGAGGATCACTTGAGCCCAGGACTTTGAGGCTGCAGTGAGCCATGATTATGCCACTGCATTCCAGCCTGGGCCACAGAGCAAGACTCTGTTTCAAAATAAATAATTTAATTTTAAAAAGAAATAAATCTTTACCCTTTCAAGTCACTGGTATTTGGATTTTTTGTAACTGACCCACTCCAGCCTATGCTGACTGACACATACCAGTAACTTGGTTATCTAAGAACAAGCTACTGCATTACAAGTGCACTGCCAAAGCAGGAGGCCCGGCCTGATATTCCAAAAGATTCTTCACCAGTGGATGTTCCTGCCACAGCATTTCACAAAGTTTTGTTTTCCAGAAAATGTGGGGGAAGGGAAAACAAGGAAGGGTCCCTTATGCTCACCTATGAGCTCCCAATGTTATGGTCATTTCTGGCCAATACTCCCTTGATGATAAGATGGCCCCACCATCAGACACATGCTTCATCCTCAAGTGACAATTGAGAGCCTGATACCAATCACACCCTTTCTCTATCACCATGACATTTCGGTATCTTTTTCTACCTACTGGTCTCAGGGCATACTATCTCCATCAGAGATTTTCAAATAATGTTTAGCATCAAAAGGGAAAGAGAAAGGGAGTTTCCAGGCCTGTAAAAACTTGTCTCCTTATGCAAATATGCTCCACCCTGCCCCGTAATGTTTACATTTTCTATAGCAAGAATTATGGAATGGATGGCTTCGTCATGCCCAAAACTTCCTCCCAATTTCCACACATCAGGCACCTTGACCATTCTCCTGTCCCTTCATAACAGTGAGTAGAATCTTTTGTTGACCATTTCTCAGGACCTTCACCATTTTCTGTCTTCAGGCCTGTCTCCAACTGTGAGAGGTTTTTTAATATCTGGGATTTAAATACTCCTCCTTTCTCTACCCCAAATGCCTGTACAATGTCTGACTTATGGGGTCTCACCTCTGAAGACCCAGCTCAGGTATCACATGCTAATGAAAGTAAGATGCTACCTCCCATCTACCACCAACTATGGTAGAGACAGCCATTCACTCTTTCAGGTCCTCGACCCCCACCCATCCTGACAAACATTCACAACTGGCTGTCTTCTCCTTATAGACTACCTCCCCTACTAGGTTGGGTTCTCCTGGAAAATAGGACTTTTGTTGATTTTTGTTTATTTTCTTCATAGACCCAACAACTAATGAATCTCCTGATCTATCCTTTCAGATCCTTAATGTATGTTTGTTCAACTGTCAAATGAATATACAGCATATATGTTCACAAAAATTCACACATCTAGTTAAAAACTCAAAGTTTAAAGTATGATTTGAGCTGTAGTAAGAAGGATAAGTAAGAAAGACTTTTACAAGGAAAAAAAGGAAGCACAGACAAATAAATACAGGGGTATGAATCCATCTCTGTCTACTGTTAAGACTGTTAAGCTGTGGGCCTTACAGTTTCAGATGGACACTTTAAAGTTTCTAGTTTTGGCCTGTCCAGACCACAAGACAAATACGATGGCACATTATTCCTGTGAGTTCACCCTTGCATCACCCCAAGAGTGAGCGCCTCCTTAAATTTTCCACCCTGGCAGCTGCACTGGCCTTAGGCTGCCCTTGAGAGAATGCCTCAACCTTGAATTGATGGTTGTTAAATACTTAAATATTTTAAAACCTAATGTGTTCGATGAGGTCCCTTCTCCTTCCGGTATGACCATGCCAATTACAGGCATGTTCTGTGTATAATGTGTCTCATTTTGACATACCAGGCAGCAATGTGGATATGCTTGGAATCATTCTTGACTCTTCCCCCCTCCTCTCATATAACTAGCCGAGTGGTGGTGAGACATCCTCCATCCTGCTTTTCTAGGAAAGGGTGAAGTTAGGGGGAGCAGAACAGGAGAGGGAGAGCACGGCAGATGCTGTGGGGTGACAGTAACTGGCTGACTGATCTGTGAACACATGTGAAAGACCCTCGGGTATTCTCTAACTGGTTGAGACTTGGAAACAACGAGCAGGTGGAAATAGAGTCAGAGCAATTTAAATACTTACAACGCATCTATATCCACAGGGTGGTGGGGCCTGGGGCACCTGGTTTCTTACATTTTCAGCATCACTTCTCGCTCCTCCAACACAAACACCCGTCCCCCCCCACCACCATGCCAATAGGTCTTTTCTCTAATCTTGAGAACACCCAATTCATTTCCACCTGTACTCTTCCCCCACTCCCCACCCCCCGAGATGGAGTCTTGCTCTGTCACCCAGGCTGGAGTGAAGTGGTGCGGTCTTGGCTCACTGCAACCTCCGCCTCCCTGGTTCAAGCAATTCTCCTGCCTCAGCCTCCTCGAGGAGCTGAGATTACAGGTGCACGCCACCATGCCCAGCTAATTTTTGTATTTTTAGTAGAGATGGGGTTTCACCATGTTGGCCAGGCTGGTCTCCAACTCCTGACCTCCTGATTCCACCCACCTTGGCCTCCCAAAGTGCTGGGATTACAGGCATGAGCCACCACGCCTAGCCTCCACCTGTACTATTTGGCTCATACTGTCCAACTATCTATACAGCCTTTCCCTTCTCCGGTGCTTATTGTATCTTACCTTAGCAATCCTTCAAGGCCCACTCCTATTTGCTATATTTTTTTTCAACCAATCCCTGCCTCTGCTCTCAACATCTGCCACACTGTATTATCATCCACGTAGACATTTAATTGCATGCTGTCTCATATCATTATTTCAGCGTTTCCCAAGTATTTATCTTGCCTGCCTAACTTGATTGTCTTCCCTCTGAGTTCAGGGGCTTGGTCATGAATATCTGCTGTTTTTTCTGTATGAGCCTTTATGCTTCCACAGACAGTAGAAGTTTTTGATACTTATTCGATGGGTAGATGAAGAGATAGAACGTAAATGTGGTGTTTGCACACTTCCTTGTATATAATTCTGCCATAATGGTATCACTGATTTCTCATTATAACTCAAGTAGTTTTGCTAGATTGGAGATAGACTTTTCTGATGTGTTCATGCTCTTACTCCATCACTGGGAAGGTATACAGTAGAGGGAAAATGCAAGTATACTGCCTACATAATCTTCAGGAAGTCAAGAGCTATCACTTCATCCAGTTTGCCACACCAGAAAGAGGGAAATAATAGCGGTGGGAGTGACAGTAATGATTAAGAGGCATTGTGGTCACTTCACACCATCCATAGGCTGTCTTTTTTTTTTTTTTCTTTAGCTCCCCTCAAAGCACATGGACTAATAGAGTAACACAAACGAATTGGCATAATTCCTTCTCCTGCTATTGTTACTAGTTCAAGTGTGGGCACTTGCCCCAACTTGAGGCCAAGAGTATAGGGAGGATGTTTACTTGCTGCTTCTGGGAAGAAGCACTTTTACTAAATGAGACTTTCCCAAAGCTTTACTTTTTTTTTTTTTTTTTTTTTCTTTTTGAGGCAGGTTCTCACACTATCCCCAAGGCTGGAGTGCAGTTGGGATCTCAGCTCACTGCAACCTCCGCCTCCCAGGCTCAAGTGATTTTCGTGCCTCAGCCTCCTGAGTAGCCGGGACTGCAGGCGTGAGCCACCACGCCTGGCTAATTTTTGTATTTTTTAGTAGAGACGGAGTTACACCATGTTGCCCAGGCTGGTCTCGAACTCCTGAGCTCAGGCAGTCTGCCCGCCTCAGGCTCCCTAAGTGCTAGGATTACAGGCGTGAGCAACCGCTCCCGGCCTCCCAAAGCTTTAGATGAAGCTGACACTATGGAAACCTTGGCAGAAGATTAGAAAGAAACAAGTTCCTGATGGCATTGTTTAGCAGGCAAATCGATGTATCCCTGAAATCCAACATCCAATCTGAAGTTAAATGAGCTTTACCGTTCAAGCCACTTAGAGTTGGACTTTTAGTTAACTTGCAACCGAATATAACCGGCACATATGTACTAACCACAGTGATAATAATATCTGCACTACAAACTCACAATCGGGAGAGTAAAAGCTAATCACATATGTGAAACTGCTGTGTCAGCTTTATTATGCAAGTATTTGTTGCTGAGAGCCTCTTGGTTAAGATACTTTCCCTCAAGAGACAGAACTTGAAAAGAATCTTAAAGATGTGGAGGGCTTCGGTTGTTCATATCGGGATTTTAAAAAACGTCTCAACTGTGTATCAGAAAGCTTAAGACATTAAGATTCAAGCTGAACAGAACAGGAAATGCGGCAGATACTGTACATGACAAACTTTCTAGGAGGAAATGATTTACATAAAAGCTGGTGCCCAGCACAGGGTAAGTGCTAAATAACTGTTTTTAAATGTTATTTGGAAAAAAAAAAAAAAAGATTAATCATCCATGGTACAAAATTTAAAAGTTACATAAGTATGGAGTCTCGCGTCTTCCCTGACCCCCACCCCCAGTCATCCAATATATTTTTCCAGAACTAGTCTGATCATAACATATATACATATATAATTTTTTTCCTCACAAATGTCAGCATCCCAGACACTGTTCTGCATCATTTTTTTTTACAAATCACATAATGTATCTTGAAGGTCTTTCCATATCAGTGTCTAGAGAGCAGAGTCTATTTGTTTTTAAGAGCTGCAGACAACTTCAAGTGTGGCCCAACCATAATTTACGTTTCTATGAATTTAACCGGTGTTATCGTTGGACATTTTGACTGTTTCTGGCCGTTTGTGATGTCCAACAATGATGTAATGATTATCCTTGCAGGGACTTCACTTCGCAGGAGCAGAAGCCCATTTGCAGGATAAATTCTGAGTTGCGGAACTAGTGATTTACAGGGCAGAGGTGCAGTCTTTGTCTTAATTTCTGAATTCACGAATGTTGAATGTGATGAATTCGTGGGAAGCCCCGCAGGGAGCCTAAGCAGCTCTCCAGAGGCTGTGGTTGTCACGGATGATGATTGCGGGACCCGCAGACTGAGTCTCCAAGCGCTCCGCCCCGCCGCGCCCCTCTCCGCGGGTCCCACCGCGGACCCGCCCCTGCGCGCCCCGGGCCAGGAGCCCCTAGCTGCAGGACCAGGCACGTGCGATTCCACGTGAGCCTCCCGGCCGGAGCGCAGATGGGAAGTGCGCATGCGCCTACCGCCTGGAAAGTAGGTCAGACTCCTCCTCTCACGTGACCTGCTCCCCTTAGCTACCCTCGGCGCCTCCCCGCCGGGGCGCAGCCGGGATGCGCTCGGCAGCCAACGTGACGGGGCTGGGCGCGGGCGGCTCCGCGAGCGCCCAGCGCCCGCGAGGATTTGCCGGTTCTCCTCACACCCGAGCGCTCCGCTCAGAAGTCGGGCGGGCAAAAGGGAGCGCCTCGGGAAGTATCTGGGAGCCGGGCTGGAAATGAATGGGGCCCGGAAGCGAGCTCAAATCGCTGACACCTGGCACCGGGCTGCGTCCACTTTCATGCTTCCTAAGGCAGTTCTGCCTGCAAGAAGGGAACGCGCATCGCCTTTCAGTAGATCACACCGATCGTTTGCACGTTTGCATTCTCAATTTCTGCACTATATAGGGCAACTCAGACATGAAAACAATCTTTGTAAGAAGAAGTGGAATGCTAATGGTTCCTGGAGTTTTGCAGGAATATTCCACCGGCCCCATTTCTAATCTCCCACTCACTCCCTCCCCAAAGACACTCCTACTAGAAAGCTTATCGGTAGATTTCTCACCTTCCACAAGAGACTTCAGGGGCGCTGCTGCTGCTGCTGCTGCTGCTGCTGCTGCTGGAGGCTGGAGGGGGTTGGGAGCAGGGAACGAAGGCAGGTCTGAATTAGCTGAAGCTAAATTCTATATATCAGAAATAATTTTATTTATTGCCCCATTGCTTTCTGATTTTTAACTTGTTGCACAAATGACAGACTCTGCCTCAGTGAGTTGCAATCCAGTGGAGGGCACTAACAGGCAAAATCATGGGTTACAATGCAGTGGGCTATACATGTTTTAATAGAGGTGTGCCCAGGTGTTATATAAGCACAGTGGTGGGTACCCTGAGTCTTGAAGACTAAGTGGGAGTTAGCTGGCAGAGAAATAAGGCAGAGGGGGTGGAAAGTGTTCCAAACAAAGGGAATAACTAATAGTTACATAATATTTTCCTCTAAGAAGTTTTTACTATAATTGTCTTAGTCATGCATATGGTTAGAATATGTATTGTTTACATTTATATTATTCTAAGACAGTCTTGAATGAACATTGTTGTGCATGAGGCTTCCCCCCTCCACTTTTAATAACCCCTAGGAGTGGGATTGCTATATAAAAGACACAAATATTTTGTAACTTTTGATAAAGTATTGCCAAATTATTTTCAAAAATATGTTGTACTCATTTGTACCAATATTTAGCCTTCAGTCAGTAAATTGCCCGTTATTTCAAATCAATGAAGCCTTATGACATTAACACTTGATTCATTAGAATATGCCAGAAATCATAATACACATGCATTTCTGCTTTATATGACCCATGACAAAAGTCTAATTGAATTCAAGTTTAAAAATGGGAAAATATCGGATCAGTACATTTCATTCTTACAGGGAACACCTAACATGGACAAGGTGGGAGGTGGGGGCAGGAGTGAAAGTGGGACAAACTAAAGCCTCACCAAATGCCTGTCTCTGATTGCTCTTTTCTTACTGTACGTCTAGGGTAAGAGATAAAGCAGCTCACACAAGCCAGAACAAGCAAAGAGGTTTTCACACCCCTCTGCAAATGTCAGAACAGTAGCAGAATCAAAGGGACCTAGGGTTTGACCTCTTCAGAGGTCACTTTAACTTGCAGCAGAAAAGCTGATCAGGTGTTGATGAATTTCTGGAAGCCTGCAAGCTTCCTAACTCAATTTCTGTTGGCATCTGTATCTGCAAGAAGAAAACAATACTGTGACATTAGAACATTTGTGACGAAAGGTAATGTAAGTAATGTGGACAATGAAAGGAGAACGTATCTTGGTTTTGCCTGTATTAAGCTAGATCACTAAGGAAATCTGAAGCATGGAACAGAGTTATAACTTTTCAAACACATGGTTGTAGTTCATACTGCGGTTATTTTCCTAATATCTATCCTTCACCTTGTGTATCAGTCTTATAATTTCAGCTGGTGGGGGGCCTTACCTCCTCTCTCAGTTCAGGGGTTGGGCTTGACCAAATTAACAAATCAGGGTGGTCCCATTGTTTTTTGTTTCGTTTCGTTTGGGTTTTCTGTTTATTTATTTGCCTTTAAAATTTTATTATAATAACATTTAACATGAGATCTACCCTTCTAAAATTTTTTAAGTGTGAAACATTATTGTTGATTATAGGTGCAATGTTGTACGGCAGATCTCTAGAACTTATTCATCTTGCTTGACTGAAACTTTATGCCCACTAATTGGTAACTCCCCATTTTGTCCCCTCCCCAGCCCCTGGAAACCACCTTTCCACTTTTTGAGTCTTTGAATTTGACTATTTTGAGTTCCTCAGATAAGTGGAATCATGCAGTGTTTGTCTTTCTGTGACTGGCTTATTTCACTTAGCATAACGTATGCAAGGTTCATCTATCTCATTTTATATTGCAGAATTGCCTTCTTATTATGGTTGAATAGAATTCCATTGTATGTCTATACCATATTTGCTTTATGCATTCATCTGTTGATAGACATTTAGTTTGTTTCCACCATTCCTCTTTTTATGAGGATTGAAAGAGTTCCTGCAGCAGATGCACTTAGAAGAGTGCCTGACATATATTAAGAGTACATGAAGTATTAGTTGTTGTTACTGTTGTTATTATTAGTGTAACAATGACTGGTTCAATCAGAGGAAAGCCTGGACTTGTTATAGTTACTCGATGCCATCCTTTCTCCTTGGACAGGAATGGAAGAGCAGGTATAACTACTGATGCCCTCTTTCCACCTCGAGAGGATCCAACCCAACCACACACCTGATAAACAGGGAGAAGCAGAGGAAGCTACACCCTGATCAAACTACACTTGAAGCCTGTACTCCCTCTTGACCTTTGAGCTGTTTGAGCTAAATGCATCCCATTTGTTACCTTAATTATTAGAATTGGGTTTTCAGGTGTTTGTCAATGCAGACATCCTGATACCAATGTCTAGGTCTTCATTTTATTTTATTTATTTATTTTTAGACAGGGTGTCACTCTGTCACCCAGGATAGAGTGAAATGGCATGATCTCGGCTCACTGCAGCCTTGACCTCCCAGGCTAAAGCAATCCTCCCACCCCAGCCTCCCAAGTAGCTGGGACTACAGGCATGTACCACCACACACAGCTAAGTTTTTTTGTAGAGATGGAGTTTTGCCATGTTGCCCAAGTGGGTCTTGAACTCCTGGGCTCAAACAGTTCACCCACCTTGGCCTCCCAAAATGCTGGGATTACAGGCATGTGCCAGCACACCTAGCCCAGGTTTTCATTTTAACTAAAGGGTCAAAATGATGACACAGACACTCCATTTTGAGCATGCACTTGTTAAAGAATGGAATTAAATTTCACATCCGTAACAAATGAATAAAACATCCAATGTATTAGTTTGCTAGAGCTGACATAACAAAATACCACTGACTGGGTGGTTTAAACAGAAATTTATAGTCTTACAGTTCTGGAGGCTAGAAGTCCAAGATCAATGTGTCAGCAGGGTAGGTTTCTTCTTAGTCTCTCCTGGCCTTGTAGACAGCCATCTTCTTCCTGTTTCTTCACATGGTCTTCCCTCTTCATGTGTCTTTGTCCTAATTTCCTTTTCTTGTGAGGATACCAGTCATGTTGGATTAGGGCCTACCCCAATGACCTCATTTTAACTAAAGTATCTCTTCAATGACCTTATTTCCAAATATAGCCACATTCTGAGTACTGGGAGCTAGGACTTCAACATATGAATGGGGCAGGGGAGGGGACACAATTTGGTCGATAACATCCAAAAAGGCATTAATAATATCATATGGATTATTTGATACCAGATCTTTACCTTGATACAAATGCTGTTCTCCAAGTTTTTGTTTAGGGGCTAGGAAAGGAAGAGAGATTGAGAATACGAAAGCTCCTCTCTGAGAACAGATCCAGAAAAACAGCATGTAATAAAGATTTGGCTAAGCCCACTCTCAAATATCTGTCCTGGAAGGACAATTCACATTGATGACAGGAAAGCTAATATAAAGATAACTTTGGTTATTTAACTCTTTGTGAGCCTCCGTGAGGATGGGCAACTTTGCTGAAGAATCTGTTTCAGGCTGATCTTTTTTTTCTCCGTTAACAATTCTTAGCTAAAGTTTTGGTGCTTTACTGAAGAATGGAATCTCATTTCTGGACATGGTTGAACAGCTGTTTCTGTGTTCTTTCTAATTTCAGTGAGGCAAGGCTCCAAAAACAAATAGAAAGCTTGGTTTGCATTCTGAGGTTGGCCATTGAATTGAATGGTTTGTACTGCAGGAAAAAGCTGTGTGACATAGAAGTCACTTCCCCACTTTGGGCTCAGTTTCTCTTAATGTAAAATAAGACAGTTGGACTCCATGATTTCCAATGTTGTGTCCATCTATTCACCATATGATTGATTGGAAAAAAAAGTATTTTGATTTCTTTGCTAGTAAAAACTGAGGCCAGGCATGGTGGCTCACGCCTGTAATCTCAGCAATTTGGCAGGCAAAGGTGGGCGGATCACCTGAGGTCAGGAGTTCGAGACCAGCCTGGTCAACGTAGTGAAACCCTGTCTCTACTAAAAATACAAAACTTAGCTGGGCGTGGTGGCACATGCCTGTAATCCCAGCTACCTGGGAGGCTGAGGCACGAGAACTGATTGAATCTGGGAGGCAGAGGTTGCATTGAGCCGAGACCACACCACTGCACTCCAGACTGGGTGACGAAGCGACCCAGACCCCATCCCCCCAAAAAAACTTCATTTATCATTCCCGAAACCCTTTCCTAGCATGCAAGTGTCTATTAAGCTCCATCTGCGTCAGGTATTCATGGCAGACAAGAAAGGTACATTTCTTTGAGAATCAGATGATCCATATCGCCCATTGTTGAGAACATCTGCCCATCTTTATTTCATTGCCTAAATTCCTTTTTCTTGGAGTGAGGAAAGAGACAGGGAAGAACAACTGTTTGTAGTAGCAGCCAGCATTGGAAAGAAAATATCTTTTTGTTGCTAGTCAGTGTACTAAAGATACACACCTGGCTCCAGCTCAGAGGTTTGTAACCAGGGATGCGCATCAAAATTACCCCTGAAATTTCTAAAAGCACATGTCTGTAACTCTACTTCTCAAAATTTTGAATCAGTAAGTCTGAAGGAGGGCCTGAATCTGTGGAAAAGTCCTACAGATATAATGCTATGGGTTTGGTCTAACCATTTCTTCATTTCCATTAAATCACTCCCAGGTCCTTTTAGTCAGTTATACCAAATCACCTTGTATTGCACATTATTGGAAATATACCTGCATTTGAAAGGAACAATTCGGCTGGGCGTGGTGGCTCACGCCTGTAATCCCAGCACTTTGGGAGGCCGAGGCGGGTGGATCACCTGAGGTCAGGAGTTCAAGACCAGCCTGGCCAACATGGTGAAACCTAATCTCTACTAAAAATACAAAAATTAGTCGGGCGTGGTGGCAGGCGCCTGTAATCCCAGCTACCTGGGAGGCTGAGGCACCAGAATTGCTTGAACCCAGGAGGCAGAGGTTGCAGTGAGCCAAGATCATGCCACTGCATTCCAGCCTGGGCGACAGAGTGAGACACCGTCTCAAAAAAGAAAACAAAACGAAATAAACAAACAAAAACAACTCTTTCTTTCCCAAAGTTACATATTAAGTGTTTTAGTTGGTTGTGAGAAACACAATTAAGTGCCCCAGAAAATTTTACCTGTTTTGTGATCCAAATGCAGTTAGCATTTCTGAAACTAGATATAATGTTTTGCTATGGAGCTTACATATTGTAAACAGCAACAAAAACTTAGTATGGTATTTGCGATAAATAGAGAGTAATATTTGATATCAGTGTTCTTTTTTAATCACCGAGGTACATTCTGGAATTACAGCACTAAAATAACAAAAGACTTGATTCCACCAACCCTCCTGGTGGGCTTATTTAAGCAAATTGTATTTGTTTGCCGAACTGTAAATAAAACAGGTTCTAGCCTTCCATTCCTTCAGACTTGCATTTCTGTAGCTGCATATGGAATTTGTTCTTATTAGACTCCAGTAAAGAGCGTCCAGGGATAGAAAAAGAGGAAACATTACTCAAAACACAAAACATAGTAAAACAAAGAATTGCCCATTTCTTTCAGAAGTCCAGCTCTTAGAGCAGTGGAACAAACAGACGTTGCGCAGTGAAACAGAACAGTCTTGACCCCCAGCTCCTTCTTGCCACTGGTAGTCTACATGTGCAGCTGTACTTGTGACATTCCCTTCAGTACTCTTACCTGCCCAAAGGTGGTCATCACACTCATATGGCAGGTGGCTATGAGGATCAGAGTAGAGATGATACATGTGAAATGCTTGGCACGTAATGGGCACCCTCAAATAGTCACAGGCATCATTTTTATTATTTTCTTAGGAAAAAAAATAGGTGAACAAGCCAGGATTTACTGGTTTTTTTCTTTCAGAGTTTTATATTAATGAGATAAATTCAAAAGGAATTTGACAAAATTTGGAAGGTTCATATTTGCCTCTTTGTAAATAGAGATGCCAACTCTGTAGTGGCTGCTTCTCTATAGATGAAGCACAAAATGTTAAGGTATACGTGACATTTTCAAAGGCATCAAAGGAACCCTGTACAATGCCTCTGAACTACACATTAGCTGTGAATTGATGGCTTCACTTGAAATCTAATGAAAACTCAAACTCTCTAGATTTGAGTTGCTGCTACAACTTGGCACGATCTTTTTCAATGTGGGGGAAATGTATCCAAATAGGATATGTAGTGTTTAAAATATCTCAGGTTCTTATAGAACCTAAGATTAGTAAGTACAAAGCAGGTGGCTGTAAACTGTACCCTGGTTGTTGTAAGGGAATGAGAGAAGAAAATTGAGCCCTTAAAAAGATTAACCTATTCAGGTTCTGAACCTGCTTGGGGACAAACTCATATATCAACCTAAGAATCCAGACAAGTGGAAGAAGAAAGGAAGGAAGGGTTGTGATATTGAGATCAGACATTCAAACTCAAGGGGAGACTTTATACTTATTAATGGTCCAGTCCCCAAAGAAGATAAAACTATCATAAATTTTTTGCACCAAATAACATAACATAAAAACATAACACAATTAATATAGTTGAAATAACAGGTATATATACCAGCTATTTACTCTATAGAGAATACATTTTGTTTAAGTGCTGAAACGTTTATAAGAGTTACTCTTTTTTTCATAGTTTTATATCAATGAGATAAATTCAAAAGGAAATCGACTAATTTTGGAAGGCTCATATTTGCCTCTTTGTCTTATTATGTCCCTAATATCACATATTGGGACTCAAATACACATTTGATAAATTATCAGATGTGGGCATAGTGTTAGCAGTGGTTGACTCTGAAGATGAGGTTCAGAGTGATCTTAACTTTTTTATGTTCCTTTATATTGTTTGAATATTTTATAACCAACATGTATCATTTCTATAATGAAAAATAAGGTTATTTTCATTTAAAAAGAATACCTACTATTCCTGAACACTAACCATATTTAGGGGCAAATACTAAGCATGTGTCCTGATATATTTCATTTCATTCTCACAACAACACCTGAAGTAGAATGTCAAAGATTGATAGTTTCCCTCCCCACACATGTCTTTTCTCTACTACTTCTATAATCATAGAGGATTTAGGTCGACATGTGCCACCCAGCTGAAGACCACATTTCCCAGCCTTCCTTGCTGCTAAGTGTGGTCATAGGATGATTAATTGGATGTGAGTAAAACAGATGTGTTCAATTTCTGCTCCCTCTCCACCTTCTAACCTTTCTTGCTGCTAGAACATGAACCCAGTGAACGTGGTCGAGAACCCTATTCAACAAAGCTGAAGACAGCCACCCTTTAGGGGATGCAGACTAACAAGAGAGAGGAAACCTGTGTGCCTAGTACCATGGAGCCCCAGAGCAGCTGTGGACTGTGTATAATCAGACTGTTGTGGAGGGAGAAATAAACTTCATCTTGTTTAAACTGTGTTAATTTGGTATCTGTTAAAGCAGCCAAATTAATCTTCTATTATTATTTTACATTGTGTAGCTTTTCTTACAAGAAATGTAACATTTCCCTTATGTTTTACAACCATAATTATTAAAAATATTCAGACTTTATTTTATGTTGAATATATTTTAATGCTCACCAATAATGCTTATATGCCTCAACATCACAATCATGCCCAGGGCCCCTAATGATATCTTTCCATTCCAGGAAAAATGTACAAGTGATATGTTTCCACAGTTCTTACATGCTTGAATGACAATTTGATTGCTTTTAGAATTCTTGAGTCGTACTCTTTTCCCTCTAAATCTCTAGGGACTCCTTTAAAAAAAATCTACTGGGCTAAAGAGAGAGTTGAGATATTTGAGAGCAGACTGATCATTTCTTCTTTTAAAGTAACTTGATTTTTCTACTAGGGTACCTGTGGACTGTAAACTCTAGATAAATAACATCACAAATGTGACAGCATTGGTCAATATTTAATCATTTTTAAAAAACATTGTAGCCTCTTCAATATGTAGATTTCTGGCTCCTGTCATTCTATTTCCTTATTATATCATTTAATTTTTCTTTCTATTCATTTATCATCTTCAGAAACACCAACTGTTATCTAACTGATTCATCCCTTCAACAAGTGTTAAGTAAATGTCGGCTTACAAATGTTGGCTCTTAATATTACTGTGTGCCAGGCATTGTTCTAGGTGCCAACACTAGAATAATGAATAGGATAGAAAGCATTTCTACTCCGTGGAGCATATCTTTTAGTGGGAAGAGAAAATAAGCAAACAGAAAACTAAGCAAGATAATTTCAGATAGAGATATGTTTTAGGAAGAAAAACCAGGTTGATATGATAGCATGACTGCCATGAACCAGTGGATCAAGGAAACTTCACTGAGCTGAACCCTGAGTGACTTGAAAAAGCCTTTCATCCAAAGATCCTCAACCCCTCTTTCTCTGTCACACTCCATATCCACCCCACAGAAAATCCTGCTTAGGTGTTTGCGTTTTAAATTTGTGTTAATACTATTATTGTTGTGTGTGTGCTGAGGGCATCTGAAAGTACATTTCAAAATATATCTTGAATCAGACCACTTATCATCTCAGCTGCTACACCCTAGACCAGGCCGCTTTATTCATCAGCTTCTCTTCCTGCTTCCATGCTTGTGCCTACCCTCCACAGTGCACTTTATATCCAACAGTCACAAAATTTCTGACAAATAAATTGTATCACGTGCACAAATCCTTATAATGGTTTCCTATGGCAGAGGAGTTATTTTCTAGCAGAAACCATTTATTCCTTCTTCCTTTAGTAACCAAATTACCCCGTTTTAGCTAGGCACATTTCCCAGCTTCCCTTGCAGCTAATTTTGACCATGTGACCATATTCTGGCCAATGGAATATGAGTAGAAATGAGGTGAACAATTTCCAGGTTGTGCCCTCAAGAGGAAAAGGATTGTCCTCTCTTCCTTTCTCTCAGTTCTTTTGGCTGGAATATGGACCCACGTGGTGGCAAGCTGCCCTCTGCTGTGTAGATGACAAACCCTGGGGGATGGTGGAAAAACAAGAAATGTGGCTCCTGATACTGTGGAAACCCTCGGGCTGCTTACCCTTAGATTGTTACATGTCAGAGGAATGAACTTCTGTATTATTTAAATCATCTAAGCTCTTTAGGGACATGAACAAAGATGATGTCTGCCACTTCTGAATCATGCCCTTAAAAGAAAAGATTGCCTTGCCTTTCCCTGTCTCTGCTGTGTGGGATGCAAACACAATGGCAGCAGGGGGCAGCCATCTTAGTTTCAGAAATGGAAGCACCATCTTGAGGAGAGCAGAGCAACCCTGCAATCCCAGGCTGCCTATCTCTGGACAGTTATATGAGAAAGAAACAAACTTCTAACCTGTTGGAACCCCTCTACTTTCCAAGTCTCTGTTACAGCATCTTAGATTCTACCCAACTGGCGTCTTTTACTTAAAATTAAGTGAAATCTGAAGTTCTTAACATGAAGAAGGGTATGCCTATCTCATGGGAGGTGAACAGCTATCACAGTATCTGCAAGAAAGTAAATACTAAAAGTATATCACTTTCCTTCATCTCCCTGCACTTCACTCCGTACATCATTTTAATGCCTGGAACCCTAAAATCAGTGTAACCAAGTTTTAATGAGAAGCTAAATACCTGTAATTAGAAAAAATTGTTCTTAGGAGAATAGCATCACTACATAAGTATGTCAGAAGATACCTCACTATATTTTTGACATGACAAAGGTTCCAGGTTTTTGGGAAAGTGGGGCATTATTGATTTTATGCCTTACAACTGTCATCGTTTTACATCCAATCTATGCCTTAATCTTCTCACTCTTCTCAGAGTGCCTACAGGAATGAATTCATTAGACATTCAAGAGGAGAAGCTTGATGTGTTAGCACAGCATCGTGATACCAGCGCTTTTCTTAGACAGTTAAAGCCTGAGAATGTCAACCCACTGCTAGGGCATTAATTAAATTGGGCAACGATCAGAGTCATGATTAGGACATTCGTGGAATAGCGAGGGGACGCCTCATCTCGCCCAGCCCCCAGCGGCTGCTGCCACAACAGGGAACAAAAGGAACCAACTGGGCTTTCATTAAACACCAAGGATGAGATATGCACTTTATATATATTGTTTCCTCCATTTCCTGCAAGGTTCCTATAAAATGGTCATTACGTTCCCCATTTTAGTGATGAGACAATTGAGGCTTGGGAGACTTGGCTATTTGCCTAAGAATGCTGAACCAGGCAGTTATAAAGCCAGATTCTTTTCCATGTCTGCATGTGTTAAAGCTCATGCTCCTTCTCTCCCCCTTCCTCATTCCTTCCCCACTCCCCAATTCCAGCCTCTGAAAATATAACAAAGAGAGGTGAGCTCTAGTTTGGGAATCAGGAGATGGCAATTCCAATTCCACCTCTGCTCATGGCGTTAGGCACTCAGGGCTTCAGTCTCCTCATCTGATGTGAACCTTCAGACTCTTGCAGGAAGCAGGACGTGGAATCTGCAGCTGGTAAGGCGTCACCTAAACGGCTTCGTAATCAGCATATTAGACTGACTCCTCTGCTCCCACTCCTTAAATCTACACACATCCTCTGGGGCACAGCTTCCTTGCATTCCCCAAGAAAACCAAGAATTAACTGCTTCGTTCATTACTTTTTTTTTTTTTTTTGAGACAGAGTCTCACTCTGTCACCCAGGCTGGAGTGCAGTGGCACGATCTCGGCTCACTGCAACCTCTGCCTCCTGGGTTCAAGCGATTCTCTTGCCTCAGCTTCCCAAGTAGCTGGGACTAAAGGCGCCTGCCACCACGCCTGGCTAATTTTTTTGTATTTTTAGTAGAGACGGGATTTCATCATGTTAGCCAGGATGGTCTCGATCTCCTGATTTCATGATCCGCCCACCTTGGCCTCCCAAAGTGCTGGGATTACAGGCGTAAGCCACCGCGCCTGGGCCCATTCATTACATTTTTATTAAAGACCTCCTAGGTTCCTTATATTGTGTCTGGGTTACACTGATAAGACAAAACCTGTGATCCCTGACCTCATGGAGTTTACAGTTAAGTAGGAGGCCAAAGGTCAAAAGCAAACAGATGAAGAAACAGTTACTTTAAAAAGCATGCAGAAATAAACGAATAAGGCTTTGAGAAAAAGAGTAACACTACTTTAGAGAAGGCAGCTACTTCAGAAGGTGATGATTAGGCTGAGCTCTAAAGGATGAGAAGGAAGTAGCTGCTTTGGGAAAAGTGGCCGATATGGTTGGATATTTATTTGTCCCCTCCAAATCTCATGTTGAAATGTGATCCCCAGTGCTGGAGGTGGGGCCTGGTGGGAGGTGTTAGAATCATGGGGGCGGATCCCTCATGAATGGCTTGGAACTGTTTTTGCTATAATCAGTAAGTTCTTACTCTATGAGTTCACAGGAGATCTGGTTGTTTAAAAGAGCCTGGCAACCCCACCCCCCTACCCGCCTCTCTCTTGCTTCCTTTCTTTCCATGAGATATACTGGCTCCCCCTTTGCCTTTCACCATAATTGTAAGCTCCCTGAGGCCTTCACTAGAAATAGATCCTGGCACCACACTTCCTGCACAGCCTGCAGAGCTGCAAGCTAAAACAAACCTCTTTTCTTTATAAATTACACAGTCTCAGGTATTCCTTTATAGCAGTACAAAAGTGGACTAACACAGTGGCAGAAAGAGCTTGAGGCAGAGGGAACAGCATATGTAAAGGCCCTGAGACTGGAAGGAACTTGACAGCTTTGAGAAACTGAGGCCTGAGCTAGTGAAGCCGGAAATACAGTCAGGGGTTAGAAGCTGCAAAGCAAGGCTTGAAAGCTGTGGGAAGTAGCTGACATTTTAACTGAAATGCAACAGAAAGCCAGAGAATTTTAAGTTCAGAAGAAGTAATTGACCCCTTTCCCTCTTTAATCCTACTCCCTTTTTGGGGTGAATTTTATTGATGTTTAACACACACTGGGAAGAGTCCACACATTGTAAGTGTTCAGCTCAATACATTTTAACCATGCAGAAATCCCTATTTAACCATCACGGAGATCAAGAAATAGAACATTATCCCAACTCCAGCATCTCTGATCATATTCCATTCCGTTCACTTACCCAACCCAGTCCTGTGCTGAAGCTAGCTCCTATGGCTTTTGAGTGCCAGTTATCATAGATATGGTCATTATCTTGGTTATAGTAATGGCTTCATGGGTGTACACAGATGTCAAAATTTATCAAATTGTATACTTTATCATGTATAGTTTATTGTATGTCAATTATACCTCAATAAAACTACCAAAGAGAAAAAAGTGCCTGAAACATGCTCAGTAAGCATTTGTTGAAAAGATAAATAAATATGGACTAGATTAGGAGTCTTCAAAGATGGTGGAAATCGAGAGTATCATTGGATATTTGCAGTCATTTTAGTCCTGTGTTCTCAGGTGACATTACCTGTTGGGGCTTTACATTTGTAGGAGAGTGAGATGCTAGAAAGATCATTTGGCACACAGTAATAGGTAATAAATATTCAAAATTCATTACTTCCTATTTATTTCACTATGTTATACACTTATTTATGCTCTTGAGGTTATTTATCTATTGTATCTGTCTAGTAGAAATATCACATAATGCTATGCTATAGCACACACTTCTCCTACTCCATGTTAAGTGATGTCATGTTAGTAGGTTGAAATTGGCAATGGTTAGGAGTATTTACACCATGGACATTAGCCAGCATGGCTTTCTTGCTCAGAGGAGAGCCAGTCGTTAAACATTTATCAGGCCCCCACCCACCCTCAAGAGTATGATGGCTGCTAATCATACTCATAATCATAGGATATTTATATGCAAGCACATACCCTTTTACATCTGATTTCTTTGACCCTCTCCACATTACATTTGTGGGATTCATCAGCCGTGTTGTGTGAAGTGGATTCACTGAGGGTAAAACGAATAGCAGGGCTACAAAAATGAAAGAGGTGGACCCCAGTCAAGAGGTACATTTAGCTAGATTCCGCTACAGGAAAATACCTGATAATGCAGTTAGCAGGGGGAGGGACAGATTTGGGCTGGAACCCAAGGCAAATGGACCAGATTTCTGATGTCAAAGAGGAGTCATAGCTTCTGGGAAGGGTTATAGGACCTGGTATCACTTTGGAGGAGAAAAGACTGAGGACTGCATGAAAGGTGAACTATATCTGGTCTTAGGAGGGGGCACTGGCTACAGGATTTGTAACTGATCGTTGGAGGATTAGGTGTTCAGGAAATGAACATATGGTAAAGGAGATGAGGCTCTTGTAGACAAGGCAGATTGCAGCCATGATATTAAGATGCCTTTTGCAGAAAGAACAGTATTATTGTAGGTCCTTGGTTTCAAAGCCTTCTTTGGTTTGAAAGAGGATGGGAAAGGTGACTAAACACACAGGAAGAGAAAGAGGAGGAAGCTTATCTCGATGGTAAAATTATACTGATAAAATATTGGGTGGGGAAAACCAGGATGAGGATTATAGGAGATAAAGGGGTTGATTTTTTTCAAGGTGCAATATACAAAATCCTGAATGAATTAAAAGAAGAGAAAATATTTCCATTCTTGTGTGTGTGTTTATCCATTCATATATTTGATATTTATGTTTCAGACTCATTCAAACTCAGTGCAATTGACTAAGAGGCAATGTCTGAGTCTAGAATTTTGCTTTTACAGCCAAAGTCTCTAAAAGTGGTAGCTGGAGAGGAAAAGACCATGCACTTCAGAGCAGAGGCAGGTGGGGGAGTTGAGAGACAGAGAGAGAGAGAGCCAGGGAGAGAGGGAGAAACATGGAGCAGAGGAAAGAAGCTAGCCCCTCTGGTTTTCCTCCCCTGCCCTCCCTACCAACCAACTCAGCAAGCAGTGGCAGGAAGATGCGCCAGGGGAAAGCATTCTCTCTTTTCTTTCTTTCTTTTTTTTTTTTTGAGACAGGGTTTCACTCTGTCACTCAGGCTGGAGTGCAGTGGTGTGATCTCGGCTCACTGCAACCTCCACCTCCTGGGCTCAAGCAATCCTCTTGCCTCAGCCCCCCAACTAACTGGGTGTACAGGTGCAAGCCACCACGCTTGGCTAATTTTTTTTTGTAGAGACGGGGTTTCACCATATTGCCCAGGCTGGTCTCAAACTCTTGAGCTCCAGTGATCCATCCGCCTCGGCCTCCCGAAGTGCTAGGATTACAGGCATGAGGCACCAGGCCTGGTCCATTTCTAATTTTTTCAACTGACTAGTACTCAACTGTAGAACTGTCTAGATTGCATGATAACTAGTCAGGATAAGCTCTAATACTCATCTAGAAACTAGGACAGTGTTTTTGCAGTATGATAACAGAACCGCATAATATGTCGGAATAACCTTTTGTAGTGGGTTCTGTCCCTTCAAAAAGATATGTCCAAATCCTAACCCCTAGTACCTATGAATGTGACCTTATTTGGAAATAGGATCTTTGTAGCTGTAATTAAGTTAAGGATGTCAAGATGAAATCATCTTGTATTTAGGGTGTACCATAAATCCAGTGACTGGTGTTCTTCCATAAGAGAAAGGAGAGGGATATTTCAGACACACAGACACAGAGAAAAGGGCCATGTGCAGAGACTGCAGTGATGCAGCCACAAGCCAAAGAATGCCTGGGGCCAACAGAAGCTGGAAGAGGCAAGGGAGGATTCTGCCCTGGTGCCTTTGGAGGGAGCGTGGCCTTGCTTACACTTCAACTTCAGACTTCTGGCCTCCAGAACTGTGACAGAAAAGTTTCTGTTGTTTTCAGACACTGAGTTTATGGTAATTTGTTAGGGCAGCCATAGAAAACTACCCACCTTGTTAAAAAGGCAGATACTTCAACTCCATTCCAGACTATTCAACAGGAATCTTTAGCCGCAGGACCAAGAATCTGCATTCTAACCAGCTCCTCTAAACTGTGGTATTATAAAGTTTGACAGCTACTGATGAAGAACAACTGAGTGTGGCTTTTGTCTTTCAGTGCTGAAATGATCCTGAATTGTAAGGTTTATGTTTTTTTTAATAAAAAAAAGAAAATCCAGGCCAGGCACGGTGGCTCATGCCTGTAATCCCAGCACTTTGGGAGGCCAAGGCAGGAGGATCACCTGAGGTTGGGAGTTCGAGACCAGCCTCACCAACATGAAGAAACCCCGTCTCTACTAAAAATACCAAAATTGGCTGGGCGTGATGGCACATGCCTGTAATCCCAGCTACTCGGGAGACTGAGGCAGGATAATCAATTGAACCCAGGAGGCGGAGGTTGCCGTGAGCCAAGATCGCGCCACTGGACTCCAGGCTGGGCAATAAGAATGAAACTCCATCTCCAAAAAAAAAAAAAAAAGCAAAAGAAAGAAAGAAAATCCCATGGGCTGCCTGCCATCTTCTTAACAAAGAACCAGAATGGTTAGGCAATGGTATGAGATACCCAGATTACTAGTTTTCGGCGGCTTGTAACTACTTAAGCACTGACTGAGTAGCAACTGGACCCACAAGCCTACAAACACGACAGTAGGTCCCACTTGGACAGGAAGTTATTCTGACTCAGGGTGTGCAGAAACTAATAAGGAAGGAGAGCTGAATGGTCAGGGTTAAGTCACAGTAGGTAAACAGAAACCCAAGCTGGGGAGGTAATGGAGACTATGGGAAGCGCTGATAACAAACACGACCAACATTCAGATTTGGATAAAAGCTGACAGCAAAGGAGGAAGGACCACATTACTGAACTCTGTAAACGATATTTTTCACTCCTTCAGGGGCAGGCAAATAAGAAGAGTTGAAATGTGAGAGTTGGAAAAAACAATGCTTGGCAAACTGATCAGTTTAGATGACCCACCTTTCAATGACCCACCATGTTGGTGTTGCCCCAGTGAAATCTGTATATTTAAGCCTTCAAACAGTTACTGAATGTCTTCTATGTAGTGGGTATACTGTTTGGTGGAAGGACACATGTCAAGAAGAAAGAACCACACCCTTGAGGAGCAGTCAGGGAGATGGACATGAAAGCAAAAGTGTTTTGCTTTGTGCTCCTGAGAGCACAAAGGAGGACTAACTTTTTCTGGGGGCATCAGGAAGATTTCACCAAGGAAGGCAGCTGAGCGGAGCCCTGAAGATTGAAACAGCCATTCATCTGACCAGGACAGGAAAGCTAGCATGAAGCATGAGAGCACGCCAACTCATATTTATTGAGCTTGTCCTTTGTGCCAGGCACTAGTCTAAGTTTTCCCTAGGTATTAATGCATCTAATCCTCATCTGTGAGCTTGGTACAATTATTCTGCTCACTTCACAGTTGGGAAAACTGAAGCACCCAGAAGCTCAGTGACTTACCCAAAGTCACCCACCCAGCTAATTCATGGTGGAACCAGCATTGAGCTCCAGTGGTCTTGTTCCAGAGCTCCTTTTTGAGAACCACTGAGATAGACTTAGACTGAATTTTAGTTTCTGCTCCTTACTAGCTGTGTGACCTCAACATGTTACTCAACCTCTCAAAGCTTCAATATCCTCATCTACAAAATGAAGAATTCAGTGGGCATATGTACTTCTGTCTGCCTGGGGTTCGTTCCTCTTGGAAATTGCTCCTCCTTTCCCTCTAACCATCAGTGCCAGTTGGAATGGTCATGTTCTTAACAGCCCCATTACTAATTAATCCAAGAATAGACAGCTGATCTAAGCTGGGCCTATCTAAACTCTTCTCTGAGAATTTTTTTTCTCCTAGGCTGAAGTGCAGTGGTGCAATCTTGGCTCACTGCAACCTCCGCCTCCCAGGTTCAAGCGATTCTCGTGCCTTAGCCTCCTGAGTAGCTGGGATTACAGGTGCGAACCATTACAGTTGGATAATTTTGGTATTTTCAGTAGAGACAGGAGTTTGCCATGTTGGCCAGACTGGTCTCAAACTGGGCCTCAAGTGATCTGCCCACTTCGGCCTCCCAAAGTGCTGGGATTACAGGTGTCAGTCACCGTGCCTGGCCTCTCTGGGATTTTTTAAACTAAAACTGAGAAAGAAAATTAGTCCCTCTCTGGTGGAGGAAAGGCAAATATGTAAAACTCCTGAGCTACTGGAAGTCACATGCTCCAGTGTGTGGTAGAGGTTAAGTTTGCAGAGAATAAAAACAACACAAAAAGAGAAGGAAGAGACTGAAAAGGCTTTCAAAACTCCTGCATTTGCCTAAGCCAGTTCGACTTGGGTTTATGACATAGGAAAGAATTTTCATCAGTAAGAAATAGTAGTACCTGTTTCCTAGGGTTGTTTTAAAGATGGGTTACCATGATGCATGCAAAGAATTTAGCACAGTGCCTAGCCCAGTCAGTAGTCAGCAAATAATAGTTCTTACTGTTACAATAATCAGTGGCATTCTTCCTCTAGTAAGCTTTGCATTCCAGAAAACTGGACAGCTTGTATTCAGACTGTGGTATTCCTGCCTGTGTAGACCGTACTGGCATTCCTCGCCCACTCCCTGCCTCCCTGATGTACTCTTATTCTGTCTACAGAACCTTACTTGAAGCTCATCTATAAAGACTTCTTTGAGCCCTTCGGACAGAGTTAATCACTTTCCCACTCATACTCCCTTTTTCCTTATTTATCAATGATACCTATCACACTGAGATAGGTATTTGGTTAAGTTGCTATATCCCCACCTGACTGTAAGGCCTTTGTGACCATATTTCTCCTCCTTGCTTTAGTCCTCAGTGCCCAGCACAGTGCCTGGCCTAAGAAAGCCCTCCCATCAGTGTTGTGTGCATTGAGGAGCAGAGGACTAAGTTGTCGTCTCAGGAAAGCAGACCTGCTGAAAGCTCATCAATCTTAATGTTCCCTGCCTGACACCAAAAATGCATTAACAGATGGGGAATGGTGTGCTTGGAACCTAGTAAAAGTGAAGTCGAAAGAGTCAGGAATGCTGCCTCCAGTGCTGTACAAAGACCAGCAGATGCAATGCCTTTGAGGCAATAATAAGTAGGAAGAAAGTAACCCTAGAATGTGTCTATTGATGTGTAAGATCTAAAACCACAGCGGGCCAAGCAAGACCCTTCAGGATGCTTCCTCCTGCTTCTCTCACCCTGGCTGCAAGTCCCTGGGATGGAAACATTCACATCCACATGCTCAATTGGAAAGAAGTACTCGGCAAGGCTATGCGCACCCGGCTGGCACTGCCTGATGTCATTAAAGTCATGCGATTCACTCCCCTTGCTCTGATTCCACGCTCAGCAAGAAAGCTCCCATGGAGAGTATCCCTACAGGGCAGGGAACACATTGTCCAGCTGACACAAATTTTTAAGTATTGCTTGAAGTTCAACACGCCTGGCATGCTCCTTAGAAAGACCTCCTTTTTAAAGGAAAGCTATGCCGGGCTAATCTGGTTGCACATGGTACATGCCAGTGTCTGAGTCAAACCAGTTGCCTTGGGCTCTATAATTGGATCAATTACCAATGTTCCAACAAAGATACTCATTTACAGGTATAAGGTTAGCCAATCACTTATGAGATGGCTCCTGTGAGACTCCACCCAATGCAGAAACTTCAAAGAAAATGGTGACAATGTCTATGAATCAGAACCTTTGTTTTGGGATTAAGACACAATAAAGGGAGGGAAGTTGGTCCTGATGCCCTACATGATGACAGGCCATTGTTCAAGTTCTCCCCAGGTTTTCAGGATGCATTGGTCATGAAAATACTTGGTCCACCAGAGCATGCATATACCCTCAGCATGGTTTTGTGGTCTTGCTCTCCACTTGCTTAGCTTAAAAATAAACTCTGATCACCTGAGGATACCTGGTCTTATATTTCCCATGCACATAAAAGAGCCTGAAGTGCAGCTTAGAAATTATATATAATTTTTAATTTTGATTTTCAAGTTATATTTTAGAATGTGGTTGATGTCAGTCAGTTTCACTCAGCCTAATTGACATTGGATCCTAAGCAAATTAAAGACTAGATTCTGAGTCATGGTGATTTTCTGCCTCTACAGCTCAACTGTCTCTACCTTCAGTTGCATTTACTAGACTTGAAATAATTTTAAAGTGTTAGTTAATCCACAAACTTCTATTCCTTCACCCTTTATGAAGATATAGGAAATATCTATTCTTTCCTGACTCTGGCTGAGTGGCTATTTGGAATCTGCTATATTTGATTTTTTTTATTGAACTTCAAACTTGTGTTTTTTGGTTTTTTTTAAATTATACTTTAAGTTTTAGGGTACATGTGCACAACGTGCAGGTTAGTTACATATGTATACATGTGCCATGTTGGTGTGCTGCACCCAGTAACTCGTCATTTAACATTAGGTATATCTCCAAATGCTATCCCTCCCCCCTCCCCCCACCCCGCAACAGGCCCCGGTGTGTGATGTTCCCCTTCCTGTGTCCATGTGTTCTCATTGTTCAATTCCCCTTTTGGAGACTGGGAGCAATAGAATGTAGCTGCCCCTGGTGAGAGAAAATGGTGAGAAGAAAAAAGGATGTGTGTTTGGATGAAAAGTAGCTTCTAATATCATGGACTACATCAACAGTTTTGCAGATTCATAAGTGGGAGCATCTCTGCAAAGGAGCAGAGAAACCAGAAAATGCAAAAAAGCCCCAAATAGCAAGCCCTCACATTTGTTTAGCGCTTCACAATGTACCAAGCACCTCCACATGAGTTATCTCATTTAATCCTCCTAGCAACTCTGCAAGCTGGGAAGCACAGGCATTAGTTTATATTTCACACAAAGAAACTTGAGATCAGAGAGGTTATCCAAGGTCACGGGACAGAAGCAGGATTTGAACCAGTTACAAACGGTGTAAGCTTATTGAATGAATGTTTGTCCTTCATTTACTGGAGCAAGGTTAAGAGTGCAAGCACTGGAGTCAAGCAGACCTGTTTTCAACTCATAGCTTCTCCATGTATTAGCTAGCCATAGGATCATGACAAGTCACTAATTTCTCTGGGCCTCACTGTCCTCATCTGAAAAATGGGAATAATGAAATATACCCTATATCATTGTCCCAAGTAATACATAAGATAATATATTTAACAGGTCTAATGTTGCTCCAGAACACAGTTAAACACACAATAATTTATGCCTTCTTCATGCTGTTGTTGGCATTTGTTGTAGTAGTAGAAGTAGTAATAGTGGCAGGTGTCAATGTATATCTGGCCCCAAATCCTGCGTTCATTCTATGCAACACACTGCACTGATTTTTTTTTCTTCTCCTTTTGCCACGCGTATTTTTTCTTTCTCTTTTATACAGTTTTCTTTCATCCTCCTTCCTATCACATGTATAGAAATCCTACCATCCTCTGATTTGAAACACACATACAGACACATGCCTGATTTAGTACCTCTTCTACCGATCTACCTGTCTTAGTCTTTCCCACTCATTTACCCAAACAATACAGGGCTCAGGGAAAGGACGGGGAAGCCTCAAGGAAAGCACAGGGAAGGACTCATGCTCCTTTACATAAGTCAGTCTCAGAGGAGGGCTTGGCATTCCCAACAAATGTTTTATTGTTTTGGTTTCCATGATCCTACACCAAGTGAAGAGATTTGAGGGTCTCCAGTAGTTAAGCTAATTAGATATAATTTTCCTTTTTGGTGCTTTAGCTGAGTTAGAGGTTTCAGGAAGGAGAGAAGGAAGAAGCCTGGGTTAGGCATATCTAGCCTAACTCCCACGTGATGCCTTTCACTTCTGAATTAATTCCCTGGATAAAGTACCCTTTCTGACAACGAGATAAACAGGTTCATCCAGAGGTTTGGCTCACTAGACTATAAAGCCCTTCATAACCACAGTGCTCGTCTCCATCCACCCCAGGCTCCTAGCCCCAAGTAGGCTACAGTGGCAGGCATTGTGTGCTCAACAAGGCTTCACACCCACTGGGAATCTGAAACATAAACACTGCTTACACTGCAAAGTTCTCTCTGCAGACCTGCAAGGCTGGTGCCAAAATGGCTGCCTCACGTCTGCCCCCACCGGGCTGCACAAAGGACTCCCCACCCAATCTCACTATCAAAACCTCTGAAATGACAGGACAGGTGGCAACCACTGGCTGGGCAAAAGGCTGATTTCCAGAACTTCAGAGGAGAGCTGTGCTGGCATCCTTTAAGAAGTTGATTCTGGGGAACGTTTCTTCTATGGTCATTCCTATTTTTAGGACAGTTTTAAACCTCCAGAGCTTCTGCTATTCCTTTCTCCTTGAAGGGCCAACTGAAGGGTTTTTCAGTGGCTTGTCAAATGTTCTTTATCTAGTATTTGTTTGTTCGAATTTCTCTAACAAAGAGGTTTAGTTTTGACTTACTGTTTAAGCACATGCAGGTTAAGACAGGAGCACTGAGGCATTACTAGTTGTAACCAAAGACATCCAATAGGCTTAATTATTTGCTCATACACAAAAAAGCAAATTGGATAATGCCTCTGCTTTTGGCTCTTATCTAACTTAATGTGGACAACTTTGTAGAGGTCTTGTCAACAAACTGAATGAGCCACTGAAAGTGAGGCATTCATTTTAGCCGTAAACTTTGGTGAACTTTTTTCTGTTGCTGGATATGAATCAGATCCCAGGAAACTTAGAAAGAACATAGAAATAGCATTATTCTGTCCTTAGTGATAAAATACCCATTTTTCCTCGGGATCAAAAGTTTGGGTCACCCACAAATACACAGTCAAATAATTGTCAGCAATAACATCAAAAGAATTCAAGGGGGGGCCGGGCGCGGTGGCTCACGCCTGTAATCCCAGCACTCTGGGAAGCCAAGGTCCACGGATCACCTGAGGTCGGGAGTTCGAGACCAGCCTGGCCAACATGGAGAACCCCGTCGCTACTAAAAATATTAATACTAAATACTAATACCCCATCGCTACTAAAAATACTAATAAAAATTGCCGGATGTGGCGGCTGGTGCCTGTAATCCCAGCTACTCAGGAGGCTGAGGCAGGAGAATTGCTTGAACCTAGGAGGCGGAGGTTGCGGTGAGCTGAGATCACGCCATTGCACTCCAGTCTGGGCAACAAGAGCGAGACTCCATCTCAAAACAAAACAAAACAAACAACAACAACAAACAATTCAAGGGGGAAATGAAAGTCTAAAACAATTGGATATCCCCATGAGTAAAACCAACCTTAATCCTTACCTCATAGTATACACAAAAATTAATTTGAAATGGGTCATAAGGCTAAATGAAAAAGCTTAAACTATGAAAGTTATAAAGGAAAGTATAGGAGAATATCTCCAGAACTCAGGAGTAGTCAAAAGTTTCCTAGTTCATAGCAAGCAATAATCATGAAAAACAAATTGATAAATTGAACTTTGTCAAAATTAAAAACTGCTCATGGAAAGACGTTATTATAAAAACTAATCAGCAAGCCACAGATTGGAAGAAAATATTCACAACACACAAACATCTGACAAAGAGACTATCCAAAGTATATAAAAGAACTCCTAAAATTCAGTAATCAAAAGATAACCAAATTCAAAAATGGGCAAGAGACTTGAACAGGAAGATGTACAAGCTACTAAGAAGCACATGAAGTAGCACATGCCATCATTTTTCATCAGGAAAATTCAGATGAAAGGTCCATTGAGAACTGACTATCCACCCACTAGAATGGCTACAAGTTTTAAGAGAAACTGACACCACTAAATATTGGTGAGGCGCTAGAACAACCAGAACTCTCATATACTGCTGCTGGAAATGCAGGACAATTTACCTGCTTCAGAAGACTATAGAAGAGCTTCTTCTAAAGTAAAACACACATCTTTTCTATGATCCAGTAATCCTACTCCTATTTGTTTATCCAAGAGAAAGGAAAGCATGTGTTCACAAAAGAACTCAGACAAGAATTCTCATAAACATTTTATTCATGCCTAAAAACTGGAAACAACCCAAATGTCCACCAATACAACAGATAAACTTTTGTATATTCATAGAGCGGAATACTACTCACTAATATAAAGAAATGAACTATATGCAACATTGGTGAATGTCTAAAATACTGTGCAGAGTGAAAGAAGCTACACACAAGAGAGTATATACAGTATGATTTCACTTGTATGAAATTATAAAACAAGCAAAATGAATCTATGGTGTAAGGAGGCCATGTAAAGAGAAAGAGAAGGCCAGCCAGCCCAGTATCCCAGCTGAGCCTAACCTAGATTGCAGAATAATGAGAAATAATAAAATGATTGTTGTTTTAAGCCACTAGGTTTTGGAGTGATCTGTTACACAGCAATCAATAATCAGCATCATTGCTTTCCTCATGGAATTGTCAGAAGTATGTGATATGACACATATGGAAGGGCTCTGTAAGTGGACAAGTGCTAAGCACTTGTGAGCGGCAGTTATCTCTGGGCATATGTGCAGATTGGGGTTAGTGCTCATTAGGGATATGTCCATTTGAGAATTAACCTGTGGAATTCAGAGGGTCTTACTACCCAACCAATATAACCTTTGGTTTCTTCTATCCCTCTCCTTCCTCTTGAGCAGCCATCCACAACTGCTTCTGGGGAAGAGAGAGAGAGAAAGAGAAAGAAAGATGTTCATGGTTTGTTAAAAAAATAAAAGAAAATAACATTTACAAATGGCCAGAGTAGAAAAGATGTACCAATTTCATTTATCTTGTTAAGGAATGGGGCTAGATTGAAGATTAGCCAATGCTTATAATTTTTGAGGCTCTAAGAAATACCTTTGAAGTTAGAGAAGGATGGAGAGAAGTGAGAGGGAGTCACCATGGTCTAAGGGGCTGGTCCTCAATCTGGTCCGTGACATGTTGATCAGGCTCAGGGAAATTAAATTAAATGAACCAAATTCCCAAGAAACTGCTTGATCAACCAGAACGCCAGTTTATCCACTTGCAATGAGAAATGCAATTTCCAAGCCACAGTATTTGGTTCTGTCAGGTGGTAAGGAGAAGATTACCCTGGGAAACCAGATTACTTGACCTGGTAAGAGTTTCATGTCTGGAAACATGGGGAAGTGAGGACATGCGGAGAATCATGAGCAGGTGGAGCACTTTGGGCGTGCTGAGTAATGTCAGTGGACTGTTACACAAAGCTTAGGTAACGCATCTTTCATGCACCTGGAATCTGCAATCTAACAGATTTCTAACCAGGCTGAGAGGATGCTCTCAGTCCTGCCAGTTTATGGACTTACAGGGATGTAAGGAACTCAAGACAGGGAAATAGCCTCTGTCTCCAAAAGGATAGCGGAGATGAGGTCCCTTTTTTATTTTTTAAAAAAACAATATAATATAATTGATGGATTCAGACCGTTCACGAGAGACTATTACCTCCACGCCCAGCTCAGGCACCTTCTCTAGAATCCCTTTCCTAATAATGTAAGTGCCCCTGTCACCTCCATCTATCCATTTTTGTTCTTTTAAGCCTATTTTATATTATTTGCTTATATGCCAAACCCTAAACGATGAGTTCTTGAAGGTTAAAATTATGTTTTATTCATCTTTTTTCACTAGCCCCCGCATAGTCGCTGGCATACATACCGTGGTGCTCAATAAATGCATGTGGCATTAACTAAAAGTTTGCTGTTTCTGGAATTCGTCTGAAACCTGAAACACTGCAACAACATCTCACTTAGAATGTTGCCTTACCCTTTTGCCATAATTTTAGAGTGAGGAAGTAGAGGTCACTAGATTACGTGTCCTTTTATGAAGAACCTACAGCTCAGGGCAGAAAGGCACTTGCCGGAATCACCCTGCCAGGGAACTCTGAACCCCGCTGCGCCGCCGCTCCTGATCTCTGGGGTTTCAGGCGCCTCCTCTCTTACAACCCTCTCCTGGGGAAGTAAACCCCATCAAGACACCACCACATCCTTCCCCAGCGACTCAGCCTGGGGTCACAAAGGCCTTTACGTCCCACTGAAAAACGGTTTTCTTTCATTTGTGCCCATTCGTTCTTGCAGCCCCTTCCCCAGATCGAAGACTAGGGTCTTAGTAAGGAGAGGTAAGGAGGGAGGGGAAGAACCTGCCTGGCCCCCCGCGGAGCTCTGCAGGGGGCGTCGCGGCTGCACGCCAGCGCCCGCACCACCCCAGGCGGGAAGGGAGTTATCACACAGGGGGTCGCACGCAGATCTCGGGGACCGTGGGTGCCACGAGGTCAAACTGGCAGAGGGAGACGCTGCAGCTGCTGTAACAGCAAGGAAAGCCGAAGCCCCCTTAGGGGATACTTTACAAAATTATTTTAATCACCGTGCAAACCTAATAACTTGACCCAAGCGCAATCACCTGTATTCACCCAGAGTAAATATTCCTAAAATCCCGTTCAGTGTGTCTGTGTCTCTCCCGCCTCTTTCCGTTTCAGGCAAATGTCTACCCCCCCTCTCCCCCCACCGTTAACACCTCTCTGCAGCGTGGGAAACAGTGCCCAGCAGCTCAGTCCTCCGCTTCCCGCTCTGCTTTTTGCATCCCATTCGGACTTATAGGAAGTAGTTATTTTTTGGTGGTGGTGGAAACTGGGCAAGAAAGAAGACGCTAAGCTTGGCCGGGGCCAGGAGAAATATTGAGAAGGGTCGTTACCTTCCATCCGATCTAAACCAATCATCTCAAACTTGGCTACTCTTTGGAACCACCTGGGGAGCTTTAAAAATTATGGACGCCCTGATAGCACCGCAGAGGTTCTGATCTAATTGATCTGGGATGCGGCCTGGGTATCGCGATTTTTTTAAAACTCCTCAGGTTATTCCCAGCTTGAAAACTATGGATATAAATTTCTCATTCCTCTTCCCACCCAGACCAAAAAAAAAAAAAAAAATCTAAGCCTAAGTTGATGGCCCAGGGAATCTGGCACCTGCTCCCCTGCAACCAGCCAGTGCTGCAAGGTCCCCGAAAATCGGCGCGAGCGGCGACGCTAAACACGCGGCGGCGGGGCGAGCGGGCCAGGCGGGCGGTGCCGCGCGTGGCCCCGCCCCCGCACGCCTATGGGCGCGAGGTGCGGGCCCTGACGTCACTCTTGTCAGGGCCGCGGCACATGGGCGGCCGGATGCGCTGAGCCCGGCGCTGCGGGGCCGCGGAGCGCTGGGGAGCAGCGGCCGCCGGCGCGGGGAGGGGGGTGGGGTGGGACGGCGCACCGCCTCCGGTGCTGGCACTAGGGGCTGGGGTCGGCGCGGTGTCTTCTGCCCTTCTGCAGCCGTCGACATTTTTTTTTCTTTCTTTTTTTCAATTTTGAACATTTTGCAAAACGAGGGGTTCGAGGCAGGTGAGAGCATCCTGCACGTCGCCGGGGAGCCCGCGGGCACTTGGCGCGCTCTCCTGGGACCGTCTGCACTGGAAACCCGAAAGTTTTTTTTTAATATATATTTTTATGCAGATGTATTTATAAAGATATAAGTAATTTTTTTCTTCCCTTTTCTCCACCGCCTTGAGAGCGAGTACTTTTGGCAAAGGACGGAGGAAAAGCTCAGCAACATTTTAGGGGGCGGTTGTTTCTTTCTTATTTCTTTTTTTAAGGGGAAAAAATTTGAGTGCATCGCGATGGAGAAAATGTCCCGACCGCTCCCCCTGAATCCCACCTTTATCCCGCCTCCCTACGGCGTGCTCAGGTCCCTGCTGGAGAACCCGCTGAAGCTCCCCCTTCACCACGAAGACGGTGAGCGCTGCCGCGGCCCCGCTCCGGGAAGGGACGACGCTCCGGGGGTCCCCCTCCGCGGCCGGGCACGCCCGCTGGAGCATCCCCCAACCCCGCTCCCGCCCTGTCCCGCGGCGCCCCGGCCCCGCGCTGATGAAATTGAGGAGCTCACCCAGCACCCTTCCTCCCCTTCCTCCTCCTCCATGAAAGGGGAGGGACCCCTCCTGAGCTACATTTAAAAGAGCTTCGGGCACCCGGCCTCCCTGGGTCCCGCTCCTGCGGCGCGGGTGGGAGGTGTAACTTGACAGGTCAGGATCGTTCCCTAGAACGAGGCACACCCGCACGCAGAGCGAGCCCGCCTGCGGAGGGCAGAGCCTCCCGGGCTGGGGAGGAGAAACCCTGGGGCCTGGTTCTGTGCGGGGCAGGGGGCGGGGGTCGGCTTGAGGGAGGGGGTTTCACTGCGTAGCCTGGGTTTTGGGGTTGTGTTACAGCTTCTGTTACTGGTTAGTATTTGGAACTCACGAGGTGTGAGAGAAGACTCGTTTTCTTCTGGTGAAGGGTAGCTGAGAAAGCGGGGTGGGGGCTGGGGCCGGTGGGGGGAGTGGTCTCTCGGCGGGAAGCCGTGCACGCCTCCAGCGTTGACACTTTCCCGGTGCACTTTTTCTGGTGGGAGGGGAGAGCGGAGCAGGCTCACGTGTAACCGCGCAGGAGCCTCCTCTGGCTTGAGCCCTTTCTTGGTAAGTCCCAAACCTTCCCAAGACAACCTTGGCCTTAGCAGTAGAGGAGGGGTACGTGTGATGAGGCCCCAAACCCGGCTAAGTGATGCCACGGATTTGGGTTGATGCGATTTCATGCCTTCGGTATCACAGTAGCAAATGCGAACCGTGCGGCTCACAGTGTAAAGTTCTGAAAGGTTATTTGGCTACAAATAGCTTGGGAGTACTTGCACCTTCTTTTCTAGGAGAGGACAACCTGTTGCATTGCAAGAGTTTGCAATCTGCAGATGATAGCCAGGGACCCCTCCCTAACTATCCTTTAAGGAAGAGCATTTGGGAGGAAGGGGCTGCCTGCAGGCTTTTGCATCTGTGGGTGTTTTAAGTCAGATTTTCAGATGAGATGGTAGAGGGTTAGAATGGATGGCAGTGGAGGCTGTGTTTCTCTGAAGATGAAACTCAGAAGCAAATTCCTTAATCCCAGATTCCACCCACGACTGAATACTAGAATTGGCAAGATCCGGAATGCTTGTTAAAGACCTAATGGGCGAGCAGTACTTCCAGGTAGCAAATAGCTGCATACTTCCAACATAAATGTATAGAATAACTCACCTTTTCCAATAGCTCTGCTTTTGAAAGGTTTTGTAAATGCATACTCTTTGTAAATTGGATCATACTCAAATGTTTGGAGAAGAGAAGGAAGAAAACACTTTGTATTTTTTTAAACTCCTTTTGTAAAAATCAGTGTGCCCCAGTGGCTTTAGAAGCAAACACATGTGAGCTCAGAAAGTTCTCATTCTCTGCCAACATGAGGCATTGGTCAAGTTCCCTCAAGTCTCAGAGCCTCCGAGTCTTTGTTGTAAATGGAGGTAATTGTTATTTTGCAAGTTTATTGTGAGATTTTTGAGATAATATATGGAAAGAACCAGGTATCCAGTAGGTACTCTAAACATGATGTTAAAGAAGGGTGGAAGGTCCCTGCTTTACCAAAATTAAGACCACTAACTCACTGGCTTTGTAAGTCTGAATGACCTCCTATTGCTGCTGTGATGAATTCCTGGAAGATAATTCAAGCCTGGTTATTGGCTGTTGTTTTCTTAAAAATGACAGCAGTTGTATATAATCACAGATGTTATATTCCTATTTTAGGTTTAAGTTATTACTCTTCTCAAATAATGTGCTGAGACTGTTCTCTGGTTTTTATCCTAGATCAGCCTGTAGCCCTGCCCCAAGGACTAGTGCCTTCTTTCCAAAGTAAATAGGAAGATGTTGAAAAACAGGCAGAGATCCACGTCCTGCCTGAACTTTTAACTCTAGATCTACAAAAGACAGCAGCCAGAGAAGGACCCTGCCATTCGTGAGAAATAGTCTTATAACAGGCCAGGAAAAGTGATAAAAGAGCGGTATTGTTTTTCTTTTCTTTCTTTTTTTTTAAGTCCAGCTTTCCCTTCTTCTGCAGCATTTAGTAAAGATAAAGACAAGGAAAAGAAGCTGGATGATGAGAGTAACAGCCCGACGGTCCCCCAGTCGGCATTCCTGGGGCCTACCTTATGGGACAAAACCCTTCCCTATGACGGAGATACTTTCCAGTTGGAATACATGGACCTGGAGGAGTTTTTGTCAGAAAATGGCATTCCCCCCAGCCCATCTCAGCATGACCACAGCCCTCACCCTCCTGGGCTGCAGCCAGCTTCCTCGGCTGCCCCCTCGGTCATGGACCTCAGCAGCCGGGCCTCTGCACCCCTTCACCCTGGCATCCCATCTCCGAACTGTATGCAGAGCCCCATCAGACCAGGTAAGTGCCCTGAAGATTCTCCCTTCAGAAAGGGAGGAGGAGGGTGAATGGGACAGGCAAGGTAGAGTTAGCATAAACATCTTAACACTCAGGTTTTAGCAAAGATCCTAAGAGAGGTACCTTCTTCTGCTCCACTCCTGGCAGAGGCTCTCCCACTTTAATGAGCATCCATATCACTCATCTGGAGAGTCCGGTAAATACAGACTCTTTGTATCTACCCCTAGAAATTCTGATTTTGCAAGTCTGGAATGAGGGCCCAGGAATATGCATTTTAACCAGCTCCCCCATGGGATTCTAATGCAGCTGATCCAAGGGCTGCAGTTTAAGAAATAACTTACAGTTAATGATTTGGATAATTTAAGCCTCCATCGCATCTTGTATCTCTTTTCCTCATTCCCTAAACACGTAGATAACAGGTAGACTCTCAATAGGGTTTGGTTTACCTATATTCACTCTTGTCTGTCCTGAAGGAAAAAAAATGTGAGTAGGGATATGGGGCAGGTATTTTTTTTTCCATCCTTTTCATCTTGTTTTGTCATTAGCTGAGAAGTAGAATCTAAAAGCAGGCTCTCATATTGTGTTTCTGAGCCTTCTTCAGGACCAGACTCCATCTCTCTCGTTGCTATTCCCATAAACCCAACTGTTCTTATCTTTTTTTTTTTTTCATTTTCATCTGTCTATCACACTCAGTCCACCTGTATCAAAGCCCACAAGGCTGCAAGGTCAGCTGTAAATGATCTTGAAATAGTACACAAAAATATCACCTGAAATGACCAGTACTTCAAAACCCACTGCTAATGCTCAGATATAAACACAGATTGAAGGAGCTTTGAATTCATGCCTTTAGCACCCTGTAGTACCAAATGAACAGGAAGAAAGACGATTTCATGTGCACAGGTAACCAGGAACAAAGATTCAGCCAGATAAATCATCCGGAAGGTCACAGAGCTGAGGGCCTTAGCTGTGGGGGAAGACAGAAAGCAGGACAATGCGAAACTTGTGCTAGAGATTGTTACTGAACTCCGTGTCCTCGACTCTTGTAGAAATTTCTGTGGCACATGGAGCAAGATTTAAATGGAAGGAAATGATGTAAAGGAGGAAGAGAATACCCCTGCCTCGATATATTCATATTGAAGTTCCTCCTTTCAGACCTCTGTGTGCTGGCCCCTTCTCCAAAATTCACTTTGAATTATAACTCAAGGCCACTGGCTGGAATGGAATTAATTCTTAGCCTCCAGCCACCCCTGGAGGCTGTGGGAGCTTGGGAAAACATGCCTTTATGTGATCCTGATCCCCTGCTACTTAGAATGTGCGGTACCACTATCTTCAATTTTTTTGTAGGAACAAGCAACAAAATGAATAACCCTTCAAAGTGGGAAAACAGCCAGGAGAGAAGGGAACAGAGCCCCAGTGAGAGACACAGTTATGCCTCGGTCATTGTGCTCTGTAGACTGAGAATCACCACTTTGTAGCTGTGTGACCTTAGAAAGCAACATCATTTCTTGGAGCCTCAGTTTCCTTTTTTGTAGAAGGATACAATTTCTATTTGATTGAGTTATTGTGAAAATTAGAGATAATACGTATAAAGGGTCAACTGATTAGCAATGAGTCTTCTATTTGTGGAAGCAATTGTGATCATTGTTGTATGTGTCAACTTTTATTACTTATTTCAATCCCTGTCTTCTGAAATATCTTCGTAAGGTAACTAGGTACTGTATATAACCCTTCCTCTGGAGAGAAATGTCAGGAGATTTTGCCCAGTAGTTACTGGATTGGGGTATTTTGACCAACACTTGTAATCAACTGACAAGTATTTCTTAGTCCCCTACCAAATTTAGGATGTGTACCATGTTAGGAATACTATATTTTTTCCCAGGAGACCTGCACATATTGGGTGTTCACACCTTGGTTCCTACTGAGAGTCAAAAATTGGGGTTTTGGGATTTGAAGCAGCTTGAAAACTCATTTGTCAGAGCTCATTAGAGTCAGTATTGATCAGTGACTCTCAGAAGGCTTGGAATGCCCAATCAGAGTTGCAATGCATAGCAAAGAACTCCTGAGTTTCAGGGGATGTCATTTTGTAAGGTTCTGGTGGAAAGACACTGGGATCAAAGGGAACACTGAGGGTCTAGAAATAAGTTCTCCATTTAAATGTCTTATTTTAAATAATGGAAACACACTTCAACATAGTTTCCTTCTTGGAGTTGAAAACTCGATAGTCCTCATAGAAAAGGAAAAAAGTTAAACCTCGTCTTCAAATACCAAACTCAGGTAAAATAACACTCTGCTGTTCATAGATTGTTGATCATTATAAAGATGCAAAATAAAATTCTAAGAGATGTTGGCCTGATGGATGGATATTGCAAGCAAACCTGAAAAAGGAGAAAGTTCTTGATTATTCTGTGTGGCTCACAGGAGTGACCAGAATAGAAGTACCAAGTTAATCTTGAGGAAAATAAGTCCTCAGAAGGGAAGAGCACAGATGTAGCCTTGGTCATTCTGGGAGCTGTATAATTTCAGTCTTGATTGGTGTTTCTCAACCTTGGCACTGTTAATGTTTTGGGTAAATCTTTTTTTTTTTTTTTTTTTTTTGAGACGGAGTCTCGCTCTGTCGCCCAGGCTGGAGTGCAGTGGCGCGATCTCAGCTCACTGCAAGCTCCGCCTCCCGGGTTCACGCCATTCTCCTGTCTCAGCCTCCCGTGTAGCGCCACCACGCCCGGCTAATTTTTGTATTTTTAGTAGAGACGGGGTTTCACCGTTTTAGCCGGGATGGTCTCGATCGCCTGACCTCGTGATCCGCCCGCCTCGGCCTCCCAAAGTGCTGGAATTACAGGCGTGAGCCACCGCGCCCGGCCTTGGGTAAATCTTGTGTCTTACGCTTTATAGGATGCTTAGCAGCATCGCGGCCCCTACCTCCTAGTTGCAAGTAGGACCCCCAGTGCCCCAGATGTGACAAGTAAAAATGTCTTCAGTCACTACCAAATGTCCCCTGGGCATAATACAGTCACTCCCGGTGGAGAACCACTGGTCTAGAACTTCAATTTGGACAGCAAAATCTGGACTTACTTTAGGACCCTGTCACACGCATGGATAAACTACCTGCAATGCTTTATGGCAAAACTTTTAAGAAGGTCAGGGGACATTGGGTTGCCAAGAAGAAATAGAATATTAATAAGAGCATAATTATACACTTTAGTTAATAAAACTAAGCCATCAGGCTAATCAGGAGATAATTGCAGAGTAGTTTACCAAACAATTGTTTTTGGCTATTCACTCAGCATGCATCTTTTGAGCTATGCTCCGTTGTGGTGTTAGTGCTTCTTGTTTGGTTGAAGGGCAATGAAACCATGAGCTGATAAAGTATGCATTTCTAGGTCTACCCCAAGGATGTCTTGGAATGACAAGGTGAGCATTCTTGTGAATATTTATTTATTTATTTACTTATTTGTTTATTTATTTTTGAGATGGAGTCTAGCTCCATCACCCAGGCTGGAGTGCAGTGACACAATCTTGGCTCGCTGCAACCTCCACCTCCGGGGTCCAAGCTATTTTCCTGCTTCAGCCTCTCTAGTAGCTGGGATTACAGGCATTCACCACCATGCCCGGCTAATTTTTGTATTTTTAGTAGAGACGGGGTTTCACCATGTTGGCCAGGCTGGTCTCAAACTCTTGACCTCAAGTGATCCGCACCCCCTCGGCCTCCCAAAGTGCTGGGATTACAGGCGTGAGCCACCACAACCTGGCCCATTTTTGTGAATTCTCATACTATTTACCATGACTGCCCCAACCCCTTTCTTATCTTGAGCACCCCATCCCTATTCCTCTAACTGTCTGATCAAAGAATGAATCAAATATCTGAAGAAATCCAGTTTTCTTTCAAGAAACAATCCAGGGATTCATTAAAACCTGTTGTGGCTATTGTGGGATCACCAAGCTTTCTGGGCTGACATCTTAATGAAGGGAAGAGTAGTGGTTCTTGGAGGCCAGAGCTAACTGCAGGGGCTCCTCGGTCATCCAAGGTGCAGTGTCCTGAATGTTCCTAGGCCAGCAGAGATGACAGGAGTCATTCTGATGACTTCAATGTTTGCATTTTAGATACTGTCAGAGGTGGGATGTGGGGGTGCTCTCCTGGAGGGACGAATATGTGCTGGGTACTGGAAAAAGAAGAATCTGTTTGCCATGAGAATTGAGCGATTGCTTTAAGGACAGCCATCCCTTTAGGGAAAGTCATCTATAGCAGACAAAGGCAGAGTTATTTTTATATTACATGCTTGTAAAGCCAGATTTGAAATTATTTCCTCTGGTGGTTTTTCTTTGAATAGCTGGGGGGTGTCCTACCACTGTTAGGCCCATATTCCGCTGAGAATTAAGAAGGCTGTCTTTCTAGTTCTGAGCACGGAGACTGGGTTATGATGAAGGCTGGTTACAGAGTAAAGTGAAAACCCTTCCATGTGGTTGTGTGTGGGAAAAGGATGGCATAAGTGGGTGGCACAAAAGGAGCGGGGGTGGGGGAGAACCCATTGTACCTTTGCAATATGGAGTTTGTATTCTGTTTCTGCCGACCTTCCTTGTGAGAAGGTTTGGGTATGGAAGGAAAACGCTGGCCTGGGAATCTGAGTAATGATGGAGGGAAGTTCTGTGCAGGTGATTCTGGGTTTATGGAAGGTCAGAGGATTCTCTTACTTTTCCCAATATTATGAGGTGAAGCTCCGCTTAAGGGCGTGCAGTTCGTGTATCTTTCCAGTCCAGCAGACTGATAATGTCTGCAGGTTGGGAGCGCCATGACTGATAGTAGCTGTGCCCGGTGTCTCAAGCATCTTGGAAGTGCTGTTCATTCATCAGGGGCTAGGAGATCCTGAAGGGGAGGGAGTCTGCATGGTTCTGGAGACAGGTAGACATTTTTCTGTTTCTTGTAGAGTTTATCTTCTCCACGGATCCCTGTAGAGGACAGGCTTGCTGACATTCACAGGATAGTAGTCCCAAGCCTGTGGCAAAAGGTATTTTTGGGTATGTCTGGAAAGCAAGGCAACTTGGTGGTTAGGATTGTAGGCTCTGGGCTCAGGGGCTTGGGTTTACATCCTGGACCCACCCCTGGCTTGCCGTGTAACTTTGTGTCAATTTCTTAACCCTTTAAGCCTCAGTTTACTCGTCAATACAATGGAAATTATAAATGGTCCCTCTCCCTTGGGGTTTTGGCAGGGTTAAATAAGATCGCATGTGACAAGTCTGGCCAGTGTGTATTGCACGAGTACTGGGTGCATTCAGCTGTTATGGTGTCAGTGGCATGAGGTACAGAAAGGAATGACTGGATTCCCAATCCCTGTTTTCTATTTAGGGATTTATTTATCCAGTCCCCTTCCCTCTGCAAAAATAGGACATGCTTTCATGCATTTTTTTTCTTTCCCATCATGTCCAACACTTACAGCCTGACCTTTCTCTTCCTTCTGGGTTGGGACGAATCGGTTCCCTGATGTTAACCCCGCAGCATGGCTTCTGGGTTACCAACTCCTGTTTTGCCAATGTGGAAACAGCCACTGTCTGGGTGCCCAGTCCCCCAGCTCTCGTGTGAGCCCTGGCAACCCTGGCTGCCTGCCTGCATGACCGTGTGCTCCAGGCACGTGGCTGTGCCCTGTGGAGCTTGCCCAACGCTGTGTGGTGTGCTGGCTTGCTTTTTTTTTTTTTTTTCCCTCCTCCCCCTCGCTTCCCTTCCCAGGAGAATGACAGCAAGTGCCAGCAAGCAATTGTAATCCTGACCCTGGCATGAGAAAGCTGAGCTCTGGAGGGCAGTTCAGATGCCAGGGAAACCTGTTCTGTCCAACATTCTAGCCAGACCCCAAACCTGGCCCTCTCTCCTGCCTGTCTGCCCAGAGGCCCTGTCTTCTCTGCACTGCTGCGGTGGGCAGGATTCCTGGAGGCCAGCTCCTGCCAAGGGTCTTGGCAGAGTCTTTCCAGTTCAGCACTGTGCCTACCAGACTAGAAAAATAGCAATATAAAGACAGAATTAGGTGGAGGAGAAGGAAAGGGGGTGGGGGAGGTGGGAAGAAAAAAACCCTTGATAACATCCTAATGTAGAAAGCCAGAGGAGGGGAAGACAGCCGTGATTTATTAGGTTTCTCAGAAACCTCTCTTCCAATTAGCACTAATCACTTTTACCCAGGAATCATTTTTTATGTCTCAGCAATGAAAATGGAGGTAAGAGGGAAGGTAGTAGAGAAAGTAATAAGATGAAAAAAAGTAGAAAATAACATATTAGAGAGGTACAGGGCCTGTGTTTGATTCTGTAATGGGTGTGGGTGAGAATATTGGTCACAGCTAATATTGATTATAGTATTTGGCCCTCCCCCAGCAAATGTCTTGTCCTAAAGCTACTAAACCACTGTTTTTCTATAAATTTAAATTTCCCTCAGACTTAGGTGCCTCTGTCTCACCATGCACAATGTCTGTCAGAATGTCCTGTGTTTGAGACACCAGTCTATACGGGCAATATAGCAGTAATGTTTTTTAGAGCACAGAATTGAATAAACAAAACAGCCTGAGTGTGAATCCTGACTTTGCCACTCATTAGCTGCTCACGATCTCAGGCAAGTCATTTAAATGCTCTGAGCTTTCAGTTTCTCATCCGGAACTTTGGAATAATCATTGGACCTGCCTCATAGGACTGTTGAAGGTCATATGAGCCAATGCATGCAGAGTAATTGTCACAGTGCCTCGCACACAGCAAGTGCTTAATAACAGCTGCTGCAAGCAGCACCTTCACCACCATCTAATCTCATTTCCCATGGGAGGACCAAGCGTGGGGCTCAGAAAGAGTCTTGATACTTTTCCCTTCCTAGCTAATTAAGAACACTGGTCAAGAAATTTGGATTTCTCTCCTGCTTCTCTGCCAAGTCTTGCTTGCCCTTCTCTTAGCCTTTGAATTTTAGGTGACCTTGAGTAGCTAACTGTACCCTTTACTCATTCTTCCTGGCTCATGGGATTAAATAAACAAAATGCATTTTGAAGAAGTTTTTTTGTTTGTTTGTTTTTTGAGACAGGGTCATGCTCTGTGGCCCAGGCTAGAGAGCAGTGGCGCGATCATGGTTCACCACAACCTCAACCTCCCAGGCTCAATAGATCCTCCCACCTCAGCCTCCCAAGTAGCTGGGACTACAGGCATGCACCACCACACCTGGCTAATTTTTGTATTTTCTATAGATACAGGGTTTTGTTATGTTTCCCAGGCTGGTCTTGAGCTCCTGAGCTCAAGCAATCCACCGACCTTGGCCTCCCAAAGTGCTGGGATTACAGGTGGAAACCACTGTGCCCTGCCCAAAGAAGTTCTTGATTAGATTTCTTCCATGTCATATTTGCTAATAGATCAGTCAGTTACTGCTACCATTGAATTTTTAACAATAGACATTAATAATTATATTTAAAGGCAATATAGTGACCTTGGGGGTAAGGAAACCATAAAGGTATGTTATGGTGTTTCAGAAGGAGAAGGTTCAGTTTATCCTCCGGCTTGCAAGCAAGACTTTACATAAGCATTCCAGAATAATAATTCCTCCTCTCCCCAAGGGGTTCTTTAATGAGTAAATCCTTAATCTTTCTGAACCTTGATTGTCTCTTCTGCAAAGCAACATCCTTGTTGGGTTTTTGTGAGCTTTCTAAAGCTACTGTGCAAGAAAGATCCAGCTTGGTGCCCTGTACATAGTAGCCAAGCCTTTACCATAAGTCAGTTCAGTTACTTTTCTCTAAGAAATGATACCATGATTAGAAAACAACAGAGGACTTTGGGAGGCTGATGTGGGAGGATTACTTGAAACCAGGAGTTTGAGAGCAGCCTGGGCAACATAGCAAGACCCATCTCTACAAAATATTTTTTTAAAAATATTAGCTGGATATGGTGGCACGTGCCTGTAGTCTTGGCTACTTGGGAGGCTGAGGCAAGAGGATCGCCTGAGCCCAGGAGTTCGAGGCTGCAGTGAGCCTTGATTGCATCATTACACTCCAGCCTGGGTAACAGAGTGCAACCCTGTATCTAAAATTAAAAATTAAAGAGAAAGCAACAGAGGAGGTTTTAGGAGGCGAAGAGCAAGGTGTATGGTCCCAGAAATAGCATCTGTTTTTGCTCTGTGCTTTGGTGTTTTGATTTGTGCACCCTGAGGAAGAGAGACAAGAGTACAATTTGGCTGCTAGTTTCAAGAGACAGTGATTTAGTAGGGAAGATAAGACTTTTAGGCAAAGTGATGAGTGACAGGACAAACTAGCATGTTCTCAGTGTCAAATGACGGGTATATAGAGGCCTCCAATATCTGCTGAAAAGAGGAGGTTGAAAGATTAATCAAGAAAATGAATATAAATAAGGGAGCAGTATAGCCAATAAGAGCTGCCAGACCTCACAGGAAGAAGCCTTTGCTCAAGGCAAAGGTGCCTGGGGCGAGGCTTCTTGGAAGAGTTGTAGCCTGTGATGGGCCCGGAAGGAGGGGTGAGAGAGCCAGATTGGAGAGGTTAATGCCCCACAAAGTTATAGAGGCAGGAATGCCCACAGGGTGTTTTAGGCAACAGGGTGTAGATCCAATTTGGCTGGTGCAGAAAATTCATATGAAGGAGTCAGGGAGATGAGTCAGAGAGGTTGGTGCCAGTCAGGCTGACAACTTCATGAGTACCAGGCTGCAGAGCTTGAACTTTATCCAGTAGGCAATAGGGAGCCATTGAAGGTTTTTCAGCAGGAAAGTGCATGTGAACATTTCCACTTGAGTTCAAGGTTGGATTTGAAACATTTTTAGAAACTTGACAATAGTTTCCTCTGGCAAGCCAGGATTTCCTTATTTTTATTATTTTGAAAATAAATACTCTCCCTTGAACATCAAACAGCTTTTCAAAACACGATGTTCTAATGATCTAGAGAAAGTAATTCAAAAACACAGGGTTTAGGTTTCATTTATAAAACCCATAATTTTGGTGATTGGGGGAAACACTCTTTGGCAAGGAAATAGTTTGAGGGATTTGACTGGTTCAGAATTTAAAAGTCCAAAAGCAGGCCTGGTCTCATAGGAGTAGAAAAATAGATTTTAATAAACCCAACTCATTAACGTTCATCACTTTTAAATGCCTCTATTTTATACAGCTTACTAGGTTTGCAAATAAGTATATTGAACCAGATGTTATGTGTATGTGTGTGTGTGTGTGTGTGTGTGTGTGTGTGTGCGCGCGCATGTGTACGTGGGCATGCGTGCATTTGGGTTTGTGGGTGGGGGTGGGAAGGTTAATGTCTCAGTGATACAAATAGTACCTGATTGTAAGGATTACCTGGGGCAGTAATATCAAGCTAAAAATACTTAGCCAAGTTTCTGGCTAGCTTAAATCAGTTTTACTCCTGGGAAACAAAGGAGTCATTATTACAGTTTTGCATTCTTGAGTCCTGACCTTGTATTTGTGGCTCCCTTCTTCCCTGAAAACAGAACTGTACATCATGCTTAGATATGGGATGTGTGTGTGTGTGTTTCATATTGGGAGTACTAGTAAAGGAAAGGGACATTGTGGGAGGGGATCGGATTGGGGGGGGTTGGACTGCTGAATGTCAAGTGCATGAAATGACTTGCTCAAGCACCCCCTGAAGTGTGCTCTGATATCAAGCCAAGATTTCAGAAGGCTGAAAGAGTTGCCATAACCCAATCTAGTTCACTTAAATAGAAAATAGCTGTCAAGGTGGGCAATTTCACCTCCAGCTACATAGAGTAGACAATTACAGGAGTGTTGGCAGAATCGAGTGTCTGCTGGGGGAGAAACTATAGTATTTGTTTCTGTTAAATTGGCTTGTGGTGGGTACAGACTCCATGACCGAATGTGGAAATTCCTAAAATGTTGGTTTTCCTTCTTTTCTGACTTTTACAAACTAATGTTACTCTCTTAACTCACTACCCATCCAATCTCATTTTCTTTCCTGAAAAACTACACAGCTCCCCTGTCACACAGGGTTCGTAAAAGTTTCGTTTTTAGAAGTTTAATCTGGGATTTGTTTCCTTAATGATCTTTGGAAGAATGCTTTGGAATTTGAGGTCTTATAATGAGACATGGCTTGTGGCTATTAAACCCTGTTGCCTCTCAAATTTTGCCTGGGAGACCCTAGATTCCTAAAAACAATGAGTGCATGCTACAGAAAGATGCTTCAGGGAGCTACAACACTAAATCATCTGTGACAAAATGTTCTCTTAGAAAGTGGAATTGCATAAATGGATCAGCAGAAATAAATGCTTTGGCAGAAATTCCTTGAGTGGGGAAGAGCAATGCTTTCTTTTCTAATTAGCTCTGGGTAACAGTCTGCTGTGGTGTCTTTGCTGTGGAACCCAGGCATGGACAGTAGAGCAGGAAAGTCTCATCACTGCTCTCTAAGTGCTTCTGCACTTAATGGAAAGAGTTAAGCACGCCTGTCCATTTGTACCCAATAAATGCCTCTTGAATTGATTTGAGTGGCGAAGGTTTGTTTGGGGGAAGGATGCCACCAGGCCCTGACCAATGGGAATCAATGCAGCAAACCAGATGAACAAGATCATCTAGATATGCAGTAATCAGATTACCCAGAACAGAAATCTCAATACCCCAAGATATGAGGGGTTATTTTAAGGATAGTGGCAAACAGTTAAACTCAGCCTGCCCTGAGGATTGAGCAGAAGACTGAATTCACCTTAGTCATTATGATGTGGGCTGAGTTAGTAACACTGAAGGAGACCATGCAGGCTTTTACTAGAGAACTATGAAAACAGGACAGAGATCTCAGATCCAATTAGTACTGGATCAAAATAGTATTGTTTTTAAAAGGCCAAAGGCCATTGAAAGATTTATAGAGGAAAGAGTAAGTAATATAAAATGTAAAGATGGAAATAAAGCCTTGAAAGAGTTCCTGAAGACAAGAAGAGAGAAATTTGCAGAACTGACCTTGTAAGAATTTCATAAAATTCATTTCATTATGATTGATTTCTTTGTATTAGTACACCTTCCTGGGGAAGTGAGTATCTTTTTTCCTCATAAAATCTAAAGCATGTTTATTTCAAATGGGCAGTGACAACTAAATGATTTAAAAATAATATTTATATTCATGTCAAAAAAGTTATTTTTAACATTATAAGTGAAATTTACCCAAACATAGTAGGCCAGATAATGATATTTAGTTATTGGCTTCCTGGAAGACTGATGACAGGAAGATTCAGTATTACACAAACTAGGTATAAAGAAGCAATTTAGGTCTACTTATTTTATTTCTCCTTTGAACCTCTCACTTGCCTGACAGTAGCATTGCATTGATTGAGATTTTATGATCATTTTATCTTGAATTGGTTAAACTAAAATTTATATCTTTGTCTTCTTTATAAAGAAAGATATTACTAGCTGGGCACAGTGGCTCACACCTGTAATCCCAGTGCTTTGGGTGGCCAAGGTGGGAAGATCACTTGAGGCCAAGAGTTCAAGACCAACCTGGGTAACCGAGTGAGACCCCATCTCTACATTATATATATATATTTTTAATTTAAAAAGAAAAAATATTACCAAACAGATTAATTATGCAAACATAATTTTGGGACACAGAGTTAACTTGAGGACAAAATAGTTTTTAAAGATTTTAACTGTGTATATATAAATTAATATCCTGAACCACAAGTGCGTATTAGTGAATAGCAAAAGAATTTTTTTCATTCTGACATTTCAGTAATTCAGATTAGCATTCCCACCAAATTGTTGCCAGTTATCTCCATCTGTCCCCTTCTCCATTCCCCCCCACCACTCAATTTTCATATCTTTAAAATTAAATTTTCATATAAGTATATGGAACCAAAATATTATTTTCATTCATTTACCTGCCACCAGAGAGGATGTCATCGGCCAACCCGCAAAGGTGGTGGGATCTACCAGCCATATAACTCTTCTGCATTTGTTCCCTCCATTGTAAGTGAGGGTGCTGATACCTGCTTCAGAGGATTCCTGGAGAAGTAAATGAGATGATACATGTACAGCACTTAGAACAGTGCTCAGTATATAAATGGCAGCTTTCAGCAGTTTTATTTTTATTCTACAATTACTATTCCTTCTCTTCTTCCACCTCCATGGCTATTTTATGGACACTTAAGTAGGAACACATCTTGTGTTACAGCAATGCTATAGCAGTGATGGCCTGGAAACTGCTTTTGAGTTATTGCAGGGAAGAAAGGATCAGGAAGAGATACAGCAGGTGAGCACCCTGTGTTTTTACACCTGTGAGAAGATACATCCCACCTCAAACACCATTTGTGGTCCTATCACCCTAGCATGTCACAGTGTAATTGCCTGCTTTCTTGGATAGCTCTTTGAATAGATGTATGCTCTGTGAGCCCTGGCTGTGTCTTCCATCTCCATATGCCCTGCTGTGCCTGCATATGTCTTCTGGTGCTATGCCTGGAAGATCTTGAGTGGGTAAGGGTGAAAGGGAATTTAGAATACATTTCCTTTGGTGCTCTAGAGCCTTTCCAACATACTGCCAGATTTGTGTTTTAGGTTTCTTCTTTTTACCCTTGGTGACACTTCTGGGCCATAAAGTAGTGAACTGGCTGTCCTCTAGTTGTTGTTGATGGGCTCTTGAGTGATGTGGAGGCAGGATAATGGGTTTTCAATGGTCACAAAACTCCCTGGCCTTCTGCTCTCCTTAGTGTGAGTCTCTCAAATACATAATTCTTAACTCTCCTTTCTCTGTACCAGAGGGAAACGTGGCAGAGAGGGGTCCAGATAGGAAAGAATGGACTCTTCTGCTGAAGTGAAATGGAAATACAAGGAAATTGTAAAAACAAAAATAGATTATTTGGAAGAAATGTCTAAAAACGGTTTTTACACAAAGGGGACAACTAGAAGTTGATCGATTTAAGAATTGAGATTAACCTGGTATGACTTTGGTTTCCAGCTAGATTACAGCTGTGGGGTTCTTGGCCCTTGGCATGGGTCACGCTTGATACAGTATGTTGTGCACTGTACATGTGGATGTGGCAGGGTAAGGCTTTTAAAGGTACAGCAGTCTTGAGGGATTACAAAGTACATCAGCATGAAACTAGGCAAGATTTTAGCCTCTTGTGAGGGATGTTGAATTTCAGCTAAAGCTCCCTCAGCATATTTTTGTATCCCATCAAATATCTCTGAGTCGCGGCCAGGCGCAGTGGCTCATGCCTGTAATCCCAGCATTTTGGGAGGCTGAGGAGGGTGGATCACTTGAGGTCAGGAGCTCGAGACCAGCCTGACCAACATGGTGAAACCCCGTCTCTACGAAAAATACAAAATTAGCCAGGCGTGGTAGCAGGTCCCTGTAATCCCAGATACTCAGGAGGCTGAGGCAGGAGAATCGCTTAAACCCGGGAGGCGGAGATTGCAGTGAGCCAAGATCGTGCCATTGCGCTCCAGCCTGGGCAACAAGAGCAAAACTCCATCTCAAACAAAACAAACAAAACAAAAAATATCTCTGAGTCTGTCTCCCCTTTTATAAAAGAGTGAACACAATGCTCCTAAGTTTAAATCAGATAAATTCAGTATGAAATCATAGCAATAGCCATTATGTGTTAAAACCAGCATTGTCCTAAACACTGACTGTAAGTAGTTGTAGCAAATCAACTCATATTAGAAATGATATTGGTCCCTGGAATTTAGTCTGTTCCCAAGAGGACTGAATGTTGTGAATACATTGCCAAAGTATGTTTTCTTTTTTTCTCCATCAGCCCTTCCATTCTGACTACAGGCAGCTTAAAAATAAATTTGGGCATATCTCAGTGGCCAAAAACCATGGAGATCAGGATGAAATCATTTTCAAGGCAGAAATAACAGGCGTTGATAAAGATATTCAGAGAAACACAGTCCTAATAGCATCGGCACGTGATTGTGGGGCCCTTTAGTCACCAAGCTAAATTGAATTTGGAATCAGGGGTCTACTGAAAAGCCAGGAAACTTTTGAGCAAGTCACTTGAATTCTGAGCCCCCATTTCCTCATCCAGAACATGATGGCCTATTTTGCAGGATTGTCATGCAAGTTAAATTACATTAAACAAGCTATCAGTAAAAAGGATGTGGGACTGTGCCTACTCGGATTGTCACCCAGTGAGTTTTAATTCGGAGTCCGAATCTGGTATTTAAAGGCCACGTTCTAAAATGCACTTGTAGTTAATATCTTTGGAGTCTTGCTTCCAGGTTTTTGAGTTGCTGGACTGGGTCTTTGTAAGCTCCGTGATGCTGCTTTGGGAACACAAGAGATCTAATCTGTAGTCCTGGCTATGCTATTAATTGCAAGTATAACCTTAGGTGTTCAGCTTCTCTGGCTTTTACTTCTTCATCTGTAAAATGGGAATAATCTACGTCCTTCTAACTTACAAGTATGTCATAATAGAAAACTGACCAAACAGTTTACATCAATGTCCATTATTATTTCCATTGGCTTTTAGGCGGCAAGAGATGGAAAACACGTAGCAACAATTTCAAAGGTAGGCCAGTTCCAAAGAGCACTGAACTTGGAGTCAGCCAATCTAGGTTCTAAAGCCAGTTTGTCAGCATTAGATGTCTCTGGACAGGACAGGTCACCAAATCTCTCAAAGCCTAATTTTTCTTGTCTATAAAATGTAGGTGCTGTTTCTAGCTCTACGACTCTGTGTTCAAAGACTACTATGTGCTGGAAGACGACTAACATTCACATTTTGGTGAATGTCTAAAAAAATTTAAAGCCTCTTGGGGGTAATGGAGCTGCTCCCAAGCCAAGTAGTAGATGGATTAAGAATCTGACATTCTTCCACTCATAAAGGATGACAGAGTTTAAAAACTAACGCTGAAAAGCAAAAAACATTTGACACCTTTTGGAATAAAAAAATCAACAATAATCAAGCTAGTTACTTCCTTAAAAAATGGTCTTCATGCCGAATGGAAACCACCAGATTCTCTCTGGTGTTCAGCATTCCAGAACAACCCTGAAAATAAATTATCTGGCTGGAATCATTGCTCCAACGGTTGGATTTCTTAGTGGTCGTTTACTAGCCAGACAAAATAATTTTTTTATAAAGAAAAGAAAAAAAAAAGGAAAGCCCACAGAAGGAAACACCCCAGGGCCCACTGCTGGCTCTTTTGATGGCAACTTTTCTAGGAGGACAGTGGCCAGAGGGGGCCTTTGGCTGCTCCTCTAGGTGGCTGGAGTCAGGTTTGTAGGACCTGCCTGTGATAGTAGGTTTCATCTTGCAACTGGCTCTGATGGATTAGTAGGTGCCTGAGAAGTCATTTTGAAAGGGTCTGAGGCTCGGTCTGGGCTCAGTGAAGAGTTCTGTGATTAATTAGTGATGTCTGCCCTTGGCTTGGGTGGGGCAGTACTGGTGCCTGGTGTTTGCTGTCCTGCCAGAGCAGGTTTGGAAGATCCTTTAGTAGTTGTCCTTCTACTGGGCAGCAGATCAAGGACTCAGGCCGGTGTTGCTTCCGATGTCCTGGAAAAGTGTTTTCTGAGCCTCCAGCACATAATGTTTTACTCTCTGAAGGAGGCTTATTCTGATTAGCTTAACAGAGGGTATGGAAGAAAGGAAGTCTATTGATTCAGCTCCTTGGTCACGAGACAGGAATTGCAAGGTGGAGGGAAGCTGTAATTCCAACACGTAAGTCCATGGATACTCCAGTAAAGCACAGGCATAGGTGCCACTGATCCAGCAGAGGCAGCCACAAACCACAGGCCCTGGTAAGCTGCCTGTGGCCAGAGGTCATGGCTGCAGATTCCAGGGAAACTGCGTCCTCGGTAGGCAGTCAGCCGTACACTCCATACTTGCGATTCTTGATATTTGAAATCAAAATCAAAGTGCAGCCACTTTCTTTAAGGAAGCTTTGGAGAACTTGCCAGTCTGTTTAGGATTGAAGGTGATTCTCAGTTATCCATGCTAAAGGAACAGATAATCTGAAGTTTATTTCTCCTCAGCTGTGGAACGTGCTTTGCGTTTTTGTGCTGTTGATCTGCTTTCCTGGTAAGGTTTGAACTCTTCAGATTTTTCTTTCTATAAAGAACGGTTGAGGGGGAGTGTAGTGCTTTTTGCAGCTCCCCCAGTATGTTTCTAACATAGCCAGCCAAATGTCTCTGAGCCCTTCCAGCCTCCTAACTTTAAATCCATGAACTGCACCAGGGAAATAATCAACCAGTTGCAATTTGTTGAGCACTTACTGTGTGCTCCCTGGGATCCAGGTAACTGTGTGACAAGGACTTGATCCAAGAGTGTGTTGGGCAATAGGGTGAAGTGGGCTCCAGGTTAAACATTGGCTATAGGGATTTACAAAAGAGTTCACTGAGAGTGGGCCTGACTTCCTCTGCTACTGCTGTTTCCTGTTGTTTCCAGTAACTGCACTTGAGCTCTGCATACGGTTAACTTTCAATTATCCTGAGGCTGATTAACTGGTTTGCAGATTAACCAAGGTGAAGGCTCACCTGGGCCTGGGAGTCGCTCATCAACTCAGCTGCTCCATAATTAGCTGGTGATGGCTGATTGCCTGCCCCATGGTTGGGAAGCCTGGGCACTGGGCGACTGCAGGGGAGGGGGACCAAGGGATGACTTCTTCCAGGACCTTCTACTCTCTCCAACCAGAGGTGCCCTCTAGCCCTGTAAACTTCTGCATTCTCCAGCACAGTTCCTGAGAGGTTCAGAAGTTACCTGGGTCCTGGTGCTCTGCTCCTGCTACCTTTCAGCTCCTGCCCCCAACACCCTGTTCAAATTGGGAACAAGTTGACCACAGGGCACAGTGAATTTGAAAGTCCGGAGATTAAGTCATATGTTGAAAGAGGGCCCAGTGAGCAGGGGCCACTAATCCCCTTTCTTCCTCAACCTAGGAACCTCCTCCCTTCCCAAGATATAGATATATATAGATTGAGACCCTGAGCAATGGATCTCTTTTGAGGCCAGTGGAGACCAAGACCACTGAAGCAAGGAGTCAGGGACTGCCCACAACAGCAAAGCTCCCCAGAGTCCAGGCCACCCCATGGTGATTGTTTGGGTTCCCTGTGATTGCCTCCCATGGCTGCCCTCGTTCATAGAGAGTTGACTGCATTTGCCTGGGTCCCTGTGGGGTGAGAGTATGGAAGTATGTGTATTAGTCACACCTTACACCAGACCAGAAGATATACAGTTTAACCTAGGAGTCAAGCTCCTGCTATATTTGGAATGGTCTCAGTTTTGAGACGTGGTACCTTGGATCCCAGGTATATCCAAAGTCTTGAGAGTGTCCATTGAGGACTTTGGTCTGTAGCCACCAAGAAAGAGTAAACATTTGTGCAGGATCATGTTTGATGGGATTCCATGGATTGTTTTCATTTCTTAAGCAGCATTCCCCTGAGCCTTTGACATGTCTTTCCATCTCTGGCTGTGTTCTCACTTGCATTTGCCAGGCCTGCAATGCCTCTGCCTTGATACAACACAGTGTGCCAGCAGCTGCAGTCCCTTTTCAGCCAGGGCCATGGGTTTCCTTGGGTCCTTCTCTCTGGCTCACGTTTTCCAGGGCTGTTGGTGTGTACAGTCTAGAGATCACATTTTATTAACACAAAGAAATCTGCTTGGGCTGCCTGGCTCTTGCAGTCACGTGGAGAGAAATGTGTTCCTTTGGTCCTTCAGCCTGCAGCACTCTGTGCAAAATACAGCAGAGAGCTGGGCACTGGGCCAAGCTTACATTTCACTTCGGAACACACTTTCGCATCACTCCTTGGCAGAACATCCACGGTGGTGTCTATTTGGGGAGTAAGTTAGAGAAGTGTTGTTTGCCTCTTATGAGTGTCGAGAGATAGGACCTTTAGAAAATGTTTTACTTTTGCGCCTGTCTTCATCTTCTTCGCGGTGCCCAGGTACTGAGGTGATCCAGCTAAATGTGGCAGTGATGCCTGAGAGAAGCCCCTTCCTTCCTCGGGCCACCCTTTTCTCTTGCAAAATCAGTAAACAGAGCCAGGACTGCCTGGGACAGGGAAACTTAGGCCAAGGTAATAACATCAAAACCAAAGTCCTGGAACTCTTGAGTAAGCTAGTTACCCTCCCAGATAAAACAACTTTGTTGTCCAAATCTTCTTTCCAAAGATCTAAGACCTTTCTAATGTTGGTCCAAGGCCAGCCATGGAAGGAAGGAACTTCAGCAAGCCGCCTGGAATGGCAAACACTGTTAAAATAAACAAATGGACCTTTGCCATTTGGTTTTCCCTGACTTGTCTATTTTTATTTCTTTTCTCCCCCCACCCTTGTACTTTACCTCTCGATAGTACCCCCCTTTCTCCACCCCTACTCCCATTCTCATCTCACTTTTCTCAGGGGCCAAGCTGGCTGTTTTGCCTTCAGTAAAACAAATATCTAATTTCAAAAAGAGGAATTAGGAGAAAGAGGTGGTATAATTCATTTCTTGGGGTAATCTCGCTTCCCTCAGCTCCTCTATTGTCTGTTCTTGTAGGTGGCCACCTGAAGCTTGACTTGCTTTTGAAAATAAAGTTGGTTTTGGAATTTTAAACCTTCCTTAGGAAAGACTTGAATGGTTAGAAAACAAAGATTTATTGGAATAATAATGACGTTTCTTTTCTCAATGAAATAGACCCCTCTCATAACAAACGGTTGAAAATAAACTCTTTTTCCCCATCACACCAAGCCATAAATTCCATAAGGATTTCCCAGCGCCAAGCCTTATTCAGAGTCTTATATTTACTGCTTTGGAATGTTACTTTTGCCATCAGTATCATCCAGCCAAGCAACAACCAATCAAGACTTACAGAAACTTTTCCAGCTAGATGCATGTGCCAGGCTGCTTCTTCCTTCCATGATGGAAGGCCTCCCTTGTCATAGAGGATGCCCAAAATCTCAGGGACTGGGATACAGCCTCCTGCCAGTCTGTGGGTACAGTCTTTGCTTACTCTGCAGAAGGGAGGTGACAGAAACCCATTCCACCTGTCTCAGAAACCTGCTGGTAATTAACTTTAAAAATAATGCCAAGTTCTCACGTGGCTGGTAGATGCATTAGCTCAATCAGGGGGGAGGCAGGGGAGAAGCATGCTGCTTCAAAGAGTAATACTGTTGCAATCACATTAGTCATTCCAGGGGAGGTTAGATAAGGTTATTGAAAAGGTGAAGTCACCCTGTACATTGAAAGAGGTCTTCTGAAAGTGTTGAGAAATAGTTGAAGTTCAGAAGTTTTATTTGGAGCTTTGCTCCCCCTTCCCCTTGTAAATAAGACCAGTATTTTTTAAAAGCCACATTTTCTTTGTTTGATCGATGAACACTCTCATAGTTGATGATTGAGAGTCATCTACAGCCAGTATCAAGGGTCAGTTCTGCATTACTCATGTGTAGATTATCTCTTTGGTATACTAGCCATGGTCACTGTGTAAGCCCTGGCCAGTTGCCACCCAGCATAACAACACCATAAGGCATCTACCCCCTGCCTGCACTTGGGAAGTGTTCAGGGAATGTAATTTCATTTTATAATTAAGTGAAACAATGCACAGTGCATTTCCTTGGTGGATTCTAACAGCAGGACAGTTATTATTCAGAAAGGACTGTGTCTGGACTACTTTGAGAATCAGTAGTTTAAGTTGTTGCACCTGTGTTTGGCCTATCCTCATACCAGTGTAAATACTTCAATCCTGCAAGATTTTCTCATTTTGCATAAAACAGGTGAAGGTTTGTTGAAGTCCATCTTCCAAACTCCCAAAGTACTCTGGATACCTTGGTAGGTCCTTGTGGACTCCCTGTTGTTGACTTGCAAGTTTCCCAGAGGTGGGGACTGGCTTTTATCTCCAGCACCTAGGCAGCTGCTTTGTACCAGAGTTGATATACAGGAAACATTTGTTGAGTGAATGAAGTAACAAAGATACTAATTTCATTAGAAATGGTTTGAAATGAGTGCTTGTGTTGGCAGAATTTTGTCCAACATGGTTGGTCTTTGCAAAGGGTTATGATAGTATGATGCACGCCTTTGGGCCAGATGTGAGTCAGGATGGTCTTGGAGGAGGCGAAGTGCAGATATACCCCTGCTGATAGGCTCCTCATAATACTTCAGTGAGCTGTTTTTCTCGTGACTGTTTCACTATTTTCTTTTTTTCTTTTTTCTTTTTCTTTTGAGATGGAGTCTTACTCTTTCACCCAGGCTGGAGTGCAGTGGCGCAATCTCAGCTCATGGTAACCTCTGCCTCCTGGGCCCAAGTGATTCTCCTGCCTCAGCCTCCCGAGTAGCTGGGATTACAGGCATGCACCACCATGCCCAGCTAATTTTTGTATTTTTAGTAGAGAGGGAGTTTCACCATGGTGGCCAGGGTGGTCTCTAACTCCTGACCTCAAGTGATCCGCCCTCCTTGGCTTCCCAAAGTGCTGGGATTGCAGGTGTGAGCCACCACGCCCGGCCAGTTTCACTGTTTTCTGATTGGTAAACATTCAAGGCTGGATGCCATGGCTCACGCCTATAATCCCGGCACTTTGGGAGGCCAAGGCAGGTGGATCACTTGAGCTCAGGAGTTTGAGACCAGCCTGGGCAATGTAATGAAACCCCATCTCTACCAAAAACAGAAAAAAATTAGCCAGGTGTGGTGTGGTGTCCCAACTACTAGGGAGGCTGAAGTGGGAGGATCGCTTGAGCCCAGGAGGCAGAGGTTGCAGTGAGCTGAGATTGCGCCACTGTACTCCAGCCTGGGCAACAGAACCACACCCTGTCTCAAAAAAAAAAAAAGTTAAATTAAAAAAAATATTCAAGAATGAAGAGTGTTTTCAGAGAAGAGGATTTAGATGCTTACAAATAAAAGTGGATATTGACCCCCCAATTTTCCACCCTTTAATCACAGAGACATGATTGGAAGTCAGCAGCTCCAGCCTGCATGTTCCCAGATCACCTGTAAGAGTTCTTAAAACTCATCCCACAGGTTCTTAATTGGGATTTTTAACTGGGTAAGTAGAGAAGCTCCATGTTGGGTGTGGGGAAGGGAGGATGCAGATGGATATAAATTTTTTTAAAAAAACATCAACTTATGTTTCTTTGGTTAATAGATGCAGGAGAATGCCTCTTCTCTCCATGTGGCATGTCAGGGTATAGCTTCTTTGAGCACAGGATTTGGTTTACAGAATGGCATGTCTCCCCATGCCAGCCAGTGATAAGGGGCACTAAAACAGACTTGGCCTTGCTAAAGGCTTCCAAGCACCAGGCCATGAGCAGTTGACCCCACCACAGAGGTATGTACAGCTGGCAGGAAGCTGCCCTTCTGGTTCACTGACTCAAGAGTTGGAGCAGATTGATCCCTGGATTTGCAGTGCCCTCAATATCGCTGCACAGAATTCATTCTATGTACCCCAGGCCCTATGTGCCCACAGCAGGAAATATAGTGTGAGCCTCTGGCAATATCCAGAGTTGCTTGAGCCTCCTCACATTTGCTTCTCCTATTCAGTTTAGTGTGCCTCAGTTTACTAATATGCTGGGGAAAATAACACCCCTCTTGCCAAGGTGAGATAGCAGAGTTCTCTGCATAAAATAGTGCATAAAATTATTCCTATGACAAGGCATTTGAAAAATTACTTTGAGAATGACTTAAAATACAGAACAATTTTTTTAAATGTGGCAAACATCCTTATTCTTATCACCCAGAATTAACAATTCAGTACAGTTGCCATATATTCATATATAAATTTACCTATATATTCATATGTGAATCTAGACATTGCAGATTCACTTGGGGGTCTCAGGGAACTTTTTATAAAAAGAAATGCATTTAGTTCGTAAGGCCTGATTGAGATAATTCCAAGTCTGTTTTCTCAGCTCTTAATCCTTCCTAGCACTTTGCATTCATTGTATTAATAAATAAGCCTGTTTTCAGCCTAGTTAGAAAAAAAAAGGCCAGCCTCATTCATTAGAATTCTGCGTTCCCTTTGGTTATTCTTTGTTGGAGAGAAGGGGGCTCACTGGTACAGAATTCCAAGATATTTCGCTTTGGAATGTGAAAGGAGTCTCTCTTGACAACCCAAGGAGAACCTGCCTCAGAATGATCTTTCTTCCTCAGTGCTGGAAAATGAAAACCAGACAAATAAGCACAACCAACATTAACAGAAGGCCTTGGTACAGCCTCAAGAATTAAAGTGCTGTACTCTATGGAAAACAGTGTGGAGGTTCCTCAGAAAACTAGAAATAGATCTACCATATGACCCAGCAGTGCCACTGCTGGGTGTACAGCTGTACTTCGTTTTATCGGACTTCACCATATTACACTTTGCCGATAGTGTGTTTATTAAAAATTGAAGGTTTGTGGTAACCCTGCATTGCACAAGCCTTTTGGCACTATTTTTCCAACAGTATGTGTTCACTTGGTGTCTCTGTCATATTGTGGTGGTTCTAGCAATATTTCAAGTTTTTCATTATTATTATATGTGCTATGTTGATCTATGATCAGTGATCTTTGATGTTACTATTGTTATTGTTTGGGGGCACCATGAGCCACACCCATATAAGATGGTGAACTTCATAAATGTTACGTATGTTCTTCTGACTGCTTCACCAACTGGCCGTTCTCCCATTTCTCTCCCTCTCCTTGGGATTCCTGTTCCCTGAGACACAACAATATTGAAAGTAGGCCAATTAATAACCCTATAATGGCCTCTAAGCACTCAAGTGAACAGAAGAGTCGCAGGTCTCTCACTTTAAGTCAAAAGCTAGAAATGAGTAAGCTTAATTTTGAAGGTAGGTCGAAAGCCAAGACAGGCCAAAAGCTAGGCTTCTTGAGCCAAACAGTTAGCTGCATTGTGAATGCAAAGGAAAAGTTCTTGAAGGAAATTCAAAGCACTACTCCAGTGAACACACAAATGATTAGAAAGTGAAACAGCCGTATTGCTGATATGAAGAAAGTTTGAGTGTCCTGGATAGAAGATTAAACCATCCACAACATTCCCTTAAGCCAAAGCCTAATCCAGAGCCAGGGCCTAACTCTCTTCAATTCTGTGAAGGCTGAGAGAGGTAAGGAAGCTACAGAAGAAAGGTTTGAGCTAGCAGAGGTTGGTTCATGAGGTTTAAGGAAAGAAGCCATCTCTATAACAAAAAGGTGCAAGGTGAAGCACCAAGAAATGATGTAGACACTGCAGCAAATTTTCCAAAAGATCTAGCTAAGATCATTGATGAAGGTGGCTATACTAAACAACAGAGTTTCAATATAGACTACACAGCCTTATATTGGAAGAAGACACCATGTAAAAGTTATAGCTGGAGATAAATCCATGCCTGGCATCGAAGGACAGGCTGACTTTTGTTAGTGGGCAATGTAGTGGGTGACTTTAAGTTGAAGCCAGTGCTCATTCACTGTTCCAAAAATCCTAGGGTCTTTGAGAATTATACTAAATCTACTCTTCCTGTGCTCTGTAAATGGAACAGCAAAGCCTGGATAACAGCACATCTGTTTACAGCATGGTTTGCTGAATATTTTGAGCCCACTGTTAAGACCTACTGCTCAGGAAAAAAAATCCTTTCAAAATATTACTGCTTATTGGCAGTGTACCTGTTATCCAAAAACTCTGATGGAGATGTACAAGAAGATTAATGTTATTTTCATGCCTGCTAACACATTTATTCTTCAGCCTATGGATCAAGGAATAATTTTGACTGTCAAATCTCATTACTTAAGAAATTTACTTTTTAAGACAATAGCTGCCATTGATAGTGATTCCTTTGATAGATCTAGGCAAAGTAAATCAAAAGCCTTCTGAAAGGATTCACCACTCTAGAAGCCGTTAAAAACATTCATGATTCATGGGAAGGGACATTAATTAACTCCAACATAAACTGAAGTTAGTAGGAGTTGATTGCAACCCTTATAGTGGATGACTTTGAGGACTTCAAGGTTTCAGTGGAGGAAATAACTTTAGATGTGGCGGAAATAGCAAGAGATCTAGAATTAGAAGTAGAACTTGAAGATGTGACTGAATTGCTGCAATCTCATGATAAAACTTGAATGGATGAGGAATTGTTTCTTGCAGATGAACAAAGGAAGTGCTTTCCTGAGATGGAATCTACTCCTAGTGATGATGCTGTGAACATTGTTGAAATGCCAGCAAAGGATTTAGAATATTACATAAACTTAGTTGGTATAGCAGTGGCAGGGTTTGAGAGGATCGACTCCAATTTTGAAAGAGGTTCTACTGTGAGTAAAATGCTATCAAATAACACCGCGTGCTACAGAAAAATGTTTCCTGAAAGGAAGAGTCAATTGATGCAGCAAACTTCATTGTCGTGTTATTTTAAGAAACTGCCACAACCACCCCAACCTTCAGCAAACACCACCCTGATCGATTAGTAGCCACCAACATTAAGGCAAGACCCATCATAAGTAAAAATGGCCCACTAAAGGCTCAGGTGATCTTTACCATTGTTTAGCAATATAGTATTCTTAAGGCATGTACATTGTTTTTAGTCATAATGGTATTACACACTTAATAGATTACAGTATAGCATAAACATAAATTTTATATGCACTGGGAAACCAAAAAAAAAATGATGTGACTTGCTTTATTGGATTCTTAGCTTTATTGCAGTGGTCTAGAACCGGTCCTGCAATATCTGTGAGGTATGCCTTTATATCCAAAGGAATAGAAATCAGTCTTTCAAAGAGATACCGGCATTCCATGTTTATTGCAGCACTATTCACAGTAGCCAAGGAATGGAATCAACCTAAGTGTCCATCAGTGGGTGAATGGACAAAGAAAATATGGCATACATACACAATGGAATACTATTCCACCATAAAAAAGAATGAAATTCTATCACTTGCAGCAACATAGATGGAATTGGAGGTCATTTATGTTAAGTGAAATAAGCCATTCACAGGAAGACAAATATTGTATGTTCTTATTCAAATTGGGAGCTAAAAAGGTTGATCTCATGGAGGTAGACAGTAGAATGATGGTTACCAGAGGCTGGGAAGGTTAGCGGGGGCTGGGATGTGGGATTTAGAGAGGTTAGTTAAGAGGTACAAAAACACAGACGAAATAAGTTCAAGTGTTCAATAGCTACAGTAGGGTGACTATAGTTAACAAGGATTTATTGTATATTTCAGAATACATAGAAGATTTGAAATGGTCCCTTCACAAAGAAATGATCAATGATCCCAGTTACTCTGATTTGATCATTACACATTATATGCATGTATCAAAATATCCCATGTACTATATTAATATATACATTTTTTTAATTAAGATTTGAGGTGCTATATGTGCCTGAGGAGTTATAGGGGATGCCGGTGGAACGACCATTACATGTGGCAGCTGGACTGGGCAACGGCCGATCGCCACTGTGCTCTGAGGAGAGAAGGCAGAGCTTCCCCCTTTATCTGCTGGCTGGTGAAGTCCTGAGAACCGGGCAGTCAGCTAAGCACCAAGTTTTCTCTGACTACAGAGCTCCTATCAAACGGATGGGTAGAAAAGGAATGTTGTCATAATAGCTAACCCTTCTTTAGTGCTTCTTATAGTCTGGGCACTGGACTGAGGTTTATATGTGTTATATCATTAAAACTCAATCTCTGGGAACGACTGTTAGTACTTGGTAGGTATACTATTATTATTGTCGTTTTACAGATGAGAAAACTGAGGCCCAGAGAAAGTGAGCAAAATGGTGCTGGGGGCGATTAATAGGTGGCAGGGCTGGAACATGAAGCCACAGTCTGGCACCAAAGCCCATTCATGGAGCCCCAACTCAATGGGCTGCTTCTCAGTAGAAGGCTTTGCCTTGTGGAAGGTAGTAGAATGTCTAAAATCATCAGAACACCTGTGTGGATGGTACAACACGGTGACAGATATGTACCAGGGACCTAGATGTGGAGGGAGTGAGGAGGAAAGGAGCAACATATGCACCTCTGGGGAGGCCCTAAGGTCTCCTCAGCCAATTCCTAGGGAATTTAATTTTAAAGGACACAGAGAGGGTAGTTTTTAACACAGGTTTTACTTTTAAGTCATGAGGGATGACTTTCTAAGCCACAGTTCCTTCTGATAACGGTCTTAAAAGAGAAGCACCATGAAGTGATAAACACATCAGTCCAGGAAGATTTAGAGACAGCCTAGTAGAGGAGGATTGGAAACAGTGTGGCTGTGTCCCTGAGGGTGCTGGTGCTAAACCCACGGCACAGTCCATATCAGTCAAAGCTTCATTCTCCTTGTGCCCACACTATGCTGATCTGCCCCAGTGCAACAGGGAGACGCATATGGTCAAGAGAATGTGTCTTTCACGAATAGATTTTCTCCTTCGACCATGGTGAGAAGTCCTTGTAAAGAAGCATACATGAATATATGGATGTGTTGGGCATCAGCTGTGCGTGTGGCCCTCAGCCAGGTGAGTGGAGGAAGTTGGAGGCATTCAGTGTTCACCTCCATGTGCTTTTCAGAGACATACCTGGTGAGCTGTCTGCAGATACACAGCGTAGTGGGAGAGATACGCACGTGAAAGCAGCACAGGGCATGTAGCTAGCACTTGGTAAATATTAGTTTCCTTCCCCTTTCTGTGTGTAAGGCAAGTTGTACGAGCAAAGCATCCGCAGCTCAGAATGCAAAAATAGATCTCCATGTGGGGATGTGGCCTCTTTTCCCCAAGTGTGGACCAGATGTCAGGCCGCCTTGTGAGTACTCAAGGAATGTTACGGCTTCCTTCTTCAGGACTTCACTGCTTCTCTCCATATGGAGAAGGCTCCCTTTCCATGCACTTCCTGGATCTGAAAAACAAGAACAAGAAAGAGGATGGCTCTAAAGTCTCAGGAAATGGACCTTTCTATATCCTCCCTTTTAAAAAGCATTTGTATGTAGGTTTTTTAGGTCTTGCTGTCAAGTCGGATACACAGCTGTCATCTGTTATATCGGTGATTTAATAACATAATAAAAATTTATAGAGAACCACAAGCTCATGGATGTTTGTTTTGGAGTGCATTTATTCATCATTAGTATGGGTATTTTTAATCATTTACTGAGGGCCTAGCAAGGTGCTGGTAATTCAGAGATAAGGAAGATGTCATCCTTTAAACTTGAGAAGCTTATGAATGGCGAAGAGATATAATTAATTGTGAATGGAGTGTGGTAGATAGCATCAGGTTGTATATGAGGTAGAATCAGGAAAGCAAGAATGGCCAGCTCTGAATAGAGTGAGGAGGGAAGATGGGAGATGATCCTTGAGTTGTGTCTTGAAGAATGAGCAAAAATTATATTCATGGAAAGAAAGGATACAATATAAGTGACTTGTTGAGTTTTTCTTGGCTGATACTAAGAATGAATTTTCATTAAATATGCACCAGTAATTCACAGGAAATGATCAGGTCAGAATGTTATGGGACATTGGTCTGAAATATAATGAGAGGGGAAAAAAACAGAAAATTTAAAACGTTTATTTATGATGGCTAATATTCAGAGGGGCTAACTCCCTCCTGCCCAGATAAGGAGAACTTTGCCGCCTGGCAAGGGACCTGCGGCTCTGCACTGCCAGGGCAACAGAACCACACGTCTCAAACGTGGTGTTTAAAGAAGATGTTGGAAGGTTAGAGGCGGTGTAATGGATGGGATTTGACAGTTGCTGTGGCAACACACCCACTTCCAGAACATTAGTGTTAGTGGGAGGGCAGGCAAACTCGTGGTACTTGCCCTGGGCTGCCCTATGTCCCGTACCACCTGTTCTATGCCAAAGGTATGAACAAATTCAAAAGGACAAATGCCTCACATGGCTGATGGCTGCCTGCCTTTGTAGAACTGACCCTGGAATAAGATAAGAAGATGAGTAAATCAGAGAAAAGACAACAGGGAAATAGCGTGGAGGAGGAGGGGGAGGCCAGAGCAAGCAGTGTTAACTCCTTTCAGGTCAACATTTCCCAGGGTTATATTAGAATGTATTGACTAACTGGTAGATTTTTATGGGGAAAAAATGCATATGGCATCTGTGTGTCTAAAATGCCCTTGATAGAAGCAGTAGTGTAGAATGCTTTGGGGCATAAATAGTCCTTAGAGTAGCAAAAAGACAGGTTAATGCAAAATTGGTTGGACAGGTTTTGGTTGGAGGCCTGAGTGATTGCCTCCGGAGCACCACCTTCTGGGGAGTCATGGGTATGACATGGTGTGAATATTCCTGAGGTGTGGGTGGTTGGTTTCCTTACAAGGTAGGGTTTGCAAGCTCCTTACATCCACAGGGGCTGTTTCCTCTGGACCAGTCGTTCTCAATCTTGGCCTCACATGAGAATTACCAGTGATTTTTTTAAAAGAAATTTAAACATTTTATTACAAAATTAATATACGATTGTTGTAAAATAGGACTGTATAAAGAGTAACTTGAGTTCCCATATTCCATTTCCAGATTTAACTGTCCACAGTTTCTGCGTACTCTTCCAGACGTTCCCTTTGTGTTTATAAGCATTTATATACATATATATGGGGGTGGGTGTGTATATATTGTGTGTATGGAAATATGGAAATATATGTATATGCATACAATACATAGTGTTATGCATCTTGCCTTTTTCATTCAATATTTTTTGGAGATTTTTCCATATTAATACATATAGATCTGCCGGCTGCATAGAACCTATGATCTGGATATGCTATAATTTACTTAACAATGCCTCTAGGGATTTAGATTGTTTTCATCGTTGGATTCCATTCTTTGTACACTTGTGTGGTATATCTAAAGTTTTCATTCCTAGATGTGGAATTGCTGGATCAAAGTGTGTAGGCTCCAAAAGAATTGAACTAGTTCACACTCCCACTAAAAGTGTGTGAGAAAGCTGTTTCCTCTTCCATTCAAAAAAATTTTTTTTTTTTTTTACAGAGCCCAGGCCCCATTTTCAGATCTTCTGGGTGAGGTTGGAGGGGAGCTAAGTATCTGTACTTTTACAGAGCTCCACAGGTGAGGCTGATCTGTAACCAGGGTTGAGAACTTACATATGTTCTTATCTATGGCCTTAGATAGAGGGTGTAAAATTAGGAGACGCAGCTCCCACTGATGATGCCTGGGTCATGTCCTTTCAGATCCAAATTGCAAGATCTCCTTTAATGTGGTTAATTGGGAGAAATTGAATGACCCATTTCTTCTGAAATTTCTGTTAAACTGGAGGTCTTTATTTAGACAAATGTAAACATTAATCCATCTTTATTAAGATAATGTATGATTAAAGCAACAAGGTACCATCTAGGTTCTGTTTGATACTTTTCTTGTTATTCTGTAGTTATTTGTTCATAAACCATTTTTTCTTCTTATAGGCTTTCAAGGAAGAATTATCTAATTCCTTTTGGTGTGGCCTCAGATTTCATTAGCAGTAGGTAGAGTTTGTAGTTATTGAAAGTCTTTCTCTTATTTCAGTTTGAAATGTTCCCAGGTTGGCACATAGCTTTGGGAACTGGAAGTGTCTCTTTTCCCTTGCTTAGGTAGCCTCAATAGATTGAAAGAAAATGGACATCTCTTCTTCAGAAAACCTGTTCTAAGAATTATCCATCTTAGGAAATTAGGGTGGTTATTGCTCTTCTTTACTGCCTGCCTGAAAAAAATTTCCCAGCCCTCATTTCTTTCATCCTTTCCTTTGAGGCCATGACTTGTCACCCTCTGCTGTGTTCCTCTGTCCCCTGAGCAGCTGTAAGGGGTGAGAGTCACCTACCCTCACCCCTTACACTCCCACCAACCTGAGGACCACGTGTCTTCATCTAACAGCATTTCTTTTTTTTTTTTTTTTTTTTTTTTTGAGATGGAGTCTCGCTCTGTCACCCAACCAAGCTGGAGTGCAATGGCGCGACCTCAGCTCACTGCAACCTCTGCCTCCCGGGTTCAAGCAGTTCTCCTGTCTCAACCTCCCAAGTAGTTAAGATTACAGGTGCCCACCACCATGCCCAGCTAATCTTTGTATTTTTAGTAGAGACGGAGTTTCGCCATGTTGGTTGGGCTGGTCTCGAACTCCTGACCTCAGGTTATGTGCCTGCCTCGGCCTCCCAGAGTGCTGGGATTACAGGTATGAGCCACCGCGCCCAGCCAGCATTTCTTTCTTTTCCTGTTTGAAGAAACTGAGTCCTGTCTACTCCCACCCAGCATTTGCCTGGCATATCTTCACAGTTGGTCTCCTTATCAACCAACTGACTCCCATGATTAGGTCAGATTAGATCCCCTGTTCAGGGGATTTATGTGGGGAACTACACACTGATTGGGACAGGATTTTGTCAATGTACTCAAATGACAAAGGACTTCAGAGATGTTGGAATATTCTTGGTCTACCCAAAGGTTGCAGACCACGGTGGCATTTCCTTCTTATATAGGTCCTGGTGGGCATGGGCTTGAGAAGCTGAAAGAAGACGCATGGAACTCAGAATCTGATCTTTTGATGATGACTTCATATATATGGTCTGTTTACCCACGAGGCACACAAACCTTACCTTATGCCTGTGAAATATAAAGGCAGATTTTTGTCCCATGAAGGTTTCTCCATAGACTACATTAAGCAGGAGACAGATGGGTTTAGCTTGGCTAATCTTAGTGCAAGCTGGAAAATTTCAGTTTTTCTGAAACAACATATTTCTAAGAAATTGTCTGGTCTAGAATGTTATTCTAGTGTATGTTAGGGATCTGTATGACTGTAAAGCAAGGCTGAATTACTGCAGGCCTATAAATATGTGTGAAAATTTACCTACTTCTCCCTACCAACATGGAGGTGGAAAGAAGTAGGTTTAATAAACCCCATTTTTATTACGTGTGTAAATCAGTGGCTGTTTGGCCATTTTTCTCCTATGTAGGACTTGAATTTATATGAGAAAACTTGAGTGTATGCCTTTTCCCAAGTCTTGGCTTGCATCTGAATGTAAAAATCAGATGCATGCTCAATGAATGTTAATTCAGATTATAGATAGCTATAAACTATATAGGCTGCTCTGTGGTCTTTCCTTTCCCTCTGCCTGCATGACTGAAGACCAAACTGTCACTTCCTTATAATCTAGTTCTTCCCATGATACCTCATCACAAAGGTATATATCAGTTGGTCAATAACAGGACTTGTGCAGTGAATACTTACATGAAGCAGACACTGAAGTGCCCAGCAAGAACTGCAAAGGCTGGCAGTATTAGGAGATTGCTCACCGTACCCCAAATGAGATGCCAGAGGCATAAAGTCCATTTTGTTTAGGTACCAGATGACTCTGTGGAATTAACTTGATTTGTCCCCAGTAATCCATATTCTTTAGCATACACTTCCAGGCAACACTTATTGCTTAGCAACACTTACTTAGTAACCTTTCAGAATGATCATTAACTAATAGGGAGACAGCCTGTGGTGCCGATCGTAGGCTGTTGAGGCTATCTCTACGGGCATTTTCACCTATCCTGCCTACTTCCGTAACCTATGCCCCACAAAACATACACTCTCCAGACATGAAATTTAAAAATAATGAAAGATGATGCAGGAACTTCAGACACTAGATGCAATAGACAGCAAAAGGAAGCACCTATGTTAGCCTTGGTTCTCAACATACCAAGATGCTCTTATGAACACTTCTAACAAAATGTTCCCAAGGAGAACACAAAGCAGGCACCTAACATCCAAGAAGCATGTCATCACCTCAGCATGCCTGCCACACGTCTAGCGCACTGCAGCCTTCAACTCCTGGTCTCAAGCGATCTTCCCACCTTAGCCTCCCAAGTAGCTAGGACTACAAGCACGTGCCACCATGCCTCGCTAATTTTTTGAAAAATATTTTTTAGAGATGAGTTCTTGCTACGTTGCCCAGGCTGGTTTTGAACTCCCAGTCATATTGTTCCTCATTTGCTTTTTTTCCTTCTTCTTTGTTAAGAGACAGGGTCTTGTCCTGTTGCCTAGGCTGGAGTGCAGTGCCACCATCTAGCTGACTGCAGCCTTGAACTCCTGGGCTCAAGCGATCCTCCCACCTCAGTCTCCCAAGTAGCTAGGACTACGGACACATGCCACCACCAGGCCCAGCTAATTTTTGAAAAATATGTTTTAGAGATAAGATCTTGCTACATTGCCCAGACTGGTCTTGAAGTCCAAGCCTCAGGTTATCCTCCCTCCTCAGCCTCCCAAAGTGCTGGAACTACAGGTGTGAGTGCTTGGCCTTCCTCATTTGTTTAACAGATATAGTAATGCAGCCACTTGATTAGGAGGCACAGTGACCGCTCTTGAGGGATCAACAGTGTAACCAGGGAAACATCTCTTTGGTCAGTCCCGTTTCACTAGCCTGTTCAAGAACTGGTTTACCTCCTACCTTTCTGGCTTTTCCTAAGTACCTTTTACAGAGTCCTCCTCTTCAGCTGTGCCTAAACTGTCAGTGTTCCCCAGGACTTTTTCTTTGGTTTTCTTGTTCTGTGTGCTCTCCTGGGGAGATAATCAGATTATAACATCTGCATCTCCAGTTTACATTGCCCTTCTATAGCCTACATTGGTATATGAAGCTGAGATCCACATGCTCTAGGCTTCTTCATCTGGGCATCTGAAACTCAATGGATCCACAATGAGACATTTTATTTTCCCTTAAATGTGCTCACTCCACAATATTCCCTATTTCAGTGAATGTCAACACCTCCTTTGCAGGTGTCCAGGCCAGAAACCTAAAAGTGAATCTTGCTCTCTCCTCCTCTTTCCCCATGTTCAGTTGGCAACAATTCATGTTGCCCCCATCTCATTAATAACTCTTGAATCCACCTAGTCCTCTGCTGTTGATGTAGGTGAGCTCTTACCATTCCTGGTTCCCCTGTAAGCCAAGCTCTGCCTGGTTGCCACAACAATCTTTCTGAAACGAGTCATCTGATCAAGTGAGTCCTTTGCTCTAATTGCATCGATAGTTCCCCGTTCTCTTGAGGATAGAACCTGAACATCTAAGACCCTTCTGTGTCTGTCTCAATGCTTACCACTCTTCTTACCCGCCGTGAGCTCCAGTTACACCAGCTACTCTCAGTTCCCCGACTGGCCCATGAATTCTCTCATATCTTCATGCCTTCACATATTTTGTTCCCTCTGCCTTGGTTACCCTTTATCCCATTTACTTTTCTGGCCAATTTCAAGACTTGGCCAGGATGGCAACTCCCTCTGAGGGACATTTCCTGTTGTCCCTGCACTCCCTCCAAAGATAGGGATTTGTGATCAACCTTTCAACTCCAACCTGTGACTCCCTGGGCAAAGCCCTTTTATAGCACATATTATTCTGCAATCTAATAACCTTTTTACTTACCTGTCTGCACCTCCAGACTGCATGCTTTTAAAGTTTGGGTTTTATTTATATATTCTCAGAGCCTGGCTCATAGTAGGGGCTCAATAAAAGTGTTTAAGCAAATGAATGTCTTAATCAACAAAGACATAGTTTATCATTTTCTGTGTAAGGCAGTGGCATGGCCTTTGCCTGGAAAGATTTGCAATCTCGTTGATTAAAAATTATAGAGTTACTTAATCTGATAAAAAAATTATCAGTATAGACATTGTGAGAGAAGTTAGGAGGAATTGTCGCCAACATTGGTATAGTCAGGAGTCGGAGGGCTTGAATTAGACCTTGATATGGATGTTAGGACAAATAGAAGTGGCGAAGACGCAAAGCAAGATTGTCTAGAAACAAAGCAGACCATTGGCTTAAGCAGAGAGCATGAGATAGGAACAATATGCCTCCCTGTGGAGGTCTCTCCCCAGTAGACAAAGATTTCAGACCAGGAGGCAATGGGAAGCCATTGGCTTCCTTTGATCATGGTGGCGATACTCTAGGAAGAGTAATCTGGTGGCTGTGTTGGCAGATGGGATTGCAGGTGGCAGAGACCAGTTAGGAAGATCTTGCAGTTGTCCAAGTTCCTCATGACTGCACCTGTCTTGTGACAGGGATCTGAAACACAAAGGAAAGCCTCCACTGCACTCCAAGAATAATTTATTGCTAGATCTGGAAGGAGCCTTTGCTATCATCCCAAACATCTCATCCTATTATTTAACAGTGGTGGGCAAACTGAGGACTAATCTCAAGGTTCCCATAACTGATGGGGTCTTTGGATTCCAATCCTTGTCTCATTTTCCCAACCTGCCTGGGAAGTGGGTGGTTAAAGTTTAAAGCCTGGAAGAATGGGGGAAATAGTTCACAGGCATGAGGTGACCTGCAGGAGAGGCTGATGGTCTATAGGAGATTGGAGGATGAGTTTGGCTTAAACATGTTGATTTAGAAATGACAGAGGGATTGGAGGCAATGACCAGCAGTCCACAGATCAGTTTAGGACTCTGTGAACGTTAGTGGAAGAGATTACAGAGAACACTGGCTAGGAGCCAAGGCAAGAAGGCTTTGGAAAGGCATGTTTGCCTTTGAGTGCTTAACTTAGAGACTCATGCGGGAAAGAATCTGTGGATCTCTTTGAGAAGCTGCAGAACAGCAGATACACCTGAATCCTATTCATGTTCATCCAGAAACGCAGACTTTAAAACAACCTTGTTATTCTTCCTTTGTTTTGTTTCGTTTGGTTTTAGGGGGTTGGAGGGGAGGGAAGGGTGTCACCGGGGGAGCATATGGGTCATTTGTTTGCAGTTCACAGGGGTTCTTAGTGAACATCAGCGAATATTGTCGCTGATTTCGTCTCCTGCTTCACTCTCTTTTCTAAAAACAAAATATTTAATGTAGCCCAAAGGAGAATAGTCAGTTTAATAACTAGCCATGGCAGCTCTTTGAAAACTGCAGGTTTCAAATAACTAGGCCTGCACATTTTCACCAACTCAGACAATTAAAAAGACTCCAGGGACCTAGGTGGTGCTGATTCAAGTGGCGCATATTGTCATTTAAAATGGAAAGTCTATTTCTGAAAATAGACTCCAGGTATGGGAGAACTTGTTTCTCTGCTGGAGAAGGTAGCCCATCCTAGGGGGACCGAGGTAAATTGCTTAGTGGCTCAACATCTACATAGTTAAAATGGGCCCATTTGGCCCTACCTACTTCGCAGAGTTGTTAGGAGGGCAGAATGAGGCTATAGATAGGCAGCATGTCATTGGACTAGGTCCGCCAGATGCAGAATGTTGACAAAAGCAGAAGTCCCCTCCCCTCAGACTCCTCTGGGGAAAGCTGGCAGCCTTGACCACCATCACCGCTCTGCACACCATAGCAGGGATATGAGAAGGGGCTGAGGTGAGCATTGGACTGGAGGCTCCTCCAGCTGTCTCTTGTTGCCTGTCCTCTAGTGTGTAGAGTTGCAGTGTGGCTTGAAATGGTCATCACACCCACCATCACCATGGCAGCCCTGGGAGGAGGGACTGGCTGCTACTCTCTCAAGAAGGGATAACTGTTGCACAAAACACTGCAGACTTTGAGCTGGCCAGCAGTTGACCAGCTGACCTAACCTCCCGTTTTCCAGGTCTTAACCTACCATCCATTCCCTGCAAGTACAGAGGAAACTAGAAAGCTACCCTTCTCCCACCATAGTTCTGTAACTTTGGGATGGAGTGAGAAGCATGGCATTGTTACCAGGTGATAGGGCTCATTGTCCAGTGCACTAGAAGCCAGTATTATGGCACTGGGTCTTTAAGAAAAGAAAAGCTTTTATTTCATGTCAGCCAACAAGGAGACAGGATCCAGCTCAAATCTGTCTCCCTGTGCTTGCTGGCTTTCAGGCAGCATTTGTATTAGAAAAGGTTTAAGGGGTGGATTTTGGGATTAGCAGGTGATTGGTGGCAGGAAGGGTGAGGTCTGGAAAGTCCTTGGGCATGCACGGTTATCTCTCTCTGCATCCTCATGGATGGTTTGTGCAAATTCAGCGAGGGGGGTGAATGTGAAACGTGTGGCGGAAGTTCTGGCTGTGACGTCAGTAAGCTCGTTCTGCACAGACTCCAGTTGGCCATATTGGTCCCAAACAATTTTAGCCAGCCTTATCTTTCCAGTAGAGGGAGTTTTAGTGTTTCCACAAGCTTTTATTTAATTTTTTTTTTCTTATCTGCCATCCTGTAAGCTCAAGAATTTCTGTTAGTCACTGGTTTAAGTCTTTGGGGCATGGTTTCAATATGAGTGTGGGAAAGGGGAAGCCATTGCCTCTTGTTTCCCATTCGTGACCATCCCTACCCACTTCAGTGGGCCCAGTGTTGCCAGACCTGAAATATACCTCATGTGGGTGTTTGTCTCTGGTACTCTGGGTTCATTTCTGGTCACCCTATGATATTTCCTTGCCCTAAGGTACTGGCACAGCTATCGGGTAGGAGGAGGCCAAGGTAGAAGGCACAGAGCCATTCTTGCCTCACCTTCTGCCACACGGTGACCCCACATGTCTGGGGAGAGGCTCCCGGCCCAGGGAGGAGGAGGTGGAAGGTGCACTGTCATAACCATCACAGGGGGCAATGGCGAGAAGGCTCATGGGCCACGTGCCTCGGCCATTAGTTGTCATGTCTGTTGTACCCCAACTTAACTGACTTCTAACCGGCTGTGGTTATGAGTTCCGCTGGTCTCACCTTTCAGTGGGTTCAAGGGGGCAGATTTTGCTGACACCATAGGCAAGGAAGCATGATGGTAAACACCACTGGAATGAGAGGCCTTGTTAATCCAGCCCAAGCTCCTGCCAAGTTAGAAGCTGAGGAGTCTAGTCTGGGCCACTTTGAGTACTGATGCATGATCCCAGGGCGATGTGCTGTTCTGGGCACAGGGTCACACTGGGTGACATCTAACAGGCTTTGCTTGGGCTGTAGCTAGAGGGAAATGGGAGCTGGGGAGTGTGACAGGAGGGAAGTGTGGACTCTCCACCTACCAAGGGGCCTTCCCACATACTGTCCATCCCATTCAGCGCCCTGAGGTGGGCGTCATTTCTCCCACTTGACAGATAAGGGAATCAGACCATGAGGCAGAGTAACTGGCCCCAGGCCACACACAACTACGTAGTGTCAGAGTCATGATGAATCCTGTTTGTCTACACCTTCTGATGAACTGAGCTACCTCGTGCAGGACAGGCCCAAGGAAAGGGGCTCAGGCCAGAGTGGGAGCATTGAAACAGGGTTCAAAATGTCTGTCTGCCCAAACCAAACGTTAATTTGCATACTAATAGTTTAAGGGCATAGATATAATACAGACCTCCCCCAAGAAGTGACCTTTGAAGCCAACTTCTTCTTCATGTGACGGAATACATCAGACACCCTGTCTGCCGGGAATCCTTACCCTTCTCCTAGTGAGCCGTGGTCTCTGGCCTATCCAGAAGCTCCTTAAAAATACTAGTGCATGAGATGTAGCATTGACAGGAGCCCTGGCCTGTGGGTCAACAGTTGCTTTGTCAAATGCAATCTTGCCCTTGGCACAGCTCGCCATTCAGGAGGATGGAGGAAGTGGACGAGAGAGAGGGAGGTAAAAGAAGGGAGGGAAAGGAAGCAGGATGCCTGGCTGCCTGGAGCTTCCTTGGGCTCTTGTCCATGAGAGGAAGCCATACCTACCTCTCTGGGGTTTGCCAACTCTTGTCCAGGAACCTATTGGGCTAGAGTGGAGGGGAACTGCAGAGTCTCCCCTTCCTTTCTCTTCTGCCCCCATGAGGAGGAAGTGAAGTGGAGCAGAAAGAGCGTGGGCTATGGTTGAGCCCACTGGAGTCTGCACTCCACCCAGCCTCCCCCTGGCTTTCTAGCTGTATGACTTTAAGCAGGTGGTTTCACCCCCTCTCCCTCTCCACTTTTTCCTCTTTAAAATGTGGGATACAGTGCCCGCCTCGCAGAGGCTGATGGTTCTGTGGAGTGTTGTGCACAAGGCTCCAGCCCAGGTCCTGATGCAGGACTCTCATTCTGGAAGGCTGGGTGCCTGGCTCTCCTTGGGGCACAATTAGGCTTCCTGGCTGCATTCCTGGGGCATTCGCATGAAAAAGAACATGGGCTTTAGAGTGAGAAGGATGGGGAGATGAGTCTCTGTTTTTCCATCTGCGTGGGCAAATTATTTAGCATATCTGAGCTTGTCTTAAGCTTTCTGTTTTCTATTCCTTTATTTCCACATATGGAAAATGGGTATATGAACTATTCTGCCTTCATATAGCTATTGTGACAATTAAATGAAGTAATCTCTGAAGAACCTTACTATCAGTATTACTGATATTACCAGAGAGGTGGCTCATGTTTGTAATCCCAGCATTTTGGGAGGCCAAGGTGGGAGCATTGTTTGAGCCCAGGAGTTCAAGGTTTCAGTGAACTATGATCACGCCACTACACTGCAGCCTGGAGACAGAGCAAGATCCTGTTTAAAAAAAAAATTGCTGATATTGATTATTCAGTAGGCCAGGGAAGCCCGTCTACCAGCCTACAGGACGTCATTGCATTCACCTTCTCAGTAAATGGCAACAGACTCTTTTCCTAATGTTTACACGTAATGGATTGAACTGGCTTAGCATCATGCTTTACCCATATTTCTGTTGACAGCCTGTTACTGTGTGGAGAGAATTGCTGGATAAGAGCCACTGAGATCAAAGGGATCTTTACAATGGGCCTTTCAGTATATTTGTTCTGTAATCATGGACTGAAAACTTACTGAGCACTTGCCATCTGAATGAGGCAAAAAGGAAGTGTGTGTGTGTGTGTGTGTGTGTGTGTGTGTGTGTGTATGCATGTGTATGTGTATGCATGATTTGTTTTTGCCTTAAAATTAGTACATCAACCGTGTAATGTGCAGGACATTTAAAATATGTCAGAGCTATGACAGGTTCCCAGCTACTGGGATCCAGGACACCTTCCAATTTCATCTTTGGCTAAGACTTTCTATCTCTTTTTTCTTCTTCTTTCTTTCTCCCCCTCCCTTTTGATGCCTTTCTTTCCTTCCATAATACCTTTCTTTATTCTTTCTTTATTTCTTCTTTGATTCATTCTTGTATTTCTTCTTGGTTTCTTAATTCCTCTTTCTTTCTCTTCCTTTCCTCCCTGCTGCCCAATACACTTCTGACCTCAGGGCATAGATGCATTGAAGGGCATCTGCTGCTGTGGCCTTTTGGATGGGAACCCTGTAGATCTCAGCTAGGTTGGTTTATCAGCTATAATGTATTCCTTGATTTGGTAAAACAGCCAGCAGCAGAGCAACATGCTTTTACCTCCTCTTTTTTTTTTTCCTCATCCCATTTCCTCCCTCTCTTTGGTTTCTTCTTCCTTTCAAGGGGGTTGAATGGTCTCCTCTCAGCGGCCTTTTTTTTTTTTTTTTTTTTTTTTGAGACGGAGTCTGGTTCTGTCACCCAGGCTGGAGTGCAGTGGCGCAATCTTGGCTCACTGTAGCCTCCACCTCACAGGTTCAGGTGATTCTCCTGCCTCAGCCTCCCAAGTAGCTGGAATTACAAGCGTGCGCCACCATGCCCAGCTAATTATTTATTATTATTATTATTATTTTTTAATAGAGACAGGGATTCACCGTGTTACCCAGGGTGGTCTCGAACTCCTGGCCTCAAGTGATCTGCCTGCCTTGGCCTCCCAAAGTGCTGGCATTACAAGCATGAGCCACCATGCCCAGCCTTCTCTCAGTAGCATTTAACACAGACTCCTGGAACATACATGCACAAAGTGAAAAAAATAACATTTTTAATTTCTGATTTTGAAAGTGAAGATCCTCATTATAGACAATTTGCAAAATATTGAAAATAAGAATTAAAATTTGCCCCTGTTCCTCCCAAAAGTCCCTGTTAGGATCTGGGGGGTGTTATGTCCAGCTGCTCAGTAGCTCGTGCTGTCCCCTCCATGCAGGTTCCATCTAGAATCTGGGGCAGCAGCAGGTAAGGCCAGGTCACTGTTCTGTGGGGCTTACATGGGAGTGGAGGGAAGAGATCAGCAATATCAAACAAATAAAAAAGATCGTTTGGGATGGAGATAAATATTGTAAAAAAAAAAAAAAAACATCAAACAGAGTTGTTTGATGGGTATTGAGCAGGGGTAGAGGAAAGTCAGAGGGTTCGAGGAATTGGCATTTATGCTAATGTCTACATAACGTAGGAGGACTAGGTAGGCAGAGAGCAGAGGAAGAATGCTTTAGGTAGAGAGGAAACTAAATACAAAGGCCTGGGTGGGATCACATTCAGGGGACGCAAGGAGCAGAAGGAAGGCCAGTGTGGCCAAGTGTGTGAGTGAGGTAGAGCCGTGGATCTGATCATATGTGGCAATGGGAAGCCTTGGGAGGGTTTGATATGGAGATGTGACCCACACGGGTCTGCATGTTTAGAATTATCACAGTGTACCGCTGTGGAGACGTGGGAGATAGAAAAGGGATAATGGTTAAAAGTTGCAGTAGTTCAGAGGACAGACAGTGCTGGCTTAGACAAGGGGAATAGTCTGTTTATTTGATTTACTTTCAAGTATCTCTGAACTATTATCTGTATTTTGTATATGTGTTTATATAGAGACCATTTATTGCACACTTTCCGGGTACTACAGATTGTGCTAAGCACTTTGTATGTATTATCTAGTTCATTTTTCACATAGAATCAGGCATAGTAATCTCCTTTTACACATAAGGGAATTGAAACTCAGGTAGGTTAAGAAAAGAAGGGGGAAAAAGTCAACGATAGTCCCTTTCCCCAATACAGACCTTATTAGGATTTAGAGGGGCATTTTTTGGGGGTCATTTATTTACAAAGGCCCAAGTTTATAACATACAGGTGACAGAATCAGCATTCAGACCCAGGTCTGACTCACTTCACAGCGTAAAACGACTGTCCTGTACAAATTTAAATCCTGCTATAATGTTATTGTGGGTGTAAACACTCTCCCCCTATGCAATAACTCAGCTTATAGGTCAGTCTCCATTGCAATGAGAATGTTTACCAGACAATCACAGAAACTCACCGTACACAAATAAAGGCTTATTGTTCACTCATCTGTAATTGCTATGGGTTGCTCAGGTGGCTCTGCTGATCTTGGCCGGACTCACATATCTAGAGTTCAGGTGATTTAAGCTGACCTAGGCTGGCCTCTTCTTTCATTTTCCAGCAGGCTAGACTGGGCATGTTTATGGTAATGACAGAAGTGCTACAGAAAAGGGGCAGAAACATGCAAAGCCTCTTTAGGCCCAGCCTCAGAACTAACACTATCATTTCTGCCACATTCTGTTGGCCAGTGCAAGTCAGAGACCAGCCCAGATGCAAGAGGTAGGGAAATAGGCTCTGCCTGGAAGTGCAGGTCCCATGGAATAGGACATGAATGGGTTAGGAATGAGCCTTTGGCCATCAGGACGTTAGTGTTAAGCTTTTGCAGAAAGGACTTGTTGGACAAATAACAGATTCCTGCTGCGGGAATGGAGACCAGCTAATATGGCCTGAGTCCCGAAAGCCCATATCCTTAGGCTGTATTTGTGAGGTTTTAATTTAATCTTTGTATATATCGTGAGCACTCTTCGTTGACCTTATAGTGTTGCTATCATCTCCTAAGTTGATTGGCTCCCTGAATGTAAAAGGATTTTCAGAGGCAGGCATGGTTTGTAGCAAAGTCAGCTGTAATCCCTGATGATGGTATCATCATCGAGGGATGCCAAGAGGGTAAAAGCACTATTTCAGATTATGGCTACGTGGGATCCAGGAAGTCATGACAAGTGAACAGACCCTAAACTGGTGATGAGGAGGAGGGCAGAGGTGAGCAGGAGGGAAAGATTCGGCACCAAACTTTGAATCACTAGGAGTTTCACTCATCAGCTCTAAAGGAAACCCTTTGGCCAAAATAAAAATTGTCTTCTCTTTCCTCAGCCTTAATTGATAGAGGATAATGTTATCAGCTGGCTAATGCTCATCAGTGATCAACATTAGACTACTGTGTTTTGACGTTACTGCTGCAAATCTCCTGCTTTATTAACTGCCTGAATGAGGAGCACATCAGAAAGATTGGAGGTGTTGCAATTAGCCTTTAGGATGAAATAATAAGTAACACTATAATTTGTGACTTTGATGCAGACATCAATTTAAAACATAAACCACTGACTAGAGAAGAGATAAAGACAGAGTGCTGCTGTTCCCCTTCATTGATGGCTGCTTGCTAATGAGCTAATTGAACACAAGCTGCTAAATTCTTGCTAAAATACGAAAGAATATGAAATATCCTGTTTCCAGTTATACTATTTGGAGGTTTAGCCTTGCCTAATCTGTGACAAAAGTAGAGGCCAACTTTGGGTTTGAAGGTAACTTCTATTCTTTTTCCAGATTTCTTTAAGCCCTTTGTTCCACCCTTTCCTCCAGAAACCCTCCTTGGTTCTTCTGGAAGTGACTTTCAGCAAGAAGCTTTTAGAAAGAAAAACAAAAAAAACGAAAAACAATGTTCCAGTAACTGCAGAGGCTACATGATGGGGTTGATCTTGTCCACTATGGATCTTTTAAATAAAGCTTTGGAAATACCAAGCTCAGACTTAACAAATACAGGAGAAAAAATGGCATGATTATCTCAATAAATAAATATCAAAAGGCATTTAAGAGAACTTAATACATTATTTCTGGTTTTAAAAATTATTAGTAAAACAAGGTTGGAAGAATTGGAACTGCCTTACTTTGTCAAGTTGTATCTACTAAGATACTAGAACAAGCCTTTATATTGAAGGATCTGAAGAATTAAAAGCATATTCCTTTAAAGTCTGGGACAAGCAGTGATCATTAGTCTCAGTCTCTCTTTCTTCTCATTGTCTTGCAGAAACCGGCTAATGCAGTGAGACTGAAAATTATTAAAAAGAAAGTAGGAATTATAAACATAGAAAGGATGCCACCTCTGTCTATAGAGGCAGAAGATGAGATTGTTCACCTAAAAACTAAGAGATGTTAGAACTGTTAGAACTATTAGAACTAATAAGAAAGTAAAGTGGCTGGATATAAACCAGTAACTTTTAAAACCAGTAGCTTCCTATATAGCAGCAGTAACCGCTTAGGAAATATAATAGGGTAATATACCCTAGTAACAACTCTTATAATACATTTAAGGAATAAACTGAAATGTGAAAGGCTAAAATAAAGAAAACTATAAAACTAAACTGATACATGTTTTTAAAAAAGCCCACAAAAAATAAAAATGGAGAGCATACTGTGGGTGTATTCAATATTTTAAAGATAGTTGTCCTCAAATTTACCTGTGAAATTGTAATTCAAAAATGCCAAATATTATTATATTTAAAACGGTAACTTTAAATATAACTTAACTAATGTATTCTGAAGTTTACCTAGAAGAGTATATGTATAAAAGTACCTTAGAAAATTTTCTAAAAAGAACAAATAACCAATAAACATGCAAGATGTTCAGTGTCACCAGTAACAAGGGAAATGGAAATTATAACAATAGTAAGACCAGCCTGGCCAACATGGTGAAACCCTCTACTAAGAGTAGTCTCTACTAAAAAATACAAAACAATTTTAGTCTCTACTTAAAATACAAAAAAAAATTAGCCGGGCGTGGTGGCGGGCGCCTGTAGACCCAGCTACTCGGGAGGCTGAGGCAGGAGAATGGCTTGAATCCAGGGGGTGGAGGTTGCAGTGAGCCAAGATCACGCCACTGCACTCCAGCCTGGGTGACAGAGCGAGAGTCTGTCTCAAAGAAAAAAAAACAAAAACAAAACAATAGTAATAGTTGTGCATATCAGATTGCCAACATTTAAAAAATCATATTGTGTGACACGTGCACTCTTACAAATGGTGGTGCAAGTGTAAATAGCTATGACATTTTTTGGAGCACAGTTTGGCAGTAGGTTTTTAAAATTTATTATTATTTTTAATTTTAGATTCAGTGGGTACATGTGCAGGTTTGTTACATGAATATACTACGTGATGCTGAGATTTGGCCTTTGATTGAACCCTTCATGCAGAGAGTGAACATAGTACCTAATAGATCCTTTTCACACCTTGCCCCACTCACTTCCTCCACCTTTTTAGAGCCCTCAGTGTCTACTGTTCCCAGCATTATGTCTGTGTGTACCCAATGTTTAGTTCCTACTTAGAAGTGAAAACATGCAGTATTTGGTTTTCTGTGTTAATTCATTTAGGATGATGGCCGCCAGCTGCATCTGTGTTGCTGCAAGGGGCATTATTTGATTCTTTTTAATGGATACATAGTATTCCGTGGTGTAGATGTATCACATTTTCTTTATCCAACCCACTAGAGATGGCACCTAGGTTGATTCCGTGTCTTTGCTATTGTGAATAGCGCTGCGATGAACATGCGAGTGCAGGTGTCTTTTTGATTGAAGGATTTATGTTCCTTTGGGTATAAATCCAGTAATGCGTTGCTAGGCCAAGTGGTAATTCTATTTTTAGTTCTTTGAGAACTCTCCAAACTGCTTTCCACAGGGGCTGAACTAATTTATATTCCCACCAACAGTATATGAATGTTCCCTTTTCTCTGCAACCTCACCAACATCTGTTATTTCTTGACTTTTTAATAGCCATTCTGGCAGTATGTTTAAAAATATAAAATGTACATGCCTCTTGCGTGAGCAGTCTCACTTCTAGAAATCACTTCTATAAAAACATATACCTAAAAATCCATCAGTTGAGGAATTATACATCGTTATATATCCAAACTATGGGATCCTCTTGACCCTTTAAAAAGAAAAAGTAGTTTTATTTGTACTAACATTGGAAATTGCATATGGTATATTGATAGATTAAAAAAGTAACTTGAGATATGTGGGTAGTATAATACCATTTGGGTTAAATCACTTATGTGTAAAAACCAAGATATAAGAGGTTCACGTCAAGATGTTAAGGGTGATCACCTCTGGAAAGACAGTGAGTGAGACTGGGGGAAGAGGAGAATAGCAAGAACCAGGACTTTCACTCTCTTTACACATTCCTGTATTTGTTAACATTTCGCAGCGAACATCTTTGATCATTTAAAAAATTAATGATGCATTCTTATATTGACAATTCTTATACTAAAATTTTGAAAATCCACAGGAGATAGGAAAAAATACCCCTTACTTTTGATACTATTGACATTTTGAAATGAAAGGAAAAAATGAGTTTAGTAGAGTTAATTCAGCAGAAAATATAAATATATAAGATGGCACTAAGGTATCTTTGGGGAGAAACGGGACCTGGTTTTGTTTCGCAGGTCCTTTGCCATTTGCTGTTTGATACTGGGGAAGCCACGTACCTTGTCTGTGGTCCAGTTAGGTTTCTCCACTCTGCAGGTAGGGCTGACCTACTTCCATTGGAGGAAAAACCTAGAGAGAAAGAATGTCAAGAAAGGTTCCACCTGAATGGGAAGTGTTATTGTTAGAATGTCCATGAATGAATGTCAGAGTCCAGCATCTCAGAGGCCATCATTAAATGAGGAGCAGTCTTTGTAGAAGCTGAACTCTGAAGTATGCATCATGGTGAGGAGTCAGGTGGGGATAAATGAATAAAACATAAAAGACCATGTGGTATGGTAGAGGAGGAGGTGTGTGCGTGTGTGTGTGTGTGTGTGTGTGTGTGTGTACAGCTTAAGAACATAAAGCAATAAAGGAGAACATTTTGATACAGCATAATAAACAATATTGGAGTACTAAGGAGGAGCTTGGAGCAATTCGATTTGGGAAGTATTAAGAGGTGTTACATGATGATAGGAGATGGGTGCACATGCCTGTGTAAGAATGGGGAGGTGGGGACATTGTAGTGATGGGGCATTGGCATTGGGTAGCTTTGTTATTAAGTTCAAAGAGTTTCTAAAGGGAAAATAAAATCCCCATTTGAATCACAGGTGGTTCATTTTCTGAGGCAATCTCAAGAGGCACAAGATCAAATCTAGCTTGACACCATCCAGTACAGAACTCAGCAGTCTCTAGAAGCTGGAGCTGAGCTACAGCTTGGCTAATGAGAACTCTCCATCCTCTGCCAGCACCTCAGGGCCCATCTCTTCCTCTTTGGCAAGCAGGATACAAAGAGAGCGCAAAGCAGAGTGGGACCTAGAAGGTCACCCAGAGCATTCATTTTGCAAACTCCCCACCAGGCCTTTCCAGAAGACAGATGATCACGGTTTCACAGTTTTGCTAGAATCCGAGCCAGTGGCTTCATGCTTCGACCTGGGGTAGGTTTTAATGAAACCTAAAGAATACTTCACACATTGACCTACCATTGGCAGTGAGGAAGAGGGGGAGATGGGCCAAACACAGCTGAACGACATCCTCTCATTTATTCATGGGGCGTGAGAGGAGTGATTGTAAAATTCAGATGAAAACTAGAAGTTAAAATTCAGAGCTCCCAGTATAAACATTTGGGTCTGGTATGAAGTTCACTTTCACCAGTAAGACACATTGAGAAACACAAGAAACCCATTGTTCTCTGGATGTTTGTGCATTTCAGTGGTTTTGCCTGTAGGACCCTCAAGTGGAAGTTAGATTGTCTCTATTATGTTCTTTCTAATTTGTTAAATATTTCTTGAACTAATCTCCTTCTCACTATCTCCATTGCTACCGTTAATGTGTACACTGTTTATCACAACAGCCTTGCATCTCATCAGTCTGCAGCCGTGGCTCATGCAATCCGTTCATCATGCTGCCTGATTCTTCTTTCCAAACATCAGCTCTTTGTCACTTCACTGCTCAGCATCTCTCACTGACATTTGGATTGTTCAAAATCATATCCCCACTGCCCACCTTCTTGGCCACATCTCTTGTGCTTGCACCTCTCCCCACTCTGTTTTCTTCTGATTCAATGTGACAGCTACCCAAGACTATACGTGGTTCTGCAAAAATGCAAACCTCTGTCTTGTCTTGGCACCTAGAATACCCTTTTTTTGCTAATTACTCTTTGTCTCAAGATGCGGCTGTACCAAGAGTCATCTCTAGGAAATGCTCCCTAACCTCCTTTGTGTTACGTACCATTTCCTCACACTGTGGAAGCACATGAGAATTACTTCCATCCCAACATCTGTACTCTCCCCTAACTGGCTAGTTATTGGTCTGTCTCCCTGACTCACCTGGAAACCACCCTCAAGGTGAAAATTACGTAGTTCTGTTCATTGCATCTTGCAGAGTGCCTGGCACATCGCTGTGTGATAGGAAAGAATGAATGTGTATTTTTAAATTGGGCTTCTCCTTCTCTAGTTTTTGAACATGTGTATGTGGGTTTCTGTTTTGCCTGATGTGACGTGAGTCAAGTCATACTCAACCTGCTGTGTTCTCAGAAATGCAGTGCGGATGAGTAAGATAAATCATGTTAGCATCATATATAAGTGAGCTGAAGACTCTTACCACTCATCTCAGAGCACCATTAAGTAGCTGCCTACTGGGTCTCTCTAGGGTGTTCATGAATTAAAACTCCTGTGTTGTTCCAGGTCAGCTGTTGCCAGCAAACCGCAATACACCAAGTCCCATTGATCCTGACACCATCCAGGTCCCAGTGGGTTATGAGCCAGACCCAGCAGATCTTGCCCTTTCCAGCATCCCTGGCCAGGAAATGTTTGACCCTCGCAAACGCAAGTTCTCTGAGGAAGAACTGAAGCCACAGCCCATGATCAAGAAAGCTCGCAAAGTCTTCATCCCTGATGACCTGAAGGTAAATTGGAACTGGTAATCAGTCTTTGGGCAAATGGAGAGTGGGATCCACAGACAGATTAAAAGGGTGACCCCAGGATGATCCCAGAAGCTAGTGCATGAAGGATTTCTGATTTCTGATCCTGTTTCTTGGCATGTGACTTCTAGGCCAGTTGTTTCCTCTCTGGGTATTTTTTGAAATGCACTTTTATGTCTTGATGCTGAACAGAAACAAGGAGAAGCAGTAAAATGTTGGAGTGATTTTAAACCCATGAAGGAAACAAACCTGCTCCTATCTGCATGGAAACCCACAAAAGTCTAATAAAATTAAACCCCACATCTTTCAAGGTTGAGAAGAGAAAGAAAATCATTTGAGAAGGGCATCTGAACCTCATTGCCCTCGAAGGGTTACCTTCCTTTTAGAAAATTTTTGATAATTTGCTGCTGCCATTTCCCTGTAGGCTGCGAGGAATAACAGCCAGAGATAGGACCTTCCTCCATATTGCCAACCTTGGATGACCAGGGTGGGATTTTGTGAAGGAAACTGGTAGTTCCCTGACACCATTTATATGTATCTTAAGTAACGATCACTTGAATATCTCACCGCTAGATTAATTCTAAGTAGGTTTTCTCTGCAGTGTTGAAGGGACACCTTATTTATAAAGGGAAATAGATTTACCTTGGAAGTCAAATACAGCTTAAAACAAAATTAACCAGACACAATAATGACATCTTAGGATGAAAATTCTTTCCAAAATTATGCCATGTCTGCTAATGCCAAAATAGAACCATTTCTTATTAACCATTGCTTAGAACTTTCATGCTTCTTTCCAATCATGTGGGTACTAGAGATATGATTATTATGTAGTCAAGGCCTTGGAACCAGGCATAATTAGCCCTTTTCTACTGTCTGCCCCCCATCTCTCAAACCTAACTATTGTTCCTATGTAGAGACACTCCTAGGCTGGGAAATAGGAATTTGAGACAACGTCTGAACTGGCTTAGACCAGTTGTTCCTGCTTTACATAGCTAGAAAAAATGCTGGAAGCAGAAGTACCTGGCAAATTTAAATCACTGCTGTCATCCACATTCCTGAGATTACCTTAATTGATGCAGAATAGGAAAACATCAGGGCTGAAGGGGACCTTAGAGATTCATTTGTCCAAAATTACCACTTGCAGTTGAGGAAATGCAGAAAATGGAAAGCTGAAGTCAGCGGATCACTACCTGTTAGAGAAAGGCTTAGCCTGGCTCCCAGGTTGTCTTGCTTCCCAAAAGGTCACAGCAGCATGTTGGCCCTGACAAGGGCTATAACGGGGGCCCATGGGTGACAAATCAATGGCTGTCACCCTGAGAATCAAAAAAGGAAATCACATGGTAAAAACACCAGAAAATCTAAACTAGTCAGGACATTGATGGTTAGACTGAGATGGGGTAAAAAAGGGGCACCATGGGCTCAGGTCTTGGGCAATTAGGTACCTTATTTCAATGAGATGCCTTTCCTAGTCTTGTCTTCTTAGTGATCCAATTTTTTATGGTGTTTTTTTTTTTTTTTTTTTTGAGATGGAGTCGCACTCTGTTGCCCAGGCTGGAGTGCAGTGGCACGATCTCAGCTCACTGCAAGCTCCGCCTCCCCGGTTCAAGCCATCCTCATGCCTTAGCCTCCTGAGTAACTGAGACTACAGGCGCACGCCACCACGCCCGGCTAATTTTTTGTATTTTTAGTAGAGACGGGATTTCACCGTGTTCGCCAGGATGGTCTCGATCTCCTGACCTTGTGATCTGCCCACCTCGGTCTTCCAAAGTGCTGGGATTACAGGTGTAAGCCACCGCGCCCGGCCTTTTTTGTGTATTTTAAAGCCTCGTATCTTAAACTAAAGCCAGGGATCCTGTTCAACCTGGATTTTCTCTTGAATGGAGGGTAGTTTGAAAGGATGCTGCTATGAGTGATAGACAGAACTTCCAGCCAGACTTTCACAAAGTCTCCAGATTTATCAAAGAGCAAGATTAGTTAATAACCCAGGTAACCTTGGCAACAAAGAGGCCAGACAAAAACCGTCTGTGCTGGAATTACACATATTGCTGCTGTCATGGTCAGGCCTGACCTTTCCACATAGCAGGTGGGGAATGGGCAGGAACATTGTCCTGCCAGGTGTCCTTGGATATTTTTTAGTTGTGGACGAAGTCTCAAACTAAAGACCATGAGCTAATATAAAGCAGGAAGCAGAGCTGTAACATGTTTCTCCTTCTGGCAGAAAGGTCTGAGCTAAGGGTAGATGGAGGAGAAGGTGTTTCTGGCCCCCAGCATTGGACAAGTAAACCAGTTCAATGAAATGGCCCCACTAAAAATGATCTTCCCTGTAGCTGCCTGAACTTCCTCTCTTGAGCCAATCATTAGGGTTAGCATGCATGCGCTGGAGAAAGAAGGGAGAATTGAGGTTGACATGCTGGGGTACCTAGCTGAAAATCCATTTAATTACCTTGATTTTTTAAATGCTTTTAATGGTCCATTCATTCACTTGATGAATTTTTTCAAATGCTAGTGTGTGCCAACCCTCTAACCCTGTATCAGGGGCTGGGAATACCGAGGTGAGCCAATACTGATACTGTTCCTGCCTTCATGGAACTTGTAGTCTGGTGAGAAACAGGGAGTGTTGATCTGTTGGGTGGGGCGGGGCTAAGTGGGTCCCTTGTTGCATGGAGGTAACTGGGTAGCCAGATGGCATCAGCAACTGGGAGAGGGAAAGGGGGCAGAGGATGGAGTGCCAAGTTTATCAGCCCCGCTCAAAATCCCGCTTCCCCCCTGCCCGCAACCCTTCTGCGATAACAAAGGGAGGCGAGCAGGCTTTTCTAGTCCAGGACACTCCTTTCGTCATTCCTGCCTTCTGTATCCTCTTCTGGACCCGGTTCCCAGCTCCCCTCCCTCCCACCTGAAAGGTTTGTTTTGCATTCCACACCTTGGCTGGCTCATCTGCATGTGTGGACAGGTGAGGCTGGGAAATGAGAGCACTTTAGAAGTGAGAAGAGCTCTAATAAGTTAGAGAGAAGTTGGTTGTTACCCTGAAGTCAGCTGGTGACTCCCTGGTCATTAAGACCTGGTCAGAATTGTCTTACACCACATCAAGCCTGTGGCCTATGGTGGGACCCCCCATTCCTCCCCCATCACATACATGCAGTTTCTACAGTGTTCCAGGGGCTTGTTCTTATGTACCCCTTCGCCTCCTGGGCTCCTGTTCCCCCGTGTGCAGACTCTGATACATCCTAAATCAAGTCCTCTTTTGAGTGCTCTTGGAAACCGCACTCCCAGGCACATTGTTGGGTATAGATTTACTGATACTGTGAAGGGATTGGAACCCAGGCTTCTATCAAAACACAAATAACTTCCATCAGAACTGGAGGCTTCACCACTGTTGTTAACTGGAGGCTTCACCACTTTGGGCCCCCTCACCACCATGACGTCATTGACTCGCCTGACTCCTCCCAGCCTCTCCCCTGCCTCCAGCTCCCCTGCTCGCTTTCAGAAGCACAGACAACAAATTCGGCCAACAACCATTGCACACCTGCCCTAGCTTGCTCACCCAGGTATTCTTCAAAGAGCAGCCTCCTCCCTCCTACCCAGAAGAATTCTGGTAACATCTATTTTGAAAATCGTTTTTTTACCCTGTTGCATATTGTTATGAAATGTATAAAAAGCTGGGGGTGCTTTATTTAAGATGATAGTACTAGTTTGTGGATGGCAGATAGGAGGTATCTACACAGTTTCTATCCCACACTTTCTGTATTTGTGCAGGGCAAATGCCTGTTGAGGGTAATGGGCAGTTTTGGGGGTGGACCGCTGACCTTAGACTTTCCTTGCAGCTTTGGCCCCAACCCATGTGACCTCCTTCAATGCCAACTGCCCCTTGGAATTCTGAGGGGTGCAAGCACTGGCCTGACCCATTTATTCTGGGTGGCATGTAACTGCAGGTAGTAGCATTGCTAGGACTGAGGGATTTGCTGTTGCAAATTGTTGAAAAAGGGGAGTTGCAAAATTCACCAGGTGCCACCATCAGTGAATTGGGAAGATCTAAAAGAAGATCCCTGTTTCTTAGTCTTCTTAAGAAGTTTTTCCTTTCTGTCAGGGAGGCAGCAGTGGGGGTGGAGGGCAGGGAAGGAGGGATTGTTTTTACACTGACCACAGTAAAATATTACTCAGGCTAATTAAGGCCTAGAGAATGGTTAAACAAGAAATTAGAGTAAATTATGTAAATTCTGGCCACCAATATGAGTACATTGATTAGCGGCAGGTTGAAGATTTTTTTTTTTAATTTCTATTTTTAATTACCAAAGTGTATGTATCTATTATATGATATTGTAATAGTTCAGAATAATATAAAAGGTAGAAAGTCTTACATCTTTGCCTCTGCCAATCCCCCTTCTAGAGGCTCCACCTTTATAGATTAGTATAAATCTTTTTGCGCCTCTTTCTATGAATATATGATTTTTAATCAAACTGGGATGAGACCATACATATTTGTGTGTAAACTGTCATTGTTTCCACCCACATAGTGGCATATCATATGAACATCTTTCTGGTGCAGGTGGGTCATTATTTTTAACAGCTGCCAAGTATCCCTTTGTATGACTGTATCATAACGTGGTTGTTAAATCTCCTATGCATAGTTTTTCCTCATTTTTTCTACTGCACATAATGCTGCAGTGAACAGTTTATGCTTGTGTGTACATGCACATGTATGGAGATTGCTACAGGACAAAATCCTGGAAGTGGAGTGCTAGATGAATAGTATATCCATTTAAATAGTTGATAGATATTGCCAAATTGCCTTCTAAAATTTTTGTACCAACTCATACCCAAAAAAGCATATGAGTGCCCTTGAAGGAAAAGGGTTCTTAAAATGTTGAGCAGGGAGAGTAAAGAAAGTTGAAATGTAATTTAAGGGTGAGGTGAGCCACCTGCTTTCATCCAGCCTCTGATCTCTGCTTCACTGAGCACGCCTCTGCTGGGCAAAGAGTAGGAGCCTGTTGGGACAGATCGGTGGGTCCTTGCTCCAAGAAGGAAGTGTGGCTCATGGGCCACACTCTCAGACATGCAGAAACTGTAAAGGAAGGAGACACAAGCTAAGAAACCCGGGCTGGCACCTCTGCACAATCCTGGAGCCTGCCCGTGCCCTGGCTGGCACTGGGCTTTGCTGAAATCTAATATCTTGTTTCTTTTTCCCTTCTGTAACTAATGAGCAGGATGACAAGTACTGGGCAAGGCGCAGAAAGAACAACATGGCAGCCAAGCGCTCCCGCGACGCCCGGAGGCTGAAAGAGAACCAGATCGCCATCCGGGCCTCGTTCCTGGAGAAGGAGAACTCGGCCCTCCGCCAGGAGGTGGCTGACTTGAGGAAGGAGCTGGGCAAATGCAAGAACATACTTGCCAAGTATGAGGCCAGGCACGGGCCCCTGTAGGATGGCATTTTTGCAGGCTGGCTTTGGAATAGATGGACAGTTTGTTTCCTGTCTGATAGCACCACACGCAAACCAACCTTTCTGACATCAGCACTTTACCAGAGGCATAAACACAACTGACTCCCATTTTGGTGTGCATCTGTGTGTGTGTGCGTGTATATGTGCTTGTGCTCATGTGTGTGGTCAGCGGTATGTGCGTGTGCGTGTTCCTTTGCTCTTGCCATTTTAAGGTAGCCCTCTCATCGTCTTTTAGTTCCAACAAAGAAAGGTGCCATGTCTTTACTAGACTGAGGAGCCCTCTCGCGGGTCTCCCATCCCCTCCCTCCTTCACTCCTGCCTCCTCAGCTTTGCTTCATGTTCGAGCTTACCTACTCTTCCAGGACTCTCTGCTTGGATTCACTAAAAAGGGCCCTGGTAAAATAGTGGATCTCAGTTTTTAAGAGTACAAGCTCTTGTTTCTGTTTAGTCCGTAAGTTACCATGCTAATGAGGTGCACACAATAACTTAGCACTACTCCGCAGCTCTAGTCCTTTATAAGTTGCTTTCCTCTTACTTTCAGTTTTGGTGATAATCGTCTTCAAATTAAAGTGCTGTTTAGATTTATTAGATCCCATATTTACTTACTGCTATCTACTAAGTTTCCTTTTAATTCTACCAACCCCAGATAAGTAAGAGTACTATTAATAGAACACAGAGTGTGTTTTTGCACTGTCTGTACCTAAAGCAATAATCCTATTGTACGCTAGAGCATGCTGCCTGAGTATTACTAGTGGACGTAGGATATTTTCCCTACCTAAGAATTTCACTGTCTTTTAAAAAACAAAAAGTAAAGTAATGCATTTGAGCATGGCCAGACTATTCCCTAGGACAAGGAAGCAGAGGGAAATGGGAGGTCTAAGGATGAGGGGTTAATTTATCAGTACATGAGCCAAAAACTGCGTCTTGGATTAGCCTTTGACATTGATGTGTTCGGTTTTGTTGTTCCCCTTCCCTCACACCCTGCCTCGCCCCCACTTTTCTAGTTAACTTTTTCCATATCCCTCTTGACATTCAAAACAGTTACTTAAGATTCAGTTTTCCCACTTTTTGGTAATATATATATTTTTGTGAATTATACTTTGTTGTTTTTAAAAAGAAAATCAGTTGATTAAGTTAATAAGTTGATGTTTTCTAAGGCCCTTTTTCCTAGTGGTGTCATTTTTGAATGCCTCATAAATTAATGATTCTGAAGCTTATGTTTCTTATTCTCTGTTTGCTTTTGAACGTATGTGCTCTTATAAAGTGGACTTCTGAAAAATGAATGTAAAAGACACTGGTGTATCTCAGAAGGGGATGGTGTTGTCACAAACTGTGGTTAATCCAATCAATTTAAATGTTTACTATAGACCAAAAGGAGAGATTATTAAATCGTTTAATGTTTATACAGAGTAATTATAGGAAGTTCTTTTTTGTACAGTATTTTTCAGATATAAATACTGACAATGTATTTTGGAAGACATATATTATATATAGAAAAGAGGAGAGGAAAACTATTCCATGTTTTAAAATTATATAGCAAAGATATATATTCACCAATGTTGTACAGAGAAGAAGTGCTTGGGGGTTTTTGAAGTCTTTAATATTTTAAGCCCTATCACTGACACATCAGCATGTTTTCTGCTTTAAATTAAAATTTTATGACAGTATCGAGGCTTGTGATGACGAATCCTGCTCTAAAATACACAAGGAGCTTTCTTGTTTCTTATTAGGCCTCAGAAAGAAGTCAGTTAACGTCACCCAAAAGCACAAAATGGATTTTAGTCAAATATTTATTGGATGATACAGTGTTTTTTAGGAAAAGCATCTGCCACAAAAATGTTCACTTCGAAATTCTGAGTTCCTGGAATGGCACGTTGCTGCCAGTGCCCCAGACAGTTCTTTTCTACCCTGCGGGCCCGCACGTTTTATGAGGTTGATATCGGTGCTATGTGTTTGGTTTATAATTTGATAGATGTTTGACTTTAAAGATGATTGTTCTTTTGTTTCATTAAGTTGTAAAATGTCAAGAAATTCTGCTGTTACGACAAAGAAACATTTTACGCTAGATTAAAATATCCTTTCATCAATGGGATTTTCTAGTTTCCTGCCTTCAGAGTATCTAATCCTTTAATGATCTGGTGGTCTCCTCGTCAATCCATCAGCAATGCTTCTCTCATAGTGTCATAGACTTGGGAAACCCAACCAGTAGGATATTTCTACAAGGTGTTCATTTTGTCACAAGCTGTAGATAACAGCAAGAGATGGGGGTGTATTGGAATTGCAATACATTGTTCAGGTGAATAATAAAATCAAAAACTTTTGCAATCTTAAGCAGAGATAAATAAAAGATAGCAATATGAGACACAGGTGGACGTAGAGTTGGCCTTTTTACAGGCAAAGAGGCGAATTGTAGAATTGTTAGATGGCAATAGTCATTAAAAACATAGAAAAATGATGTCTTTAAGTGGAGAATTGTGGAAGGATTGTAACATGGACCATCCAAATTTATGGCCGTATCAAATGGTAGCTGAAAAAACTATATTTGAGCACTGGTCTCTCTTGGAATTAGATGTTTATATCAAATGAGCATCTCAAATGTTTTCTGCAGAAAAAAATAAAAAGATTCTAATAAAATGTATTCTCTTGTGTGCCAGGAGAGGTTTCAGAAACCTACCTCGTCTTACAAATTTAAACACTTTGGAGTCTGTACAGGTGCCTTATATGTAGGTCATTGTCACGATACACACACACGAACACTCCCTCTGGACTGGCTGCCTCTCCATCCAGGGCAGTTAACTAGCAAACAAGGCAGATCTGCTTCATGGAGCGGGAGGCCATGGCTTGACTCTGAGTGATTTGGGTCAACCGGAGTCAGACGCATGTCTGCACGCTGCAGCTATTATGAGAGTCCCTTTGTCATTTTTCACCTTTTCATCCTAAGCATCTTTCAGAGATTAATTATTTGGCCATTAACAATGAATCCAAATCATATCATACTGACATCATCTAGACATGATTTGGAAGGAACAGCTTAGGACCTCCTGATGAGGTCACATTGTTGTTTCTTTTAACTAGACTTGGCAAAGAAAGGCAAAAATTGACCAGCCTATCTTTCTGCTGGTGCTGCCTTAAGGAGGTAGTTTGTTGAGGGGAGGGCTGTAGATCATTACTTCTTTCTCTTCAGGAAGTGGCCACTTTGAACCATTCAAATACCACATTAGGCAAGACTGTGATAGGCCTTTTGTCTTCAAATACAACAGGCCTCCACTGACCCATCCCTCAAAGCAGAAGGACCCTTTGAGGAGAGTACAGATGGGATTCCACAGTGGGGTGGGTGGAATGGAAACCTGTACTAGACCACCCAGAGGTTCCTTCTAACCCACTGGTTTGGTGGGGAACTCACAGTAATTCCAAATGTACAATCAGATGTCTAGGGTCTGTTTTCGGAAGAAGCAAGAATTATCAGTGGCACCCTCCCCACTGCCCCCAGTGTAAAACAATAGACATTCTGTGAAATGCAAAGCTATTCTTTGGTTTTTCTAGTAGTTTATCTCATTTTACCCTATTCTTCCTTTAAGGAAAACTCAATCTTTATCACAGTCAATTAGAGCGATCCCAAGGCATGGGACCAGGCCTGCTTGCCTATGTGTGATGGCAATTGGAGATCTGGATTTAGCACTGGGGTCTCAGCACCCTGCAGGTGTCTGAGACTAAGTGATCTGCCCTCCAGGTGGCGATCACCTTCTGCTCCTAGGTACCCCCACTGGCAAGGCCAAGGTCTCCTCCACGTTTTTTCTGCAATTAATAATGTCATTTAAAAAATGAGCAAAGCCTTATCCGAATCGGATATAGCAACTAAAGTCAATACATTTTGCAGGAGGCTAAGTGTAAGAGTGTGTGTGTGTGTGTGTGCGTGCATGTGTGTGTGTGTGTATGTGTGTGAATAAGTCGACATAAAGTCTTTAATTTTGAGCACCTTACCAAACATAACAATAATCCATTATCCTTTTGGCAACACCACAAAGATCGCATCTGTTAAACAGGTACAAGTTGACATGAGGTTAGTTTAATTGTACACCATGATATTGGTGGTATTTATGCTGTTAAGTCCAAACCTTTATCTGTCTGTTATTCTTAATGTTGAATAAACTTTGAATTTTTTCCTTTCTTTCATGTATTTTTATTAACAGTTGGCTAGCAATGGTATTCTGTTCCCACCTCGGTAGCAAAGAGACCATTTGTAGAGATTATTACCTAGATAATAAAATGATAATACTATATAATTAGTAATAAATTAACATTTATTGGGTAGTTATGTGCCAGACACTGTGCTAAACACTTAGATGGAATATTTTATTCCATATTAGCTCTATGAGGTAGGGACAATTATTATCCCCATTTACAGAAGACAAAATGGAAAGTTAGGAGAGTCACGTAGCTTACCTAATGTTACAGAGGTAAAAGTGGCTGAGATGAATTCTGATCCCTGGAGTGGGCATTATTTAGAGGGGTGGTTCCCAAAAGCCAGTCCACAGACTGTCTTGTTCTCTAATATATAAAGAATAATTCAGCAACATCTAGGAGTATAAATCCAGAGATTCTGAATCAGTAGTTCTTGGATGGGGCCCAGAAATCTGAATTTTTAAACTGATCCCAGCCAACTTCCATCTGCAGCCAAGTAATTGGTGTCAAGGATTTATAGACTTGGCTCTTAATTCAAGTTCATGACCCTTGGGGGATCCACGCAGAGGCTTCAGAGATGCCATAATTATCTGAAATTGTATGCAACTTTTTATGTATAAACATTTATTTTGCTGTAGAGAAGACTTGTAGCTTTTTTTTTTTTTTTTTTTTTTTTTACTTCCCTAAAGGAACCTGTGATGCAAGGCGGAATAAAACCCCTGATTCATGTAAGAAGGCTGATGTAGAGCAGTGGTTCTCAGCCCAGGGAGCCCAGTAGATTCACCTGGGGAGCTCAAAACCGGCTGTGTGGGGCTGCAGCCCAGGCCAAGAAACTCAGCATCTCCGGCATAGTGAGAAGGGGGCTCTGTGTTGAGGAGTACAATTCTGGATTCAAATCTGTCACCTAGTGGGTATGTGACCTTGAGCAGCTTCTAAACCGTTTTGAACATAATCTCATCTGTGACATGAAGGTATACTCACTTCTGAGGGTTGTGGGGGGAACTAATGACAACAAATGAATTGTCTCTGGCACATCCGAGGCCTTCAACAGATAACTACATGGGGCCCACGAGAGTAGAATGGATGCCTTGAGCATTTTTCCAATTCAATATTTCAGACTATTCGTTCCTTCAGAGAGGACGGAAAAGAATTCCCCTGCTCATATGCCAGAGCAGGATGGCTGATGGTATGGGAATGGGTGGTAGAGACGTTGTTTCATAGTGTGACTTCACCAACAGTTCATAGACTAGCGCCAGCTTTGTGCACAAGGTCGATGGGCATCTCTTACTTGGTGACAACCTCTAGTTAAAATTGAGTGGTTACAAGTTAGGGTTCAGCTCTATTTTCATCCATCAAACACCTTTCACCTTTTTGTTGTTGTTGTTGTTGAGGTGGAGTCTCACTCTGTTACCAGGCTGGAGCGCAGTGGTGCGATCTCAGCTCACTGCAACCTCAGCCTCCTGGGTTCAAGCGACTCCTGCCTCAGCCTCCCAAGTAGCTGGGACTACAGGCACGTGCCACCATGCCCAGCTAAGTTTTGTATTTTTAGTAGAGGCAGGGTTTCACCGTGTTGGCCAGGATGGTCTCGATCTCTTGACCTCGTGATCCACCCACCTCGACCTCCTAAAGTGCTGGGATTACAGGCGTGAGCCACTGCACCCAACCCACCTTTCACCTTTCTCAGAGGAATAAGAATAGTGACCTTAGCTTAAGAATAGTGACCTTAGCCTAAGATTCTTCTGGGGCATCTTCAAATCTCTTGGAGGAAATGACTTCATGCCTGGAGAGCATTTGGATCCGAGATGGCAAGAACTGATATGAAGCCAAGCTGCGTAGACTCCCAGTCATACACAAGTCCTCAGTCCCTGGGGGCCCATCACATGCTGCATGTAGGATGGCTCTTCCATGCACACTTAAGCATAAGATGCCACCCAATCAAGCCCCTCTCTTCAAAGCATACAACTTCAATTTCCTTGTTGAAAATCATTGGCTTAGAAGTCTCTTTGGACATCTTTAGCTAGGAACTGGGTGAGAACTTTGAAATCTTGTCTTTGTGGTCAGAAGATGGCTTCTTGCTAATAAATCAAAAGGACCCTTTGGAGGAGATAGGACTAGTCAAAGGTGGCAAGCATCCTCTGCCTCTCTGGGTTTTGAGTCAGGGAGGACTTGGATCCAAAGTCCCTGTCTCTAACTTCTTTTTATCCTGCAAAGCCTGGCACAATGCCTGGAAATGGTATAGAGAGATAACAGTTACTGAGTCCTAAACCTGTGCCTTCCACATCTCATTTAATCCTCACACTACAAAACAGGTACTATTATTATCCCTGTTTTGCAGATAAAGAAACAGGCTTATGGAAATTAGGTAATCAGCATTTTTAACCCAGACCAAAGCCTGACCCCAGAGTTTGACAGGGGTGGGAAACATCAGGAGTTTACCAAACCTATTTATTTACCTTCTGGACATTCAAGTAGACCACTTTTTCCAGACTCCCTTACCTCTAGTATGACCATTCAACTGAATTCTGTCCAAAGGAACATAAGCAGAAGTAACCCCAGGTGTCACTTCCATGAAAGGCCCATAAACAGTGCCACCTGATGCTCTCTCTCTCCTTTTTTTCTGGCTCCTGGAGAAGATGGAGACTAAGAAGGAAGGGACCCAGGTCCCTGAGTATATGGCAAACGCACCTGACAGCAATAACTTCAGCATACTCTGAGAATGACCCTGTATGGCAGACACAGCTGAATGTGTGTTCAGAGTTCCAAGCTCAGGAATCTGGGAGTGGCCAGCCTGGAGGTTCATTCTTTATCTGTGACGAACATCTGAACCCTCAGCCTGTCCCAAGGACCACGAGCCATACAGGGGATCATAGTCCTCTGTTTTGGGTTAAATGAAGGTTGTCAGGTGGAGGTTGTTAAGGGGAGGGTGCGAAGTGGAAATGCTATTTTATAAACTACATACTATTTGCAAGTGGTTGTAGTTCTGTCTGGCCCACTGCCACTGGACCATCCCTACATGTAAATTTCCTCTAATAATAATTTATATCTCATTTGCTAGCTCTGGGTTTCTTCTTCAGCCTCTCAAACATGGTTCCTTCCCTGTTGAGATTAATAGGGGTCTGGCATGACACTAAGTCATCAAACTGTTACACGAGGAAGGAAAAAGCCTCGCTGTATTAAACCATTGAGATACTGGGGTTTCTTGTTGCATGGCCTAACTGCTGATTAGCCTAACCCTAATATGAGGACCTTCTTCTGAAGCCCAGTGTCCTTAATTTGAGGTCTTGACATCTTTGCCAGGTTCCCAACTGTAATCTAGGCTCATCACCCCTCACATACCTGACTTTGAGGTTTGTCCACCTTCTGGACAGACCTCCCACCCTGGTTAGGCTAAGCCTACTGGGTTGGACCTTCAGAACATCACTGCCTACCTCTTCCCTCCATTTATCCTGCGTTTGAACACTGTCCAGAATTGTTCAATTGCTCTCAGGGTGTATTAGTCCATTTTTGTGCTGCTGTGAAGAAATACCTGAGACTGGGTAATGCATAAAGAAAAAGAGGTTTGATGGACTTACAGTTCCACATGGCTGAGGAGGCCTCACAATCCTAGCAGAAGGTGAAGGAGGAGCAAAGGCACATCTTACATGGCAGCAGGTGAGAGAGTATGTGCAGGGGAACTGCCCCTTATAAAACCATCAGATCTTGTGATACTTATTCACTATCACAAGAACAGCACGGGAAAAACCTGCCCCCATAATTCAATTACCTCCCACCAGGTCCCTCCCATGACACAGGATTGTGGGAGCTACAATTCAAGACAAGATTTGGGTGGGGACACAGCCAAACCATATCACAGGGGAAGCAGCCTCTACTTCCAGATCAGCTTTTCTACTCATTATCCTCTCCCGAATCCAAATTCTCTCCCTGGCCACTCAGTGCCCCCTTCATCCCCAGCCCCAGTTATTCAGGTACTCACTTCAAGATGAGGCCTACCATTTCTTAGAGCACTGGTCTTTCAGTTTTTTTGCTCACATGCTCCCAAAAATTCTTTTTAAACCATGAATCCACATTGCACATTATAAAGTTGACAACTAAAATTTTTTTAATCACAAGTTTAAATAGTTGCAAAGGATGTAATAGCTGCTCTAAGTACTGGCATTTAAAAATAAGCTACTACATGACTCTTTTTAATATATCTGATGAACTATTAAAACCCTAGTGATTTACTACCAACCAACATCCATTTGAAAAATAGAGTTGGAATTTGTACACCACTTTTTTTTAATCAAAATAATTATTTACATTGTGTTTCCTCACTGAGTTTGTCTCTTATGTAATATATTTTTATGCCTCAAAGTCTTATATTGTCCCTCCATCGTATTTCTCAGTCATAAAACAACAGCTATAGACTGAGATTCTTATTTTTATTTTCAAAAAAAATAAAACAAGGCTCATAAATTTTTTATCTTTAGGTATGAGTTATGGTTACCTTCATTACTAGCACATGCATGATCAAAACCATGTCTATAGTAAAATTTTAAATAATTATTATCCATGAAAAATAAAATTTTAACAGGACTACAAATCTAGGAAGATGGATAGGAGTGGTTGTGGATAACTGATAAAGAAAAAGACTTCACAGACAACAAACTTCCTTGTTGTCCCTTTGTCTGGTGCCACAAACATTTTTATGCCTGGAACTGGAGCCCAGAGCTAGAGTAAGATTTAGCCTGGGTAGGAAGTATACCTATGTTTTGTAAAACGAGAGAAATGTGATTGTAAAAGGAGAGGAAAGGAAAAAAAAAAAAAAAAACCAACCAGCGTGAGGCCTCATCAACAACCACTTTCTCAGGCAGGTCAATTTTAAGAAAAAATACGTATAGAATTTGAGGGCCTAGAAATTCCCTTAAGACTTACCTATGCAAATATATCCCTTGGATATACTTTATGCAGCACTAGATGTGTGTCCTGCTGACTTAAAAAGCAGGGCATTAGAGTGGGGCTGATGGAGGTAAAAGAGCAGAAGGGTTATTTGGCCAGTTCTAACATTTTTGAAGGGGCTCAAATTAGAATGTTTGATTTGTTTCCAAGTGAATATACATATTCCTAAAGATAGAATGACAACTTTTTTTGTAACTTTCTTCTGGCATTTCTATATCTTTTGAAATGTCCCTTATAGCCCCTAAAATAGAATTGGCCTCATGCCTCCCATAAGCTCTGATGGGGCACAGGATGGGTCTGGGGAGTCCCCAGAAAGAAGGTGATGGTTGAAGTGAGTGAAGATAAGCAGGAGCTTGTCAGGAAGAGATGGAGAGGGATATCCCAGGTGGCAACACAGAGGTAAGAGAAGAGAACAGAACACTCCCACAGGCGACAGCATGGTAGGTGCAAAGGGTATACGGTGAGCGGTAAAAAATGAGGTATGACCAGACCATGAAATTCCTTGCATGCTGCTCTAAGGCCTTTGGACTTTAGCCTGACCAGGAGAATGACATGAGCAGGTTTCTATGTTAAAAATATTATACTGGCAGTTAAGAGGAAGATGGATTGCAAAGAATTAGGAAGAGTGAGGGAGATTTCTACTTTAGTCTCTGAGTAAGTCTCTAGGGATGAGGTGGGTGCATAGATTCAGAGCTATCTAGGAAGGTTTAGCCTGCAGGGTTTAGTAGAAGGGGTCAAGGACAGCTCTAAGTTCCATGATCTCGGTCGATCTATGGTTCACGGTCAGGGATGCACATAAGAATCCTCTCAGGAGTCTGCAAAAACACCCATGCCTGGCACCACCCTGTGACTCGTTGAATTTGCAGCCTCTGGTGTGGAACGCCAGCCCATTTTCCTTAGAAAGCTCTCTTGGTTTATTCTACTCTGCACTCTCTGGGTGAGAGGAATATGGGCCAGGAATTGTAGGCTTCATCTTTCCGTTAAAGAAATCAAAGCTCAAAGAGTTCTGAAATCAGAATTCCTGGAGCAAAGCATATAACTAGGGAAATGGTAATGCCAGGATTTGAACCCAAGTTACTTGGACTTCAAGCCCCTTCCTGTTCCAGACGTGCTGATCCTTGCCTACCTGCCCACTTCTGCTTCCTGTTTGACCACCTGTCCTATATATTCCTGAGTGTGGCTGATGTGTTCATAATTTCAGCCCTGCCTCCATCCACAGCTGCCTGACTAGGAGGGACACCTGGCCCCAGAGGAGCCACTCCATTGAATCAGCTGATATCTAAGATAGTGGCTCTCAAACTTTGCTGCTCATTAGAATCACCTGGTAAACTTTAAAAAAATCCTGATACCAGGTCATATTTCCATTCAACTGAATCAAAATGGGAGGGGTGGAAATGGGGAAGGGGGTGGAACCCAGGCATAGTTTACAATTTTTTCTCCAGGTGATTACAATTGGAGCTTATGAACTATGATCAAAGTTCTCCAAATGTTGTCCACAAATTAGCAGCATCAATATCAGCTGGAAGCTTTGCAGGAGCGTAGACTCTTTGGTCCTATCTTAGACTCCTGAATCACAATCTCTATTTTAACAAGATCTCCAGATGATTCCTATGCACATTGCAGATTGCAAAGTTCTCCCCTAAACAACACAGAGTGCAGTGGCTCACTCCTGTAATCCCAGCACTTCGGGAGGCCAAGGCAGGCGGACCACCTGAGGTCAGAAGTTCAAGACCAGCCTGGTCAACACGGTGAAAGCCCGTCTCTACTAAATATACAAAAATTAACTGGGCGTGATGTTGGGTACCTGTAATCCGAGTTACTTGGGAGGCTGAGGCAGGAGAATCGCTTGAATGTAGGAGGCAGAGGTTGCAGTGAGCCGAGATTGCATCATTGCACTCCAGCCTGGGAAACAAGAGTGAAACCTCATCTCAAAAAATAATAATAATAATACAAAAAATTAGCTGGGCGTGGTGGTGGGCACCTGTAATCCCAGCTATTTGGGAGGCTGAGGCAGGAGAATCCCTTGAACTTGGGAGGCGGAGGTTGCAGTGAGCTGAGACTGCTCCATTGCACTCCAGCCTGGGCAACAAGAGCAAAATTTTGTCTCAAAAAACAAAAAACATAAAACAACAACAACAACAACAAACCGCAGAGGAGCAAAATGAGTCAGTGGAGGAATGAATGGCAGATTAGTACATGTCCTTGCAATCCTTCAAAGTCCTTGGATTTCCTTGATTCTTGCCCTTCCTGATGTCTAACTGTTGCGCTTCCCTTGAATTCTGAACAATATCTAGCATTATAATTACCCTTTCCCGCCCCACCTTTTTTTAGGCTACTTTGAGTAGGCTTCTATCTCTTGCAACTGTTAGCACTAGGAAACATATCCGAGTCACGCAGCACCAAAGTATGTTAGCAGCAGCGAATCCTTATGGGTCTGCAGCAACCTCAATTCTTGCCTCCTCAAAAGAAAGAATTCGACCAAGGGTCATAAGGCAGAGGGAGAGACGGAAGCAAGTTTTACAGCAGGAGTGAAAGGTTATTAAAAAGTTTAGATCAGACGGGAGGCTGAGGCAGGAGAATCGCTTGAACCCAGGAGGCAGAGGTTGCGGTGAGCCGAGATTGCACCATTGCACTCCAGCCCTGGGGGACAAGAGCAAGACTTTGTCTCAAAAAAAAAAAAAAAAGGGGGGGGTTTAGAGTAGGGACAAAAGGAAGTAAGATACACTTGGAAGAGGGCCAAGCAGGCCACTTGAGAGATTCAAGTGTGTGGTTTGACCTTTACCTTGGGGTTTTATACATCAGCATGCTTCCCAGGCGGGTGGAGTGCACCTTTCTCCCCTGATTCTTCCCTTGGGGTGGGCTGTCCACATGCACAGTGGCCTGCCAGCACTTGGGAGGAGCCGCACGATCAGTGTTTTCTGAAGTTGTATGCATGCTCACTCGAGGCCTTCTTCCCTTATCAGTCAAGTGTTCCTAGAAGAAGGTCATATGCCAGTTAAATGCCACCATTTTGCCTCTTAGCGCACATGCTTGAGCCCACTCGCCCAACTCCTGAGACCGCATAGGGAAGCTGCTGATCACCAGTTTCAGGTGTTTTTATCTGTTGGGAGGCTGGCCTTTTCCTTGTGCTGGCTGAGGCCAATTATTATTTTAGAGAGACAGTTTAACAACTGCCTGACCAACACCTGATGGTTGCCTGACAGTCCCGGTGGTGGGGGTGGGGGAGGCGGGTCCTCTTCTGCCCTGCTCATGTCTCACTAATTACCTACTGTAACACAACCACAGGTGCCACAACATACTTGCTTTTTAAATTTCCTTTTGTTTGAATCAACCAATGTGCCTTGCAGAATGCTTCGTCAGTGGAGTGGGGAACTGAAGTCATCACTGATTATTTGGTGCAAGGTCTCAAAAGCGTTTCTCCTGAATGACATTTTGGACAAAGCTTGCCAAAGACGGGCAGCCTTTGAAGAAGTTCAATCACCATCTTCCTTTCCAAGTTGGGCTTGAGGATGCAGTGTGAATAGCACAGGCTTTGGAGTTGAATTAAAACTGGGTTCGAACCCTGTCTCTGGCATCCATTTATTTCAGAAACAGATATTTATGGAGCGTCCACTATGGAGAAGGCCTTTTTAGCTGGTAACATTATACTTAATCTTTCTGAACTCAGAGTCATTAGTGCCATCTTAATATTGTTTGTACTTGGCAAGATAAGAAATATGAAGCATCTGGAGGCCTGGAATAGTAGACATTCAGCAAGGATGAGTTTCTTCCTTTGTACTGCCCAATCCCCTCTCTTCTCCCTGGACCTTGCAGGAGATGGATAAGGAGCCTCTTGAAGGAAGTGGCTCAGGATTAGTGTTCTCTCTCTGACCTTTGAAAATTAAATGAATAACACAAGGGACATGACAAAACACAATGACACCATTTGGGGCTTTTGTCCCTTAGGCTAGATTTACTTGTAAGGTTTCTATCCTGACCTACTAGAGGCAGAAGATGGATTAAGAAAGGAGTCTTAGATAATCTCTCATCTACTATCCTTATTTCAAGATGAGAAGTCAAATAGTTGCTGTTGGAGACTGGATTCTATCCTAGGTTTGCAAACTTCCCATCTGATCTCGTGCCGTGACATCAATCTTGCCCCCAAACAATCCTCATCACATCTTTATCTTCCGTCCCCAAGGTAAATTGATAGTGCAAGCATCATGAACTTTTGTACTGCATGATCACCACTCGTTTCCAAAAGCCATCCCAAATTTGCACATACTCAAGTAAAACCAGGATCCTTGCTTTGCTAACATGGCTTCCAATTCCTGTGGCGGCACCTTCTATCCCTTAAATAGACTGCAGCTCTTGAGTCACTTCTATGTAGAAATTCTGAAGCCACTACTGAAAATGAGTCCCAGGGTATAAAAGACTGGAAGGCAGTGCCCGTTAGTTGACCCCACATCCACAGCCAATTGAGCACTGTGTGATTTTCCTTGGAAGTAGATACAATGGACTCCAGCATGAGTCACAAGGCCCAGCTCTAATCCAGGTTTCTTCCCCAGTCGTCATTTCTGTCCCTCCTCTGTGCAGCATCCTGTGGCCTGGGAAGGGGGTGAGAGGAAGGAAAGAAAAAGGAGGGTCCCTCATGAACTTTGCCTGTGAAGACGATGCACTCAGGGAAGGAAACATGATTCCTGCCCATGGGATCAGGATCCCGCCACGTCTGAACACCGTTGTACAGCTTAACAGTCCCTCATCTGTTTTTCATTTTGGCCCTTTCAGCAACCCTGTGAGGGACTCAGGGTACAATAAACAAGGAGACAGATTTGGTGATGGCAAACCTTACCCAGGGTCAGAGGGGAGCTGGGAGGTCTGTGCTGCTGAGTGTTTTGACATCCCAAATCCCCAAGGGAGTATGGGCTGGGAAGACCTCATGTGTGCCATCTCAACCCCCTGCAAATATACCCCAATGTCCTCAGCTATAATTAATTAATTTTGAATACATTGAAAGAAGTAAATGCCTCTGACAGTTCGCTGACTCCCCAGCCTGCCTCCTGGTGCTCCTCCACCCACTCCCTGTGATTTGGGAGGGAGAAGCCAGGGCTCAGTTGATTCCATCTGAGATAGGGCTGCCTTTCCTAAAATGAGCCTCCCCCACCTGTAACCTTATTCTCCTCTTGCTAACTTTTCTGTTCATAGCTTTGAAGCCAAAAAATGAGTGTGCTTTGACGAGCTTTCTGTGCCTGTCCTGCGATGCCCCTCCCTGTCTCCAGCCCATCCGCCTCTTCCCTGGGCAGCATTGCAGAAACTCCTTCACCCTTCTCTCAGGCCCCATCCCCCCTGCAGCCTCCCCAGAACTACAGAGGGAAGCTGACACAAGAAAGGCTTCATGAAAAGGAGCCCTTAAAAGACCAAAGTGCCTTTCTTTCTTTTGAATGAAGATGAATCTCAGAAATAGAGGAAACGTCATTTAAAAGAGGAGACACAGGGGAGACGTCCCCCAGCCTCAGGGTTCTCAGTGGGAACCTTGGATTTGAGCTATTTGTGTACCAAGCTGGTCATTCTCTCTCTCTCAATCTTTCATTCTTTTTCTCTCTCGCTCGCTCTCTCCCTCTTTTTCCCCTCCCCCTCTCCTTCTCTCCCTCCCCACTCTCTCTCATTCTCCCACTCTCTCTCCCTTCCTCTCATCTCTCATTCTGTCTCCATCTCTGTCATTGTTTCTCTCACTCTCTCTCTACCTTACTCCTCCACTCCCTCCCTCTTTTTTTCTCTCTCCCCCTCCCTCTCCCCTCACCCCTCTCTATCTCCCTCCTTCTCTGTTTCTCCCTCTTCCCTCTGCTCCCTCCCTTCTTACTTTTCTCCCCTGTGTGCAGCAGTGGTGGAGGAGGGGGTAGGAGTGGGTGCATTTGGATGGGAGGTGGAAATGACTATAGGTGAAGTGAGGATGAAGATTTGAGGGCCCAGGCAGATAGATGAAAATAGAAAAAGCCCAGACAGGACCCCAGACATCCTGGCCCCCTGACCATGACCCTGTAACCACGCCACAGTTTTGACACCCGTTCATTAAAGTGTCTATGCGAGCAGGAAGCCCATTACCCATTCTCAGAAACCTTCCCCAAGGCACTGTAAGGATCACAGGATAATGTTTGGGTCAGAGGATGCTTTTGATATATTCCATCTGGTGAATCTCTTCATTTTCTAGATGAGAGCCTTGGGGTCTAGAGAAGGAAAGTGACCTGCCAAGTGTTACACACAGCTAAATACAATCCCAGCCACCCCCTGCTCCCCAGGCCAGGCTGTTCAATATAGCACCCTGTCTCCTCTTTGGCTATTTTCTGTGGAGGATCCTAAGGGCAAAGATGATCTGATTCTTGTTTTGCAGGTGGAAATATGGAGGCACAAAAAGCCTCATTGCTTCAGTCTGCTGTCTTCTAGGCCTAAGCAGTCTTTAAGTATCTAAATCCTACCCATTTTCATGTTGAATTTCATCACTTTTCCTATGAAATGCTCCTTAGTTTCCCAGTTGGAAGCAGTCACTCCTTCCTCTGAACCCACCCCACTTCCAACCCAAGCGCTCCACATGTCCCTCTCTTGCCATGGCTAACTTTCTGCAGCGCAATTTCAATACATTTGTCCACAGCTGAGTCACTTCTGCAAAGATGCCAGCATTTTTGAGGACAGAGATGATGTTATGGATTGCAAACAAACCTAATCCTAACTAATTCAATGTGTGATATTTATTCCTTAATGTGTTTCTGTATTTTCATATTCTTTTTGCAAAGTTGAAAAAACATAAAAAAGAAAAAAATCTAATCTTGGAATATCGTGATACAATAAAGCCTGCCTTACCACATAGATCCTTCCCCTAAACCATGAAGCATTCCTCCTCCAGGAAGCATCCAAGGGCTGAGCAGCAGGGTGGGTTAGCCCATAGTGTAGGCAGTTCAGGGTACCTCGTCTGGAGCGATTTTAAAAGGGATGATATCAATGTTCTATATTATTCAGCATTTTTCTCTTTTGCAGAAGAAAAGTTTTTCAAGTTTTTATCAACTACAATAGAAATTATGAAATTTCTGCTGAAGGTATTTTAGTGGAATTTTCAACTGCAAAGACTCTGGAAAGCTGCTAGGAGAAATCCTGAAATGAAACAAAGACATGGGCAGTATTGCAATTTCTGAAACCTATTGGGAATAGGATTTTTATGAATCTCTTCTAAACTTGCCCTCAAGTCAGTATTAAAATTACTATATGCAAATCTGTTCCTCAGTGTGAAAGAACATTTCAAAATTAAAATTAATTAAAAGTTCTCTGATCAACTGTGAGTGAAAATAGCTTGATAAATCTGGTTGCCCAGTCAAATATGCCTAGAAGACCAATTTTGACAAAATTATTAACAAATTTACAGAAGTTCGGGCACAAACACAAAATCTGTAATATGATTATACATTATTGCCACAGCCTGATATGTTGGTATAAGTTTTTTCTTTTAAAAGAAGATACACTAATGTAATTAAAAAGTATGAGTTGTCTACTGCTCTTTTCCTGTTTTGCTATATTTACTTATTTATTTTACTGATATCATTGCTATTTAATAATTTCAATTTTTTTTAGATTCAGGGGACATATATGCATGGATATTGTATTAGTCTGCTTTCACACTGCTGATAAAGACATACCAAGACTAGGTAATTTATAAAGAAAAAGAGGTTTGATGGACTCACAGTTTCACGTGGCTGGGGAGGCCTCACAATCATGGCAGAAGGCACGTCTTACATGGTGGCAGACAAGAGAGAATGAGGGCCAACCTAAAAGGGGTTTCCCCTTATAAAACCATCAGATCTCCTGAGACTTATTCACTACCACAAGAACAGTATGGGGTAAACCGCCCCCAGTGATTCAATTATCTCCCATCGCGTCTCTCCCACAACATGTGGGAATTATGGGAGCTACAATTCAAGATGAGATTTGGGTGGGGACACAGACAAACCATACTAGATATATTGTGTGATGCTAAGGTTTGAGATACAAATGATCTTGTCACCCAGATAATGAGCAAGCACCCAATAGTTTTTCAACCCTTGCTCCCCGCTCCCTCCCTCCCCACCTCTAGTAGTCCCCAGTGTCTATTGTTGCCATCTTTATGACATGATTATTAATATGACATTCAATAAAGTTTTTAAAAATCATGGTTTTCTGGCAGTCACTATTATTTGTTTCATTTTATGATTGTTACTGAAGATAATTGTGTTGTCAAAGAAGGGGAGATTAAAGACTATCTGCTTTCAGTATACCCCTGGGTACTCCCCCGCCCATCGTGAACACAATTTCTTCTTAATCCTCTGGCAAGATCTCTCACTCACCCATCGCCAACAGCATTTTGGAAATGAAGCTCCAATAAGTCTATGTTTCTGGCAAGTAAGTTTGTTAGTGGGGGCTTTCTTGTTAAGTTGCAATTGTCTCAGCTCTGAGTTCTTGTCCATTTCTGCAAGTGTGAAAGGAGGCAGATATTTTCCACCCTGGGAATCCTCTGTAATATCATAGTGGGTTTCTCCACCTCAGCAATGTTGATATTTTGGGCCAGATAAGTCTTCATTGTTGGGGCTGTCCTGTGCATTGTGGGATATTTAGCAACACCCCTAAATATGATTACTAAATAGCAACTAAATGCCAGTAGCACCCCTTCTCCTCTGTTGTGACAACTGAAATTGCCACAAAAAATTGCCCCAGCTGAGCATCACTGTATTAGACTGAGACTGCAGTTTGTAGTTGAAATGGCCCTAGAGCAGACCTTCGTCTATATTGAGCTTGGGCAAGTCTCCTACTATTGCTGAGCCCCCATTTTCTGCATCTGTAAAGTTAGACTAACATCTATCTTGATTCAATGTGAAATTCAGAAAAATAACATGTGAAAATGACTTGTACACTCTAAATTTATTTGCAAATATGCAAGGTCATTACCAAGTGGTCAAAAACTTTATACTACAACTGAGTTGTGAAAAAAATGCAGCTCTTAAAATGATCTAATCTTGATTTCATCCTTATTTGAGTTCATTAAAAACTTAATCAGCCAGTTACATATAATTTCTTCTTTTCCAGCTTAAAGCAGGATCTTTCACTCAATTTGATATCTTTGGGTTAAGAATTCAATTCACTCAAAGTACAAATATCCAGGACAGTTTCTCTCAAGATCTTTTCACCTTCTCTTTCTCAAGATTGTGGCTGGGTACAGGTAGAACTCACAGATTCTATGGCAATGAGGTGGGGAGTCTCAGATTCCCATGCTGGCCTCAGGTCTGTGCTGGTCTGTGCTGATCTGTGGGCTGTTCTGGTCTGGTTCCCGCATATTTGCCTGGGAAGGCAAATCCCACCTTGTCCTTCAGAGCCTTGTGTGTGATCCCTGACCTGGACTCCAGAGGTGAGGTCCCTGCCCCCTGCAGCCCCCTTATCTACAGCCTGGGGGCTGTTTTGGTTCTTCATTTCTTTCAGCCTCTGCATCTCCCTGGGGGCCTCAGATGTGTTCCCTGCACCAAGCTGAAATCAGCAAATCTCGGCCAGTTGGACCTCCAGCCCACTCACGTGGACCTTCCTCAGCCCTGGTAGCCTGCTGCCATTGTGCTGTGCCAGATGCTGTGCTGGCTAACCATGGGCTGTTTCCAAGACCTTTCTATTTCCCAGGTGTAAGTGATCCTATTTCCTTATCTGGAAGTTTTGAGACTCCTGCCCAATTTCTTTCCTCTCCTCCTACCCACAATGACCCTGTGTTTGAGTTAGGGGGTGGAAACACCCCATCTCTTATCTCTTGCCCTGTCATCTCTCTCTTCTGAGCCCCCTTCGTCAGACCTGCAGGTGCGTTTCCCCACCTCTTTCCTGTTGAGTAGGAAGTCCCCTTAGCATCATATGTTCCTTCTTGCCTACTCTAGGACATTCTCCTCCCCAGTAGCAATGTGGCAGAGGGGCTGCCAGAGAAGAAACAAATTTACCAGCATGAGAAAATACATTGAGATGCATCTCACAAGTATTAGCAGAGTTACAGCAACGGTTCAGGGCCAGGTGAAGGGAAGGAAGAGTCCCTTGAAAATGAAACGTGTGCCCCAAACTATCTTCAAACTTCAGCCAACTGGCCTCCCACACAGAAATGAACTCCTGCCCTTGAAAAGCAAAACCCATCCTCAGAATGTCTCTTAATTAAGCCTTTTAAATCTCCTTGCCCTTCTTCGTTTTCCTTCCTTCTCTTCTTTTCCTCCTTGTTTTTCCATTGTCATCTCTTTTCTATCTGGACTGAGTTTCCTGTGTGGATTGCTCTTGGGAGTTGTGCCCTGGAAAGAGGCCCTTGGGTTAGCAGAGGGCTCCTTGCCTGCTTTCCCGTCTTTTCTGGAGAACCAGGCTGACACAGCTGCTCTGGCAACCAGTGTTTCCAAGAAGAGCCACCAAGCATGCGGAGCCTCTGCTGAGAGAGCTAGGTCAACATCCCCTCATGGAAAAGCCATCCCAGCATGTTTCTTTAGAACTAGCAAGGAGGGCCAAGGCAGACTCCAGGGTTCTTCACCAGCCTAAGATGCCTTGGGAAGCAATTGCCAGTGGTTCCATCAACAGCTTCCTTTGAAAATTCAGACCCTTCAACCTGTTCAGTGCCAACTATGCATTCCTGGTTGCACCCCCAAACTCTTGCTACATGCATATGGGTGCATGCGTGCACACACAGGGACACACACATGCACACACGGACACACCTCCTCTTGGACTGTTGAAAAGGCTGGGTTTATATAATAAAACTTCCTCTGCCACATAGACAAAAATAACCCTGGCATCCCTTTCTGGATGGATTTTAATTAGGAAAGACACAGCATTTAAATTATGCTTATTACTTTCAGTTGCTTGTACAGGCTGTGGATTTCGGAAAAGGCAATGGGAATCATGTGAGCTGGATTTCTCTAACAGGATGACTCTGAGAGGGAAAAATTGCCAAGGGCATTTTAAATCTTTCTCCTCTTCTAGACAGCCTGGCTGAGGAAAAAGGTCCATGTTCTAACATCATTATCACTAACATCTCTGAGTGCCTACTCCATGCCAGAACCCTGGGTAACAAGCATTTTATTTATTTGTTCATTTTTTTTTTTTTTTTTGAGACAGAGTCTCGCTCTGTCACCCAGGCTGGAGTGCAGTGGCACGATCTCAGCTCACTGCAAGCCCCACCTCCCGAGTTCAGGTAATTCTCCTGCCTCAGCCTCCTGAGTAGCTGGGATTACAAGCCTGTGCCACCTCCTCTGGCTAATTTTTGTATTTTTAGTAGAGACAGGGTTTTGCAATGTCGGCCAGACTGGTCTCGAACTCCTGGCCTCAAGTAATCTGCCCACCGTGGCCTCCCAAAGTGCTGAGATTACAAGCGTGAGCCACCTCACCTGGCCTAACAAGCTTTTTAAATGCCTTACCTTAATTAGCCTCAAGAATTCGAGTTTGACCAATAGACCCCATTGGGGACTATCCCTTTCTAGGGGATTCCAGGGACATACCCTTATTATGAATCAGGGGGTTCCTCCCTGAAGCTACAATAGTGACTGGCTGCTAACAGCATGTATGCAATGAATTGATGTATTAGGTTGGTGCGAAAGTAATTGTGGTTTTTGCCTTTGAAAGTAATAGCAAAAACCGCGATTACTTTTGCACCAACCTATACAAGCAAATGAATGACTGAATGTGGTGGGTGTGCTCAGAATGAATCAGATGCAGAAGAATTCTGTGTGGGAATAGAGTTCTAGCCACAGACCTTGCTGCCGGGAGTACTAGATAGATAGTATATGACTCCATTCTCCAATGAGTGGCTTTTTGGGGAGATTTAAAACTTGGAAGAACATAGAAAATTTCTCTCCCCTGCTTCTCTCTCCCAAATCTTTATAGGCATCTTAATGAGGATAAACTTTCAGGCCACAACTATGATTTTAGGCAATTATTTAGCCCATCTGGCTTTCCATTTCTTCTGCGGCTATAACACCAATATCTACCACAGAGAGTTTTCTAACAATGATTAAAGATCCAATATGTAGGCCGGGCGTGGTGGCTCACGCCTGTAATCCCAGCATTTTGGGAGGCCGAGGTGGGTGGATCACGAGGTCAGGAGATCAAGACCATCCTGGCTAACATGGTGAAACCCCATCTCTACTAAAAATACAAAAAATTAGCTGGGCGTGATGGTGGGCGCCTGTAGTCCCAGCTACTCGGGAGGCTGAGGCAGGAGAATGGCGTGAAACCGGGAGGCAGAGCTTGCAGTGAGCCGAGATTGCACCACTGCACTCCAGCCTAGGCGACAGAGCGAGACTCCGTCTCCAAAAAAAAAAGATCCAATATGTAGCTAAGCAGACCTTCTTCCCCATTTTATTGCTAAAGAATTTGGGGCTCAGGTATATTAAATGACCTTTAGCATACTTACTCACTTGATCATTCAACAACTTATTGATGATCTGTTATGCTTACACCCTATTCTAGATGCTCTAGTGATTGGGACAGTCGATGAGGGGAACAGGGAAGGCATGTAACAAACTAACAAAATAATTTCAAATTACAATAAATAAATACCATGAAAAGAGTAAAAGAAAGCAGAATAAAAAAGCTGTGATGGAGTAAGTGGGGAAGCTCTAGATGAAATGATCAGAAAAGACCTCTTTAAAAAGAAGAAAAAACAGTTATCTTTGAAACTAAGCCCTGACTTGTAAGAGGAAGGAGCCATGCCTAGGTCTTGGGGGAATATAGTTCAGTCAACAAAAACTGCAGATGCAAAAGTCCTGAGGCAGAAATGACATTCCTGTGATGAAGGGACAGACAGAAGGTCAGAGAGCTTAGACAGTGAGGAGAGGGGTTCAGGATAGGGCTAGAGAGGTAGGCAGACGTCGGAATATGGAAGGTATTACAGGATTAGTCGAGGAGTTTGGATTTCATCCTAAGTGCAGCAAAACTATTTGAAAATTTTTAGCAGGGGAGTGGCATGCTCTGATTTACATTTTAAAAAGATCCCTCTGGCTGCCATATGGAGAATAAATTATGATGAGGTATACATGGAAGTTAAGTGAAGGCAGAGGTGATGGTAGCCAGGACTACGGGGTAGCAACACATGGAAAGGCTTGGACCCAGGGCACATGTAAGGAAACCAGGACTAGAACCCAGACCTCTATAGCATCTGCCTCTCTGGCCTGCCATGTGCCATATAAATATTCTTGCTTTTCTTTTTTTAAATAAATTTCCCATTTAACAATGCTTTCTGCAGAGCCATAAGTTCACTGGAAACTGCTCAAATTGACACTCAAGCAAGAATAGCATGCCTGTGTGATAATAATGCATTCATCAGCATTCCTGAGTCCACTCCAGGAGTGCTGGATGCGAAAGGGGCCCAAGAGAGTCCCCCCAACAAGGGCAGGAAAAGGAATGTTGGTAGGACTCCAGGGCTAATAGAAGGTGTGGGGCTTCTCATCCCAGAAGGAGGAGGTCTGAGGAATACATACTCGGGGTTATATCCAGAAAGGAAGAGGCCCATTCCCACTTAAGTTCAACAAGCTTGCTAGCAGCACAAGGAGAGAGGCCATGGCTGGAGGGTCGTGGAGAAAGGAGTTCGGTGGGAGCCTGGGCCTTCAGATTGACTGAGAGGGAAAGCGCCCTCTACTTTTTAAACTTGCAAGGAAACTCTTAAAAACTCCTCTCTTTTCAGCAGTTTGTGACTTTCATGTGAGGAGGAGAAGTTACAAACATTTCCAGGTATTCTGTTCCTCAAATGCCCTGTGTTTCTCCATCATTGTATTTTGGACATCTTATTTTAAGGCTTTTTTTGTTTTGTTTTTGTGGATCTGTCTCCTCCATGGGAGAGTGGCTTCCTTGGAAGGTGTCTTCATTACTTTTGCATCCTTGGGCCACATCAAAGGACCTAGCATACAGTTGGCAGTCAAAAACTTGCTCAACAGTTAGATGTATGATATCCCTAAATGTACAGAACCAAAGAATCATCCTAAATTAGATTATAAGGCTGAGTGCAGTGGCTCTCGCCTGTAATCCCAGCATTTTGGGAGGCCAAGGCTGGTGAATCACTTGAGGCCAGGAGTTTGACACCAGCCTGGCCAACAAGGCCAAAACTGGTCTCTACTAAAAATACAAAAATTAGCCGGGTGTAGTGGCACACACCTGTAATCTCAGCTACTTGGGAGGCTGAGGCAGGAGAATTGCTTGAGTCTGGGAGGTGGAGGTGAGCCAAGATCACCCCACTGCACTCCAGACTGAGCAACAGAGTGAGACTCTGTCTCAAAAAGAAACAAAAAAAGATAAATTAGATTATAAATCAACCAGTCCAAGGATTCTTAATCTTTATTAGTCATAGACGCTTTTGAGAAAATGATGACAGTCAGAGACACTTTCCACGGGAAAAATTCACATATGAAAATATTTTAATACTTTTTTTTATAGAAAAGAAAATTGAAGACCAGAAGATAGGAGTGACTTAACCAAAGCCACCAACTTTGTCTGTGACAGTCATTCCTGGAACCCAGATGTTCTGATCTCCAATCCTGTCCCCTTCTACTATGCCTGGGCAGAGTGAGCTAGAATGTCACATAGAGGGTACAAAGATAACAATCAGAACTATACCAGGAACTGGCCCTGGGGAGAATTCTTAGAAAACAGATGATTGCTGAGATAATAAGCTACTAGCCTGGGCTTATGAGATCATGCTATGCCTATCCTAGGCAGTCCAGGAAGCCCTAAAGGTATTGAAGTCTTAGAAATTAGTGACTACTCAATTGTCTCTGAGAGGGCAGCAATAATACCAAGTGTTGCGTTCAGGAATTCAAACCTAATCGTAATCCCTAATTAGCTCATTTTTAACGCCCTGGGCATGAACACCTTGAAGCAACAACACTCTGTCCATGCAAAGGTTATTTAGGGCAAAGTCCCAAGAAGAGGAGGACTTGGATGCTCTTCACAGAGCCTGCCATCCTCACATGTCTAAAGCAGAAGAAAACACAGATTTCTGCTAGGTTTATCCCACTACCCCTGCTTATTTTCTGACAGAGGGTTGGGGAGAGGGGTGTCGAGGGGAATGTGATATGAGAAGAGAGGGTATCAGAACACCATTCTCTAACAAGTCTGTGGGCTTTACAGCTTGCAATATACTTCTTCAATCAGTTATCTTTTAGAATCCTCCAGCAACCCTCTAAGGTGGGCTGGGCAATGATTTCTACCCCCATTTTATGGCTGAAGGAACTTGAGATGAGCAAAGAGACACTTGTTCCCAGTAACATCCTGTTTCTCATTCCCGTTGGTTGGTTGGGCATCCTGTAGGTGAAGAGTACTAGGAGGTACACAAAGAAGTCATTATGAAGGGCTGTCAACAGCTCATTCAGGTGATTGGGTTGTGGGGTTAGGAACTGGGTGACAGGGTCATGATAAGTCTGAGTAACCTGCTTCTTGTCTCTCTTCTACTTTCCCAATTCAAAATTCACCTAGATAGTGATTCAAGCTATTTGGATTAGGGGTCTTTTTTTGAGAATCTAAACAGTGATGGCTACTCTCTCTTCAGTAAAGTACTTACAGTGGGTTGAATCATGTCCTCCCACAATCCATGTCCATCCAGAACCTCAGAATGTGACCTTACTTGAAAATAAACTCTTTGGAGATGTAATGTGTTAAGATGAGGTCATACTGGATTAGGATGGGCCCTGAATCCAATGACTGATGTCCCTATAAGAAGAGGAGAAGACATACAGACACAGAAGAGATAGATACACAGAGAGAGAAGAAAGCCGTGTGAAGATAGAGACAGATTGGAGTAAGGCAGCTACAACCCAAGAATGCCAAGGAGTGCTGGAAGTCACCAGAATCTAGGAAGAGCCAAGGAAAGATTCCCTCCTAAACCTTCAGAGGGATGGTGGCCCTGTTGACATATTGATTTCAGACTTCTGGCCTCCAGAATTATGAGAGACTACATTTTTTGTTGTTTTAAGCCACCGAGTTTACGGTGTATTGTTACAGCGGCTCTAAGAAACAAGTGTAGGCCGGGAGTGGTGGCTCACACCTGTAATTCCTGCACTTTGGGAGGCCGAGACTGGCGGATCGCCTAAGGTCCGGAGATCGAGACCAGCCTGACCAACATGGTGAAACCCTGTCTCTACTAAAAATACAAAAATTAGCTGGGTGTGGTGGCAGACGCCTGTAGTCCCAGCTACTCGGGAGGCTGAGGCAGGAGGATCACTTGAACCTGGGAGGCAGAGGTTGCAGTGAGCCAAGATGGCACCGCTGCACTCCAGCCTGGGCAACAGAGAGAGACTCCATCTCAAAAAAAAAAAAAAAAAAGAAGAAAAGAAAGAAAAGAGATGTGTATGGTACTATTAGGTTGGTGCAAAAGTAATTGCAGTTTTTGCCATAATAAATATCTCCTCTCCATACCCAACTCTGGGAAATCAAACCACTTTCCATTTTCCGAACATTTTATGCCTTCTTATGCTATGGTGTCCTTCCCTGGTGACACTCTCTGCTTACAATGCCCTCTTCCCTCCCCTCCTGTCCATTCCTACTCCCACTTCAGTCTAAGTTCAGGTAGCCTTTCTTTCAGAGACCTTCCCTGACCACTTCCCACTCCCAGGCAGGGCTAAATGCTCTCTCTTCTGTGTTCCCACAGAACCCTTTAATATAATGATTATCACATTTACCCTTGTCTATTTAACCTCCACTGTGAAGCACAATGTATGATTGAACAGATGCTTATTTACTGAGCAAAGAAGCATCATAGGTACCAGGTGGGTTGAGGGCAATGAGCTCTCCCATGGCAGGCCAGCAGGGAGAGCTCCATGGAGATTGCAGCTGTTGGGTTGTGGCCACTGCAGCACCAGGAGGCAAACGCATAGTCATTACAATGCAGAAAGGCCCCTGACCATATCTTCACAGCTATTTCACATGTGCTTTACTGCCTTGCAGACTGACACCCAAACTTCTTCCTCAGGTCTCTTCTCTAGATCATAACATATGTTATAGAAGACTACTTTCTTCTACATGCCCTATGGCCTAGGAATCCATAGGCATAGGTCCTAGACCTGGCTCTGATGTGAACTATCTGTGTGATCTAAATGATGTAAACATGTTTATTTGAGCCCTCTGGGCCTCAGAGTCTTCATCCGCAAACTGAGGAGCTAGAAGCTAAAATTCTAGCTCTGAGAGTCTCCTCTCTGGGACGCCACAGAGAAAAGGAATGTGGGTGTCCTGTTAAAGCAATATTCCTATGTTTTTGTTTTCCCTACTGTTTAAATGATACCAGAACCTTTCCTTCTTCACTTGTACCTCCAAGCTCCATCCCTTTCACCATGTGACAATTTCTCCACTGGTTCTAATGGCTGAGAAGGCCATTACATTGAAGGAAAAGGGCAGCATTCCCCACAACTGTCTTGACCATTTTCTTTCCTTGAGAACCCTAAGTCTGGGTCCTCAGGAAAACAGAACAAAAGAAAACACACTAAAAAAAAAGGATTGCCATTAAACACCAGATGTCCAGTAGGGAGAGCCTTTAAACCAAAACAGCTGCTTGGACAATGCTTGCGAGGCATCCTTTCCCTCCAGCCTCCTCATACGACAAAGTTCCTGTGCCTTTCAGCCAGAGGGAAACATCTTCACCCCAGTGTGAAACCCCATTTAAAGCTGCCTTGCTGTCAATGTGTGGGGACAGTCCAGATACTGTCACCTGCTTCCCTTATGTACAGGCTCCCACTCCTCTCCAGCCCCCCAGGCACTTGGAAAATCTTTCTTCAGTCTTGTTCAGCTAGAAAGTTACCTCTCCCATGTTGCTCTTATTCTTAGACTCACTCTTTCCTCTGTGCTGTAGATGAGAACAGCTAACATTTATATATCTATTGTGTATCCACCATGTGCTATAGTCTCTTAAGTCTCAGAACTAGGAATAGCTGGGTTTCTTCTTCAGAACTCCTCTGCATTTATCTTGGCACTATGAATCATCTAACGAACCATATTTCCCTTCTTTATTGCCTTGGATGCTAAGAAGCTCAAAGCCAAATTTGTGACCTAATCTTATGATGTTATCTAAGAGCCTAGTGTTATCTCTGACTTTTTCTTATTTTTCCTGCCTTTGCTTTTTCTACACGCTAATTCTATTATTTGCTTTAATGAAAGCCATTGGGCTGTTTCTGTTTGTTTGTTTGTGGTAGGTAAGCACAAATCCTGTTTGAAATGGGTCATAATACAAATAAAAAGTAAAAGGTATCGCATATGTGTCTCTGCATATTCATACTAATCTTGCACTGTTGAGGCAAGTGGGGCTCAGAAAGGTTACATAACTTATTTAAGATCATGCAATTTTTAAGTCGAAGAGCTAGGAGTCAAATCTGTTTTCATCTGACTTCAAAGCTCAGGCTCTTGTTAGTATAATTGCTTACACTTAGTAAGCACTTACTGTGTGCCAGGTTTTGTGTTGAGTATCCTATGTATGTTATCTCATTTAACCTCACAGCAATCCTATGAAGCAGCTACTGTTATTACAACCATTTCATAGATGAAGAAAGTGAGATTTAGAGAGGCCAAATAATTTGTCCAAGGTCACCCACCTAATGCTAACATTGAGATTCAAACCTACAGGGCCTGACCTTTAAGTCTCTACACTCTTATAGTGGGGGTAAATGTACAAAAAACCAGATTCTTAATTAAGGGTTGTTTGACTTCTTTTGAATGCCCAGCTGCATAGTTATATCACAAAGCCTTATCATCTGAAAAATCCTATTGGAGAAATGGGTGTCTGGCTAGAAATAGGTATTTCTGGGTTTCACAGTTCTTCATGGAGCAGATGGATTAGAAACACAAAGTCTGTGTGCAACACTGGATTTTAAATGCCAGCCTGAGTACTAAGAGAGAGGAAGATTACCTAGCGCCCGAAGAGTGGAAATAAAAGCCATAGGGAAGGGCGGCACTGCTCACGGGCGCCATCTGGTAGTAAAGATGGGAAATTGCTCTGAGAAAAAAATGGACGTGCGAAATGAAATTCCCCTCCTGGGCCTCTTGCATGTTGAGTCCTTGAGGTATAACTTTTTCCTTCATACAAATCCTGCAAGAGAGATATTATTATCCTTATTTTATCAATGAGGAACTTAAAACTCAAAGATATCAAGTAACTTGCCAAGGGATTTGACTACAGTCTACTTAGCCTCCCCAAATCTTTATTTCCATTATACTGTGCAAACTCTCAAAAGTCGTATTTCTGGGTAGCTCCTGCCTTCTTTTACCCCTCAGGATTGGAATCACAGATGCTCCACGCTTCATTGGAACCGTCCTGAGACAGACAGGAAACATGTCAGCAGTGGGTCTCAATAGGGTTAGTGCCCTCTGTTCCAGCATAGTTGGCCTAGTTCACTGGGCAGGACTCCTGTCTTAGGCACTGGATCTGAAGCTCCAGCTCTGAATTTCAGTCACCTTGGCTGGGCTTTATTATCCTACAGCATGCTCACCCAATTCCCTCTCCTGGGGGGTGGGGAGCGCTAGATCCTCCCTACTCCATCCACTAGTTACTGACTGGGTGCTGTCATGATTACAAAAATAGCCAGCCCTGAACCACCCCATATCCCTGTGAGTGTGGTTTGGAACTCCAATGTGGTTGATTTTCCACATCTCACCAACAGCTATCTGTTAGCTGCCCAGGGTGCCCATATTGGAACCCACCAGTGTAGCTGGTTTTCTCCCAGACTATGTTCTTCCTGGCCGTTCCTTCACCAGGGACAAGATTGCTAAGGTTGCAAATTGAATTCTCACACAATTACTATTGCCCTTTGAGAAATGTGTGGGGAAATGAAAGAGAGCCTAGAAAATTGAGGATAGAAAGATGTCTGCCCCACTTTTCAAAAACAATGATGGATCCCTGATACTTCAGTTAGTATAATATTTTGTAGAAGCAAATGATGTGTGAAGAGTAAAGAAATAGTAAACAGTAAGAGTTGGGAAAATTCACTATGAATAAATCATTAGAAACCAACTTTCCTTTTTAGAAAAAGTTGTCTTACTGGTAAGATTTTGTCATGTTAGAGATACAATTTGAAAATAGACACATATTTCAAAACAAGTTAATGGAACAAATGTGCCCCTGGAGGGGATATCCAGTAGAGGAGGAATTCGAGATCAGCCTGGCCAACATGGTAAAACCCTGTCTCTACTAAAAATACAAAAATTAGCTGGGAACGGTAGTGTGAGCCCGTAGTCTTAGCTACTTCGGAGGCTGAGGCACAAGAATCACTTGAGCCTGGGAGGCAGAGACTGCAGTGAGCCAAGATCACACCACTGCAATCCCACCTGAGTGAAAGAGCAAGATTCTGACTTAAAATAAATAAATAAATAAATAAATAAATAAATAAACCCAAAAAGCTGATCTATGCACTGATTTGACCAGTAATGTTATCTATGACTTAAAAGAAACTTAAAAAAAAATCTTATTGATGTCAGGATTCAAAATAATTTATCCTGGAACTATAACAAAAATTAAGAAAATGAAATTTAGTTAGCAAAAATGAAATGTCTTAAACCTACTTAAAACAATCAACCACAAGAAGGAGTAACCAGTGGTTGATAACAAAAAACTCAGGGATTCTGGTGACTACAAGTGAAGTATGAGTGAGCAAGGTGATGTGGTTACTTAGAAAATACTGCAACTGAGGGTTCTGACATTCACAGTGGCAGAGTAAGAACCTCTGCAAAATCTGTTTCTCCATAAAAGCAATGAGACATTGGCCAAAAATTGTTATAATCAACTTCTCAGAACTCTGGAAATTAACCAAAGATTTGCAACAATACAAGGAGTAATTATTCAGGGAAAATGATTGAATCTCAATAAGAACAAAGAGCCCTGTGGCATTTTAACTTGTCCTACTCCCATCCCCCTCTCCTCAGCATCACAAGAGCCTTGAAAACCAGCAGCCTCACAACCATGGTAGTGGTGAAAATCAGCATCCTAGCAGCCACTAGAGAAAGCAGAACATGTTTGGAGCACCCTAAAAGCCTCATCTTTAGAGAATTGTCACTATTTGACCTGTCTGGTAACTCCCTGGAAACCTCTACTCTCAGAGCTTGTCTTTATGTAACCAGACTCAGAGCTGGCTCAATGTAAATGGCCTGGAACGTTTGTTGAAATCAACAATCACCGGTAATTGTTAAACATTACATCTGCCTGAAGCAGAGAAAACATTTGGGAAAAACAAGAGGCTGACAGAAGTCTTTAAAGGAAAACCTGACACATAAACTGCCCACAAAGGACTTTTAAAAGTTCCAGGGTATTTCTGGGAATCTAGAAGGCCATACACATGTTCAGGTTTATGCCCAGGAAAGATCTGAGAAGGCCCTAATCTCTTGCCTTTGGTGGACCTTGAGGCTTTGCAGAAATAGGAAGTGAAGGCTAAGACAGCATTATAGACTGCCTGCCAGAGCACTGAATACACATTGCAACACATAGAGAGAGCCCTTTGGCAAAAGCTAAGAAACTTATTAATGCCAGGCACTTAGGGAAATTTGTGTCCAATCATTACTAGCCACTAAACTAACTAAGTGGAGACTTCACAGAGTTAATTTATAAAAGTCACGATATAAGCAAACAATACAACAACAAAAACAAACAGCAACAATAACAAGCTCTGGAGAAGAAAGGAATCTGATTTCCAGGGTTGCCACATTATATCATTTAAAATATCCAGTCTTCAATAAAAAATTATGAGACATGGAAGGAAAGGACAGCATGGCCCATATACAGAGAAAAAGGTACTTAATGGAAACTTTCTCTGAGGAAACCCAGATGTTAGATTTACTAGACAAAGGATTTAAATCAACTACTATCAATATGCTTACAGACCTAAAGAAAACCAGGTGTAAAGAATAAAATAAAGGCCAGTCATGGTGGCTAGTGCCTGTAATCCCAGCACTTTGGGAGGCCAAGGCAGGAGGATCACTTGAGCTCAGCAGTTTGAGACCAGCCTGGGCAACATAGCAAGACCGTGTCTCTAAAAAAACAAAAACAAAAATTAGCCAGGCGTGATGGTGCACACCTGTGGTCCCAGCTACTGGTTGAGGCTGAGATGGAAGGGTCATTTGAGCCTAGGAGGTCAACACTGCAATGAGTTATGATCTCACCACTGCACACCAGCCTGGGTAACAGAGTGAGATCCTGTCTCAAATAAATAAATAAATATAAATAAAATCAAAGTATTATTTTAAATGAGAACATGCTTCACCAAATGTAGAATATTAATAAAGCTATAGAATTTATAAGAAGGTAATAAAATAGAGGCTCTAGAGTTGAAAAGTACAATAGCTGAAATGAGAAATTCAATGGCAGACTTGAGTGAGCGGAAAGAACGAATCAATGAATTTGAAGATGGGCTGCTTGCAATTATCCAGTCTGAGAACAGAAAGTAAAAGAATTGAGAAAAACAAAGCTTCAGAGACCTGTGAGACACCATCAAGCTCACCAACATACACATAATGATAGTTCCAGAAGAAACAAGAGAAAAAGGGGGAAGAAAGAATATCTGAGGAAATAATGGCCAAAAACTTCCCAGATTTGATGAAAAACATTTATCTGCACATCTAGGAAGCTCAATAAACTCTAAGTAGGATAAATGTAAGAGAGCTACACCTAGACACATTAAAATCAAACTGTCAAATGCCAAAGACGGAGAATCTTGAAAGCAGCAAAAGAGAAGCAACTCATTATGTACAAGTGATCTTCAATAATATTAACAACTGATTTCTCATCAGGAACCATGGAGGCCTTATTCAGAGTACAGAAAGAAAAAGAGGCCTCAAGAGGATTGTTTGAGGCCAGGAGCTCAAGACTAGCCTGGAAAACATAGTGAGGCCCTATGTCTATTCTTCTTTTTTTAATTAGCCAGGGGTGGTGATGCATGCCCATAGTCCTAAGCTACTTGGGAAACTGGGGCAGGAGAATCACTTCAGCCCAGGAAGTGATTCAAGTTTACAAGGAGCTATGATCATGATGCTGCACTCCAGCCTTGGCAATGACGTGAAATCCTGTCTCTTAAAAAAAAAAAAAAAAAATGAATTCTGTATTCACCAAAAACACTATCCTTCAAAAATAAACGAGAAAACCACACATTGACAGGTTTTTCAAAAAAAAAAAAAAAAAAAGAATGTATTACCAGCAGACCTGCCCTGTAAGAAATACTACCAAGAGTCCTTCAGGCTGACAGGAAAGAAGACTTGCTCAAATACTCATGAAGAAAAAATAAGGAACATGAGTAAAAGTAACTACATAGATAAATATAAAATGTAGTATGAATGTACTTTTGTTTGTAATTCTTTTCTTTTTCTATGTGATTTATAAGACATCTCTATAAAACAATGACTATAAAACTGTGTTGATGGATTTATAATGTATAATTATAACAGTAATAGCACAAAGGAGGGGGGAGAAAATGGAGATCTGTAGACACAGTTTTTTGTATACTATTGAAATTAAATTGGGATTAATCCAAATTAGATTGTTAAAAATTAAAGTGTTGAATGTAATCTCCAGAGCAGCCACTAAGAAAATAACTAAAAATATATATAGTATAAGACATGACATGGGAAATATAAATGGTACACTAGAAAATATCTGTGTAACACAAAACAAGGCAACAATTGAAGAACAGAAAAATAAAAAAGATAGGCTGTATAGAAAACAAATAGCAAAATGGCCTAAGTAAATTCTACCTTATCAGTAATTATATTAAATATAAGTAGATTAAACACTCCAATCAAAAGGCAGAGATTGGCAGAATGAATTTAAAAAAACTAAAAATCACAGGATCCAACTACATGCTGTCTGCAAGAGGCAAACTGCAGATTCAAAGACATAAACAAATTGAAAGTAAAAAGATAGAAAAAGATATATCATGCACACCCAAAGTGCTCAGGTTACAGATGTGAGCCACCATACCCGGTTGGAAAGAAAAACTTTAGCTGGTCTGATAGGGGTCAAAAATATTTTTGAAAGGGCTTCTATAAAAAGAAGTGCAATTTTATCTAGCTCTCAAAGATGGAGATAGGTAGTACCCGTGGGTACAAGTGACAGGGAGACACATTTTGGCTTAATATGTGATTGCCTATAAATGAAAGAGGTGCCTGCTCTTGGGATTGTGCAAAAGGTTCTCTATCAGAGATACCCTAGATAGAAACTGGATGAGGAGGGTAGATTACAGGATACAAAGTCAACACTTTTCTGCAAGTCACTGAGCAGAAATGGTATTTAACTACACAGCTATCTTTCCTCTCCTGCAGTTCTTTTTTTTCTGAATGAGGGAAGAATGACCTTGATAATGGTTATTTTTATTTCTTTTTTTCTTCATTATTTTTAGCTAGTAATTTTACCATTTAGGGTCCAATTATAGACCTTAGAAACCACTGCAGACGGTTTTAAAAACTAAGAAATTATTCCCAGGTATTAAATGAATTACTAATGGTTGGGAAGGTCCAAGGATCAGGTTCCTAGTTAAGTTTCTAAGAACAGCTCCCAGCCCCTAAGATCACTCTGCTTAGGAGAGCTGCTGATGTTACTGCCAGAAACCAAATCAGGAAGCTGCTAACTATAGAGCCACATCACTGCCATAACTTCTTGAAAGAAGACTTAGTGCAGGAGATTCTTAGCTGGACCTTGGTGAATTGGTAAGATTTGTGTGACATTAGACAGTCAAACTGTCTGAACCTTAGTTTGCTTATCTGGAATATTGGGATAATTTTACCTGCCATAACTACTTTATGAAGTTTCTATGCAGATTCAATGAGATAAAGTATGAAAGTGCTTTGAAATCAGTTAATCTCTCTCTGTATTTTTTTCTATTATTCAGTACCTGATAGACAGTAATCACCCAATAAATATTTGCTGAATTTAATGGAATAAAGTGTAATCCTCAAACTAAGATATTGACCTGAGAATGTACAATAATGCTGTGTACAAAAGGCTTCCTAACTGCATTCAAGTTGGTAGATGTCTATTGACTAGAAATGTGAAATAGGATAGGATTGTTAGAGGGGCCTCAAATATGGATGGTCTGGAAAACAGGCAAAGAAGCTTAGAATCCATAAATACCAAGCATAAGAGCTTTGGAGTCAGACAGATGTCAGTTTAAGCCCTGGCTCTGCCACTTCCTAGTTAGCTATTTAATCCCAGGCAAGTAATGTGTGTGTGTGTGTGTGTGTGTGTGTGCACACGCGTGCAGGTGTGTATAAACATACATATATGTATTTCAAACTGATATATATAATCAGTTGCTAGATGCTCTTCATTCTTTCTTTTTCTCATTTTCACAAAAGCTAAAAAATCCTAACAACACAGTGGCTTCCCAGGTCCATGAGAAGACTGGGTTATTTCCAGGAGGGGAGAGGCAAATATGAATTATAACTAAAGACAAGAAACACGATTAATGCCACAAATTGGGCTCAGACCCTGATCCTAGACTAGCATGAAGCAATGGACAGAATGAGAAGAAAAACAGGAGAAATACTGCAAAGAAGGATGCAAAGTGAAAAGGATGCAGCTGTGACTGAGCCGAGCGTGCCCTGAGGCAGCTGGGGTGAAGGCGTTGGATCATCCTTCTGCCTCATTTTCTCCATCCTCACAACCATCCTTTATCCTGGGTCTTCATCCATTCACCTTACTGTTTGAACCATTAGAGTGGGTTTCAAACTGTATTACACAGAGATGCACCCAAGATTCTTCCAACATTCTATTCCGTTTTCAAAAACTACCATTTTCTGGACTGTTAGAAGGTGAGAAAGCAGCTTAGTAGATGGAGACCCAGGCTTGCTACTCTTGTTTCAGCCAGAACAACAGCTTCATTTTTATTTCTGTTAACTATTGTGATTTCTCTTAAAATTTAATTATATTAGGAATTTCTGCTTTAATAGTGTTTGACTTCACATCAATCTGTTTCAACATTGCCATGGGCATCCCTGGCCTTTGACGCTCTTCTTTCCTGCACTCCACTCTAAATAAATCGAGCTAAATTCATTCTGGCTGGCCGCAGTGGCTCATACCTGTAATCCTAGCACTTTGGGAGGCCGAGGCAGGTGGATCACTTGAGGTCAGGAGTTCGAGACCAGCTTAGTCAACGTGGCAAAACCCCGTCTCTACTAAAAATGTAAAAATTAGCCAGGTGTGGTGGTGTGTTCCTGTAATGCCAGCTATTCAGGTGGCTGAGGCAGAAGAATTTATCGAACCTGGGAGACAGGTTGCTGTGAGCTGAGATCGCAGGACTGCACTCCAGCCTGGGTGACAGAGTGAGACCTTGTCTCAAAAAAAAATAAAATAAAATAAAAATCAATCAATCAATCATGCTAAATTCATTCTTCATTAAGTTGTCCTCTCCCTGCTCCAGATTGTCTGTTGACTTTTTATCATCCTCTGGACATGGGCTAAATCCTCAGCCAAGCCTCTGGGGAACTCTTCAATAAAAACAAAAGGAATGGCATAATGATGCCTTAAGCTATTGAGAATCCTTAGCACATGGCAGACACTCAATAAGTAAATGCCAACTTACTACAGTTGATTGCTCCTTAAGGGAGCCTTTGAATCCCCTCAACTCATGGAACAGTGCCTTGTACACAGGAAAGTACCTTGCAAATCAAGAGACACTCCCCCTTTCACAGCATAGTTCCTTTTGCTTAGCTAAGCTTCCAAGTTGGGGAAATGGCTTGGTGATGTTTAGGAAGGATCCTGAATTTCCATCTTCTGTAGGAAATGGTATGGCAATGTTTATAACATGCCTTCAACCTCTTTCTTTTGTTTTCTGGGAAAATACCTACCTCTGGCTGGCTTACAAATGTAAACGTGAGCCTACAAATGTAACTGCTAGAGCGACCTAACTGAATCCCTCTAGTCCTTCATCATTATACATGGTTCTTGGTGCCCCCTTGTGGCAATCTGTCATCATGCAGGGTTACCAAGATGAACATGACAGCCATCCTTTAGGGGATGCCTAACTCTGAGACAAATACCATGCTAGGCATTTTCAATGGATTAGCTCATTTACTCTCACCACAATCCCCTGAGGTAGCTACTATTAGTTTAATAACATGTGCTAAGTAACACAGCTAACAAGTGGCAGACTAGAGACTTGAATTCAGGCTGGTTACACTGGAGCTTGTGCTTTTCACTTCTATATTAGGTGCAAAGAGATATTATGGTGAATATATAAAGAGGAATTAAGAGGTGGGACTTCTGGGAGAATGGAATAACAAGTTTGGTGGACTCTTTCCCCAGCAAAACAACAATCGAATTAGAGAAAATTATTTAAAATATCCATCATTTAAAGTGTCTGGAAAGTGTTGTAAGGGCCATACAGCAAATAAGAAACATTAATTCAAGAAAATCTTTAAAATTTCAATCATAATAGCAAGAGTCTGTGGCATTTGAGCTGCGATTTGCCCATTAATCTTCTTCCTTATTATGGAAACTCTACCCAGTATATGAGCAGCCAAGACAGGGCTCCATCTCTCTCTACATCCTAGTTTGAGGCTATGGTTTCACCCTAAAAAAGACAGGATGCTAGTATTTCTCACTCCACTAAGCCCCAGTCTGCAGAAGTTCTGTTCCACATGAGTATGCCAAGAAGTGTCATCCAACCCCCAGTTATAAGGTGGAAGCTCTGCTGTAGGCACAGCAAGTCAAGAATACTGGAGGACTGATTTCCTACACCTCAGTTCACTTGCAAGTGAGAGGTTACATGCTGGGAGAGGTAAGATGAGAAGATAAGGGGTCTCCACACTCCCCAACCCCAGTACCTAGTCATGGAGCAGGGATGTCACTCTGGGGAAAGAGGATCTCTGTTCCAGCTTCAGTGCAGTGGCACAGGTGCTCTACCTAGTGGGAAAGGCAGGCCACAAAGAGCAAAACACCATAGCTCTGCCTGAGGAGACTGACTTTATTTGGAACAAAGGGTGAACTCCATACGTAAGAGCATTCTTAAAAATAATGGTAATCTTGTTGGGAGAGCAATGAAGAGGCAGCTGGTATGTGCGTATACAAACAAAATAGCAGAGTATTCAGAAGTTTAATAGGGAGACCACGGAAAGAGACAGCCAAGAAGAGCCCTTCTATGCATACAGTCAAGTCCAATCAGAAAGGCTGTGCTAGGCTGCACTCACTTGGGAAAAATCAGAGCAGGATGTGGGGCAGATTTCATAGCATTTCTCAAGTCACCCACAGGCCCATCAACATAGGGTGGAAATTTTATTGGTAAAAAGGGCATAAGCACAACTTCTGATTAACAACTGACTGAACAATATGTTATTCTGGCGCAGGAGTGACTCCAAGACAGCCAAGCTTAAAAATAAAATCATAGTCATCCCTGAAAGTCTGGAAGACTATGTGCATACCCAAGGCTGCATCCTCCAAGAAGCAATCAGAGAGAGAACCACCAGGCTGCTAGTTCCTAGGTGAACACGGGAGAAAAGTAGTAAGCTCCCTGAACTGTGATAAGAGCCTCCACATCACACATATCATTTCCGACAGTAAAGGGTAAAAAAACCTAACAGACTAAGGACACTGAGGCATAACCTTTGACTAGTAAATGGCTTATGCTGACCTAGAGAAAACCCCTATCTAGCCAGGCTAAAAGATAAAAATAAGGGGGCCAGGTTTGGTGGCTCATGCCTGTAATCCCAGCACTTTGGGAGGCGAAGTGGCAGGGCGGGGGCGGCAGATCCCCTGAAGTCAGGAGTTCGAGACCAGCCTGGCCAACATGGTGAAACACCATCTCTACAAAAGCACAAAAATTAGCTGGGCATGATGGCGAGTGGCTGTAATCCCAGCTACTCGGGAGGCTGAGCTGGAAGAATCACTTGAACATGGGAAGCAGAAGTTGCAATGAGCCAAGATCGTGCCATTGCACTCCAGCCTGGGCGAGAAAGAGTGAGACTCTGTCAGGAAAAAAAAAAAAAAAAAGATAAGAATAAGGGAAAAAAATCTAAGCAGGGACATTAGAAGCTGCACACTGCAATAGACTTTGAAGAACTACTTAAGCTTAGCTATTAAACAAATGACGAAGGAAACAACAAGCCCCAGAGAATCAGCATTCAGAATTGCTATGATATGTGATCTAAAATGTCCAGTTTTCAGTAAAAAGTTGTGAGACATTAAAAGAAACAGGGAAATATGACCCATAAAAGCAGGCAACAGAAACAGCCTTAGAGAAGGCCCAGATGTTGAACTTAGCAGACAAAGACTTCAAAGTAGTTATTATAAATAAGTTCTAAGAAAACATGCATAAAAATAAAGGTATGAGAAGACTTCAAAAAGTTCATGGAAAGTGGAAGCAACAAACAGTAAAAATAAGAAATATAAATTTTATTTCCCAACATAAATTCCATCAAGGTCAAAACAATTTTGTAAGTGATGATACCAGCAGTTTAGTCCATCCCTAAAGAACTGAGGGTCCTGGGAATTTAACCATGTCAGTGCAGTCTTTTTTATATTATTAACTGAATAAAAATGGGTGTCCTTTAAAGATTGTTTAAAATTAGGTGGGGAAAAGAAGTCAGAAGTAGCCAAATCAGAACTGGAGGGCGTATGCTTAAAGATTTCCCATTTAAACTTACAAAATTTCACTTGTTTGTTGAGAGGAATAAGCAGGAGCTTTGTGGCAGAGGAGGACTCTATGATGAAGCTTTCCTAGGCATTTTTCTGCCAAAGCTTTGGCTAACTTTCTCAAAACACTCTCATAATAGGTAGATGTTATTGTTCTTTGATCTTACAGAAAGCCAAGAAGCAAAATGCTTTGAGCATCCCAAAACACTTTTGCCATTATCTTTGCTCTTAACTAGCCCACATTTTCTTTTTCTTTTCTCTTCTCTTTTTTTTCTTTTTTTTTTTTTTTTTTGAGCTGGAGTCTTGCTCTGATGCTCAGGCTGGAGTGCAGTGGTGCAATCTTGGCTCACTGCAACCTCCGCCTCCCGGATTCAAGCAGTTCTCCTGCCTCAACCTCCCAAGTAGCTGGGGTTACAGGTGCTCAACACCATACCTGGCTAATTTTTACATTTTTAGTAGAAACAGGATTTTGCCACATTGGCCAGGCTGGCCTCGAACTCCTGACCTCAGGTGATCTGCCCACCTCGGGCTCCCAAAGTGCTGGGATTGCAGGATTGAGGCTCTGCGCCCAACCCCCATGTTTTCTTTGACTGCCACTTCCACCTCTTGGTAGCCATTGCTTTAATTCTGCTTTGACTTCAAGATCATACTGGTAAAGCCATGTTTTATCTCCTTTTACAGTTCTTCGAAGAAATGCTTTAGGATCTTGATCCCACTTATTTAAAATTTCCATTGAAAGCTCTGCTCTTGTCTGCAGCTAACCTGGGTGAAATGGTTCTGGCACCCATAAAGTAGAAAATTTGCTTAATTTAAAATTTGCAGTCAGAAGTTTTTAAGATAAACTAATTGAGGTATTTATGGTGTTGGTGTTGGCTATTGTTCCTGCTGTTAATTATCAGTCCTCTTTAATTAGGGCATGAACAATATTAATTTTTTTCTTTACAAATTGATGTTCATGGGCTGCTGCTGCAGGCTTCATCTTCAACATAGTCTTATCCCTTCTTAAAAAGAATTATCCATTTGTAAACTGCTGATTTCTGTATTTATTTATTTGTAAACCACTGATTTCTTTGGGGCATTGTCTCCATAAACTTTTTGTAAAGCATCAGTGATTTCACCATTCTTCCACCCAAGATTCACCATAAATTTGATGTTTGTTCTAGCTTCAGTTTAGCAGAATTTGTATTTCTCTGATGGGACTCTTTTCCAACTGATGTCTTATCCTTCCTATTGTCTCAAACTAGATCGTGTTCAGACATGTTATAACAAGTTAGTGTGAGTTTATTTTGGTGCAAAAAAGTTTGAAATTCATGCATAGTTTTTTATAGTATGCATTTTCTATGAATTTTTTGAAGAGCTCTCATGTGGTAAAAATATCTCATCAAATACAGAAGATCAGTAAAGAGAAATTACACACACACACACACACACACACATACACACAGCTGAAAGGAAATTCTGGAGTTAAAAAGTACAGTAGTGAAAATGAATAATTCACTAGAGGGTTCAATAGCAGACTTGAACTGTCAGAAGAAAGAATTGGCAAACTTGAAGATAGAGTGATAGAGATTATGCAATCTGATAAAGAGAGAGGAAAAAGAATTAAGAAAAACAAACAGAGCCTCAGAGACATGTGGAATGCCATGAAATACACCAACATACATGTAATGAGAGCACCAAAAGGAGAGGAGAGAGAGAAAGGGACAAAAATATTACAGAAATTATGGCTAAAAATTTCCCAACATTGATGAAAAATATTGATCTATCCATTCAAGAAGCTCAACAAATGCCAAATAAGATAAACACAAAAAGACCCACACTCAAACACTTCCTAGTTAAATGCTGAGAGACAAATAATCTTGAAAACAGTAAGAAGAACACCTCATCACATACAAAAGAAATCCAGTAAGATGTAAACGAGCTTCTCATCAGAAACAGTGGAGCCCAGAAAGCAGGAAGAAGATATAGTGTGCTGAAATAAAAATCTATTAATCAAGGATGTAAAATGGTACAACTGTTTTGGAAAATTATTTGACAGTTATTCAAAAAGTTAAGCATAGTGTTACTACATGACCTGAAAATTCCACTCCTAACTATATACCCAAGAGAAATGAAAACTTATTTCTATACAAAATACATAATGTTCATAGCAGCATTATTCCTTATAGCCAAAAAGTGGAAACAAGCTAAACATCCATCAATGAGTGAATGAATAAACAAAAGTCATATATCCATACAACAGAATAGTATTTGGCAATAAAAAGCAATAAAGTACTAATATATACTACAACATGATAAACCTTAAAAATATTATGCTAAGTGGGAGACACCAGTCACAAAAGACCATATATTGTATGAATCTACTTATATGAAATGTCCAAAATAGGCAAACCTATAGAGACAGAGAGTAGATTCGTGGTTGCCTAGAAATGGGGTGTGGTAGGATGAGAAAATGACTGCTAATGGGTATGGGATTTGTTTTGCAGGAGGGAATGAAAATATTCTAAAATTAGATTGTGATGATGGTATACTGTGAATATACTAAAAAACATTGAGTTATTTACTTTTAGTGGACAAATTGCATGATATTTGAATCTTATCTCAATAAAGCTATTTTTAAAGATAAATTAGATACAATCATCACCCTTGAGAAGCTTACAAGTACAATACGCCTTCAGCAATCTTTGTGAGGTAAACAAAAAATCAAGGCATAAGCTATAGCATAAGTTCTGTGGGGGAAAGCATGAAGAATTCTAAACTCCTGATAAGCTTTCAGAACAAAGTCCTCTTTTAATTGAAAATACCTTGTACTTTGAATAAACTATCCCTACTGCGTTTGGGTAGAGGCCAATTTAGAAGAGACAATACAAAAGATTGGGGGTAAGGGGAAGGACCTGGAGTGGAATAGCTGGAGTCCTGCTGTAACAATGGACTCTCAGAAATGGCAATAGTAATAGGCAGATGCTAGGCAGACAGTAATACTTACACTAGGTAATGGAGCATGCTCTTTTAGTATGGCTGCTGTCCACAGGACTTCCAAATAGGCAGCTGGCTATACAAGTCTCAAAATCAAAGGAGAGTTCTCAGCCAGGGATATAGTTTATTAGAGTGTCAGAATACAACAATAGAAGTGAATGAAGCAAACTAGGAAGAATATAGAAAGAAAAGGGTCTAAGACCAAAGCCCAAGGAATTTAAATATTTATAGTTCAGGTACAGGAGAAGCTATAGGATCCCAGCAGGAATCTGATGGCACATTCAAACTAAGTTGTTTGAACAGAATTTTATAAAGAGACTATTTACAAAGGTGTGGGCAAGGCTTAGGGAAACAGAAAAAGACAGTGCAGTTCTGCCAGGGTTAACAACAGTTGGAGCTTTACTTTCCCCAGAGCTGAAGAAGACAGAGGAAGGAGCAGTTCCAGAACCCTGAGAGGAGAGCTGAACATAGAAGGCTCCCAGTGGGAGTGGCAGCCTTTTGATAGAGGGACATAGTCAACCCACAGCAATCCAGCTGGGCTAAAGCTGGGACATACATATGACATCCTCATTCTCCTCTTGCCCTTTGATTTCCTGCAGGAGCATCCCATTGGCTGGGCCCAACAGGAACACAAAAGGCAAATGAGCTCACAGATGCATATGGGTCAGCCCTGCCAGGGCACAGAGGCACAGAGCAGGGTGGAGAAGGCCAGAGAGTAGATTTGTGTACATGCACATATGCATACACACACACACACACACACACACACACGACTATCAACACAGGCTCTAAGAATAAGACTCCAGAGAGCCAGGGGTAAAACCTGGAGAGAAAGATAGTGCTAGTGTAAGTCCCAGAGTGCAATGGCCCAGGAACCAGGAGTTCTGATGTCCAAGAGCAGGAGAAGATGAATGTCCCAGCTCAAGGAGAGAGAATTTGGCCTTCCTGTGCCTTTTTGTTCTGTTTGGGCCATCAAGGGATTGAATGGTCCCTGACCACATTAGTGAGGGCAGATCTTCTTTACTCAGACTACTGATCCAATGCTATTCTCTTCCAGAAACACCCTCACAGATATACCCAGAAGTAATGTTTTACCAGGTATCTGGGTGGCTCTTAACCCAGTCAAGTTGATACATAAAATTAACCATCATAGAGATCAAGTTTACTAGAGAGTTACAGTAGAAATCCTAGGCATCGTGCTATATACGTTTGAAGTGAGTTATCTTTCATTTAAAGTGATGGTAATTTGCTCCATTGTGTGGTTTTTCTATAGCCATTCCCAGAGGTACTGGTACAGAAACTGTTCTGTGTGTAAGGTAAATGTGATGAAAGGAGAGAAAGGCAAAATAGTTAAAGGTGGTGGCAGGGTGCAGTGGCTCACACCTGAAATTCCAGTACTTTGGGAGGCCAAGGCAAGCAGATCACTTAAGGTCAGGAGTTTGAGACCAGCCTGGCCAACACGGTGAAATCTCGTCCCTACTAAAAATACAAAAATTAGCCAGAGGTTGTGGCACATGCCTCTAGTTCCAGCTACTTGGGAGGCTGAGGAAGGAAAATCGCTTGAACCTGGGAGGCGGAGGTTGCAGTGAGCCGAGATCACACCACTGCACTCCAGCCTGGGTGACAGAGCAAGACTCCATCTCAAAATAAATAAATAAATAAAAATAAAGGTGGTGGCAAAGGGTGATGATACAGACAAATCATGACATACAAGTCATAAAGACATAAGTGATGTCAAGAGAGGGCAGAAGGACAAAGGAAAAAAATAAGTAGATTAATTGATTGGAGGCCTCCATGAGGCTGAAGAAGTACTGGCAATGTAGGAAAATGTGCTCTAAAATATGGATCTGTAAAATCATGATTTTGGAAGGGGTGAAGATATGTTGATACAACAATATTCAGGGCGGGGTCATGAGTTTGTGGGCTGATGTGGAATTGAGATGGCCGATGAGTGGATGCAGAAGGTTTGGAACAAGCTGCATGCCTGCTTGCAAAAGTTTTGAAGATTAATGGCATGGGTTGCAAGAGATAAAGACCCTGAACCAGGTCCTTAATACTTCAGCGAATGAGGAAAAGAAATCAGATGAGGAAGGGGAGAGGAAGATAAGGTATAACATCACGAGCTTCAAAGGAGCTACGTTTACTGTTGTTGTGTGTTTTCGTTTTCGTTTTGCTTTAATAAGAGGATGGAGAAATAATTGTCTGGATGTAACAATGACAAACAAGGAGAACCCCTGTCCTACCATCTGACCCTAAGCTGTAGGAGAGTAAGAGGATGCCTTAGTCCATTCAGGCTGCTGTAACACAACACCATGAACTGAGTGGCTTATAAACAGCAGACATTTATTTCTCATAATTCTAGAGGCTGGGAAATCCAAGATCAAGATGCCAACAGATTCAGTGTCTGTAGAGGCCCATTCCTCATAGATGGCACTGTCTTGCTGGGTCCTCAGGTGGTAGAAAGGACAGACAAGCTCCTCAGGCCTCTGTTGTAAGTATCCTCATCCCATGCATGAAGGCTCTGCTCTCATGATCTAATCACCTTCCAAAGGCTCCAGCTCTTAATACTATCTTTCCAGCCAGGTGTGGCGGCTCACTCCTGTAATCCCAACACTTTGGGAGGCCTACGAGGGTAGATCATGAAGTCAGGAGTTTGAGACCAGCCTGGCCAATATGGTGAAACCTGGTCTCTACTAAAAATACAAAAATTGGCTGGACACAGTGGTGTGCACCTGTATTCCCACCTACTCGGGAGGCTGAGGCAGGAGAATCACTTGAACCTGGGAAGGGGAGGTTGCAGTGAGCAAGACTGCATCAGTGCACTCCAGCCTGGGTGATAGAGCGAGACTACATCTCAAAAGAACAAAAGCAAAAACAAAAACAACTATCTTTCCTTGGGGGTTAGGATATCAACATATGAATTCGGGGGGAAAACAAACATTCAGACCATAACAGAGGGCACACAATTAGCTTGGATTTCAACTAAGGCCTGGAGGTATAGGTAATATTTAGAGAAGTGTTTACAGATAAAGGTGAGTTTGCTGATCACTTGGTAGGTTCTCCGTGGCCGAGTGGTAGAGGTTAGGAAGGAGGTATGGAACAGGCTTAGTTAGATAAGCTTTTTTCAAAAACAGCACAGCATACCTGGTCATTTGGTAAATAATATAACATTTGTTAACGAGATACATTTATATGTATATAAAATAATCTCCTTCAACTCCTTAATAAAATAGCTACAGAGACTCTCATGGGCCTCTGATTTTATTTTTGGCATTTTTAATGGTTTCCTTTGTTCTTTTATACGTCTTGGGCCCTCGTTGGTGGAATTTGTGGCTTCGATTCTGTTCAGCCCACCTTGAAAACAAACCATTAATAAATACATTTGGGCCTCCTTTTGTGCCTCGCAGAAACAAACAAACAAAATGTCTATTTCATTAGCACACCAGGATCTGGGGAAGGGTGAATTCTCTGGAAAGAAAAGTACAGGAGGACTAGGAGAGATGTCAGGCATGTCCCACAAATTCAATTTATTCTTCTTTCCAGACCACATCTAAATCAAAGCAGCTGTACTTGATAAGCCTCTCTGGTTAAGATGCTGAAAGTGATATTCAGATTAAAGGTAATGTGAGGAAGACTTTCTGTCTCAGGTGGAGAAGGGTTTTGTTCGGGAAAAAACAGCAGGCAAATCAAAGAAAGTACTGAGGCTCCCAAAGAAAATGAGAACAGAAGAGGGTGAGAGAGAAAATGGCTTAAATGAACAAAAGAAAGATTGTGCTTGTCTACCCAGGTCTGGCTGTGCTCATCAATTGAATCAGAACTGTGGCTGGCCATCTGCTGCTCTGAATACATGACAACAAGCCACTTGCAATGACCCAGCTTTTGACTGCTTTAGCAATGGCATTTCTTGAGATCAAAGAGACCCAGCTCATCCCAGGAAACACTTGGAGCCATTCACTGTGACCTTATTTTAAAGATATTATATTGTAAATTTAATGAAATAATATATCCAGCCTGTCTAGCATATAGGAAGGCTATTTTCCTTCTCCTTCCATTGCTACAAAAACACAGTGAAACAATGGACAATACACATTGTCCTCAGTAATTGGGTTTCTCCCCCTCTGAATTATAAAATTACTATTACAATAGTACTGAAATTATTATTGCTATTTTCAGTGCTTTAAATCACTCTTTTGCATGGGGTGGAATTTCATGTGAATGGAGTCTTTCTTTGGCCCCTATCCCATAAGGTTTAATTAGGGAAGTAGACTCACCTGGAAGCTGGTCTCATAGCAATAATGATAATTACCTTTATTGAGATGCTATTCTGGGTAGATCAGGCACCATGCTCCACATACATTATCACCATTTTCCAGCAAGTCTGTGAGAAAGGTATCAGTGTTCCAATTTTATAGATGAAGAAATTGAAGCTCTGGGGTTTCTGCTATTTGGTCAAGCCTATTTTATTCATAATCAAATTTAGAAATAAAGGCTTTGTTGAACTTCTTCTGTATCATTGATGAAACAGCTAACCATTGATTCAAATCTTCTGAAGGATCTTGAAGCCCTATGAAACTGTTACCTAAACCTTGGTCACTGTGATCAAACACAAGAGGCAGATGGGTAAAAACGACAAGTGGAAATTCATGCCTATCTTCTTTTTCTTGAACACTAATGATTTTGATCAAAACAGAGCTTCACTACAGGAATCTGTCCTGGGGTTTGTTTCCTTCTCATACTGCACTGATTCTCTGGGCAATCTCTCTCATGCTTAGGGCCAACTAAATTCTGATGACTTTCAAATCTTTAATTATAGTGTGATCTGTTTCCTGAGTTCCAGATCCATAGATATACAATTACTCTTGAGAGATCGCCTCCTAGGAGTTCCAAAGGGACCTCAAACTCAATATATCCCAAACTAAACCTATCCTACTCTTTCCCAAATAAGCTTCTCCTCTTTTTAGTCCCTGTCTACTCAGATAGTCAGAGCAGGAACCTGGAAGTCTTCATAGACTTCTCCCTCTCTTGATATATCCGATTTGTCACCAAGTATTATAAGGAAAGGTTTTCAGGGTGAGGTATCCAAACTACCACCAGCAGCGGCAGTGTCTGGAAACTAGTTAGTAATGAAAATGTTTAGGACCCCACCCGATTTCTCCTAAATCAGACTCTCTGGGGGTGAGGCCAGGGAATCTGCATCTTAAGCCCTCCAGGGAATCTGATGCATGCTCTAATTGTCCTTATCTTTCTCTAATTATCCCATTCCTAAAGCTCCTGTTTTAAGGCAGGCCCTCATTATCTTATGCCTAAACTATTACAATCATTTCCCAACTAGCGTTCCTTTCTCTAGCCTTAGATCGCACCAATCTATCCTCTTTCCTACCAGAACGTTCTCTCTGAAATGAAAATTGGATCATGTCTCTGTCCTACATAAACTCCTTCACTGTTCTCCCAAATAAGGGAGAAATATAATGTGGACCACATATGTAATATTTAATAGAAATATAATGTGGACCAAATATGTAATATTATGTGGCTACTAGAAAACTTAAAAAGTAAAAAGAAATGTCAAATTAACATTAAAATGTATATTATTGAACCCAATGTATCAAAAATATTATTTCAACCTGTAACGAATACAAAAATCATTAATATTTCATGCCAGATGTTTGAAATCTGGGGTATATTTCTTCACTTACAGCCCACCTCAATTCAGATGTTATACTTTCACTGAAATGATTTGTCTTTAGATTTCATAACTGACAGAGTTGATGTACTTATCCAGGTTGCTCCAAACATACTTAAAAGTTTTCTGGCCAGCCACGGTGGCTTACGCCTATACTCCCAGCATTTTGGGAGGCCAAGGTGGGTGGATCACTTGAGCCCAGGAGTTTGAGACCAGTCTGGGCAACATAGCGGGACCCTATCCCAAGCGTGGTGACACACCACTGCACTCCAGCCTTGGTGACAGAGTGAGACCCTATCTCAAAAATAAAATAAAACAAAAAGCTTTCCAAGAACTGAATTGAGTATCAGTTTTTACATTTAAATTAATTAAAGTTAAAAATTAAATTCCTCACTCACACTAACCACATTTCTTTCTTTTTATTATACTTTAAGTTCTAGGGTACATGTGCACATCGTGCAGGTTTGTTACATATGTATCCATGTGCCATGTTGGTGTGCTGCACCCATTAGCTCGTCATTTACATTAGGCATATCTCCTAATGCTATCCCTCCCCCCTCCCCCAACCCCACGGCAGGCCCTGGTGTGTGATGTTCCCCTTCCTGTGTTCAATTGACACTAACCACATTTCAAATGCTCTACCGACCCATGTGGCTTGTGGCTGCTGTTTTGGTCAGCATGGACTTCAAGAGAAAATTCTAACCCCTCAGCATGGCTTACAAGGCTATCAAGGACCTAGCTTCTTTCCAAGTTCTTCAGTCTTGTCTCTATTTAATTCCCTGCTGCACATAAGGAGTCAGTTTCATGGAAGTGCATTTCTCAAGATATTTCATGTCACTTCATGCCTCAGGACTTTCCCCATAGCATAGCCTGTCCCTCAATTGCCCTTCCCCTCATCTCCCTATTCACTTAGCGAAAACCCACTCATTTTTATTTATTTATTTGTATATTTTTTAGCCTTTTGCACTCCTAAAAAAAAACACTCATTTTTAGTCTTGGCTCAAGAGGCACCTCCTCTATGATACCTCCCACCTCTGTCGTGGTGCAGATACCCAGGACTGTTCAATCCCTCCTTTGAGCCGCCAGGCATGGTGGCCCACGCCTGTAATCCCAGCACCTTGGGAGGCCGAGGCGGGCGGATCACGAGGTCAGGATATTGAGACCATCCTGGCTAACATGGTGAAACTCCGTCTCTACAAAAAATACAAAAAAAATTTCGCCAGGCGTGGTGGCGGGCGCCTGTAGTCCCAGCTACTCAGGAGGCTGAGGGAGGAGAATGGTGTGAACCCGGGAGGCGGAGCTTGCAGTGAGCCGAGATTTCACCACTGCATTCCAGCCTGGACGACAGAGCCAGACTCCATCTCAAAAAAAAAAAAAAAAAGAAAGAAAGAAAGAAAGAAAAAAAATCCCTCCTTTGAGCCAAACCAAGCTCTGTATCAACCTCTAAGATTCTCACCAGATCGTATTTCACTTACTTGTTCACGTATCTCCACTTACTAGAGATAAGCTGCTCAAATCTTGTGGTACTCATCCTTTGTACCCCTAGCACCCAGAACAGCACCCAGCACTAGTAGACATTTAATTAATGTTTGTTGAATGAATAAATAATACCTAAACATAAACCGTTTTTACTATGACATACACACTCCCCTCCATGGACCTGAAGGGCAGCAATTTACCAGCGCTGAAGAATTAATGCTCTTGTCTTGATTGTCACATCATTGCTATTTCCCTGAAGCCCTAGAAGTGAGATGGGCTTTCTGCCTTGCCATTTTCTTCCTTCTCCAAAGGTCATGAGCCACACTTTTGAGTACACCCACCACAAAGAATACAGAAACAGGAGATGTTCAGTTCTAGCAACTGTTGTCATTCTCTGGTTTGCCTGGGCCAAGTCCCTTAACTTCTCTAAACCATGGTCTCCTCATCTGTGAAATGAGGATCATTAGAACTCCCTGCTTAGTAATCAAATGCTGTAAGGGAGATAAAGTGCTTGCCTTATAGAGTCCTGCTTGGTAAATTGTGAAGAGTTAGGCAAAGCTAAGCTCCTATTATTATTTAATCTCAGAAGGTAACCAGCACAGACTAGAAGAGAAGGATCAGCTCTTTTTGAAGAATCATGCACTTAACTCCATTGCATGAATGTGGTCCCTGATGAAGACATCGACTGCCCCTCTGTCCTATTTTCCACATTGCATTTTGTTCCTGAAAGGAAAAGATGCTGTTTTTATGCTCATTGGTTATGATGTGTCACCCAATTACTGCATCTGGCTCTTTCATCCTCTTGAGATCTTTCTGCATACAGGCGGCTCAATAAAAAGTCTCTGGAGTCCAAGATGAGACTAAAAAGCAGGAAGAGCTTTGTCAAATTATTGCATCTTAAGATAAACATCCTAGCTGAGGTCTAAGCAGTATTGATTTAACAGAAAATTTGCTGAGCTAGGCTCCCCTCCACCCATGTCCATCTCCCAAGAGGAAGAACATGAGAGGGTTAGAATGAAAGCAGGAAAGCAGATGGTGAATGCACCTGAGAAGGGGCCCTCTTCCCCAGAGTCAGCTTCAAAGTGGGCCGGATGATAGTGTCCCCTGATAAGTGTGGGTATTGAAGAGTTCGGGAACTGTGCCCTAATTCTTGACTGGGATGCAGGCATCTTGCAGGTGTTCCTTATAACCCTGTGGCCTAAGAGCAGAAGGCAAAGACTGTTATGTGACAAGCTGACAGCAGAAAGGATCTGAAGTGGCCACCCTCACTTTCCTGAGGCTCCAAAGCAGTGTGAAAGAATTCCAATTTTCCCTGTATCTCCATTAAAGACAAAGACAGCCAGCAGGCAGATATTGATGGCATCAGCACCATGGCAAAGGAGAGAGACAGGTAAGCTGCACCCCAGGTAACCATACCTGAGCATCAGGTAGAGGCCAGCACAATGGTACCAGGTGACACCCAGGTATCAGATGCTTCCCCACCTCTAATGCCTATTCAGTGCATGACATTTAGAATTCAGATGCAGTCCTAAGGAGGAGTGTTTTGGGAGGGAGAAAGACCTGAATCAAAGGGGAAGGCTTGACTGAGGCAGCCTGGAATTGGCTTGACTAAGTGATTGGTCAGGAGTGGGGATGGAGACATTTATAGAGATTTAAGTTATGGAAAATAACAAAGTAGACATGCATTTCTGGTACCCATAAGAAATATCACTCTCTATGAACAGTTGTTTGTGTGTCTGGATCCCTGCTAGATTGTAAATTGTGTAGCTTATGCATCACTGCTGTCCACAAGCCCAGGGTTTGCCCATCGGTATGGTCTGTCTATGTCTCCACCCAAATCTCATCTTGAATTGTAGTTCCCATAATCCCCACGTGTCATGGGAGGAACCAGGTGGAGATAATTGAATCATGGAGGCAGCTTCCGCACTCCTGTTCTCATGATAGTTAATAAGTGTCACAAGATCTGATGGTTTTATAAAGGGCAGTTCTTCTGCACACGCTCTCTCACTTGTTGCCATGTAAGATGTGCCTTTGCGCCTCTGATATGGTTTGGCTCTGTGTCTCCACCCAAATCTCATCTTGTAGTTCCCATAATTCCCACATGTTATGGGAGGGGCCCAGTGGGAGATAATTGAATCATGGGGGCAGATCTTTCCCATGCTGTTCTCATGATAGCGAATAAGTCTCACGAGATCCAAAGGTTTTAAAAATGAGAGTTGGCCAGGCGCAGTGGCTCACGCCTGTAATCCCAGCACTTTGGGAGGCCGAGGTGGGCAGATCACGAGGTCAGGAGATCAAGACCATTCTGGCTAACACAGTGAAACCCCGTCTCTACTAAAAACACAAAAAATTAGCCAGGCGTGGTGGTGTGTGCCTGTAGTCCCAGCTACTCGGGAGGCTGAGGCAGGAGAATGGTGTGAACCTGGGAGGTGGAACTTGCAGTGAGCCGAGATCGCACCACTGCACTCCAGCCTGGGCGACAGAGCGAGACTCCGTCTCAAAAAAAAAAAAAAATGAGAGTTTCCCTGCACATGCTCTTTTTGCCTGCTGCCATCTGTGTAAGATGTGACTTGCTCCTCCTTGCCTTCCTCCATGATTGTGAGGCCTCCCCAGCCATGTGGAACTGTAAGTCTAATAAGCCTCTTTCTTTTGTAAATTGCCCAGTCTCAGATATGTCTTTATCAGCAGTGTGAAAACATACTAATACAGTAAATTGGTACCAGTGGGGCGCTGCTGAAAAGATACCCAAAATTGTGGAAGCAACTTTGGAACTGGGTCACAGGCAGAGGTTGGAATGGTTTGGTGGGCTCATAAGAAGAGAGGAAAATGTGGGAAAGTTTGGAACTTCCTAGAGACTTGTTGAACGGCTTTGACCAAAATACTGATAATGAATATGGACAATGAAATCCAGGCTGAGGTGGTCTCAGATGGAGATGAGGAACTTGATTGAAACTGGAGCAAAGGTGACTCTTGTTAGGTTTTAGTAAAGAGACTGGCAGCATTTTGCCCCTGCCCCAGAGACTTGTGGAACTTTGAACTTGAGAAAGATGATTTAGGGTATCTGGTTGAAGAAAGTACTAAGTAGCGAAGCATTCAAGATGTGACTTGGGTGCTGTTAAAGGCATTCAGTTTTAAAAAAGAAACAGAGCATAAAAATTGGGAAAATTCACAGCCTGACAATGCAGCAGAAAAGAAAATCCCATTTTTTGAGGAGAAATTCAAGCCAGCTGCAGAAAATTGGCTAATGAATGAGAAGCCAAATATTAGTCCCCAAGACATTGGGGAAAATGTCTCCAGGGCATGTCAGAGGTCTTCACAGCAGCCCCTTTCATTATAGATCTGGAGGCCCAGGGGGAAACACAGGTTTCTTGGGCCAGGCCCAGGGTCCCAGTGCTGTGCGCAGTCTAGGGACTTGGTGCCCTGCATCCCAGCTGCTCCAGCCATGGCTGAAAAAGGCCAACATAGAGCTCAGGCCATGGCTTCAGAGGGTGCAAGCGTCAAGCATTGGCAGCTTCCACATGGTGTTGAGCCTGTGAGTGCACAGAAGTCAAGAATTGGGGCTTGGGATCCTCAACCTAGATTTCAGAGGATGTATGGAAATGCCTGGATGTCCAAGTAGTAGTTTGCTGCAGTGGCAGGCTGTCATGGAGAACCTCTGCTAGGACAGTGCAAAATGAAAATGTGGGGTCAGAGCCCCCACACAGAGTACCTACTGGGGCACCCCCTAGTGGAGCTGTGAGAAGAGAGCCATGTCCTTCAGATCCCGGAATGGTAGATCCACTGACAGCTTACACCTTGCACCTGGAAAAGCCGCAGACACTCAATGCCAGTCTGTGAAAGCAGCCAGGAGGGAGGCCGTACCCTGTAAAGCAACAGGGGCGGAGCTGCCCAAGACTGTGGGAGCCCACCTCTTGCATCAGCATGACCTAGATCTGAGACATGGAGTCAAAGGAGATCATTTCAGAGCTTTGAGATTTGACTGCCATGCTGGATTTCAGACTTGCATGAGGCCTGTATCCCCTTCGTTTTGGCCAATTTCTCCCATTTGGAATGGCTGTATTTACCCAATGCCTGTACCCCCATTGTATCTAGGAAGTAACTAATTTGCTTTTGATTTTACAGGCTCATAGGCAGAAGGGACTTGCTTTGTCTCAGATGGGACTTTGGACTGTGGACTTTTGAGTTAATGCTGAAATGAGTTAATACTTTGGGGGACTGTTGGGAAGGCATAATTGATTTTGAAATGTGAGACATTAGATTTGGGAGGGGCCAGGGGTGGAATGATATGGTTTGGCTGTGTCCCCACCTAAATCTCATCTTGTAGCTCCCATAATTCCCGTGTGTTGTGGGAGAGACCCAGTAGAAGATAATTGAATCAAGGGGGTGGGGCTTTCCCATGCTGTTCTCATGGTAGTGAATAAGTCTCAGGAGATCTGATGGTTTTAAAAATGAGAGTTTCCCTGCACAAGCTCTTTTGGCCTGCTGTCATCTATGTAAGAAGTGATTTGCTCCTCCTTGCCTTCTGCCATGATCGTGAAGCCTCCCCAGCCACGTGGAACTGTAAGTCCATTAAACCTCTCTCTTATAAATTGCCTAGTCTCAGGTATGTCTTTATCAGCAGTGTGAAAACGAACTAATACATTCTCCTTCGCCTTGCACCATGATTGTGAGGCCTCCACAGACATGTGGAATCGTGACTCCATTAAACCTCTTTTTCTGTATAAATGACCCAGTCTCAGGCATTTCTTTATAGCAGTATGAAAATGGACTAATACAGCTGGGTGCGGTGGCTCACACCTGTAATCCCAGCACTTTGGGAGGCTGAGGTGGGTGGATAACGAGGTCAGGAGTTCAAGACCAGCCTGGCCAAGATGGTGAAACCCCCATCTCTACTTAAAATACAAAAAAATTAGCCAGGCAGCGAGCGCCTGTAATCCCAGTTACTTGGGAGGCTGGGGTGGAGAATTGCTTGAACTTGGGAGACAGAGGTTGCAGTGAGCAGAGATTGCACCACTGCACCCCAGCCTGGGAGACAGAGTGAGACTCTGTCTCAAAAAAACAAAAAAAAAAAGAAAGAAAAGAAAAGAAAATGGACTAACACACCCATCCTAGGCCTACCTGCAAAGTTTGCAAAATCACTCTGAAATGAGCTGAGTTCGAGCCAGTATGCTCCAGCATACCTGGCCTGTGGCCTTTCTTCCCCCTTGCTTATCTGTTGTTGCAGCTCAGAAGCCTGTATGCATTTTCGCTCATTCACTTATTCATTTACTCAGAAAATATGAAAATATTTATTGTGTGCTTGAATTGTGAAGCTCTATAGATGCAAGTGAGAAAAAGAAGTGGAGATTTTAAGTGAGGCTTTGGGTTGGCATGTTTTTTGGTTTTTGTTTTTAATTTTCCAGAGTCCTGTCCTACTTGTCATCTCACTATAGTTTCACAGCCACAGCAGAGGCAAAGGGAAGCAGATGGTGTTAAGTTCACTGTACAGGTGAAGAAAAGGAAAGACAAGTTGAGCTTTTACCAAAGTGACACAAAAATTTGTGGTAGAGATGGCGTGACAAACAACTCGCAGTTTTCCTGACTCTAGTTCATGCAGTTAGGTAAAAAGACATCAGAACATTTGTTTGGGTTAAAAGTGCAATCAGCCAATGGAAAGAGCTTCTCATGGCCAAAGTTAGAGCAATTTGAGCAACATAAATAAAGTAGTATTGGATTATACCCCGAAGTATAAAATACATATCCAAGAGTCTATGCTGATACAAATAAATGACAAAATAAATAAGTAATGGGGGAGAATAGCCAAATATCCCTGCAGCAGAATTCCATATAATTTATGTAGACATTCCATGCTCCAGGAGGTAGAGCATAATTCCCCACTACTCAAGTGCAGGCCGCACATAGTGATTTCCTTCCTAAGAGTCCAGTGGGGAGAGAGGGAGAAAAAGGTACATTTATAGTGGAGCAACCTGACAAACACCACCTCAGCCAGCTGATCAAGGTCAACATCAACCGTGATAAGTCATGTCCCTTAGTAACATGTGATGAGAATAACATTGCGTCTTTGTGGTCTCGCTCTCAAAAACTCATGCTACCAGTCTAATCATATAAAAAAAAAATCAGGTGAATCCCAATTAAGGGACTGAATTAGTCCATTTTCACGCTGCTGATAAAAACATATCTGAGATTGGGTAATTTATAAAGAAAAAGAGGTTTAATGGACTCACAGTTCCACGTGGCTGGGAGGCCTCACAATTATGGCGGAAGGCAAAAGCCATGTCTTACATGGCGACAGGCAAGAGAGGACATGAGAGCCATGTGAAAGGGGTTTCCCCTTATAAAAGCATCAGATCTCATGAGACTTATTCACTACCATGAGAACAGTATGGGGGAAACCACCCCCATGATTCAATTATCTCCCACTAGGTCCCTCCCACAACACGTGGGAATTATGGGAGCTACCGTTCAAGATGAAATTTGGGTGGGAACACAGCCAAACCATATCAGGGACATTCTACAAAATACGTAACCAGTACTCCTGGAAACTGTCAAGGTCATTAGAAAAAACAAGGAGAGTCTGAGAAACTATCCTAGCCAAGAGGAGCCTAAGGAGACAGGATGGCTAAATACAATGTGGTCTCCTGGATGAGATCTTGAAACAAAGAACATTAGGTAAAAAACAAAGAAATCTGAACAAAGTATGAACTTTAGTGCATAATAATTGATTGATTTTGTTTCACTCATTGTGACTCATATACCATCCTAATGTAAGATGTTAATAACAGGAGAAACTGGGCATGAGGGTATATGGGAAACTCTGCACTAATGTCATAACTTTGCTGTAAAGTAAAAATAAAAATAGTTTATGAAAGGCTGGGTACAGTGGCTCACACCTGTAATCTCAGCACTCAGGAGGCTGAGGCAGGAGGATGACTTGAGCCCTGGAGTTTGAGACCAGTCTGGACAACATAGGGAGACCCTATCTCTACAAAATTTTTAAAATTAGCCGAGTGGTGGTATGCACCTGTGGTCCCAGCTATTCAGGGCACTGAGGTGGGAGGATCACTTGAGCTGGGAGTTCAAGGCTGCAGTGAGCTGTGATCATGCCACTGCACCCCAGCCTGGGTGACAGAGTAAGACCCTGTTTGGAAAAATAAATAAATAAATAAAAAGAGCCAGGCATGGTAGTGTGCACTTGTAGCCCCAACTACTTGAGAGGCTGAGGCAGGAGGATCACGTGGGTCCAGGAGTTTGAGGCTGCAGTGTGTTATGATTGCCTCTGTAAATAGCCACTGCACTCCAGCCTGGGCAACATAGTAAGACCCCATCCCTAAAAAAAATAAGAATAATAAAATAAAATTTAAAAAGATGAATTGTGCAATGGAAAATGTACAACCAATGTATTGCCGGTGTAATAAAGTGGCGGGAGGGTTGGTGGGAGGAAAGTGCTATACAAGCCTTTATTCTGCTTTCTCTTCATTCTTTGGGATTGACAGTCAGCTTTGGTTGCAGCAGCACAGGAAAAGGACTCCTGTGTTCCTGACACAAATCTTCAGCCCTTCCAGTGACTGGCTGATCCTGGATAAACGTTTTCCCTGCTGTCATCTCTAAAAGCTTTGTTCTCCTGAATCAATAAGCCTATGCACATCACTGTGGTCATTCTTCTGGCTTACCTGGAATTTGGATCATCTACTGCATCATCGGGTTTATTTTCAGAGCCCAGACAAGAGTGGGAAATGAGTGGGAAATTGGGAGTCGGAAAACCTGTGAGCATCACCTAATTGTGATGCCCCTGACTTAACCTTTCTCATTCTCTATTTCTTCAACCATAAAGTAAAGATAATGATGGTCCCTGGGGTAGCAAAAGATTAAATGGTGTAACGTATGTGAAAGCTTTCTGTGACCTAGAAAGGGCTGCAAAATTTTATTTTGGAATGTCCTTGTCTTTGGGGAGGCTAGGACTTCGTGCATCTTTTCTCCTTAAGCAGTTCTCTGGATTATTCTCTCAATCCAGTTCAACAGATATTTGTCAAGTATCATTAACATGTCAGGTACATTAAGAAGTGCCTCAGCATGGAAACGTTGGAAGATGGAGAAACACGGGCTTCTCAGAATTCGCATGAGAAGAGCTGTGTGTGGCTAGATGGATAAGCTGCCTGGGCGGGGAATGATAGCCCACTAGAAGCATGCATCAATTATGATGTATTTGGTTATTAGAATTGAAAACCCAAATCAAAATGGCCTGAAAAAGTCACTGGCTCACCTAACTGAAAGGCCCAGACCTGCGTGGGCTTCAGGAATCAATGACATATGGTGGCTTAACCACAGCATCAAAGACTCAGTTTTATCTTTTTCTGTTCTGTTATCTACAGCAATGGCTTCATCCTAAAATGGCCTCCCCCATGGTTATTAGGATGGCTGCCAGCAGCATGTAGGGCTCTTAGCTTCCTTATTCACAATGGGATGTGGTGGGGGGTAGCACTTATAAAATAAAGCCACAGTCCATGAACTTAACCACACTATCTGAATTAGCCACCCCACCTCCAGTCTCTTGCTAGTCCCTAACTCTGTATCATTTCTTTACACAATTTGAAATATTATGTTTTTTAAATATTACTTATTATTTATTTGCATATCTACTCATTTATACTCAACTCTCCCTCTGAAATATAAGTTCCATGAGGGCGTGGATTTCATTTTGTTCACCACTGTTCCTGAAACCACCTTCTAAGGAGAGTGGTTCCCTCTTTAGTCCATGAGATAGAGGCTGAGCCTGCTACGAGGAGTCTTCCCTCTCTGCCCTCCTTCCTATGCCCATGGTGCTTCCTGCCTGGGTCCTGACACTGATTAGGGTGCTACCAATCAGGATTTTGCTGGAATGAAAGATCACAGGTGGCTCATGTCTGTAATCCCAGCACTTTGGGAGGCTGAGATGGGAGGATCGCTTGAGCCCAGGAGTTTCAAACCAGCCTGGGCAACATAGTGAGACTCTGTCTCTAAAAAAAAAAAAAATAGAAAAAAAATGAGCCAGGTGTGGTGGTGAATGCCTGTAGTCTCAGCTACTCGGGAGGCTAAGGCAGGAGGATTTCTTGAGCCCTGGAAGTCATGGCTGCAGTGAGCTGTGATCACTGCACTGCCCTCCGGCCTGGGCAACAGAGTGAGACCCTGCCTAAAAAAAAGAAGAAGATCACAGGTGCCCCTGGAAGGGGATCTTTCTAAATGAAGACAGCCTAAGTTGGCATAGCCTGGGTGGAAAAACAGGACAGGTGATCAGAGGAGCTGGAGTAAATTTGGGGAGAAAGAATTGATAAAAAGTATCACCCTTGAAGGAAGGAGGAAAGGGGGTAGTGACAGCGAGGTCAGTAGTCAAGCGGGTGAAAAATACGATGGCGTGAGGTGAAGGGCCCAGGACGGAGTCTCAGCAGGGTGGGCACATGGGCTCCTGGCACACACACCTTCTGCCCACATTCCTGAGCACGTTACCCACACTTTTTCATGGCAATGCTCCAAGGGCCCTGTGGAATATGAATAATAGTTCTTCACATTTTAAGAGCATTTTATAACTTACAGGACATGTTCCCAGACATTATGTCATTTCATCGTCACAGCCATTCTGTGGGGCTAGTTTGATTATTCTGATTCTGAAAGTGAAAAAAACAAGCCTCAGAGCAATTTTCCAAACACCACACAGTTAAGACAAAGGAAAGCTGGATCCAGATATTCATTCTCCTTCGAGTCCTGAGTTCATCTTACACCATTGGAAAACAGGGTAATGATGTCCTGAGATGAAAATACATTGAAAACTGCTTAGGGCTAGGTTTTTTGTTTTGTATTTATTTTTTCTGTTTAGGGTTGAGTTGCTTTGTACTTTCGTACACATATAAAATTTTCCATAATAAAACTTTTAAGAAATTTTAAAGAATAGAGTTGAGTTGCTCGGTCAGCCCCTGGAAGAGTAAATCCAGGGGAGGTCAGGCCCCAAGGAAGTCAGGTGCTGAAGGGTTTAGGCTTCAGCCTTTAAGATTTAACTTTAAAAAAGAAGGAGGAACATTTGGGAATAAGGAACAAGGAAAATCATATGCGTGCTCAAGCAGCTAAAAAAAAAAAAAAAAAAGACACAAAGGAATGATTTGTTCCCTCCGGGTTTTATATTCTCTTGCCAGATCCTTTAATTATGCTTCTATTCTTTTTTCTCAAATTTAATTTTCCCCCAGACTTAAATAAAGAACAGATGATGCTTCATAGAAGACTTGGTAAAATAGCCTTTCATAAGTTATTTCTGCTTGGGTGCAGGTCCTGGCTTGATCTCCAATTCGCTGTGTGATCCTGGGTTGTTATTTACCTCCTGGAAGGTTCAGTCTCTCCAACTGTAACATCGGATTGAGAATATGTGCCACTAAATGGCCTCAAGAAAAAGGAAAAGAAGGTAGGTGATAGCCACAAAGGCACTTGGACGTTTTCCATAGAGAGATGTCTTAGGTTTGGAGACATTACCATTAGAGCATTTCTCAGAACCACCTAGTCTGTGAGTTACTACAGACAGGGCCCTCTGCTGCCCTGGCATTAAAGTTGACAGGGCCTTCATAATCTATGTGGGCTGGGAAGGGACCTCAGGTCTGAATCCTTTGCTCTTTCTGGTCCTCCAGGTTGTCTCCTGGTTGATTTGGTTGGTTTGACAGTTTTCATCTCATGAAGTGTTAACAAGTTGCTCTGGTGCATCAGGAAAGAGAATCTGAGAAAGAGAAATAGTCCTTGATTATCCTTGCTAAAGGCAGAGCATAAGCTCAAAGAGCAGATAATCTCAAAGAGCATGGTCATTTAAATTCAGCATTGCAGTAATAATTTTAAAAGTTTTATCTTCATAATTTTATTTTGTTTTGTTCAGGCTGAGCTTTGCAAGAGGCAAGGGAGCGGCAGCCCAGATAGATGTTGGGTGCTGGGAGGAAGATTGGGGTTAATCCTGGCTCAAGGTTTTCTTCTCTTTGCCATCACTTTTGAAGACTTCAGTACACATGCCGGCAGTGCATCTGACAGCTTGGTCTCCCAGGTCTTCTTGTCTTAACACCACTGATATTCTCTCAACAAATGATCCTTTTGATGACACTGACTATCAAGTCTTCATTCAAAATCATTCATTCATTCATTCAATAGGCAAGTTCCAAGTGACTCCTACATGTCAAGAACTTCTTAAGGATTCGGAGTATAAAAATTAGAAAATTTCCTCGACCTTGAGCTCCATTGTGAGAAACAGATGAAGAAACTACAGTGTCATTAATGACTATCATAATGGAATGCCCTAGGGGAATGTGAAGAAGGAGACCTCTCTAAGCCCAGGTGAGTCAGAAAAGACTTTTAGGAGAAGGTGACACTTGGACTGGAAGGATAGGGAAAATTTTTCTTTGCTTTTCTTGCTTTTCTTTCTTTCTCTTTCTTTCTTTCTTTCTTTCTCTTTCTTTCTTTCCTTCTTTCTTTCTTTCTCTCTCTCTTTCTTTCCTTTCTTCCTTCCTTCCTTCCTTCCTTTCTTTCTTTCTTTCTTTCTTTTTCTCTCTCTCTCTCTCTCTTTCTTTCTTTCTTTCTTCCTTTCTTTCCTTCTTTTTTTTTTGTGACAGAGTCTCGCTCTGTCCCCAAGGCTGGAGTGCAGTGGTGCAATCTCGGATCACTGCAACTTCTGCCTCCCGGAAGTTCAACCGATTGTCACCTCAGTCTCCCGAGTAGCTGGGATTACAGGTGTGCACCACCATGTCCAGCTAATAGGGAGAAATTTTCAATGTGGATAGATTAAGGGAAGGTGTTCTAGGAAGAGGGTGCGGCACATGCGCAGGTGTGGAGGCGTGATAAAGCAGTGGCATATTCAAGGAGTTGAGCAAGCAGTTTGATCAGCTGTGGAGGAGCAAGAGATGAGGCTAGACAGGTAAATTGGTGCCAGATCCAGTGCTGGGTCTATTGTGAAGGAGAAGGGGAACTAGTTCAGAGATTTTCCCCAGACTTAATTGAATCAGATTCTCATTTTAAAAAGTGCACTGGTAGAAATGTGAATAGATTAGAGGCATGTGAGATTGAAGGTGCAGGGTGGGTGGCAGAGGGACCTGCTGGGAGCCATCACAGTAAAGCACCTGAGAATGGATAAGGACCTTTACTAAGGCAGTGCCTGTGGAGAAGGTGAGAGGGCTAGAGAGATCTGAGCAGAAGTGTAAAGGACTTGGCGACCATGGAGTGTGGAGGATAGATATGAAAAAGGGAGTCTAGAATTACTCCCAGGTTTGGGGCTTAGCTGATTGTGGAGATAGTTATACTGTTGGCTTATATAGAAAATATAAGAGGAGATTCAGGATTGGGAGAAAAGATGATTTGTTTAGCTCTGAAACTACTGACTTTAAGGTGGGTATGGTTGGGCATCTATGGGGAGATTGCCAGTGGACAAATGGGTTTCAGGCTTTACAAGTCATAGCTGGGTGCAGTGGTTCAACCCTGTAATCCCAGCTACTTGGGAGACTGAGATGGGAGCATCACTTGAGCCCAGGAATTTGAGGCTGCAGTGAGTTATGATCATGCCACTACACTCCAGCCTGGGCAGTAGAGTGAGACCCCATCTCTGAAAAATAAATACATAAATATTTAAAAAACGATTTGGAAATCGGGAGAGAGTTTAGTGCTAGAGACTCTTACCATAGATGCAAGTGAGATCGCCATGGGAAAGTGGGTGGAGAGCCAAGGGACCATGGATACACCAAGGTTTAAAGGTAAACAGAGCAGGAGGAACAAGGTAAGAAGACTAAGAGAAAGGCCAGAAATGCATGGGAGAAACCAGGCAGTAATGTGAAGGAAGCCAGGCCTGGGGGAGATTTAAGAAGGGAAAGTGCACAATTCTATCAAGTTCCTTAGGGACGATAAGTATGATGAAGGCCAGAAATAGGGAAAGGAAGAGAGGATTGGTAGAATAAGGTCCAAATAGCTGATGGGCTTGAAGAAGAGCCTTTGATAGAAGGAGGGCCATTTTTCCCTAATATGAAATGAAAGGAGATAAATATGAGAGCAATCTACCTGTACCTCTTTCCCTTCATAACCAAGGGCTATTCAACATTCATCAGAGCACCTCTGATGAAGGTGCATAGCTGGGAATGGAATTCAGCACATATTGATGGTCAGGTCCTGTGCTAGATACTTTATGTAAATCATCTCACTGCAGCCCTTTGAGGCTGACAGCATAATCCTCCCTTTCAAGATGAGGAAATCAAGGCTCAGCATGGCCAAGTCAACTGCTTGTCTCTTTCCTCTCCACTGATTGCCAGGTCACATTCCCCAAAACGGATCTGTGAAGAGCCTTTTATTTCTCACTGGCTCGAGCTCCTAATGCCGATAAGTGAAAATAAAGATAGACTTGGGCCAGATGTAGGCTGCTATTTCTACCACGAACACATTCACAGGAACATACTTAAATCAATGGGTAGAAGAGAGATAAGACACTGCACAAAGATGCTTTCTTTCTTTTTCTTTTTTTTTTTTTTTTGAGACTGAGTCTCGCTCTGTCGCCCAGGCTGGAGTGCAGTGGCGCGATCTCGGCTCACTGCAAGCTCCACCTCCCAGGTTCACACCATTCTCCTGCCTCAGCCTCCCGGGTAGCTGGGACTACAGGCACCTACCACCACGCCTGGCTAATTTTTGTGTATTTTTAGTAGAGATGGGGTTTCATCGTGTTAGCCAGGATGGTCTCGATCTCCTGACCTCGTGATCCGCCCTCCTCGGCCTCCCAAAGTGCTAGGATTACAGGCGTGAGCCACCGTGCTCGGCCACAAAAATGCTTTCTTTCAAAGGGGCAGAGGACAGCTGGGGGGAGGGGGGCACGAGGGGAGTGGGTGATGTTGGGGAGGGAGGTCAGCCAGGATGACTTCAGGGCTGCTTGGGAATACCTGGTTCATTTTATCTTGAAAGTTGGTGATGTAAAGCAAAATAAAAGTCTCAGGATTCCCAAACTCATTATGCCAAAGGAAGAGTTAAGCCTGAGTCAGGTAACGTTACCATCCTTTTCCCAAACAGACAGCGATTACTTCCCAACCTTGTGTCAAAGCATTATACATTAACCAGACCCCCACAAAGGCAAAAGGCCTCCTGCACCCCTCTGGATGACTGCCCTCACAAGGGATGACCCCTTAACCTTTCAAGATGTATATCCTCCTATAAAACAAGTACATGTCAGTTGTAACTTTAGGTCTGTAAGCTGAATTTAGCTCCTAAAACTAAGGTCTGTTAAGTCTCACATGGACAAATATCGAGCTTATCTCCCCAGGTACAGAACAAGGACTAGACGAGATCAATCATTCCTTCCTCCACCCTGCCATGTCTACATAATTGACTCTTCGTTTTTACTCCCTCTTCTTTAAATGTTCACTGAATCTTGTGTAAAATGTAGATTTACTGGGCACTAAGTAGAGCCTCACAAGAATGTAATCGTTTGCCTCACCGCCTAGTCCCCACTTCCTGCATGCTTTTCACCTTTAAAGAAACATATAAATGCTGAGCCTCCTGAAAACCTCTTTGGACAGCACAGGCCACAGGGGCTTCTGTGACTTGTATTTTTCCCGGGTGTTCCCTCAGGCTCTGGCTCAATAAACCTTGGGTGATTGAGACTCCTGCCTCATTCTCTCATTTGGGTTGACAGTGTCATGTTTAAACTCAAATGTTCACAGTGTTTTTCTACCCTGTGAGGCTGATGGTCTTATTAGTATAATCTGTATTTGAAAGATAAGCAGAGGCTTGGGTGCTTGCCCATGTTCCTTTGGCTTTAGGAGCTAGGACTTAACTCAGTGCTATGAATCCAGAGGCTGGGATGTTCTAATACCCAAGCATGAATGATTCTTCCACTAATAATCACCTTGCACTTGTGCCTGTGGGCCTTACCATGGCTTACAGGACGCTGTGTACCCCGGCATTCAGTACCCCTCCTAAAGAAAAAAATAATTCATGACACTTGTTCAAGATGCTAAGGCAGATTTTATTCAGCGGGACTACTAGAATGGGATTTTGTAGTAGGAGAGAGAGATCAGGATCAATTCCAAAAACAACAAGGACAAGTGGAGATGTATAGACAAGGAGCAGGGTAGGGGTCAGTGGATGGAAAATTACTAAGAAGAAATGTCACAACTTGAAGGATTCTTGCTGAAGGAAGTCCAGCGGAATAATAAGGAGGTTGATCAGATATCAAGAGTGGAGAATTTTCGCTGAAATGACCCAGTAGGATTCTTGCTAAAACTGGACCAAATAGGATGACAACGCCCAAGGTCAGGTATTAGTCAGAAAGAGGACTCAGAGAAGCCTGAGTCAAGTCTGGTCAAAAAAGACAGTCTTTGTCACAACCCTGACCTCATTGCCGATCCTGCTCTCCCCTCGCTCAAAACCCTACATCACGGGCCTTTTTCTGCACCAGGCTATGCCCACCTCAGGCCTTTGCACCTGCTAGGCCTGGATGCCTTTCTTAGCGGGTGTCTGGCGGCCAGGGCCCTTGGCCTTTCAGGTCTTACCCAAATATCCCCTTCTCAATGAGACTGTCCCTAGCTTCCATGTTTATGAGCACACGTCCGCACACCCTCAGCATTTTCCACACCTCTTCCCTGATTGATTTTTCACCCTAGCACATATCACCATCTCATACACTACATATTTTCTTTATATATTTGTTTATTGGCTATTTTCCCCACAACTAGAATGTCTGTTCTATGAAGGAGGAACTTGTGTCTGTTCTGTTCACAGCTTTATCCTCAACACCAGGAGCAGCATCTGGCACCTACAAGGGGCTCACTCTTTAAATGAATTGGACACCTGGATGAGGGTCTCTATAAATACCCTCGGATCCAGATGATCTATGTCAGTACCAAAGGATAAGAATCCCCAATAGTAGGCCGAGCGCAGTGGCTCACGCCTCTAATCCCAGCACTCTAGGAGGCCGAGGTGGGTGGATCACGAGGTCAGGAGTTTGAGACTAGCCTGGCCAAGATGGTGAAACCCCGTCTCTACTAAAAATACAAAAATTAGCTGGGCACAGTGGCAGGCACCTGTATTCCCAGTTACTCAGGAGGCTGAGGCGGGAGAATCACTTGAACCCCGGAGGCAGAGGTTGCAGTGAGCTGAGATTGTGCCACTGTACTCTAGCCTGGGTGACAGAGCAAGACTCCGTCTCAAAAAAAAAAACAAGCAAAGAAATCCCCTGTAGTAAAGAAATCCCCAGTAGTCCAACCAATTCATAATATACTTCGTCATGCTTTCTTTCCATTTAATACAGTATCACAGAAATTAGCTCAGGTGAATGACAAAATATTCGCCTTCCGTAAGAAGTCTATGTTGGTACATGTTTGCAAGGGGGCAAAAAAGGAAAAGAAGTTCCAAATATTAAGACAAAGAAATCCATCTGATATGGTTTGGATCTGTGTGCCCACCAAATCTCATGTGGAATTGTAGTCCTCAGTGTTGGAGGTGGGGCCTGGTGGAAGGTGATTGGATCATGGGGACAGATTTCTCATGAATGGGTTAGCACCATCCCCTCAGTGCTGTTCTTGTGATAGTGAGTGAGTTATTGTGAGACCTGGTTGTTTAAAAGTGTGTAGTACCTTCCCCCGCCTCTTCCTCCCTCTCCAGCCATGTGAAGTGCTGGCTCACCCTTCACCTTCCCCCATGATTGTAAGTTTCCTGAGGGCTCCCCAGAAGCAGAAGCTCTTAGGCTTCCTGTACAGCCTGCAGAATGGTGAGCCAATTAAACCTCTTTTCCTTATAAATTACCCAGTCTCAGGTATTTCTTTATAGCAGTGCAAGAACTGAACAATACGCCATCTAAGATTTAGTCTGCTGCAGAAGAATTCATATGTATACAAGATTGTCTTTCTCACTCCTCAAAATAATAGATGAGTCAATAGGTATGTAAAACATAAAGAATGAACTGGGCCCTTAGTAGGGAATCAGTCAATATTAGCTATTATTATTATGTCCCCTTCCACACACCTCACCCTTTCCTGAAGCCTGCTCTTTCCTCTCCCTGGAATATGTCTTTCTTTGACCCTGTCTCTACCCACTGCCCCCTCACTTGACTCCCTGGCAATTCCTCATTCACCCTTTGAGTGTCAGCCATACTACTGCTTCTGTACAGAGGGTTTCTGACTGCCCTGGACAGGGCTAATCACTCCCTCCTCCAATAATAGCATCCAATACACAGGTGGAGATTATGTTGTGTTATAATTGTTCATTTGTCTCCACATCCTTCTCCCCTGAGGGCAGAGACTTACCTTATTGGACACTGTGTCCCCAGCCTCTAATACAAGTATGACACATGGCAGGACTGGGGGAATGATGGATGGACCTCAGGCATCCCAAACACAGTAAACAAGGAAGGAAAAAAATATCTCAGCCCACACAGGTGTTGCCCATTCATCATCCTTTGCCTGGGAGGATAGGTAAGCCCTGCTTCGAATGAACCCGGCATGCTTAAATGTTCAGCTAAAGCAAAGGGTGATTCATTCACACATGAGGGTTATTCATTTGAGGGCAGAGTTCACAAGTTTCTTTAAATAATGAGCTGCTTTGGTGCTCTCATAAGTAAGAGCCATCTTTCAAACAGGCAATTCGACCTCACCCTAGCAGATGCACAAATGAATAACACAAAGTACGGGACCCTTGTTGAAAAGACAGGTAAATCAGCATCACTTTCTACTTGGTCATGCACACTGTCACATTCACTGGCCACAGTCATCTATCTGTGTGATGCCAACAAACAGATTGACAAAAGCTCCCCAAAACGTCAAATCCAGATTAAGGAAGTTGGGGGGCAGAGAATCATCTAGACTGAGCAACAAGCAGGAATTTGGCCTTTTTGTTCCTATTTTTTTTTTCTGTTATAACATCCTCAGTCCCTAGACTGGTCCCTGGCACATAGGCAACACCCAATAAACATCTGTTGAATGAATGTGTGAATAAAGGACCCTACAACATCACTGGGAAAGAAACAAGGTGGAGAAGGCATTAAACGACTGTAGTTGGAAGGAATTCTTTAATAAGCCACTAGGAGCCCGTTGGTGTGAGTCCCCCAGGAGGCATGCTCAGGTTGGCGAGAGTGCACAGATGGTGACCAAATTGCTGTCCAAATTGACAGAGTGTGGGCTCAATGTATTGAAGGCCTTTTGTTTTGCTAAGCAAAGCATGCAGCTCCTATCTGGACATAAAGAACTGCCCCAGCCTCCTCCTTTTCTACCCTTTCTCTATGAATACTCATGTTCTTGTCTAAAGAAATGTTGAATATTTGGCCAGGCATGGTGGCTCACGCCTGTAATCTCAGCACTTTGGGAGCCAGAGACTGGCAGATCACCTGAGGTCAGGAGCTCAAGACCAGCCTGGACAACATAGTGAAACCCAGTTTCTACTAAAAATACAAAAATTAGCCAGGCATGGTAGCACACACCTGTAGTCCCAGCTACTCAGGAGACTGAGGCAAGAGAATCGCTTGAACCTGGGAGGCAGAGGTGGCAGTGAGCCGAGATTGCACCACTGCACTCCAGCCTGGGTGACAGGGCAAGACTCCGCAAAACAAAAACAAAAACAAAAACAAAACACAAACAAACAAAAAAAACTTGAATGTTTAAAGAACATTGTTTAAAATGACACAAAATTATTAGAAAGGCTGGGGTAACCACATGCCTCAGTTTAGCCTCGGCCATCATTTGATCCAGAACCATTTATAAGAGCTAGAAAATGCACAGAACAATTTTAAGAGTGGTACTGAACTGTTCTTCAGGTTGTTTGTGCATGAAAAATATCCCCAGGTGGGCTGTAATCATAATTTTAAAAGCTCAGCCATATGGGAAAGAAGCACTAGGATTATTTACCCAGTGTCAATCATATGTCAGACTGTATAAACTTGACACTTTCAACATATTATTTAATCCTTATGACCGCACTGCAAGAGAAGTGATATACCCCTTTTGCAGACAGGAACTGAAGCTCAAAAAGTAATACCAAACTTACCGAAGCTCACCCAGCCAATTTGTCACAGGCTGTCTGCTTCCACCCTGACTCAACACGCAGCTCATAGATGGGATTCAAAAAACACTTTAAGAGACTTCAAGAGAACCAAATCCTAATGATCAAAAAGTTTTCCTGACCTTTTCAGTGACTGACACAGTAGATCGGGTGTGTTAAGTGTGGCCTGGCACAGAACAGCAAAGGACCTGTGACCTCTCCCAGGAGATAGGGCAAGCCTCCAAAGCCTACTTTCCCAAGCCCCCCTTAAGCCTTGCTAGTCTATTTTGACTTCACAAGTCTGACTGCAGTGAAAGTCTGAGTGATAATGAGCTGTGTGGCAGAATGAGAAAGCGTTCTGTTGTGTTGAACAGGCCCCTGATGAGAATAGCTTAACTCCCCTTGCAGAGTGGCGAGAGTGCACAGTGGCACTGTTTCTTGGAAAAATAACACCACCAATCCATTGCAGGGATGTAGGTGGGAATGGCACAGAATGTAAGAACATATTGGCACTGTCTATTTAAAATAGCAAAAGCAGTAGAAAGACATAAATGCAGTAATTCTAACCTTGTTAAACTAAAAACATTCCTCGGGGCCCCTTGAGAAACTTTTATTTTGCTGCACAAGGAGGGAGGTGAACCAGCTTCTTCGAGGTCAGTTTCCTTTGGAGATTTTCCTATTCCACTCTCCATCTCACTGGCACGTGAGAAGAGTAGACATAAACTGAAGACACCAAGTATAAATGTAGAGATTTGGAAATGAGCTCTATTTTTAAAAGGTCTTCCTTTGGGTAAACCCATCAATAAACCTTTGCCCCAGGAATGGCTCTCTTGAAAATGAAAAAAGCCTCTAGGGTTCCTGGGTTCACTCGGGTTCTGCCACTTACCTTGGGCAAGGAAACTTATTCATCTGTATTTGTTTCCTCATCTGTAAAATGGGAATAAGAAAATGATTTATCTATAAGTTTTTTGTAAACATAAAATGAGATAATCCATGTAAACTAGCAGAGTACCTGATACATAAGAAGCAGTCAGTTGTTTATTATTATTACCTTTAAAACCCAGTCATAAATATGGACGAAGCTGTATGTTCACTGCAGCATTGTTTATATTAAAAAATCTAAAGCAATCTAAATATCCAAAATTAGGCAAATGATTAAGCAAAATAGGCTGCATATCCAGTTCTGAAAGATGATGAAATCATTGAAAATTCTTGCTATGAAATGATATAATAGTAATAATAGTTTTTTGTTTTTTTTTTTTTTGAGATGGAGTCTTGCTCCATTGCCCAGGCTGGAGTGCAGTGGTGTGATCTTGGCTCACAGCAACCTCCACCTCCCAGGTTCAAGCAATTCTCCTGCTTCAGCCTCCTGAGTAGCTGGGATTACAGGCATGCACCGCCAAGTCCAGCTAATTTTTTTTTGTATTTTTAGTAGAGACGGGGTTTCACCATGTTGGTCAGGCTTGTCTTGAACTCCTGACCTCGTGATCCGCCCGCCTTGGCCTCCCAAAGTGTTGGGATTACAGGCGTGAGCCACTGCGCCCGGCCAATATAATAGTATTTTTAAATGCTTATAATAAGTAGGAAAAAGTATATAAAATTACATATGTGGCATATTTACAGCTGTATAATAAAAATAGGGAAATAAAAAATTGCAAGTATATTAAAATATATTATGATAAATGAATGCTGGATAATTTTTAGCTTTCTCTATTTTCCAAAGGATTTTATATAGCTGTATGATTTTTAAAGTAAAAATATTCAAAATATTTTTAAAAATTTAAGTTGTTGCTTCTGGAGTATAATCTGCACTAAGACCCAATGATTGCACAATTGTTTTATTTTATTACTATATTCAGAAAAGAGGACCAGAGGGAAATACGTTAGGCCAAATACTTTTTTCTCTCAAAATAATTTTGTAAATTGTTATTTCTAGGAAAGCACCAATAAAAATGCTGGACATTTTCTTCTTTAGGACATATTTTCTAATATTTACACTCTATTTTCTCATCAACTTTCCTGTGGTTGCCACGAATGTTCTAGCTGACCCTTGTGGTCAAAAAAGCCTCTAAGGCCTAAGAAGCTAAAAGTCAGTTTCCAGCTAGTAAGAGTGCTTGTGATGGACAGGATAAACCTGCTAAAACCAAAGTCTGTCCTAAAAAATGCTTTATTCTCAGTCTTTCCCTTCCACAGCAACATTCTCCAACCTTCCCCCGACCCTGCCCCTTTCATTCAACAAAACTTCTTCACTCTTGTCATAAGCCAGTGCTATGCTAGAAGCTAGGAACAGAAGTGGATGAGACTCTGTCCCTGCCTGAAGGAGGTCAGTCCCAAGACCAGAGGTAAAGACAGTAAACACAATCACAATGCACCATGACAGGGGCCATGAAGGAATATCTGTGCCATGGGGTCAAAGGAGGGCACTACTACTCATGCCAGGGGGAACTTGGTCAATGGCACAAGGGAGATGGGTGGCACCTGATGAAGGCTTGGAATAAGCAACTATTTGCCAGGTAGGAAAGGGGCTGGAGTAAGGGCATTCCAGGCCAAGGAACAGCAGGTACAAAAACACAGCTGCAAAAGCACCATGAGGGCATGTGTGTTGTGGGGGAGGCTGTGAAAATCACTAGCAGGGCTGATGTCAAGTGGGGTTCAGCTGGGGAGAGGGCCGATCAGGCGGAGTCAGCATGTGAAGAGTCCATGCTAAAGCATCTGGCGTGAATCTTATAGGATAATAGTCAGTGGAAGTTTTGGAGCATCGAGACACATGCTCAGATTTTATTTTGGGAAGATAATGCTGGTACAGTGTGGAGGATGAGCTCATTTGAGGGGTGTAAGCAGTGGCAGGGATACAAATGAGGAGGTGGCTGCTGTAGTCTGATGAGTGCTAAGTAGGTCTTTTTAGGACCCTGCAGTGTGAAGAGAGGTGAGGAACCAGACCAGGGAGTTGTGAGAAAGGCAGGGGTGACAGTTCTGGCTGACCTGTTGCATCTGGGGGGTGCAAGAAATCAAGGATGCATGAATGAACAGATGGCTGTGGCCATGCCATTAACTAAGTTAGGAAATTTCAGAAAATAGGTTTGGTGGTAGGATGAGGAAAGATAATGAAATCAGTTTGGGACGGTTTGAGTCAATATGTCTGGGAGCATTTAGGCAGTTGACTAGAGAGAGGTCTAGTCCTTAGAAAATAGTTTAAGGCTGAAGATACTGACCAAGAAGCTGACAGCACAATAGTGGGGACACTCTAGAAATGGATGAGGTCACACTGGTGACCTAAAGGACAGAACTCTTGGGAATCATAACGCTTCAAGACACTCAATCTTCAAAATTAGATTTGACAGAGAGTTATCTGAGGGATTATTGAGGTTCTAAACCATGTGAATAGTGTTTTCTTTTCTGTGTCCATGCCTGATGAATTTTTAGTTCAAGTTTTTTTATTTGTTTCTGCTGACTCTAGAAATGCAGTGGTATAGTCAATGGGAGGCTTCGGAATCAGATAGAGCTGGTTGCTGTTCCAGCTCCCTGATTTAGGATGAAGCAGTTGAACTTCTCTGGCCCTGGTTTCCCACACTACAGAAGAGGTAGAATGGCATCTAACACTAGGAGAGTTGTTAAGATTTATAATCTGCTACTTGTCTGGTTGGTAACATAAAAGACTGTCACCTCAGTCCTATAGAATATTAAATATGCTAAACCAAAAGGCTTACCTTGGTAAGGATGCATCATCTAAAAAACTTGAAATCATTAGGTCCTGACTAGTGTATTTTAAACTGAAAATGTCTGTTGATTAATGTTTGAGCTGACTCTGGCATTTCAATTATTAAAAAGTAGACTAGAAAGTTCTAAGTGACAGGGTGTATTCATTTTTCTTCACAGTCATCTAATTTAGAGACAGTGGAACAAATCCAAGTAACAACTTTATTGTAGTATACAGCACAATTTTTACATACATATTAGTGGTTTTGACAGTGTTACTTTTGAGTAGACCTTAAATGAATCCACAAAGTTAATATATTAAAAATAAAATATACACAGTAAAACAACAGGCATCCAGATGTTCAGAATCATGCAGATAGGAGTGGTTTGGTTGGTGTTATCACTGGGTACCTTGCCTATTTAACTCGCCAGCAAATACCACTTCTTCTGTTTCTCATTCCCATATAATTCATCAAAATCAGAGAGTTCTAAACATATACAAAATAAACCTCTTTTAAAGCCACATCAGTAAAAAATTTCAATTAATAAGGTTATCATCAAACCAAGAATTCCACTGATCATTTGATCAGCCCATTACTAGGAAACAGGCAATATCAGCACCCGATCTAAAGGCAAGCCTATTTCATTTATTAAAACACCAACAAGAGAGATTAATCAACAAAGCAACTATTAACAACATGTTAATCTTAATATAAGACACTGAGAGAAAAGTAAAAATAATACATAAATATCACTCCACTGAGCCAGGATATAACTCATGGACTACAGATACATGAGTTTCTACCTGTCAAACAATGCTTTAAATATTTTTTCTAGGAAAAAAAAAAAAAAACACAATATATGAGAAGATGCAAAGGAAAGGCAGAAATGTGAATTTATGCATCTAGTTCCACAATTTAAAATAAATATCAAACTGACAATATAAAGCTAAGTGACAATGACTTAACCATTGGGCACCAAACAGGCAATACAACTGCTCACTGTAATACATAATGCTCTTCAGGAGTTTCCAGCAGATGGCCATCACAACAATACTGTCATAATACAGAAAAAACATTTATCCACTGTGGAAAGAGACCCTGAAGAGAATGTGGCAAAGGCATAGAGAAAAAGTTGGATCTTTTGAAAAAGTTAATGATATCAAAATACTTTTCCATCACTGGTAAACCAAGCTAGGTCAAGTATATGTCCCAAAGCAGCACTGAATTCAGAGTAAGAGGTTGGCAGAAAAGTTTGGAAAACTGCAGTTTTTAAAAATTGGCAATTTCTCCATGCTTAATAAAACTATCAGAAGAGGTATAATGTTTGTTCGTTTGTGGAATGTTGACTGCTTGCTGCAAAAATTTACAACATGAATGAGGACCTGCAGAGATGCATATCAATGAAATATTTTTTTAAAAATTTACAAAAAACTAAAGTTTCTATTTAAAAAAGAACCATGTTATGCCAAGATGAAACATGGTAAAAAGTAGTGTAAGTTCTGTCCATGATTCTTTACCTAGTGAATGGGAAAGTAATAGAAACAATTTTCTTCTTAAAAAGGAAGGTTTGTTATTGCACTGACTTTTACAACCTGACATAGTAATTTAGAAAAATCATGTAGTAAAATCTGTAAAATTAAAATATAAAAGTCTGGTTTGTAAACATCAGTTGGCCAAGTCTATTCAGAGTCCTTCATGATAGTGGAATGGAATGAATAATTAATTCACTACCTTATTTATTTGCTGTGAGGCAGAAAATTCCAGAACACAGCCTTTATACTTTCACAGTAATTATATTCAAAAGATATAAAGTCAGTGCAGTTATTTTTTTTCTTTCCCTGTGCAATGTTTAGCTCTCACCCCACTCCCAAGTGCCATAATTGAAATAATACTGGTTTGGAGAATTAGTACAGATTGGTCATAAATGCCGCATAAAGTCCGTAGGACTTCGGTAAAGGTATTTCCAAATGGCGTAGTAATGCACTGCAGCTGCCGTGGCCACAAACAGGTGCCAGATGGCGTGGGCAAATGGAATGATGCCATCACTCTTGAAGAACACAACTCCCAAGCAATAAATTAAGCCCCCACAGGCAAGTTCCTGAAGTCCATCGGTGTTGTTCTGTCAACAGAGAAAAAAAAATAAAAAGGGTTTGATGTTACTCTGCATGGCAAGCTACAGATAACTGTAATTCTCTCTAAGGCTCTTGATTTTCTAGACAATGAAGAAGCTGTGTGAACACAATCCTGATCTGTAAACATGAACCAAACATAAAAAAAGTCTCTTATACATCGACCTGGATTGCCCTTTGGACTGACACTCTTGAGTTGAGCAAGCAATCACATTACAGGTCCCAAATGAAAAAGCAGAACATTCTGCTCATTTACAGCATATTTAAGCAAACTGCAATCATAGCCAGACATGGGAGTTCATTTTAATAAAGTGCAATCCTCTGTTCTCATCTTCCCCTTTAAATGCTTCCTTCCCTACTAAGGCAGGCCCAAGCCACTCTATTTATAATTTACATCTCAGGCAGGGTATTTACTTCCCTTTGTCCTTCTCAAACACTGTTCTACACTGATTGCTGCTTTGAGACTTCCCCTGCTTATGTGAGCTTATAGATTCCTTAAGGCTGACACAGGAAAACCGTAACTAGAAGTGACCTCTGAAATCACAGATCACATAGTACAAGATATTTCCTAGCCTTCTAGATGTCTCCAGGCCTTTTTGTATTCGAGCCTGGCCATTGCTTAGCTTAGCAATAAGTTAATATTCTTGTGTGTCTTAGGGCAGAAGGGAGAATTTTTTAGGCTGTTCTTGGTTTTCAAAGACCAAGGCCCATCTACAAGATTAAAATGGCTTGTATGAATGAGGAGAGAGAATAGAGGCAATGCTTAGAAGCTGATGAAGAAACAAGTTAGTCCCCTGGATTTCTGAGGACTAGGAATAGAAAGGAGACAGGTTCTGCAGAGTGAATGGAAACCTAAGGCAGATCACGGCAGGGCCTTGGAAGGGGATAGGTGTGTGGGTGTCCTAGAGGCCTGGGCACTGGGCAGCAGCCTTGTGTGCCCCGCAAGAGTAAAGGGAAGCTCTAACTCAGGCACCTGATTAGAATGGGCCCCAAGGCCCTCGGCTAAAAGCAAGGCAACAATAGACCATCATGAGCTAAGGACCAGGTGTGAGGATCTAGGGCCAGCTGTGAGCTTCAGTCCTTTTTCAAAGTTCACAGAAGCCCCCATGTTTTGTGTGGGATCAAAAGATGGGGAAGGAGCCAATCCAAATGGACTGACATTGGATTTCTTCCTAACCTTGGTAAGAAAGGACTTCAGCTAGATTTATTTTTATTTAAAAAGTAAAAACAAAGACAAAATACCACACGTTATTAATTCCTCAAGGTTATACAGCAATGAATACACATTATACAAAAGTATTTGTGTGTGTATTAGGAGCCCTCTTCTAGGATAGGGGTAAGGCTCTCATCAGATTCGCAAAGGGGCACAGGGACTCCCAAATAGTAAGAGTCACTCATCTAACACAACCCCCTTATTGCAGAGGTGAGGAGACTAAGGCCAGAGCAGTGAAGTGGCCTGAACAAAATCACATGGCCAGTCACTGTTACAAAATATCCTTTTTTTTCCTTTCTGCCAAAACAAGCAAGACACCAAACCAAGTACGCAGGTTAGTTTTGACATGCATTCTGTTAACTAGTATCCTCAAGATACCACATTTACCTCAACTTTCAAAGACCTAGAACATAGTTAATTCTGTATCAAAACAGAATTTTTTTTTCATTATCATTATCATTATTGTAACTATGTGCCAGGCACTGTTTGAAGCACTTCATATATTTATTCATTTAATCTTCACAACGACCCTAAATTAGGTACTATTATCTCCATTATACAGATGAGAAAACTTTTTTATCCAGTCTGACAATCTCTGCCTTTTAGTTGGAGTGTTCAGTCCATTGTGATGTAATTGTTATTATATATGAGGTACCTAATTACTGATATGGTTGTATTGAAGCCTCCCGTCTTGCTCTCTGTTTTCTATTTGGTTTCATCCATCCTTTGTTTCCGTTTTCCAATTTTCCCACCTGCTTTAGACTAAATTGAATAACTTTGGGATTCCATTTTATCTTTTCTCTTGACTACTTAACTATAACATTTATTTTGCTTTTGTTGTTGTTGGTGGTGGTGGTGGTTATTCTTTTTTTTTTCTGAGATGGAGTCTTGTTCTGTTGCCCAGGCTGGAGTGCAGTGCATGATCTCAGCTCACTGCAAACTCCGCCTCCCAGGTTCAAGTGGATTCTCCTGCCTCAGCCTCCCAAGTAGATGGGATTACAGGCGTGTGCCACCACACCTGGCTAATTTTTGTATTTTTAGTAGAGATGGGGTTTCATCATGTCGGTCAGGCTGGTCTCGAACTCCTGACCTCGTGATCCACCCACCTCGGCCTCCCAAAGTGCTGGGATTACAGGCGTGAGCCACCGCGCCTGGCCAGTGGTGGTTATTCTACGGATTACAGTGTGCATCCTTAGCTCATCACAATGTACCTTTATTATTATACCCCCTATACAAGGTTAAGACCCTTAAAACAATGTGCTTCTATTTCTCCACCCCATCCATTGTTACCATGTACTTTACTTCTACATGTTAGAAACCCCCATGTTATCTTGTGAAGAAATTAAGAAATGAAAAACAGCCATGTATTTACATACAAATTCATCATTTCTAGCAATCCTGGTTTATTTATTTATTTATTTAGAGACAGCATCTTGCTCCGTTGCCCAGGCTGGAGTGCAGTGGCACGATCTTGGCTCACTGTAACCTCTGCCTCCCGTGTTCCAGTGATTCTCCTGCCTCAGCCTCCCAAGTAGCTGGGACTACAGGTGCCCACCACCACGCCCAGCTAATTTTTGTATTTTTAGTAGAGACGGGTTTTGCCATGTCGGCTAGGCTGGTCTCGAACTCCTGACCTCAAGTGATCTGCCTGCCTTGGCCTCCCTGGTTAAATTTTTGACATTAATATTACTAAACTGTGCTAACTTCAACTTGAAGTTGACAGGGTTTTTTTGTTTTTTCCTTTCCGCATTTTATTTATTTATTTATTTTATTTTATTTATTTTTGAGATGGAGTCTCATGTTGTTGCCTAGGCTGGAGTGCAGTGGCCCGACCTCAGCTCACTACAACCTCCTACAACCTCCACCTCTTGGGTTCAGGCGATTTTCCTGCCTCAGCCTCAGCCTCTCGAGTAGCTGGGATTACAGGAGTTCTGCCATCACATTCAGCTAATTTTTGTATTTTTAGTAGAGACAGGGTTTCACCATGTTGGCCAGGCTGGTCTTGAACTCCTGACTTCACATGATCCACCCGCCTCAGCCTCCAACGTGCTGGGATTACATGCGTGAGCCACAGCACCCGGACCCTTTCAGCATTTTAAATGTGCCATTACATTGTATTCCTGCTCCCATGAATTCTGATAAAATGTCAGTGGTCATCTTCTCTCCTTGCTCTTTTTTCTCTCTCTGGCTGATTTTAAGGTCTTGTCTTTGCCTTTGTTTTTTAGTAATTTGACTTTAATGTGTCTTAGTGTAGTTTTCTTTGTGTTTATACTGCTCAGGCCTCCTCGTGCTTTGTGGATCTCTAGGTTGATATTTTTCATCAAATTTGGAAAAGTTGTAACTATTATTTCTTCAAAAAAAAAAAAAAAAAAGAAAAGAAAAACTGTAAAACAGAAAACCCAAAACAAAAAACTGCCCCAATTTCTTTCTTCTTTTGTTCATTTTTAAATCACTCTTTTCTCTCATGCTTCAGTTTGTATAGTTTCTACAGACCTGGCTTCAAGTTCACTGAACTTTGCTTCTGCAATATCCAATCTGTTATTAAATCCCTCCAATAATTTTTTTTTCTTAAGACATCACAGTTTTCGGATCTAGAATCTCCATGTGGATTCTTCTTCATAGTCTCCAGGTATTTTCTGAGATTCCTCATCTGTTTTAAACTCCCTGTGTGTGAATCTCAGTATCTCTCCCGTCTTTTGATCTGTGTCTATTGATCTGTTTTCCCTTAGGTATGTGTCACTTTCCAGTTTCTTGCCCATCTGGTAATATTTATTATATATTTATTATTTATTTTATTACATTATTATTGATTTATTTCTGATAATATTTACTTATGGTACATGCTAAGTTGTTACAGTAAAGATTCTGTTGTATTCCTTTAAAAATTGTTGAGTTTTGTTCTGTTAGGCGGTTTATTTACTGGAGGATCAATTTTATCCTTTCAAGGTTTGTCTGGGCCTTGTTATGGCAGTTCTAGAGTAGCCCTCCCTCTAGGGATAGAGTAGCTCTACTCCTAAGCTGTGGCCTTGGCAGGGTCAGCTGAGTGCCTGGGATGTCCAGCACCATCTCTGAACTCTGCTTGGTTGGAACTTCAATGTCTTTCAGCACTGGGAACTGTCCGGAATTTCCATTTATCTTCCAGCCTTCTAAGAGTTATTTGCAACTGGAGCTTGCAGAGTTTTGGCCCGTACAACATTCAGCTTGATATCTGGACAACGACTCACGGAAACTGCTTCATGGATTTCTGAAGCATCCTCCCTGAGCGGCTTCCTCCTCTTCCATACCCTGCCCCACAAACTGCAGCCATGTCAGTAACCTGAACTGTAATTTCTGTTTCCTCCACCCAGGCTGCTGTTCTCTGGGCTTTACCTCCTTTTGTTGCTGTTTGGAAAGTGTCTCCAGGGAAACTACTGGGGTGAATTCAAAGCTCATTTTCTTGGTTTCTCTTCCTTCAAGGATCACAGTCCTGTACTGTTTGGGTTCAGAGCCAAAAAAACAGTTGCCTTTATTCTTTTTCTAGTTTTACAGTTCTTTATGGCAGAAGGGTAAGTCTGAGACCCATGATTCTGGCCAGAACCAAAGATTCGCATTTTCATTCATTCTGTTACTGTGTTAGTGGCTTTTGAGGTCCTTTGTGATCTGGACTCTTGTCTAGCTCTCCAGCTTTATTACAAGACTTGTGCTACCTGCATACCTGCCCCCACCATGCATATGTACATAACTCAAGCTGGTACATGTATTTTATGTTACAAACAATGAGCTATTTTCATTTCTCCAAAGATGCTGGTGCTTCCCCCTTCTCTGGGCTTCCTTCATGCTGTATTCTCTACCTGTAACACTTGCCTCACCCCTACCATCTCTCAGCTTCTACATGTTTTTCCAAATCAGCTGAAATATCACTTCCTCTGGTACTTCTGTCATGTTCGCATAGCAGCCTGAACTTTCCCCCATCAAATATTTTATCAAATTTCATGATCTCTTTTTCTTTAATAGGAACTGCATTTGCCTGCTTGACTCTAAGTTCTATGAAGGCAGTGTGGGGGATCATCCTGCTTGATTATCACAAACATTAGTCACCTGCTATTGTACCACTTATGGAAATGTCAATTTCAAATTTAGGCTAGTAAAATTACTGGATAAACCTGCTCTTATGATACCCAGAGGGAATTTGCTTGAAATTCTACTCTATTAAGCTGCACAAACCTTGCTTATATTGCTTGGGGTGTCCTGAAATGCCTTCTAACTATATGGCCTTCAAGGCTGATTTTCTCATTTCTGTCCTTTAACTCCTCCTCCTTACCATTCCCTGTTGCTTTTACCATCTATATGTATTTTGGGTGCTAGGTAATTATTAAAGCCATCATAAACCTCGTATCTCAAAGAAATATATTTTGTTATATTCTCATGAAGACATCCCCTGAAAAAACAGAACCAGATTTGAAACTTTTAAACCTTTTATAGGTGTTTTTGTGACCAGGAAAAAAACTATCACAGAATTATGTTCTTACAGCCAGGCGTGATGGCTTACGCATATAATCTCAGCACTTTGGGAGGCCGAGGCAGGTGGATCACCTGAGCTCAGGAGTTCAAGAACAGACTAGCCAACTTGGTGAAACCCCATCTCTACTAAAAATACAAAAAATTAGCCAAGGGTTGCAGCCCGCATCTGTAATCTCAGCTACTTAGGAGGCTGAGGTGGGAGAATCACTTGAACTCAGGAGGCGGAGGTTGCAGTGAGCCAAGATCGCTCTACTGCACTCCAGCTGGGCAACAGAGCAAGACTTTGTCTCAAAAAAAAGAAAAAAAAAAAAAGGTTCTTACAATGTGCCTATGAGATTAGGAGTGAAATCCTAAGTACAGTTCTTCTGAACAATGTAGGCTCAGAAGGGTTCAAACGAAACACCTTGGGACCTCCTTAGTTAATATAGTGCCTAGAGCCTAAGATACTGCAATATATAAGCTAAAGGGCTGGTAACCAGGTGGATGGAACCATGAAGTCGTAATAATATATTTTCATTTCAAAAAGACAGACACACACAGACTTCTCAACAGTAATTCAATTTGAAAGGGAATTCAAATATATACATGCAACTGCCTATTACAGGTAATGTTACACTTTACCCACGAAAATCCCCAAAAGATATTTTCAAGCAAAGTAAAAGAAAAAAAAAAGTGCTTGCCTTAGAAAACAGAACAAACAAACAAAAAAAGTGCTTGACTTACGACTTAAAAGCAAGGGAAAGGAAAAGTAAGAGTAAAGGGATTTGAAAAATACCTCTCTGAACCTATTCTGGTTCTGATTCAGGAAAGTACCATAAAGACAGAAACATACCTGAATTTATAGCTTTCCCAAACTGTACACGGTACCTAGTGCAAGCTTACGAGTTGCTGGCACACTTCATTATTTTTATTATTTTTTTGAGACAGGGTCTCGCTCTGTTCCTCAGGCTGTAGGGCATGAACACAGCTCACCACAGCCTCAACCTCCTGGGCTCAAGCAATCCTCCTGCCTCAGCCTCCCATGTAGCTGGGACCACAGGCACATGCCACCATGCCAAGCTAAACACTTCATTATTTATAAGTTCTTTTTCTTTTGAGCCTCTATTTAATGGACATAACTTTATAAAGAAAAGCTACATATCATATCCATAATCATGTTAAGTTCCAGCAGCTTAAAAGAAAATAACTAAAATTCTGAAGCCATGTCTTACCATTGATGTCACCACCAAGGCTGGAGAGAATCCCATTGTGAGATAGAAAAAGAGTTCAACCACCTTATATCTGCAGGAACAAAAATGCAGTTAATTTAACTTATAAATTTCTATAACACCTAACAATTTACATACCAGCCTTTCCTTTTTACTTTTGAGAAAGAAATGTAAACTCTTAACTATTCAAATAAAACTTTATTTCTCAGTAGGCAACCACTAGGCCTCTAACTAAAACACAGTAGCTGAGTAACAAGGAACTAGCATTTCTCTCAGGGTTGAAAAGGCATCAAATCCCACATGCCACCTAGAAAATGTTTTCTGCCGGCCGGGCACGGTGGCTCATGCCTGTAATCCCAGCACTTTGGGAAGCCGAGGCGGGCGGATCACGAGGTCAGGAGATCGAGACCATCCTGATTAACACGGTGAAACCCGTCCCTACTAAAAATACAAAAAATTAGCTGGGCGTGGCGAGCGCCTGTAGTCCCAGCTACTCGGGGAGATGAGGCAGGAGAATGGCGTGAACCCGAATGGCGTGAACCCGGGAGGCGGGGCTTGCAGTGAGCCGAGATCGCACCACTGCACTCCATCCAGTCTGGGTGACAGAGCGAGACTCAGTCTCAAAAAAAAAAAAAAAAAGAAAAGAAAAAAAAAAGAAAATGTTTTCTGCCAAAAGTAGTTATCGTTTAACCCACTCCACCTTGTAAAATATTTCCTCTTCTGATCCTAGAGTGTCTGCTTTCATTACCATTCCAATCCAGAGCTAGAAGTGAAATTCTGAAGATGAATGGAGATGCAGCCTGGAGCCTAGTTTATCAGCAAAAAGGAACAGCAAGCCCTAAGGAAAGGACGTGTAATTTTGTTTGTCTCTTTATTTTGCACCTGCACAAACTGTAATTTTAAGGCTCATCACGTTAGACTACAAAAGATCTAAAAACCCTAAGAAATACATTGTATTGAAATTCAAATTACATTTCAGCCTAATCAAACCAGACGATAAGCTCCTCAAAGGCAGGAACCAAGATTAATTATGTTTTGATCTGTAAATCCTAGAACAGTACCTGATACAATTTAGGTACTCCCTAATGTCTGCCAAACTGAATGGCCAAGGGTGACTCATACCTCATTCATCGTGTTTTATACTCAAAGCCTACCATGAAATAATCAGATAGGGGAAGAATGGGTTTATGGGTTTTGTTTACACCAGAAGGCCGGGAAAAGGAGAAAAGATAGTTGCCTTTCTTGACTTCCTATTTTATCCAAGGATATAAATAAGAGATTTGAGTCCAAGAAGCAAACCATTCCCTTGGACTTAAATATGCTATAATATATAACACTACTCAGCATTGCTAATTATGGTCAAAAAGGTATTTAAGTGAATTTCAGAGACAAAAAGAAGTTAGTGAAAACTACCATTTTCTTCTTCTGAAAGGGGAAAACAATTTAGTATTTTCTGATAAACACAAATTATGTTCAATTCTGAGAGCCATTCTGCCAAGCACAATAGATACAGAATTTAATGAACTGTAAATAAACCCAATGACAAAGATTTCCTGGTTGTGTGTTTCTCAAATTCAAACATACAGGGTAATAAAAAGAGCAATGGAATCAGAACTTGGATGTTTGGGTCCTAATTTCCAGATGAGTCACTAATTTGATGCATATCCTAAATGTTCTGACTTTTTAATCATGAAGTTGGAATAGGGGACCTTGAAGGTCTCCTCTAGAGCAAAGATACTAAATTTCAATTAGCTTTTGTTTTTATATGGCTCAATAATTAGGACTATCAGCTATGAATAACTGGCTAAAAAGCTGTGCCCTAGGGATAGGATATTAAGAGTTCCAATGTCCTTCCCAACATCCTTTTTCTCAAGATACCCTTTTTGGAATACCCTCTAGGCCCTTATTTAGGTATATTGTACTGAGCACTTAATATCTATTCTCTCCAATCTTCATAGACACCTTGACAAGTGGCTGGTTTTCTCACGTGATGACTGAATCACAGAGAATAAGGCCAATTTGCCTCATGCTATAGAAATGAAGTCTGATGGACTCCAAAGGGGCTGGTTACCATGTCCCCTCAACTACATTATACCAAACCTGTACCACTCTTGTTTTTCCACAGCAATCTTTCCACTAATAATGAATACCAAATGGTTTTGAAGATTTATTAAAAATAACATATTCTATATATGTATTTCTACTGTTTTGAAGTACAAATAAAAGTAAATTGTATTGCAGTGCAGATAATATTTAGGCAGTCAATTTTAAAACTATCAAATGTAAATTATTTTCTCTTACTTTTCATGGTAGAGAAATACATAAATGGTTCCTCCAGCTGCCATGAGCCAGATAAACCAACGCATATGAGATGCCAGGGGTCCAAGTTCACGAAGATTTAACCTAAAAATGTAAACGTGACAACAAAGAACAGAAGTGATAAATGAAGGGAATTCATAGAACCTGTGTCATTGAAAACTGAGAAAGTCTTAGGATAAGAGCAGGAAGAAAACACACTCAACACATCAAGCAGGCATTTGGGCAATTTAGGTAAAATTAAGCAACTCAAAAACAAATTTGTCAGTCGACCTTTAAGACTCAGAATTAGGCCGGGAGTGGTGGCTCACATCTGTAATCCCAGCACTTTGGGAGGCCGAGGCAGACGGATCACTTGAGGTCAGGAGTTCAAGATCAGCCTGGCCAACATGGTGAAACCCCATCTCTACTAAAAATACAAAAATTAGCCAGGTGTGGTGGCATGTGCCTGTAATCCAAGTTGCTCGGGAGGCTGAGGCAGGAGAATTGCTTGAGCCCGGGAGGCAGAGGTTGCAGTGAGCTGAGATTGCACCACTGCACTCCAGTCTGGGCGACAGAGCAAGACTCCACCTAAAAAAAAAAAAGAATTAGTTTCAACATGGTTTAAAAATAGAACCAGCTAAAAGCAGACAAGTTGAAGGGAGTCCCAGCACTCTTATGACGCCTAACTTACCCTATTAGGCAGAATGAGGTCAAAACTGCTTGCCCTTTAATTTCTGACCATGTATTTGGGAGCAGATTACTTACAAACCTTAATGAGAAGAACCTGGAACAAAATTTTGACGCAGGATCAGATACCCACAGTGGATACCTAATACACAAACCAAGTGTGTCTCCATTATCAGTCTCTCTGCCAAGAGAGAGTATGAGAAGAATTATTCCTAACATGTATTATGGAAGACATTTTGGTAGAATTTAACCATGGACTGTTGTGAGGTTTGAATTTTAAAATGCTGCAAATTCATTTGTACTAATTTCATATTAAGAATACATGAGAAGTTCAGGAACAGTGGCTCACACCTGTAATCCCAGAACTTTGGGAGGCCAAGGCAGGCAGATCACTTCAGGTCAGGAGTTCAAGACCAGCCTGGCCAACATGGTGGAACCCAGTCTCTACTAAAAATACAAAAGTTAGCTGGGCATGGTGGTGGGCACCTGTAATTCCAGCTACTAGGGAGGCTGAGGCAGGAGAATCGCTTGAACCCAGGAGGTAGAGGTTGCAGTGAGCTGAGATCGCACCACTGCACTCCAGCCTGGGTGACAGAACAAGACTCTGTCTCAAAAAAAATAAATAAAATAAATGAGGCCAGGTGTGGTGGCTCACACCTGTAATCCCAGCACTTTAGGAAGCTGACATGGGTGGATCACCTGAGGTCAGGGGTTGGAGACCAGCCTGACTAACATGGTGAAACCCCATCTCTACTAAAAATACAAAAAAATTAGCTGGGCATGGTGGCACGTGCCTGTAATCCCAGCTACTTGGAAGGCTGACGCAGGAGAATCTCTTGAACCCAGGAGGCAGAGGTTGCGGTGAGCCAAGATCGCGCCATTGCAGTCCAGTCCAGCCTGGGCAACAAGAGCAAAACTCCGTCTCAAAGAAAAAAAAAAAAAAAAAGAATAAATGAGGAAGAAACAAATGTTGTCCTGATTATCTATAACTACAAAAGTCACATTTCCAAATGGAAAAAGTACAGCCTACATATCTAAAACTACAGGTAAACAAATTGCCTACTATGATATTTAACTCCTCAGCTCACATTTAAATTAATTTTATTCATTTACTTATTTTAAATTAAAGAATTTAAAATAACTAAGTAAGGAATCCTGTTTGGAACACCCTGTAGGTTCCTACTGAAATAAGCATTGTTCTGGGCATTTAATGTCCATTCATAAAAGCCTTTCAGTGTTCTTCTTCCAACATGAAGCCGACCTATAATTTAGTCAGATGCTGGGCAAAGATAGCACTTACTTTTTACTCCTTCAGATAATCAGGTTTCTTTTGAATCATTGATGCTGCATTAGTCAGAATCTAGAGGCATACTGTTTCTAATGACTACAATAGATGATTGCAAAATATAAGCTTCTGAGTTTTTAAAACTGGATTATGTCTTGTAGAAGAAAGCTAATGTTTCTTTAATTAAGAGTTTCAAAGCAACAAAAGATTATATTTGATCAGCACCAAAAAGGCAGAAAGATCAAAGGCAATGAACAGGATACTAGGTATTTTAAATGGTTCTCTTACTCAGCAAAAGAAATGATAAACACACTTGCTATATAGTAGCTACTGCACTTGAGGTGAATTGAAGACAAATGGCTTAAGTTTCAAAAACAGGCTGGGTGCGGTGGCTCACGCCTGTAATCCCAGCACTTTGGGAGGCTGAGGTGGGCAGATCACTTGAGGTCAGGAGTTTGAGACCAGCCTGGGTAACATGGCGAAACCTCGTCTCTACTAAAAATAGAAAAACTAGCCAGGCATGGTGGCACATGCCTGTAGCCCCAGCTACTCAAAGGCTGAGACAGGAGAATCACTTGAAACTGGGAGGCAGAGGTTGCAGTGAGCTGAGATCACACCTCTGTACCCCAGGCTTGGTGACAGAGTGAGACTCTGTCTCAAAAAACCAACAAACAAAGAAGCCAGATGTGGTGGCAGGCACCTATAATCCCAGCTACTCGAGAGGCTGAGGCAGGAGAATCGCTTGAACCTGGGAGGTGGAGGTTGCATGAGCTGAGACCACGGGCCACTGCCACTGTACTCCAGCCTGGGCAACATAGTGAGACTCTGTCTCAAAACAAACAAACAAACAAACAAACAAAAATGGCCAAGCATGGTGGCTCATGACTGTAATCCCAACACTTTGGGAGGCAGAGGCGGGCAGATCACTTGGGGTCGGAGTTCGATACCAACCTGGTATCGACAACATGGTGAAACCCTATCTCCACCAAAAAATACAAAAATTAGCTCGGTGTGGTGGCACACGCCTGTAGTCCCAGCTACTTGGGAGAAAGAGGTGGGAGAATCACTTGAATCTGAGAGGTGGAGGTTGCAGTGAGCTGCATGGCCAACACAGTGAAATCCCGTCTCCCCCCAAAAATACAAAAATTAGCTGGGTGTGGTGGCACATGTCTGTAGTCCCAGCTACTTGGGAGAATGAGGTGTGAGAATCACTTGAACCCAGGAGGCAGAGATTGTAGTGAGCTGAGATCACGCCACTGCATTCCAGCCTGGGAGACAGAGTGAGACCCTGTCTCAAAAAATAAAAAAATAGGCCGGGCACGGTGGCTCACGCCTGTAATCCCAGCACTTTGGGAGATCAAGGTGGGCAGATCACTTGAGGTCAGGAGTTCCTGACCAGCCTGGCCAACATGGTGAAACCCCGTCTCTACTAAAAATACAAAAATTAGCCAGGCATGGTAGCACGTGCCTGTAATCCCAGTTACTCAGGAGGCTGAGGCAGGAGAATCTCTTAAACTCGGGAGGCAGAGGTTGCAGTGAGCCGAGATTGTGAGACTCCATCTCAAAATAAATAAATAAATAAATAAATAAATAAATAAATAAATAAATAAATAAGCTTGCTTTCCTCATACATATTTACAGCATTTCCACTTGAATAATTCAATTTTCTAGTGTTCTGAACAATAGCAGAGGTATAGGGAAACAATATGGAGAGCAAAGGTTACAGATTTCAAGAGTGAGCAAGCTATCTGCACACAAGTTCATAGCACTTCTTGAACAATCCAATACCCAGATATTATAAACAGCAGCAATATTCTCCCCTTCAAATATGCAATCTGACCCAAGTACATCAAATGGGGAAAAAAATGCATGCATGTATGTGTTCAGGAGGAGGGAAGGTGGTGTACACATGAGGGCTGAGGGTGGGGACAAGAGGGAGAAAGGAAAGGAGGAGTGAGGAATTCTAATCATAAAATCACTACCTTCGAAAATAGGAAGACTGTATCTTACCATGGAGCATAAGAAGCAGCAATGAAGAAATAGATAACCATTCTATCACACATGTGAAAACAATGCTCCACTGTCCTAGCGAGGGGGAAAAAAAAGTAAATTTGTCAGAAAGTGTTCAGATGGGAAGTACGGGTTATCACTCCACTATGTTGCAATTTCCATTCTTGTTCTAGTTCTCATGGCCTTTACACTTGTTCTTCCAAGGTTACACAGATTTTTGTTGCTGTTAATGTTATGAAGTCACGAGTAAAAGCTTTCTGTTATTTTTTAGGTTGCACATACAATAGATTCTCTCAGCATATATAAGACATAGGGACAGGGCCCCATGATAGTTAGAAAGCCTGAAGTGGTTAAAGCAAACAAACAAAATCTGTCTTTTTCTGATGTTTTCCATTTCTTTTGGATCCCCTCTAACAGAAAAATGAAGTTCCTGGAGGGCAGACCACCTCCCCGCAACCTGCCCCAGCTCCTATCAGTGCAGGGCAAAGTCCTGATGTTCAGTAAACACTCCCTGAGCTGAAATCACATTCTTTGTGTCTTTTTAGAAGGTATTTACAGTTTTTACTTCAAATATCCTGGTGTGGACAGTAAATAGTAATAAAGGAAATTCAGAAACTAACTTAGGAAAAACAGTAACAAAAACAAAAAATGGCACATTTACTACAAAAGCATAGCCACCTGTATTTCTAAGCAAGTTCCTCCTTCCAAAACTGAAAAGTCAGAGGTATATGTACAAAGAGTTTGGTTCACTGAGGTCTATTCATAAAATGGATTAGATGGAATTTGCCCTTTACTGAGGTAATTTAAAAGTACAAATTTGTAATATCATCTTGAATCTATTTTCAGTGTCCAAGTAGGTATAACTATAATTTGAGGGAACGCTAGTATTAGACTTTCCTCCCCCTACACGTAACATTGACCAAAGCAAATAATAAAGACTTGTGTGAGTAAGTGAAAAAACATACCCCATAAAGCCTGGGCATGGTGGCTCACAGCAATAATCACAGCACTTTGGGAGGCTGAGGCAGGTGGATCACTTGAGGTCAGGAATTTGAGACCAGCCTGGCCAACACAGTGAAACACTGTCTCTACTAAAAATACAAAAATTAGCCAGGTGTGGTGGCGCACGCCTGTAGTCCAAGCTACTCGGATGGCTGAAGCACAAGAATCACTTGAACCCAGGAGGCGGAGGTGGCAGTGAGCTGAGATCGCACCACTGCACTACAGTCTGGGCAACAGAGTGATAGTCTGTCTCAAAAAAAACAAAAATGTATTCCATAAATATATATACCTACCGTGTATCCACAAAAATTAAAAATAAAAAAAAAGTTTTAAAGGAATGAAAAATACATTTGTGAGAAAGAATGGGTTTCAGTCTACTAGTCATCAGAAGCTATAGCATACCCATAGATGATACTTTATGCCATAGGTCTAAAGAAGCAAACATTACGTCAATGCTTTTCAAACTTGACTGCATATCATCCCCTGGGGAGCTTACAAAATACAGTGATGGCCTCCAGTTCAGAAGATTCTGAAGTGCTAGGAGGTGAGATAGAGGGTGGAGGAAGGAGAATAAGTTTTTAAAACTCCTTGGATGACTGTGATTTCTAGCAAGGTTTTGGGCCTTTCTAATTCTGTTTTCTAGATTGTCATACGCTGTTAGAGTAGGTAGACAACAGACCTGGAATCTTATCCAAAATCTGCCACCGACCTCTCTGACTCTCACTTACCTCATAGGTAAAGTGGAAATAAGATCTTTCTCATGGAGTATGTGTGAACATTAAATGAGATAATGTAGGCCATGTATCTAGCATAGTGCCTAGCACACAGGAGCACCTACCACATAATAAATGCAAATTCCCTTCTCACTTTTACTTAAATAAGGCTTTTTTGATATTTAGAAATTTTAATGAGGAGCAAAAATCTACACATGGCATATGATTCTAGCAATGCTATTCAAAGTTAAAGAGAATCTAGTTTCTATTACACCTCTGGCAGGGAGACCCAGAATACTGAAGTAGGTACCTACAACTTTTTATTGATCCAAAATCTAGACATCGAAGCCAAGTTTGCTGAAACAACCACAAGCACTAAATTGTGCCAAGAAGGTAATATAGTACTTTGCATCTAAACTGGCCTCTGGGCGCTGCGACAGTGTGTCCTAAGGAGCCAGGACAGGCACTTTTGTGGTTCTCTTGTGAGTGTGTCCCAAAGTGCCCTTGTGATTCAATGCTGTGGTTTTATTTTAAGCCCAGGAAACTGTCACCTTACAGGAAAAGGTAGCAGACTGCAAGCTATATGCAATATTGTAAAAGATATGGTGAAAAAAACTAGGACTTGGAGTCAGAGGTCTTGGAATAATCAGATTTTGCCAGTTTCACTGACTCAGACAAGTCAGGCCACTTCTCTGAGCCTCAGTTCCCCCAAATAAAAATGAAGTGATTTGAATTAGATGATTTCTAAAGATCCTCCCAGCTCTAAAACTCTAGGATTCTGCATGTGAGGAAACCAGTAATCATCTCATAAATCTCAAATCCTGCTTGTAAAAGGAGCATATATTTTAAATATCAGATTGTTTGAATAGTTTGAGTTTTTTTTGGACGTTCTTTAAAACCAAAAGGCATATTCGAGTATTTCTTTAAATTGCTCATAGTCTGCTCTGAAACTTCCTTTTTTGAAAAGAAGTTTTGCCCTTTAGGGTTGTGCAGAATCCATTTCACAAGCAAACCATTCCCACCTAAATGGTGTGGTGCTCCAAAATCAATCCTTCACTCAGAGGAGGAAAGCGTTTACGTTCTTCTCATTGGCAGGCCAAGAGCTATAGTATTGTTTTGAAAGTGCTTGACTATTAATAGCAAAATACGTGAACTCTGTTTGAATAATATACACAAGACTTAATTCTGAAAGCTAAACTTTGCAAAATGGTAAACGCAAACTATAAGTATACCTTCATACCTCACACACTCATAGGGTCTTTTGTAATTTTCAAGTTATTTTCAAGTACCTTATCTCATTCACCTATCACACTGACTGTGTGACTCAGGTATTATTATTCTCATTTTAGTGATACAGATACTGAGGCTCCACAAGGTCAAGTGATTTACCCAAAATTAAAGAGCAGGGCTGGGCCTCAAAGCCTGCCTGCTGACTCCAAGCTCAGTGTGCTTTGTCACTACCCCATAGCTGCTGCTCTCATCATATCCTTAGTGTGCTTGATAGTACTGGAAAATAGCTCTCAGGTTTTTAAGTGGTAAGTCCTGGGGAATCAGTTAGGTTTTGTTTGGGGTTACTGAGCAAAGGCCTACCTTCTTAGATGCCTGCTGGGGAGGAGTCCTAAAACTTCATCCAGTCCAAAGAACAAGTCCTGAATAATGGGATAGTATTCTAGTCTACAAGGCAGAAAAATGTCTACTCTTTGCCCTACTTGACTAAAGCATGCCAGCTTGGAAGGGTACCAAACACGTTGAGTCAACTATTTGGATCTGTTGAAACAGCATGTCATCCACTGTACCTTAAGTGGCTCTTTTTCCATGATACAATGTGAAATACTGTAGAAACGATGAAGAGGGCACAGAGTCCCATTCCATAAATCCATGCTGTTATCTTTTCCCAGCAGTCATCAGACAGCCGATGGAGGAGGGCACTGCCCACGATGGCCGGAACAATGAGGAACTGAGGGAAAGATAAAGAATGGTGAATGGAATATTCTGGCTTTTATGGAATTGAGTCTTTTACTAAAAATACAGAGCTTTACCAGGAACAATTTTAGTAAAATAATCTTAGAGCAAGTATTTGTCTCTCCTGGATAATCATAACGAGAGCCAGATGAAGTTAGCTGCTACACTGGAAAGCAGGTAATACCACTCAGGGTCCAGGAATTGTGCCAACCAGTGGGGATACAATTAAGCCATCAAGGATGCAACATCATTCAGCTGTTGCAAAACAGATGGTTTTTTTTTTTTATCCTAATTTCATTAAATAAGGACATGTTTCATTCTACTTTATAATCTGATTTAGAGTAATTACTTAAAATATTCAAATGCCAAGCAGGCAGGGTGTGGTAGCTCATGACTGTAATCCCAGCACTTTGGGAGGCTGAGGCAGGAGAATCGCTTGAGCCCTGGAGTTCCAGACCAGCCTGGGCAACACAGCAAGACTCTGTATCTACAAAAATTTAAAAAATTCGCCAGGCATGGTGGCAAACACCTGTAGTCCCAGCTATTTGGCAGGCTGAGGTGGGAAGACTGCTTGGGCCTGAAAGGTTGAGGCTACAGTGAGCCATGATTGTACCACTGAACTCCAACCTGGGAGGCAGAGTGAGACCCCATTTCAAAAAACAGCCAAGCATATACTCAGATTTTTCAGGGAGGTCCTCATTTTAAAATATCTGTCCTATTGCAATTGAAATCTCAATATTTCAGGACAGGATAATTGAACAAATCAAGTAATAGGTATTATAATGTACATAGCAACACACACATACAAAAAGTCAGTTGTTGAAGTTATATACCCTGATTTTCAGTTTGGATCTGTACATTCCACCAATTTGAGAGCTACTGCAGAATGTAAGAGTTTTGGGGTCACTTCATTTTTAACAGAGCCTTTTAAGTAAGCAAGAGCAAACCATTTCCAAGGCCCACCTATTCAAAAAATCTTGAGAATTTTAGAGAGATTTGCTTTCTGCATCATATTTCATAGTCCACATGGTCACAAACTTTAATGTCTAGTCATATGTGTATGACTATGACTAGTAAACATCTTACAATGACAGAAGCTCCCAGGAGAATAAACTACTTTATTAGATATTAGAGTAAGCATACTTGACAAAGAATACAAATGTTAGCAATTTGCTTATCTTTTTTCTCCCCAAACCTACATTTGTCACCTTGCAACAGACTATTAAATCCCCTAGATGAGACTGGCATGAGTTTTTCAGATGCTGAAGTTTTCGTTGGCCCAAGCAAAATTAGAACATTAAATACAATTGCATCTCCTCCGGGAAGCAATGGCCACTGTAGGGGTGAGAGTCTATGGCTCGCCTTCCTATTTCAGAGGATTTAAGTACATTTAAGTACAATAAAGTTTTTCATAAAACAAAATGTATTTCATTTAAAGGAATGCCCTTTATCTTGAGATCATGTCCTTACTACTTTTCATGTTAAAGTATCTTCTCTTCAATGAAATGATGACAATAGGGGTGTTTTGTCTGTGTTAGAAATATTACTGGTCCCTGAAATCCAAAAATTCAAGATACGGTTTAATAAGATTATATTTTCTGTTCTAAAAAAATTAATATGGGGGTTTTGTCAGGTCTCCCTTTACTTAAGTTTACACAAGTGTTCCTTAACCTGTGACACACTCAGAAGAGACAAGTTAAGGTTTATTCAGGTTCATCCGAGTAAATATTATTCCTAAAGGTAAGCTGTGTGTTTCAATATCTGAACCATTGTATTGTACCAACAGTGACTACCACAGTTAAACTAGCCTGTTCCAAACACTCATTGTTAAAGAAGCAAACTGGTCTTTTCTCTATTTCTTGTTTTCAGACTGTATCCCAGCCACTATTTTTCCCTCAATGTCACTAAATGCAAGGGAATAATGAAACCACAGGTAAAGTAAAAAATTTATAATGACATAAGAAATGCCATTAATGTCACATTAACAGGAAAACTGAAAATACATACATATTCACAAACACCCCCAACACAGAGACACACATATACACACACACATACACACAAACACACACACAAAGAAATGCACCGAAGTGTTAACAGTTTATTTCTGGTTAGTTTTGTTTTTCTTATATATTTTTCAGTATTTTTAAAGTTTCTTATAATAAGCATGTTTTGCTTTTACAAAGCAGAAAAAAATTAACAAAAAATTTAGGGATCACATCGGCTTTTTCTTCACCAATATGGAATAACATCTCCTCTGGGAAGCAATGGCCACTGTAGGAGTGGGAGGCTATGGCTCCCCTCCCCATTTCAGAGGATCACTTAATTTTAAAAAGCATCTTTTTCAACAAACTGTGAACTCTCTTTGCCAAATGAACACAGTTGATTGTCTTGAAAAGGCGATTCATTTCATTCTAGGGGTGACAGTCTTCATAAATAGGTGTCTTTGGTTTTTCTATAACTAGGGTACATACTATTATTATTCCTTTAAAGAATATCTTGTTGGAGAAAGCGAATCCAGGACAGAGCTGACTGTAGGTTAGAACACACAAAGCATTCTACATGCTTACATAGTTTCTGGTGACACGACCCAGAACTGATTTCCTGGTAGATAAGGTCACAGATGGGTAAATCCAACTAATTGTGCTGAGGTTACTAGAGATAACTACCCCTTCCTCCCACCAAAGCCCCGTGGAAAGGATGGCAATGGTGGAAAACTTGTACTCACTGCGTGTGTGTAACAGTTAGCAGCATGTTCATAGCAAGTTGGCTTGTAGCGGCCATTGGCTGGAGCTCGATGGTTCATGAACCTGTAAAAACAAAAAGAACACATGTAAGAAAAACTCAAAGTGTGTGAAGAACAATGAGGAAACCCACCAGTGGGTATGTGGTCTATTCTACGCAAAGAAGTGACTGGTGGAAATACCCAGTTGCGGTAATAAAGCCAAAGCCACTAAAGAGGAGTAAACTGAGCCAATAGCAATGATCCTTAAGCAAATACCCTAGTTTATTAGATTAAGCCTTCTTTCAGTTTATTCAAAAGAAAAACCTTCCATAACCAAAAGCAAACTTCTACAACCAAAAGCAAAGAGAAACCATATCCACCCCTTCAACTGGAACCCTCCTCCTCCATTCACACACACACACACACACACACACACACACACACACACACACGGTACAACTAGAAAAAAAAAACGAATTTTTCTAAATTTTATTGTCATTTAGTGAAAAGGGATACACTACATTTGAAAAACAAAGTTTCTATTTTCTCTCTTAAAATTTATAAAGCTTTATATAGGCACATCTTTAAACCCTACATCCCATGATTAACAGGCCTGTCCCACTAGTTTCCCTATATTGTATTACCAGACAGCTTAAATAAATGACACCTGGCTACCTCTAGGCAACTTAAAACCGGAGGTATGTTTTCACCTTTGTTCTTCCTGAAATCAAAAAGTCTGCTTCAAAAACCAAACACATGACTACTACCTGATTCTTTTGGCTATAAAATTCATATATACACACAAATGTGTGTACGTATCTAAATATCAAAATCTGTTACATATATAGACATATGCCCATATTCCGCACTTCCCTTTAGGCTAACTTTGTGACCATCAGTAGTACAGAGAAAAGCATGAATACCACAGAACCTAAAGAGAGGATAGCATTCTTCCATTTCAGTATGCTGAGTGAGGATGCCCTCCCCACCAAAAACCCAACCCATACCCACAACAGGTTTCATGAGGGACTCTGGATTAGTCTAATTAATCCTTTTTTTCTCAGGAGAGAAAAAAGCAGCTGTCTGAATAAAAGAAGAAAGAGGTAGATGCACAGAAACAGACGGACGTAAAAAAAAAAAAAAATTTCAACAGCATTCAGGTTGCAGAGGTCCACTGCACTCCTGTGCTTAAGAGTCTGTAAGACGTCAACAGGCTTTGCACAATAAATAATCCTTTTGCTCAAGCTAGTTTAAAGAAGTGTGAATGGGGGTTGGGGGTTGGTATTTTGTGCCACTAATGAGTTCTAACTACTCATTACCTTATTCATACACAAAATAAAAAATGGTACAGGGCTGAACCAAATGGTAGAACCAAGTTGCCAAAAATTGGCTAAAACGCATGACCAAGCCATTTTAGAGAGTGCCAAGTTTATTAATAAAAGACCAGCCAATACTCTTTCCCTGAGTTAGGAAGAGCCTGTTATCGTTAGATCAAATAAATAAAAATAAAGTGGCAGCCACTATTAACACAATACAGATAGTTCAGGTGGAAAATCCACTGGGGAATGAATTTGGGACAGTGAAGATATTTCACTTGGCCCACTGATGGGTTAAGATATTTAACTAGTGTACAAAATATGTACTTACTGAGTATAATCTACCAGATGGTTTGAAAACCAACTGTTAAAGAGAAATATACAGTTAGTAGCTTCAAAATTTATCCAAGCTATTCTCAAATATAGTTAACTATTATTAAGCATCATCTTTTCTCCCCTGATAATATTTTAAATAATTTTACTAATTTCCTAAGAGACAAGAGTGTTGCTATACAGCTCTTATTAGCAAAAAAGAAAATAATTACACTCTTGGGAAGAATGCTTTAAAAGTGTCCCAAGAATTGGAGGATATACCACATCATTGTCCTGAGACATAACAACAGAGCTATAAGTAGCATACCCTATTAGGAATTTTCAAGGCTAAAGAGCAAGGCCCCAAGATGGCTGTAGTTAGATGAAATTGAATGTGCTCTGTGTAGGGTGCAGTAAGTAGGATTTGTCTACCCACCACCAGGCTGCAGACTAAAATAGCAATTTATATCTCTGGCAGCCCAATCTAAAAATAGTCAAGCCATTACCCAGCAACAGGGATAGACTTTCACATTTTCTCCTAAAAACAAATAAACTGGATGGCCATGTTTGTGACAGCTTAGTCCCTGATCACCTGGAATAATTCACATTAAAAAATAAAAGTAGAAAGTTATACAGAAAAATATCCCACCCATGGTGACTTAAGGCACTCTATCCTGATGCACAGGGTAAGACACGGGCAATAGGGAAAGATAAGGGTAACTATCCTGGAAGCAATTCTCTAAATCTGGGGCTCAGTAGGATAGACAGCATAATTGTTCTGCTGGGAAAGTACAATACAATTTTCCCATTTCTCTCTAACCTGCCAGGGTGCAATCAAGCCTCCTCCACAGCCTCCTGAAGAAATCACTCCTAAAACCTAAATGGAAAAGCAGATGTAAAATGTAAATCAACTCCCACACTCTGGCCTTCATCTCTTCCCCGAAAAAAGAATGGGAAAGGTTCAAGTGCTGGTTATGGAAAACAGCATCCATTTATGGAAGACATCTCTATTTAAAGCGGAGTGGCCCTAATGGTTACTCAATGCTTGAGTAACCAACAAGCTCTAGAGGGTTTGAAGGAAGGTGATTCAGTCCTGGGAGTGGGAGCTGCACTTAATAAAGCTACTAGTTAGGCAGAGTTTTTTTACTCATTCCTTCACTTTCTCTTTCAAAACTCTCCTGCCTTCCCCCTTGCCCAACGTTCTTATCACCTCCTCCTTCCCCCATACCCCTCTCCCATGCCATGACAGAATTTCAAAACCATGGAGGGAAAGAACAGATCAGAGACCTGGGAACACTCCTTAGCACACTAACACACTTTAAATTCAACCTAAAGCACTGTGCCCACTGAGTAGATCTGCAACCCACCAGCAGATCTCAGAGGCTGATCTCAGTAGATCAAATCCCACAAGTGTTCCTCATTCTCCGAGTGCAAGTACCATCAACACTACCTTCAAAATATATTTCAAATAAGTCCACCTCATCACTTGAGGTCAGGAGTTCAAGACCAGCCTGGCCAACATAGAGAAACTCCATCTCTACAAAAATACAAAAATTAGCCTGGTGTGGTGGTGTGCACCTGTAATCCCAGCTCCGCGTCTCCTACCTTAAATAAAGACCTAACATCTCAGGTCTGTACAAATACAAAGTCTCTTAACTAGTCTTCCTGCTTGACCCAGTACAGACTCTCTTCTTTACATAGCAGCTACAGTTTTCCATTAGAAACAGATGAGGGGCTGGGCATGGTGGCTCACACCTGTAATCCCAGCACTTTTGGGGAGCTGAGGCGGGAGGTTGCTTGAGCCCAAGAGTTTAAGACCAGCCTAGGCGGTATAGTGAGATCCCATCTCTACACACAAAAAAAAATGTAAAAATTAGCCAGGTGTGGTAGTGTATGCCTGTAGCCCCAGCTACTTCTGACTGAGGTAGAAGGACTGCTTGAGCCTCGGAGGTCAAGGCTGCAACAGTGAGTTGTGATGGCACCACTGCACTCCAGTCTGGGTGACAGAACAAGACCCTGTCTCAAAAACAAACAACAACAAAAAACCCAGATCACATCACACACCCCAATCCCAGCTTAAAGTCTGCCTCTGGCTTCCCAAAGTGCTTACGATAGCACTGTAACACAGTGTTCAGAGGCCCACAAGCCCTGAGTGGTCTGGGCCTCACTACCCCTCCAGTCTCAGGGTGGCATCTTTCTCTCTCTCCATCCTCTGGCTATACCACCTCCTTTCTGCTCCTTAAACACATCAAGGTTGTGTCTGCCTCTGGGCATGTGTACTTGCTGTTTACTTCTGTCTAGGATATTCTCCAGAATGCTCAGCTCTCTTCTCATCCTTTCAGCTCAGCTCAGATGTCACCTCCTCAAGAGAGGTTTTCCAGACTATCCTAACTGAAGTATCATTTCAACCCTCCCCATCCAACCAGAGCCCTATGTCACAATTGGTAAGACTTTGATTTGTTTTAGCTTATTTTTTATTTCATCTTTTCCCACTGTAGTGTGAATTCCATGAAGGCTGTCTTGTTCACCTTTCCATTACCAAACTGAAGTACAATGCCCAGCTTATTGCTAGAGCTTAATAATTGTTGAATGAATAGAAAGACATTCCAGCTACTGCTGAACTATTTTGTCTTAACAAAGATATCCCATAGTCAATTAGTTTTACTGTGGACACAGCAGGTTCTGTAAGTAAGAGAAACAGGCAGCCTTGGAACCAAGAGAACCCCGAATCTCACACACACACAAAAACACTTAAAATCCAAGACAACGGATATTCCAAGGGCCCCTTCAACATCATTTATGTTGCAACGTATAAGTGGACCCCTCTTACTATTAGCTCCCCTTTATGACTGAGCATATTTGTTCAGGAAAAGTGTCTACTGTCAATAGTGCCAATCTTGACTTAATTATTAAATAAAGGAAGATGGCATATATAAGGAGACTACCCCATGCCTATGATTTAGTGCTTTAAGAACATGGGAAAAAAGACAATAGGTAGCCCTGTAAGACTTCTAATACTGTAGATTAAAATGCTTTCCCACATATCCAGTTTTGAAGCTAGCTGCATGATCATGAGGTTGGGGCTGAGGAAAAGGGCTTCTTTTTCCTTGGATTTTTGGTTGCAAGACTGTTGAAATGAGTACACACCAACAAGAAGATACAGTAGAGCTCTGTGGATCTTATGCCTATAAGATCTGTGTGCCCACACACAGATGTGGTGTGGGCAGAGAGTTAAGAGAGAGAAAGAGGTGAGCTAGCAGCATGACTGGTTGAGAGACAGACATGAAGTTGAACTCTTGGGTCTACCCCTTCCTAGCTGTGTGACTATGGGCAAGTTCCCTTTCATTCTCTAAACCTATTTACTCTTCTATTAAATGGGTATAACATTTATGTCTTCCAGAGTTATAGTTGAGGATGAGTAATATACAAGTGCCCAGCCAGTGCCTGGCATAGATAAATGGCACTCAATAAATATTAGCAGTTATTGCCATCAATCAGAGATGCTATGAAGGGGAGAGGATGACTTTGTGTTTGTCTATGTGTGTGTAGGTATCTTGGGGATACTCAAGTGTGAAACATAAAATGAGGAAGATAAAATATGCCTCTGTGTTCCAGTGAAATTTTTCACATCCTAAGTTTGTTAAGAAGCCATCATTGCATAAACCCTCCTCATGCTCCTCCATCCAGTCCCAATAAATCTATCAGGAGGGAGGAAGCATGTCTCCCTTCAAAGACAGTGTGTCTCTCCCTCCAGTTCCTTTGCAATTTACCTACCTGGGAATGCTCAGAAAGATATATCATGAACACAGCATTAAAAGATGCAGAATAGTACTACTCTCAGCATTTTAATGTGTGAACCACAAAAATCAGGACATTCTCATTACATTACTTTTTGTTTATAGGCTTTATTTCCAAGTTAAAATTGATGCTTAGAACTATGTTTCCAACCTAGCTTATGATAGAAAACCAAGAAATTATGAGATCACACAAATCTTCAAAGAAAATCAGGGTAGATCTAGATGTCATCAAGAAAGAAACTGTTAAATATCCATTGAGAAACACACAAGCCCCCAAGAAAATTACAGTCTATGCCACACCAAAAGAAAATACCTGTATTTTTAGTTTTTAAGTGAATAATAGCGCAAAAATCACATTACAACTGTGCTAATAAGGAATGGAGAGATCAGTGTCCAGCAAAAATAATTAAAAAGTCAGTTCAATAAGCTGAGAGGGTAGCATCCTAAATGAAGTTGTTGTTGTTGTTGTTTTAACAGTTTTAACGTTTGTGCAACAAATAATTGAACAGGGTTTGTTTGTTTTTTTTCTTTTTAGAGGATCCAAAGGTATAGGTAAGAATGACAAACTCTTAATCAAACAAGGAAGGGGCAATTTCACAGAATATTGCCACTGTTCTCTGAAAACAGGAAGAGCACAGACGTGTAGAGAAGTAAAACCAAATCAAACCGCATGCACAGGGCTTCACTGATCATGACTGGAGTGCATGTTACATTCTCTCTAAAAGCCCCTCCGGTCTTCATTTCTGACATCAGGTTCTAAAGTCAGAACACTACGGTTCCATTTTGCCCTTAGACACACCGGTATGAAGTTCCACTGGGGGAACAGTGCCAAGCATTCAACACCCTGACTGATAAGCAATATATTCAGAAGTCAATCCAAGTCTTCAAGCTGATCCCCTTCCTGGTGGCCCAGACCATGGCAACTCTTCTGTGCATTTGTTGCCTCCTTTACCCTTTGGGACTGGGGGAGGAATGAGATGGGTGAGAGGGCAGTGAGGGCATGGAGATTGGAAAGAAAAAAAAAATGTGTACTTTAAAATTCTGAAATAAAAGGTAGTGTCTAAAAACTCAACAACCTTCTTGGAAGATTTCATGCATTTCTTAAAATTTCCCCTGTCACTGCACCCCCAGCAAACATGCTGGTGGTGAAGGTCCGGGAATTCACACAAAGGGATGCAGTTACCATATGCCCTGGAGAGGTGAACTTTCACCCACTTAAACAGAAAAGAAAAGCCCGGAGTTCCTCTCAGAGTCATGGGCTAACCTCCATCCATTGTTAGACGGTGGAGCCCCAGAGGGGAGTAAGGCCACGGCGCCCCCCAGCCCGGCATTTCCACCAGCTCTACAGTGAATGAGCAGTCGGCCAGCCTTCCGGTGGCGCCTCCACGGTTCCTCCTCCTCGTTTCCTAACACCGGCGCCTCCACAGCAGGTCTCGCCACCCGAAAGCTAACATGCCCCTTCGCAGAGCCCAAAAATAGCACCGCCCTGGGACGTTCAGCTGGAGAACCAGCAAGGCCCCTACACGGCCAGGCAGGGCTAAGCTGGCGGAGCGTGCCTCAGTTTCCCTGTTGCTAGGGCCGTTCACAAAGCACCCAAAATGCCTAGCACCCCGCTTTACGACAAATCTCTCCGCAGGGCGCCACCCCGTTCCGCGCGCCCCGGGAGACCCCCACCCTGGAGGTAAAGGGATGGAGGCCAAAGCCAGGTCGGAGGACTCGGGGGCGGTGCCCGGGGCTGGGGTTCGGGTTCCCAGAGAGAGCCAGAGCCCAGCCTGTATGGGGGTCGGGAGGGTGAGCCCCAGGAGCAAAGGGATCCCCGGGAAGGAGGACAGGCTTGGAGTCCCGGGGCCGGGAATCCATCTGAGGTCCGCAGATCGCGAGGGGAGACCCGGGTGAGGCAGGAGCTCCCATCCTTGGAGGAAGGGGATCGCCCAGGGACAGCAGGGTGGGGAATCCCCAGGGAACTGATCCCTGGCCAAGGTGCGGGATCCACCCAGGATGAATCCAGGTGAGGAGCCGGGAGCCGTGCGCTTAACGGCGGGATTTGGGAACCCGCTTCTGACACGGGCAGCGGGACCGGGACGCCATCCCTCTCACCGCTGGAATCGATTCTTGAACCGCATTGATCCTCTGCTCCTCCTCGGGGGCCAGGAGCTCCGTCTCGTCAGCACCGGCGGCCGGGCGCGCGGCCCTCATGGGCTTGGGCTGCTCCGGAGGCCGCCTGCGTGTCCAGCGGAACCCTTCGGCCGGGTAGGGTCGGAGTGGGCCAGGCCGGGGGTCGGGACAGGGCTGGGGCCAGACCGGGCGGCTGGGGGCGGGAGGGAGGCCGCTTCAACGGCCCCAACACCTCCCGCCTCCCGCCTCCCGCCTCCCCGGCTCCTCCGCCCCGGGGCTCCTGCGCCCCGCCCCGGAGCCCGGCTCCGCCCCCGCCGGCTCTGTTCGCCTGCGTGCACCCGCGGTCGCCGGCGCGTCAGCGCGCCGGTCAGCCAATCGGCACCCCGAGCGGCGCGGCGGCTACGCTGCCATTCATTCCCGCCGGGCTCGGGCAGCGAGGCGGGGCCTCGCTGGGGAGGGGCGGGGCGAGGGGAAGGGGAGGAGCGCGGGAACGCGGCGCCCTTCTGTAAGAGACAAGTTGGAGAAGAGATCGAGGGAGGGAGAGAAGTGGTGAAGGAGGAGATGGACCAGGAAATCTTAAAAGCATTGTGAAGAAAATAGCAGCAAACAAGCAGCCCTACCTCATTCATTTTTTCTTCATCATTAATTTCTCCATCCCTCCTTTCATTTATTCCTTCATCATTTTGAGGGCCAGCTCCCGCGAGGCTATTGTGAGAGGATCCAGGGCAGAATGAAAAACCTGTCCTTGTCTGACCCTTGAGGGAGTTGAGATCTCTGAGCGTCTTCTAACTCTGAGATTCAGTGAGATCCACAAAAGGAGGAATCCTCTGCAAGGATCCTTTTATGTTATCCTCCAGTTTATTTTTTATTTTATTTTATTTTTATCCAGGCAGCTTTCAAATAAACGAGTTGACTTGAATCAGGGTCCTGTCGCTAAACCTAAACTCAGAGGGCTTCCTGGAAGAGAAGTTCAAATAAAAATGAATGAATGGGCCAGGTGCTGTGGTTCATGCCTGTAATCCCAGCACTTTGGGAAGCCAAGGTGGGCGGATCACCTGAGGTCAGGAGTTCGAGACCAGCCTGGCCAACTTGGTGAAACCTTGTCTCTACTAAAAATACAAAAATTAGCCGGGAGTGGTGGCGGGCTCCTGTAATCCCAGCTACTCGGGGGGCTGAGATGGGAGAATCACTTGAACTTGGGAGATAGAGGTTGCAGTGAGCCGAGATTGCACCACTGCATTCCAGCCTGGGTGACAGAGTGAGACTCTGTCTCTCTCTCTCTCTCTCACACACACACACATACACACAGAATGAATGAATGGGTGATTTGTCGAGCCTTTCCAGGATCACTGATGGAAGTTATATGTGTTCCCTTCCAGGTATCGTGTCCATACCCAGCCCCCAGCCTGCAGGCTAGAGACTCTGAAGTGGCATGAGGCCAGCCTGCTAGGAGTGCTCATTCGACCTACAGTAAAGCATTGGAAAGCCAGGGAATTCTGTCACCCATAATTCTAGTTCCCTTTCCTTGAACCTTCCAGAGAGGTGCTTTCCATGCTTCAATCTTCCCAAGAGCTCCTCCAGATGGGCATTATCCAACTTATTTTACAGATAAGGCTGAGGCTTATAGTGGTCAATAAACTTGCCAAAGGCAAAAGTAAGGCTCCTACCTACCTTTCGCTAACTTTAAAGACCCACCTCCTTTCAGTACGTCAGACTATCTCTCCCTGTTTTAAAGCAATACACTTCTCTAAAACAAAACAAACAAAACAAAACTTCATCTACCCGCACCCTCAACACTAAATCGGGAAAATGAACCTGGAATGAAAGTCTGCTTCTTATCAGCTATGTTGGGCCACTGGGCTAAAACATCAGTGCGGGAGGGGAAGGTAACAAAGGAGATAGCTAATAAAGATAGATGAAAAATAGCCATGTGTAATAACATAAGAAGGGTTAAAAAATAAAACAAGGAAGCTCAATTGTAACAGATGTACCACACTGTTGGGGGATTTTGATAACAGGAGAGGCTATGTATGTGTGGGAAATCCCTGTACTTTACTCTCAATTTTTGAGTGATCCTAAAACTTCTCTGGAAAAAAAAAAGTCTTTTTTTTTTTTTTTTTAAAGGGCCAGGCACAGTGGTTTGCACCTGTAATCCCAACACTTCGGGAGGTCTAGGTGGGAGGATCGCTTGAAGCCTGGAGATTGAAACTAGCCTGAGCACCAAAGCAAGAGTTCATCTCTAACAACAACAACAACAAAATTAGCCAGGTGTTGTGGTAGGCACCTGTAGTCCCAGCTACTTGGGAGGTTGAGATGGGAGGATCACTTGAACCTGGGCCACAGAGTGAGATCCTGTCAAAAAAAAAAAAAAAAGAAGGAAGGAAGGAAAGAAAGGCAGTGCTGATATATGTTACAACATGGATGAACCTTGGAAACACTATGTTAAATGAAAGAAACCAGTCACAAAGAACTGCAGATTGTATGATTCCATTCATACAAAATTCCATTTATATGTCCCAGAACAGGCAAATCTATAAAGACAGAAAGTAGATTAGTGGTTGCCTAGGGCAGGGGAATGGGAGGGGATTGAGAAGTGATGGCTAAGCGGTACAATGGTTCTTTTGGGGTCTAATGAAAATTTTCTCAAATTGTGATAATGGACGTACAATTCTGTGAATATATAAAAGCCACTGAACTCTACACTTTAAGTGGGTAAATTGTATGGCATAGGAATTCTATCTTAATAAAGTTGTTAAAAGATTTTGAAAAATTTTAGTTTCTGTAAAAAGGTTGAAATAGAAATATCTGGAGCACAGAGATCGTCTTATTCATGTTTGTATTTCTTGGATACTTTTAACAGAAACTGACACACAGTAGGTGCTCAATAAAGTTATTCATATGAACTTAATTAAAAAATAACAAAACGACAACAACACAATGAGCCAACAGATGCCAGATCACATCTTATTAGTGATGTAGGAATGTGCAGAGATAAGAAGTGAACTGAGTATGATGAGCATAATGAGGAAGAGGTGCCAGAGAGAAGGAAGTCTGCAGATGGATTTTGATTGAGATGCTGGATGGTATCACTTAGCACAAACTTTCCCACTGGGAGAACAGCTTGAACAAGGAAGAGAAGTGGTTGGTATAAGGAAAACTTTTGAGAGGCTACCTAAGTTTGGAAACATCAGTGAGAATGATACTTACCCAAGGAAAAAGAAATGAATGAGATAAAAAGTCAGATTAAATCAGATGAAATAAAACACTTTGACCTACAGTGGTCTCTTCCACAGAAATGCTGGACTATCAACTAAAGGTGACTTAAACAAATATGGTCGCAATTTTAAATTAACCTCATCTTTCCTGAAACCTACCCCCCCAAGGTAAAAGCAAGCCACAAAAGATAAAAAGAAAACACAAGAAACAGGTTTAAATGAATCATGTAAACACCTGCCACATTTTTTTTAGTGAGGTGTTTAGTGAATCTGTTTCTGAGGAGCAATCCCAAGTATGATTGCAGCAAAGAGGTACTCAATTTGATTTAGAGATTAGTGTTGTGAGAGCTGAAGACAATGGAAAATGTTTTGCATTAGCAGAATGTGACATTTTTGTTGAGCTCAGAGTTACAGTTCTTCTTTCTGCAAAACTGCAGATGTATATTTGCATGGGCATCGCCTGTGCCTATAAGAAGGAATTTGTGATAGAGCTAACTCCAGGTGCAATAGAACAGATGCCAGAGGAAAGTTTTAGGAGAGCAAACACCTGCTCTGCTCACGGAGGGATACAGAGTTCCTGGATAGGATGCCATTCATACGAGGAAGCAAGCACCTGGGACCTGCTCCCCTAGCTCTGATCATCCAATCTGAAAGTAGCAGCTTTTCTCCAAACTTTGACTCCAGACACCTCCGGAAGACTTGACTGAACTTCCAGTCTCCTCCGGTGTTCTGTAACTGGCTTTCAATCTGTTTTTTTGTTTGTTTGTGTTTTGTTTTTACAAATATGACCGAATAAAGCAAGTTTTAAAATGAAGATGCTCCCAGTCTTTCCTTCTTTTCTGAAAAGAAGAATGTCGTCTTTTCCTACTTGGTTTTCTGCCCACAGTCGCTGACCTTTGAGTAGTGCTTCTGTCTCTCATGCCCCATTGCTAGACTTGCTTGATAAAAACAACTGGATAAAGCAATGGGAAGAAAAAAAGATCTACAGAAAAAGCGAAGGACTTAGGTAGATGGTCTATATTTATCACCCTGATAAAGATGAATAAGAAAAGAAATCCATGCTCTGGGAGATATTGGTCAAGATGTTTTGAGAGGTGGGTTGGGATTTAGCAAAATAGGAGGATTCTTAGGATTGTGAGATATAATAATAAGAAGAAGAATAGGAAACGGGTTGGGAGAAGTTTTACTAACAATCTGAGTTGGATACTCTCATATTTTCCAAGAAGTAGTTTTGAGTCCTTTTTTTTTTTTTTTTTTTTTTTTTTTTTTTTGAGATGGAGTCTAGCTCTCTCTCCTGGTCTGGAGCGCAGTGGCACGATCTCGGCTCACTGCAAGCTCTGCCTCCTGGGTTCACGCCATTCTCCTGCCTCAGCCTCCCAAGTAGTTGGGACTACAGGCGCCCGCCAGCACGCCCGGCTAATTTTTTTGTATTTTTTAGCAGAGACGGGGTTTCACCATGTTAGCCAAGATGGTCTCGATCTCCTGACCTCTTGATCCACCCGCCTCAGCCTCCCAAAGTGCTGGGATTACAGGCGTGAGCCACCGTGCCCGGCTTGAGTCCTTTCTAAAAATTATTTTTGGCTCTTTGGTTGTATTTATTTGAAAGTTACTTCTTTTAGCAACTGGACTACATGGAAGGAGGATGTACAATGTTTGCACAGATTAATTTTTTTTTTTTTTTTTTTTACTTTAAGTTCTGGGACACATGTGCAGATCATGCAGGTTTGTTACATAGGTATACACATATCACGGTGGTTTGCTGCACCTATCAACCCATCATCTAGGTTTTAAGCCCTGCATGCCTTAGGTATTTGTCCTAATATTCTCCCTCCCCTTGCCCCGCACCCCACGCAGATTTTTTGAATGCTTAACATGGTTCTAGAAATTTTACATCGATTATCTCATTTTATCCTTAAAACTATGCTGTGAGATAGATAATATCATGTCTGTTTTATAGATGAAGAAGTGAAAGCTTAGAGAGGTTTTGCAAATAACATAAATGTGTATTAGTGAAAAAGTCAAGATTTGAGCCCAGGTTTTCTGACTCCAAGCTCAAGGCTTTTTCCACCCATGCCTCGTCACAGTAGATGATTATGTGTCATTACTCACTGCATGAAGCAGCGTTCTATTCTCATTGCACAATCAATAAATGACATTCTGTTGGCTGTTGTGGTTGTTTTCCCTCAAAAAAGAACATTTGAATGTAAGCCCCTGACTGCCTCATGACATATTCTGCTGAGGATTGAGGGTCAGGATTGCTTCAGCTCTTTCTTCAAACAGAGGTTTGAAAGGCAATAAGAATAAGGATGGGAATGTCAGTGAATGCAAGGAAGGCCTCAAAAGACCAACATAAAGCAAAAGTTGATGGCAATGGTTCTCACAATGTGGTGCAGAGGCCACAAGACACATTAGATAGGGGCTTTCCTATTGGTCTGTGTGAAACTCATGTCTGTGCTTTTGTTTTGGCCACAGAGAATAAAGAATCATATTTAACACAATGTAGATGCCCCTTATTTGGGCTCACTTAGCCACTTATCTTGATGTTTCTTTCTTTCTTAGGTGAGGGTAGTAAGAAGCCATTGGGAATAGTCAGCCTGTGAGTTCTTTCATTCTACCAAAGTCAACTGTGAACAGAAAAGATTTGAGAATCTTAGTGTCTTTGTGTGGTCTCAGTTATTCTATTTGTTCATGATAAATAAGAGTTGGTGGTAAAGATGAAAGGTAATTTCTCTTGAAGTGCGAAAAGCAGAGTATGTTGGTGGAAATGCCCATGACTATTTCTAAACTCGCACACACTGAAAGATGCTGCTCTGAAACCTCACCAGGTGCTGTAGAGGGTCCAGGTAGATATCATCACCCATTTGCAATCTAAATGCAACTGAGCCTCCTTGGGCAAGTCCTAGTACCTGCCTTAATGATTCTGGAAGAATCACAAATTTAAATGAGTCTCTAAAACAAGGGTCCCCAACCCCCAGGCTGTGGACTGGTACCGGTCCATGGCCTGTTAGGGATCAGGCTGCACAACAGAAAGTGAGCTGTGGGGGAGTGAGCATTACCACCTGAGCTCTGCCTCCTGTCAGATTAGCGGTGGTATTAGATTCTCATAGGAGCATGAACCTCATTGTGAACCACACACGCAGGGACATTAGAGTCTCACAGGAGCACAAACCCTATTGTGAACTGAGCATGTGAAGGACCTAGGTTGCCCGCTCCTTATGAGAATCTAATGCCTGATGATCCAAGGTGGAACAGTTTCATCCTGAAACCATCCCTGACTCCTGATCTGTGGAAAAATTGTCTTCTACAAAACCAGTTCTGTCCCTGGTGCCAAAAAGGTTGGGGACTGCTGCTATAAAAGCACAGACAAGTAATGTCAATTGTTACTAAAATTTCTTGTGAATATGGAGAAGGGAAATGCATTGCACATAACTCTTAAACATCTCTGTATCTCTCTAGTTCTCTGTCATATGGCAGCTACCATATCTCTTTCTCTCAAACAACCCCATGTTTCTATCCAGCATTTCTTCCCCATGCCAGTGGGGAAAATCCCCCACCTCCAGAAGATCTGTAAGAAGAATACATTTCTATCTCGTTTATACCACTCTTACTTGGGGCTTTTGTTACATACAGTTTAGCCTAACAAATACTGTGAGGGATGCTGGAAGCAGAGTGACCATTTTAAAACAAGAGTATCGGCTGGGCGCGGTGGCTCACGCCTGTAATCCCAGCACTTTGGGAGGCTGAGGCAGGTGGATCATCTGCGGTCAGGAGTTCCAGACCAGTCTGGCCAAGCTGGTGAAACTCCATATCTACTAAAAATACAAAAAAATTAACCAGGTGTGGTGGTGCATGCCTGTAATCCCAGCTACTAGGGAGACTGAGGCAGGAGAATCACTTGAATCTGGGAGGCAAAGGTTGCAGAGAGCCGAGATTGCACCACTACACTCCAGCCTGGGCAACAAGAGCAAAAATCCATCTCAAAACAAACAAACAAAAAACAAAACAACAACAACAAAAAAAAAGAGGATAACCATCCAGGCAAGCAGTAATGAAGGCCAGAACCAAGGCAACATCAATGGAGTGGAGAAAAAGGATAATCTGAGAAAGATTAAGAAATTCTTTCTTTCTTTCTTTCTTTTATTTTTTATTTTTTTGAGATGGAGTCTCGCTCTGTCACCCAGGCTGGAGTACAGTGGTGCCATCTCAGCTCACTGCAAGCTCTGCCTCCTGGGTTCATGCTATTCTCCTGCCTCAGCCTCCCAAGTAGCTGGGACTACAGGCGCCTGCCACCACACCCAGCTAATTTTTTTTGTATTTTTAGTAGAGATGGGGTTTCACCGTGTTAGCCAGGATGGTCTCTATCTCCTGACCTTGTGATCCGCCCATCTCGGCCTCCCAAAGTGCTGGGATTACAGGCGTGAGCCACCGTGCCTGGCCAAGAAGTTCTTTATACAAAGCCTAAATCTGTGAAAACTCTTTAGAGCCAAGGAGGGATAAAATTCCACCCATGACTGCTTCTGTGTGCATTGCATTAAATTCACAATTTAGCACCATTTAAAAATATAAATCTAATGAGTAAAGAGAAACAAAAATAGGACACACACTCTTCCCCAGATCCAGCTCAGATTTGCTGCAATACAGATATAATTAAATCAGTGTAGTAACTTCACCTATTCAGAAACTGAGGAATCTTTTTGTTTTGGACCAACTGAAGGGAGGGCAAGCTGAAAGCTAACATACAAATTCTAGAATAAAGATGTGTATTTTGAGTCCATAGGTCACCAACTTCGTGTCAACAAAAATGGTGACAATGACAAGTCTTAAGAGATACCTTAATGAAGAAATAACATTCATTTTAAACTGCAGCACCATCATTGCTTACCAACAATTTGCTAAGACTCATAATATTTTAAGCAAGTGGTAAGACATGGTAGCTCACATTTGAAATCCCAGCACTCTGGGAGGCCAAACCAAGAGGATCACTTGAGCCCAGGAGCTCCAGACCAGTCTGAGCAACATAGTGAGACCTCATCTCTACTAAAAATTAAAAAAATAGCCAGGCATGGTGGCACACACCTGTGGTCTCAGCTACTTGGGAGGCTGAGGCAGGAGGATCATGTGAGCCCTGGAGGTTCAAAGCTGCAGTGAGCTGTGATCGCACCACTACACTCCAGCCTGGGTGACGGAGTGAAATCCTGTCTCAAAAAAATAAAAAAAGTGAGCAAGTTAAGCAAGTGTCCTATACTTTTTTCTCACTTAAAGTTTGCATCAAAAGCCGTTTCTTCACACAGAACTAAGTTATAAAAAAAAATGTTCCTTAGGCTGGGCCCGGTGGCTCACGCCTGTAATCCCAGCACTTTGGGAGGCCGAGGCTGGTGGATCACAAGGTCAGGAGATCGAGACCATCCTGGCTAACACAGAGAAACCCCGTCTCTACTAAAAATACAAAAACAAAATTAGCCGGGCGTGGTGGTGGGCGCCTGCAGTCCCAGCTACTTGGGAGGCTGAGGCAAGAGGATGGCGTGAACCTGGGAGGCGGAGCTTGCAGTGAGCCGAGATCGCACCACTGCACTCCAGCCTGGGCAACAGACCGAGACTCCGTCTCAAAACAAAACAAAACAAAACAAAACAAAAAAGTTTCTTTAGATACAGCTTGATCATGAGGGATTTTATAGTATTTTGAATGAATAAACAAGAGATTAATTATTAAGCACAAGTTACTATGCCACGCACTTTTGAAGATGAGAACTGCAAATAACTATTGGCTCATAACAACCGCTCAGTCCATACCCCTGCACTAAGACTTGACCAATCATAGAATGGTTTCTAGCATGGAAGGCAGCATCACTGAGAAAACCCTGCCCCCTTTTGAGTTCCTGTCAGGAAAATCTCAAGGCTGTCAAAAGCATTTACTGTTTGTTCTCATCAACACCTGACAATAGGCCCCTAACTTCCCTTTCCTAGCACATGAAATCAAAGTGGCTTACAATTCTGAGTCCTTTCTCTGTTGCTTTAAAATGTATACGTATCTCCTACAACTCAGGAGTATCTTTCTCAAGGACCTGAAAACTATTCCTTTGAAATATAATCAGGAAGAATAGGGCCTGGGAGTCCCAGTCTCTGCGGGAGGATAGAATCCTGACTTCCATAATTGCCAGCTAGCAGATGCAGCCAGCCTAATCACATTTACCCTGACTAACCCTTGGTCATTTTTCACTTTCCCTGACTCTGCCTGAGCTGCAGTTGCTCACACTTCCTCCTCCCTTATTTTCCCTTTAAAATGCCCAGTTACCTTTGCACAAATCAGAAGGCAGCCCAACTCTTTCCTTACTGTCAGTAGTTGAATAAAATCTGCTTTCACCTCTTTAACTAATATCTAGCTTTGTTTATCTAAGACAAGTCATAAACCAGGTCTATTCATCTAATAATTTTGACATTGGCTTTATCATCCTTATTTTGAAGAGGAGGAAATTGATCCACCAAGAAATTAACTTGCCCAGTGTCACATTTGTAGTTCATTAGTACTTGAGTCACAGAATTACATAATTATTGAACTGCAAGAAACCTTAGGATTCATCTTGTTCAGCCTTTTCATTTTATGGAGGATTCTGAGGATGACAAATTTAAATTTACAACTCTTACCTGTTGTAAGAGTCAGAATTGGACATCTGGGTAGGGTTGCCAGATTTAGCAAATAAAAATATAGGATTCCCTTTAAGTTTGAATTTCAGTTATCAGCAAATAATTTTTTAGTATAATTCTGCCCCATGCAATATTGGTTGTTTATTCATTATTTATCTAGAGTTCAAATTTAACTTGGGGCTGGATGTGGTAGCTGATGCCAGTAATCCCAGCACTTTGGGAGGCTGAGGCAGGAGGACTGCTTGAGCCCAGGAGTTCAGGACCAGCCTGGAAAACATGGCAAGACCTCGTCGTTACAAAAACAGAAGGGAAGGGAGGGGAGGGCAGGGGGAGGGGGAGGGGGAGGGGAGGGGAAGGGCAGGAGAGGGGAAGGGCAGGGGAGGGGAAGGGGAGGGGAGGGGAAGGGGAGGGGAGGGAAGGGGAAGGGGAGTGGAGGGGGAGCGGGGAGGGAGAAGGGAAGGGAAGGGAAGGGAAGGGAAGGGAAGGGAAGGGAAGGGAAGGGAAGGGAAGGGAAGGGAAGGGAAGGGAAGGGAATTAGCCAGGCATGGTGGCCCAGGCCTGTAGTCCCAGCTACTTGGGAAGCTGAGGCAGGAGGAGCACTTGAGCCCAGGAGGTTGAGGCTGCAGTGAGCTGTGTTCATGCTACTGCATTCCAGCCTAGACAACAGAGCAAAGAAAAAAAAAAAGAAAAAAGAAAAAAATATATATATATAAAAGAAAATATATATATATACACACATATATACTCAGCATTCTGTATTTTATCTGGCAATCCTACCCCAGGGCTTTTAACTTGCCGGGGTCCTTCCCATTCCATAATCTAACAAAGCAAGCTTCAAATATCTTATCATTTATTTGTGGGAAATTGTGGTCATGTCTGCAAGAGTTACAAGACAGGAAGACTATGATTTAGTGATATTGTGGTTTTGATGAGACATAAGACCTTTCTGAAGTTGGGGACAACCCAATATAAGTAATATTTATGAAGGCAGCATAGTTCATTTACAAACTGTCAAAAGACAAAATTACAACAAATTTAAAGATCTTAATTGGCTTTTGTTTGCCATTCTAGAGTTGGGCAACACCTCATTCCATAAAATTGAATGAGTGTTCCTATGAGCTGAGCAGGGGAGGTTAGCTTCTCGGCAAGGGCTGAGGAAAGCCCCAACAGAGAACAAAGAGTAGATTGGTGTTCAAAGTTGCTTTTCTTGTAAAGGTTAAGGCAGAGCAGGCTTCCTAAAACTCGCCTGTTTGGGGAGATGGCTATTATCTCTTGATTTCTTGGTAGGTCAGATAAACAACTCAGTTCCGACATGGTAGCACAGAACATTAGCACGAGTGACTCCATTTTGGTTTGGCCTGGTGGATCTAGTGCAGGGGGAGCTCAGTCCAAACCAATGGCCTCCTGTGAATTTTATTCAGCAAAATAAATCTACAACAAAACTCAATTAAATGTAACATCTCTGTGTCCTGTAAATTTAACTGTATCAGAGAATCACACTGTCTGGGCACTCAAGCTAATAACTATCTGTCCCATCTCTTTGTTGCCAAGTAAGCTTCTCCCCAAAACAAACAAGAGACTCGCTGGCAGGAATCACAGTCCTTGTTGTTGGGGGTGGGAGGTCATCTAGGTCCAAGTGGGCAGAAAAGGTAAAGTCTGGTGAAGCACAAAGACACAGGAAGACTGTGAGCCAAGACTATGGAGAACAGCCCAGGAGAATGTTTCTGTTGATGAGTAAACAGAGGCTTGGACAAGGTAGATCTGTCTTACTGATAAAGGGACTGGTGCTTCCAGAGTTGACTCATTAGTGAGAACAAAGGAATGCGGGTATTTTCTGGCAATACCTGTAACTTTGTAAACAGAGATGTGAGAGAGGGCAATGCCAGCGTGATAGGTAGCATTACTTTTTTCTTTACTGACTGGCTTACCACCACCGATAACAGTCACGGTTTACACACAAGCCCGAAGGAATGCTAAGCTTAAAAAAAAAAAAAGTTCCACGTTTGCATGGCCTTTCCACTGAGCCTCAGTCACAACTTTTGGCTGGAGGCAGATGGCAGGTCTAATGTTTTGTTATTGGTTCTTCCCTCCCCTGACACTCATTTTATAAATGAAGCTGCTGAAGTCCAAACACATTAAGGACCAGTTCAAAGTTTCTCCGTTTTAATAACTTGGCAGTGCTAGAGCTCCAATAAGGTCTTCTCACTCATGATCTGCAAAGTGGGAGCTGGCCTGACTTGAGGACTGAGCAATGAGTGTGACTTCTGAGTCCACACTGAACATGGAGACACAGGCTTTTAACAATATACACCAGGTTCTTTTTATGCTCCACTTATTTAGCTAGTGCAAAGGTCAGTTTATCATAAGCAGTGAGGGTTACAAAATCCTAAGGCAGGAAATGTGATGTTGCCAAGCCGCAGGAATTTTATAGCTATGGGGAAATGGGGTTGTCCTGTGTCTTTCTGTGGCTGCCTCATGGCTGTGTAATCTTTCATGTATGTTTCTCCCTTTGCTCCTACCCCATAGTTGTTTTTACGTCTGTAGACTGACTTCCTTTGCTTACTCCTTGGCTTGTCAGTGCCCCATCTTTGAGTCCTTGAGACATTTCACCTTGACTTGCCCTGCCCCGGGGAAACATGTTTTAGTATAGTGGTTAAGAGCATAGACTCTGGAGATAGGTTGCTGGAGTTTGACTATCGATTTAAAACTTCACTTCTCTGTTTTCCACTTTTCTCACCTGTAAAATGGGGGAGGCCGGGCACAGTGGCTCACACCTGTAATCTCAACACTTTGGGAGGCTGAGGCAGGCGGATCACTTGAGGTCAGGAGTTCAAGACCAGCCTGGCCAAAATGGTGAAACCCTGTCTCTACTGAAAATACAAAAACTAACCAGGTGTGGTGGTGCCCGTCTGTAGCTCCTGCTACACGGGAGTCTGAGGCAGGAGAATCGCTTGAACCTGGGAGGCAAAGGTTGCAGTGAGCCAAGATGGTGCCACTGCACTCCAACCTGGGCAACAGAACAAGAATCCGTCTCAAAAAATAAGAATAAAAAATAAAATAAAATGGGGGTAATAACAGCCTCATCTTCACAGTAGTGTGAGGAGTAAAGATATTGTCCTTAAGTACATTGAGCACGTACTATGTGCCACACAGTGACTGGCACATAGTATACACTCAATAAATACAGTTGTTCTTGTTGTTGTTAGTATTGCAACAATTTTAGAGTTTATAGCTCCTACTTGAGTATTTTTAAGTCCTAACTTGAAATCTTAGTGGAGAGAGACAGTGGCTGAGCTCATCTTGTCTCATGAGGCTGTAGGGTAGGTAGGCTTTGACTCAAGATGGAGTGGGGACTGCAGTGGAACAAAGACAGATGATTCATTCACCACTTCATCGGGGGTTGTGGGTAGGAGGCAGATCTTCTAGAAGAGGGGGTGGCTAGCATCTAAAATATGCCTAATACTCAGTATGTGCTAGAATTTGTTCTCAGACATTCAATATCTAATTTTAATAAGTGCTCAAAGCCCCTGGGTTATAGCATCTGCTCTTTCTTGCCCCACTTAAGCTGGATAGGGAACTCTTCCCAATCTTCATTCCAATTAAGTGCTTTCTTACATCCCAGAGAGTCCCATAACCAGCCCACATTTATCAAATGCCTATAGTGTATAAGGCAGCATGGCCTGCACTGTGCATATTGTGGGGGCAGTGACGGTGGGAGCCAGTCACAGGAGGAGAAATAGAGATGAATAAGAAACAAATTCTCTTTCAAGGCACTTAAAATCTGGAGGAATTTACAAAATAACTCTATACCAAGGAAGTGTATGAAAAGTATGGTAATGAAAGTATCAAGTATATAAAGTGTTAAGGTATCACAGAGAGGGATAGACATATTTTATCTACTGGGGTTTTAAAGAAAGTCTTCATAGAGAAAGTCACTTGGCTTGGATGGTAAAGGATGAGAAGATACCAACCAGCAAAGACGAGTGAAAAATATATTGCATACAGACTGGGTGAATACTATGAGTAAGCTTTCAGAGATGGGGACATATCATGCCCACTGGGACCACAGCAGATGGTCTGATTTTGTTCAAGTGTAGGTTATTGACTTAATGGGGAAGAGTGTATTATGTGTGTTGAAACATTGGCATTGTCATGAAGGATTCTGATACCAAGCTAAAGAGTTGGCGTCTAATTTTCTAAACAAGGAGAACCTATGAAAGGAGGAAGGGTGGGTTGCGATGTCTCCCGCCTGTAATCCCAGCACTTTGGGAGGCCAAGGCGAGCAGATCATGAGGTCAGGAGATCGAGACCATCCTGGCTAACACAGTGAAACCCCATCTCTACTAAAAATACAAAAAAAATTACCCGGGCATGGTGGCGGGCACCCGTAGTCCCAGCTACTCAGGAGGCTGAGGCAGGAGAATGGCATGAACCAGGGAGGTGGAGCTTGCAGTGAGCCGAGATTGCGCCACTGCACTCCAGCCTGGGCAACAGAGCGAGACTCTCTCTCAAAAAAAAAAAAAAAAAAAAGGAGGTAATAAAATACCCACTGTTTAATTTTGTTTTGGTTTTATGTTCTTATTTTGTTGGCTGCATGGGCTGAAAAAGTATGTCCATCTAAGTGTATCTTTCTTCCAGCTCCTGGAAGGTAGCAATTATGTAAGTAAGGTGGCTGGAATACTTACCTACCTTATACCTGCCAGGTGCTATTCTAAGCACTCGATGTGTATTATGTCTTCACGGTAACCCTCTGATACATTATTATTCTCATTTTACCAGTGATGAGGCTGGCACTGAGCAGAAAGTAACCTGGTTAAGGTAACCACCTGGAACATAGTAAAACTGGTATCTGGCCCCAGGCATACTGTTATGTCATACTGTTTCCCACTAGTTATGAAATCCCTTTGCAACAACACCTTATCTATCTCAACCAGCAATTCTGGACTGTAAGTAGGGAAAAGAATGTATTGCAAGCTATGCACAAGGTAATGATTTTATAGTCATAATGATTCAAGATGGAGGAGGCCTAGATAATGACGGCCTAATTATCTATAGCATTTTTTCTGGACCTGAGAGATCCAAAACTCAGCCTTTATTCAGACTAAGGATCTAGGAGAAAATCCCTGCCTCAATCAAAGAACAGAGAGTAATTCTCTGAGGGCCTTCAAGCGCTGAATAATTTATGTAGTGATTCATTCCCTTCTTGTGTGAAGCTTTTAGTTTCAAGCCTAAAGAAGATCCAGACACACAGGTGTTTTCCTAGAATCACAGAATATCAGAGTTGGAAGGACTTTAACTGTTCAAGTCAACATCCCCATTCCACATTCAACTCTTAGATCTCCATTCAATTCTTAGATCTCCCAATACCACATTGACATCTGTCTCAACAGTTCTCAGCCCATTTTTCCATTCCCCCACACTCAATGGATAACATTCACATATGAAATACATTACCTCTGCTGATGAGATCAGATAGTTTGTGGGTTCTGTACAATTCCTGGCAGCTAAGCTTGCACCACACCTTTTATTTTCTGCTCAAAGTGAATCAATAATGCAAGTAATTAAGAGGGATGCTATTACAGGCTCAGCCTTGATTGTATTCTAGAGTGCATTTTAAAAGTTAAGAATTTGCATAGTTCGGTATCATTATTAGCCAAAATTACTAGTAACACCCCACTCAGCTATTATTGGTACATAGGTTTTCCGGATGAAAAGTGCTGATCTAACCTATGGTTGAGATCCAGCCACTGGAAGTTCCCCATTTCCGAGGGAAGCCCGTGGCAACTCAGGACAGTTTTTACTGTCAGCAAATTCTTCCTTTTATTCAGCAGAAAAATGTTTCTAACTGCAGCTGGCCGACAACAGCACTGGGAAATCCATTTGTCTCCTGCTCTGCATCTTCCCCTAGTGTTCACAGAAACTGTTCTAAATTTTCACAATTCTCTTCAAGTCTTTGACTCCACTTTCATTTCCCATGCTCAGCAGGTGACCTCCCCTGGGACATGCTAAGTGCTCAGAAAGTGTTTGCTTGGCTGAATATCTCTTCCTCTACAAAACAGTTGACATGAATGCCCCAGCTTCTAGCCCCTAACAAAATCTTGTGTTGCTTTTCTTGCCTCAATCTCAGAGGAAGGGGCTGCTCCCTTCTATACAGCTTATTCATCCACTTGGGCTTTAAATCTAATCCTGTTTGGCTAATTCAGAGACCTGCTTACTTTCTACCCAAGTGCCATTTCCTTTCCTCAAAGGATAACTTCATTCTGAGCAAGTGTTCCATTTTATAAATCTGAGCAGTGAATTTAAGTCTTATCAAAGAAACCCTTAAATCTTTCATTCACATGCTGGGCTATATTCTTAATTTCACTTGCATATCAGGATTACCTAGGGAGCTTTCAAAAATCCTGATGCTCCAGAGAAATGCAAATCAAAACCACAATGAGATAAGATCTCATGCCAGTTAGAATGGCGATCATTAAAAAGTCAGGAAACAACAGATGCTGGAGAGGATGTGGAGAAATAGGAATGCTTTACACTGTTGGTGGGAGTGTAAATTAGTTCAACCATTGTGGAAGACAGTGTGGCGACTCCTCAAGGATCTAGAACCAGAAATACCATTTGACCCAGCCATCCCATTACTGGGTATATACCCAAAGGATTATAAATCATGCTACTACAAAGACACATGCACATGTATGTTTATTGTGGCACTATTCACAATAGCAAAGACTTGGAACCAACTCAAATGTCCATCGATGATAGGCTGGATTAAGAAAGTGTGGCACATGTACACCATGGAATACTATGCAGTCATGAAAAAGAATGAGTTCATGTCCTTTGCAGGGACATGGATGAAGCTGGAAATCATCATTCTCAGCAAACTATCGCAAGGACAGAAAATCAAACAGCACATGTTCTCACTTATAGGTGGAAATTGAACAATGAGAACACTTGGACACAGGGCGGGGAACATCACACATCAGGGCCTGTCGGGGGGTGGGGGGCTGGGGGAAGGATAGCGTTAGGAGAAATACCTAATGTAAATGATGAGTCGATGGGTGCAGCAAACCAACATGGCACGTGTATACCTATGTAACAAACCTGTACATTGTGCACATGTACCCTAGAACTTAAGGTATAATAATAAAAAAAAATCCTGATGCTCAGGCCACACCACAAAATAAAGAAATCATAATGGGCTGGGTGTGGTGGCTCATGCCTGTAATCCCAGCACTTTGGGAGGCTGAGGTGGGCGGATCATGAGGTAGGAGTTCAAGACGATCCTGGCTAACACAGTGAAAACCCGTCTCTATTAAAATTTCAAAAAATTAGCCAGGCATGGTGGTGGGTGCCTGTAGTCCCAGCTACTTGGGAGGCTGAGGCAGGAGAATGGCATGAACCCGGGAGGCGGAGCTTGCAGTAAGCTGAGATCGCGCCACTGCACTCCAGCCTGGGTGACAGAGCAAGACTGCGTCTCAAAAAAAAAAAAAAAAAAAGAGAAATCATAATGGAGTGTGGCAGGGAAGGAGTGAAAACCAGGCATTGCCATTTTTAAAGCTCTTCCGGTGATTCTAGGGTGCATTCAAGATTGAGAACTACTAGTTTTAATTCAAGCCTTGCTGTTCAAAGTATGGTCCTTGGATCATCATCATTACTATCATGTGAGTACTTGTTAAAAATGTAGAATCTCAGACTCCATCTATTGAATCAAAATCTACATTGTAACATGATACCTTAGTGATTCCTATGCATATTAATGTCTGAAAAGCAGTAGTCTAGACCAGACTCTAGAGCAGGAGGCAGCAAACTAAAATCCACAGGCCAAATCCAGCTCTCTATTTGCTTTTGCAAATAAAGTTTTATTGAACGCAGCCACATCCATTCCTTTACAAATTGTCTACGGCTGCTTTTCCACTACAATGGCAGAGCTGAGTAGTTGTAACAGAGACGTTATAGCTGACAGAGCCTAAAATATTTATGAAGAGGGGCAGAATATGCTACCCGAAAACATGCCACTTTGACATGAGACTTCTAGCTGAAGGCACTTGAAAAACAAAAGATACAAGAAGTGCTTTGTAATCTTCCCCCTTTCTTTCAGAAAACAGGAGATAAAGATTCCCATGTGAAAGATGCCCTCCCTGTACCAGGAGAAAAAGACAATTCTTTGGTGGAGAGTCATAGCTGAGAGAATTCTTTGCAAACAGACCTTGTTAAGCTAATTATCTTCCTTTAGCCTCCACCACATAATTTAGTTACTTTTCCACAATTGCCTTTCTCTATTCAAACGAATAAGACCCTCCTATTTTCTTTCTTTTTTTTTTTTTTTTTTTTTTGAGACAGAGCAGAGTCTCGCTCTGTCGCCCAGGCTGGAGTGCAGTGGCTGGATCTCCACTCACTGCAAGATCTGCCTCCCGGGGGTTCACGCCATTCTCCTGCCTCAGCCTCCCGAGTAGCTGGGACTACAGGCACCCGCCACCATGCCCGGCTAATTTTTTGTATTTTTAGTAGAGAAGGGGTTTCACCGTGTTAGCCAGGATGGTCTCGATTTCCTGACCTCATGATCCGCCCACCTCAGCCTCCCAAAGTGCTGGGATTACAGGCATGAGCCACCGTGCCCAGCCAAGACCCTCCTATTTTCTTAGGAAGGCTCCTGTGTCAACCAAAACTTGTATTAAACGTGTATGTTGTTCTTCTGTTAATCTATTTCATGTCATTTTCATTTGCAGACTCAGCCAGGGATCCTAAAAAGGTAGAAATAAAGTTTTGCCTTCCTAAATATACTATCTGGTCTTTTACAGAAAAAGTTTGCTGTCCACTGCTCTAGAGAATGGAATGGCTAGATCCAGCCAGAAAAGCATCTCTGGGCTTTCCTTAGCTCATGGGCAGAAGGGAGGACAAGATGTATCTGCCCTTTTGCTGGTGGTGTCCCTTAAGAAGCAGGTTCTTCTGGCGCACAATCCTTTTATAACCATTGCTAGGGTCATCGTGCCAAAGTAAGCCTGCTGTTTTTGAGTTTCTAATAGAATTAATTCTGGATATAATCTCTGAGGAACAGACGGGCTGGCACAAGTCCACCCTCAGAATCATGCTCAGACACAAGCAGACACCTTATGTCATTTAAATGATGTTGCAGAATCACTTGACTAATGCAATATTGTGATGTCTGTACTGGAAAAACAGGATGGCATGATTCAGGAAGATGAGCTCTAGTGCCTGGCAACCAGCTTATCTCCTCCACTCTTACTTTCCCTCAAAAATAAGGTTTCTTTCTTTTCTCTCCTTATATTTCAGCTTGATTGCATGTTTTGTTTTGTTTTGTTTTGTTTTGTTTTGTTTTGTTTTGTGATGGAGTCTCAATCTGTCCCCCAGGCTGGGGTGCAGTGGTGTGATCTCAGCTCACTGCAACTTCTGCCTCCCAGGATCAAGCGATTCTCCTGCCTCAGACTCCAGAGTAGCTGGGATTACAGGTGCCTGCCAATATGCCTGGCTAATTTTTGTATTTTTAGTAGAGACAGGGTTTCACCATGTTGGCCAGGCTGGTCTCAAACTCCTGACCTCAAGTGATCTGCCTGTCTCAGCCTTCCAAAGTGCTGGGATTACAGGCATGAGCCATCGTGCCCGGCCTTGATTGCATTTTTTAAAAAATGTGTGTCTATCACATTAATTAACCACACAGTCCCAGTCAGAAAGTTAGAACTTACTGTTTTCCCAGTAAATGGGAACATGAAGCCAGCCTGCTTTGTGTGTCACACTTTTGCAAGAAAACCGGCTCAGCCTAGGTTCTGATCTTTCCTCTGTAATCACAGAGCAGAGAGAAGCCAACCAGCTCATGGCATTTTAATCTGTGCTTTTGCCCCAGTGGACACCACATAGCAATACTTCTCAAACTCAAATGTACTGGAAATCACCGGAGGATCTTGTTACTTGTCTTGTTACTGACAGGTTCTATTCAGTAGTTTGGGGACTGAGCCTGATATTTGGCATTTCTAGCATGGTCCCAGGTGATACTGATGATCCTAGCACCAAGGCTTGAATAGCAACGGTCTAGGGCAGAAGGTAGCAAAGCATGGCCTATGGCCAAAGCCAGCCAGCTGCCTTTTCTGTAAATAAAATTTTGTCAGAACACAGTCACTCCCATTCATCTAACGTATTGTCTGTGGCTGCTTTCATGCCACAACCACAGAGTTGAATAGTTATGACAGAGACTACATGGCCTGCCAATCTTATACTATGTACTATCTGATCCTTTACAGAAGAAGTTTGCAGCATTGATTCTCCAGGGTGGTCCAAAGATAGCCTGCATCAACATCATTTGGAGATTTTGTTACCAATGTTTATTTCCAGTATTATTGGAGACCTACTCCTGAGACAGTCTCTGCAAGGGGCTGGGAAGCCCTACAATTTTCAAGCTTCTCGGATGATGCTGATGAGCCACACTTTGAGGAATAAAGCTGTACTCTGTTTCACTGAGGGAACCGATCACTGATGGAGAGGATGTTTTCCTGGTATTCTAGTATGTAATGCATTTCTTTCCTTTTTTTTTTTTTTTGAGACAGTCTTGCTCTGTCACGCAGGCTGGAGTGCAGTTGGTGTGATCATAGCTCACTGCAGCCTCGAACTCCTGGGTTCAAGCGGTGATGCAGTTCTTTTTTTAATTTTAATTTAATTTTTTTTAAAGCTGCTCCTTGCAGAGCAGGGCTACCCCACAGGCAGTGTGCCCAGAGTAGCTGTGGTGATACATTTCTCTATATGGAACGCATACATGCTTACATGCATAAACCTGGGTCTCTCTGAGGCCCTTTGAGCCTTGCACACCTTTCTTTCCTGCCATTCAAAGTCTGAATGGAACGTGGGCTATTAGAATCAATGTGGTATCAGCTGGGTCTCCAGGAAATGTATTTGCAGTAAGTTTATCCGGGAGTGCTCTTGGATTAACGCCTGTAGAGGGGAACAGAAGAGCAAGAAAGGAGAAAGAAAGAGAAAGGGTATAGGACTGGGAGAAGAAGATAGGCTGCAATCGTCTCAAGAGAGACTTTAGCCAATGCCATGGGAAGCTCTGAAGCTGGCATAACTCTCAGACTTGTCCCCAAATAGGGTGAGGGAGCCAGACCTTTGTAACCGCTGCCTCTTCCACAGCTGCCCTAAAGATAGGACTTGCCTTTGGCCCGGATTGGCTCTCTTTAGCCAAGACAATTCCTGAAGAGGACTGAGAGCTGAGGGCTGTCTTCCCATGCAGCATTCCCAGCAGCTTGGGAAACAAATCCTTCCTTTATTCCAGCAGCGTGATCTGGGAAGTGCCTTACAACCTCCACTCCATAAGGTGTCACTTTTGTTAATACTAAGTTACCATTTATCAGATGCCAAGCAATAAGCTTGCTTATTTCATCCTCACAGTAGCCTTATGAGGTTGGAGTTATTAGCTTAATTCTGAAGATGACAAAACAGAGACTCAGGGAGGTTAAGACGATTTCCTAAGGCCCCACAGCAAGCAAGGGATCAAGCGGTGATTCCAACCTTGGTTTTCTGACTTCAAAGGTTTTCTGATTTTCCATTACACCAGCATTTCCCAATGTGTATTCCTCAGAACAGATGTTAATAGGTGTTACATAAAAGAGAGAACAAAGACTGTCAAAAGGCTTTTGGAAATCTTGCGTTAAACATAAACAAGTTGTCTTACAGTAGTTCTTCTCAGAACCCTTAACATGCTAACACACAGCGTGACTCTGCAAGAGAGATATTAATGTGCATTACTTCCCAACCTCATTTAAAACAGAATTGCTTTGTTGCAGCTGATGATGCATTGGGACATGATGCATGGCCCTGATCAGTCTCCTTCTGAAGGCTCTTTCCATGGGAAAATTGAAGATGGGATAATTCTCCTTTAAAATGTGCAGTCCTTAAGGAGTCTGACAACTCCTTGACGCTCCTCCACTTTCTCTCTTGCCAGGAAGGAAACTTTCACAGGGCTTTCTTACATAAGGAATGGAATGTAGAGTTTACACTTTGTTGCCTTTGGTCCTGATTTAGAAATAACCAGTGCAGGATGTCCTGGTTGGAGGATGGGGATAGAGAAGCGGGTTAGCCTCTGAGCAAGCCTTGCACTATCATGCTGGTATAAGGAGGCCTTTCCACATCCCCATCCAAGCTTTGCCATGGCCAGGTCCCCATTTCCCATAGCTGATGTTCTGGATGGGGGTTGTCAGGGACTCCCTCTGCACCAGAGGCTCTGGTTTTAGTGCTACATCTTGAAGTTGACATGTATACTGTATATAATTTAAAAACTTACAATGACAACAAACAATACTGGCAACTTTAAATCCCCTCTAAAGAAGGTTGGAGATGCCTCCATTGGGAATATTTTTTAGTGTTTTATTTTAGGTTAGTTTGTCTGTAAAATAAAGATGAAAAATCAATCACAATGCAAAGTTACTTTTGCTAAAAACCTTTTCTTTAGCGAGAAAATGCTGAGGACGGGCAGAGGGTGGGCAGGCAGATGGGAGTACAGCCTTCTGCTCTGCGGCTGGGCTTATTACCCAGGTCTGCGGGTCGCCTGCACCGCAATTTGCCTCCAGGCAAACTTCCACCTGAAATGTAGGGTAATCGAGGCCTGCCCGGAACTTGTGGAAATCAAACCAAGGGCTCAGTTTCAACAATTCTGGTAGAGGATTAGAATCCATGTCAACTCTGTTACCAGAAGGATGGCCTTGAGTGTACGATGTCCAGGTTCTTGGCGTTTTGAACAAAGAACTGGACAAAATGCAAAGCAAAGTAACGAAGATGACACAGGAACAAAGAGGCAAAAACAGGAATTTATTAAAGCGAGAAAGCACTCCACAGGGTGGGGGTGGGCCGGAGCAAGCGGCTCAAGGGCCTGGTTACAAAGTTTTCTGGGTTTTAAGTGTGCCTTTTGAGGTTCTTATCCATTACCCCTTATCTGGATGAAGGATTTGGTCCGTGGCTAATTAAAGGCTGAGGTGAATTGGTTCTCTGTGCAGATGAAGGGATTGTCCCTGCTTGGCCTGAGGCCAATCCAAGGCACTCTCCCTTTACGTCTGAGACGTGGTGGAAGAAGGAGGGTTGTAGGGAGAGTAACCTTTGACCCTTTGCTACTGGGGCTTGGGGAGATGGGGTTTTACCTTTTGGTTTAGCTTTATGAAGTTTGCATTAATTAGCCTTAGGGTCCCTGCCCCCAGACCCAGGTGTTTTCCTTTTGATCCACCTTTGGGAAGTCAGCATGGATTGACCTTAGACTCCCTGCCCCCAGACCTTTGTGTTTTCTCTTTTAGAAAGTCAGCACAAATTGGCCTCAGATTCCCTGCCCCCAAACCTTGGTGTTTTTCCTTCATTCAACACGAATTGGCCTTAAGTTCTCCATCTCCAGACCCTATTCTCCTGCCTCTTAACCACGGAAAGGTGCTGGCCTGGTCACTTGCTAATCTTAGGATGGAAAGACTCTTTGTTGGGTATGATTTTGGAGACTGAACAGATTTAAGCAGAATTCTTGTGCACCCCCCTCACCAATCTCACTTCTGCTAACATGTAGGTAGTTGAAGATTTACAGAGTGTATTTCCTACTCTTGGTGGAAAATGAAATTCAGGAAGTGAAGGTTGAGACTTGAACTTAGCATGCCAATCCTGACCATTTCTGGCCTGAGGGATGACTCACCCTTTAAAGTTTCCCCAAATGTCCCCCTGCTCCAACCCTGAACGTCCTGCCTCAGATCACAAGGGGTCTCAGCACTTGGTTACCAGATGAACAGACTCCTAGGGTGGAAGGAAGGCAGGGAGCAGCTATGGGGGATACTTTTAAAGTAAGACCATATAAAACTTTAGAAGGAAAGTGATTTGCCCAGCCTTGAGAGACTTTCTTTAAAAAATTCATAATTGAATAAAATAGAACAGATTGGTTGTGAAACCGATTATTTTGAGTGCTGGTTACAGCAAGTCTAAGTTGGAAAAGATCTTATAATTTTGTGAAACTCTTAATTTCACAAGAGAAGGGCCCAGAGAGGTAAAAATTATGTCTCTTAGGCCCCACAGTCGTTAATTGTAGAGGATTGAACAAATGTCTAGATATACTCAGACCACTTGACTGCTTCCCCTTCCTACCATCAAAACAAAATGAACTGACCCCTCAATCAAAAACTGAGATATATTCTGGTAGGAATGACATCATTTTATTATTATAAAACTTCCTAAAAGGTGGAGTTTCAGCAATAGCAGTAACTGCATTAATGAATATTTAAGAAGTAATAAAGGGAAGGCTTGAATTGTGTGAACCACGAAAGCACTAAATAATCTAGAATTCAGGTAGGGGTTTTTGATTATAAGCTTGCATCAGGTCTGTTTTTGGCATTTCTTGGAAATGAAGTAATTCACTGCAGGCTTGTCAAGAATTGGTCTTGGGGCCGGGCGCGGTGGCTGATGCCTCTAATCCCAGCACTTTGGGAGGCCGAGGCAGGTGGATCACCTGAGGTCAGGAGTTCGAGATCAGCCCGGCCAACATGGCAAAACCTCATCTCTACTAAAAAATACAAAAATTAGCAGGCGTGATGGCGTGCACTTGTAATTCCAGCTACTTGGGAGGCTGAAGCAGAAGAATTGCTTGAACTCAGAAGGCAGAAGTTGCAGTGAGCCAAGATTGCACCACTGGACTCCAGCCTGGGCAACAGAATGAGACTCTGTCTCAAAAAAAAAAAAAAAAAAATTGCTCTTGACATGGTCTCATGTTCTCTGCTTGAGAAATCTCCATTATATAATGGAATATTTTGAGTAGCAAGGCAAAGTGACTAGGAATGACAGCTTGCTTCAACTGCTGTCTGATCCAGGGCAAGCTTTTCAGTTTCTTCATCACTGAAGTGAGAAGAATATTACTGACTATCTCATAGAGCTGTGGAGATTAAATGAGTTGCTAATATAATGTCTTAACAGCCCTGCCTGGCACTAGTACACACTCTGTAAAGATTAGCTGTTATTATTACCAAGAAAGGTTGCAGTACTTAAACTTTCTTAAGTGGTCTTTTGATAAAGATCCCCAGGACATGGTAAGAAAAAGGACGGTTAGTCTCTGTATGTAATGGTGATAGACAGGGAAACAACAACCACAAGAAAATCTCAGATCAGTGATTTCTGTTGGAGACCAGATTATTCAGTACCGAGACTGGAAAGAAGGAGTGTCTCTCCTATCAGGTTTGGGGTTAAAGTTTCAAATTGTAATTCAATTCATTAAAACATTGCCAAATATGGCTATTGGACAGGTATTGTGCCAAATACCCAGGAATGGGAGACAAGGATGGTGAGCTTACACACTACAGTCTAGTGACCTGGAAAATTCCATGACACTGGCTGAAGGGAATCACTCTATTTACTCTCGTTATTGCTGTTATTTGTAAGCTTCCAGAGCTTTATTTATTTTTCTTTTAGTTCTTTAATTATTCTCAAAGTTCAAACAGAGTTAGATCCACAGGATAAAACAGCAGATAAGGCCATCTACAGAAGGGACTTACGAGGATGTGGCTAGATAATATTCAATGAGTGATGTGTTAACATTCTTTCCACCCATCCAGTTGTCATCTGAAAAACAACCTCAGGTCAGGAAATTAGCTCAGGGTAGACATGAGAAGCTAAGGTTTCTTCATAGGAGGTTTTTGCTTTGTCTGGAGATCAGTATTATCACTACTAATTTTTTCCTCCTATATGATAATTTATCACATGTCACACAGATGGGCTCAAACCCTGGCTTCCCCTAATAGTGGCTATGAGGCTTGAGACAATCAGTCTCTCAGTTTCCATATCCTTTTATTTTATTATAGTAAAATATACATAACATAAAATTTATCATTTTAACCATTTTTTTTTCTTCTTTGAGATGGACTCTTGCTCTGTCGCCCAGGCTGGAGTGCAGTGGCGCGATCTCAGCTCACTGCAAGCTCCGCCTCCTGGGTTCACACCATTCTCCTGCCTCAGCCTCCCGAGTAGCAGGGACTACAGGTGTCCGCCACCACGCCCGGCTAATTTTTTTGTATTTTTAGTAGAGACGGGGTTTCACCGTGTTAGCCAGGATGGTCTCAATCTCCTGACCTCGTGATCCGCCCGCCTCGGCCTCCCAAAGTGCTGGGATTACAGGCTTGAGCCACTGCACCCAGCCCATTTTAACCATTTTTAAGTGTACGGTTCAGTAGCATTAAGAACATTCGCAATGTTGTACAACCATCATCACTATCCATTTCCAGAACTGGTTCATCATCCCAAGCAGAAACTCTGTGCCCATTGAATGATAACTTCCATTCCCCTCCATGTGGCCCCTGGTAATCACTACTCTACTTTCTGTCTCTATAAAACTTGCCTGTTCTAGGTACCTCATGTAAGTGGAATCATATAATATTTCTCCTTTTGTATATCGTTCATTTCATTTAGCATAATGTCTTAAGGTTCATCCATGTTGCAGCATGTATCAGAATTTCATTCCTTTCTAAGACTGAATAATCTTTCATTATATATATATATATATATCACATTTTCTTTATCCGTTCATCTATCAATGGACATTTCAGTTGTTTCCACCTTTTGGCTATTATGTTCATATCTGTTAAAGGGGATGTAATATCTATTTCACAGATTGTTGTGAGGGTAAGATAACCAGGAAAAGGCCTGGTATATAGTAGGTGCTCAGTTAATGCTATGTTTTTTTCTCCCTGGCATAAGTTATTTATTTATTTATTTATTTATTTATTTATTTTATTTATTTTTGAGATGGAGTCTTGCTCTATTGCCCAGGCTGGAGTGCAGTGGGGCAATCTCGGCTCACTGCAAGCTCCGCCTCCCGGGTTCACGCCATTCTCCTGCCTCAGCCTCCCAAGTAGCTGGGACTACAGGTGCCCGCCACCACGCCTGCCTAATTTTTTTGTATTTTTAGTAGAGACAGGGTTTCACCGTGTTAGCCAGGATGGTCTCGATCTCCTGACCTCGTGATCCACCCGCCTCGGGCTCCCAAAGTGCTGGGATTACAGGCTTGAGCCACCACGCCTGGCCAAAAGTTCTTATATTTCCTTTAAGGCCCAAGTAAAGGAGTGTGATGAAAGGGACCGGATAATTCTTTTCCTATTTCTGTGCCTCTTTTGATTTCTCTGTTATAACTTCTCTAATTAATGCTTGGCTCTTCAAATTATTTACGGGAGGAAGTATTCCAGAGGATATGGTCGGGTGTTGGGAGGGGGAGGTGGGGGAGATGGGCAGGATGAGGGTAGAAGACAGAAACAGACATCCAGTTAGTTATATGTTGCTAAGCCTAAGAATATTTGCTGGCTGAAGGATCTGTTAACTTTTTCCAAAACGGTAATAGTGCTTACTGCAGAGATAGCGATCTTTGAAACTTGACCCTCCTTATTGCAAAAGCCCCAAGTGTTCAGATCTGGGCCATCAGGACTGGAAAATGAAGATGTTTTACCTCACTTCATCCTTTTCTTCTTCTAGGGCAGCTACTTCATGCCAATATGCAGTAGGATAGGGCAAAAGGTTGTGTTTTTCTTCTGTAACTTAAAGGAAATAATGTATTTCAAAGGATCCTGAGAAAGACCATATTTATTCTTGAATTCTTGTGGAATGTAAGTGGTATAAGGGCTTCTGGGGAAGCCAACTGTAGTAAGTCCCTCTCTTTAGAAAGCAAATGTCTAGACAGCTGGAGGGACCTGTCTATCCAGGGTCATAAACAAGTTGGTTTAGAGTAGGGACTAAAATCTTGATCACTTTACATCTAGCTAAGTATGTTCTTTTGTGCCTTACAGATCAACTGGTGTAAAGCTGATTTTCCAAACTTCGAGTTTTAAGGGAAATGGATAGGATACTCTTTTTTAAAATTATTTTTATTATTTTATGACAGAGTCTTGCTCTGACGCCCAGGCTGGAGTGCAGTGGCGCAATCTAGGCTCACTGCAACCTCCACCTCCCCAGTTCAAGTGATTCTCGTGCTTCGGCCTCCCAAATAGCTGGGACTACAGAATCATGCTGCCACGCCCAGCTCATTTTTTTGTATCTTTAGTAGAGAGGGGGTTTCGCCATGTTGGCTAGGCTGGCCTGGAACTCCTGACATCAAGTGACCTGCCCGCCTTGGTCTCCCAAAATGCTGGGATTACAGGAGTGAGGCACTGCGCCTGGCCCAGGATACTCTTACTAAAGGGTTTCTGGAAGTTTCTTTTGGGAGCAGCACTCATTGAGTAACCGTCTACTCTGTGCAAAGCCCAATATTGAGCACTATGAAGGAGAAATGAAAGAAACAAAAGTCATGGAATAGGGACCCTGGAAAAAGGAAAAATGGATACCTGAAAATATTATGCGGGTTTATTTGGGTTGGGGTGATCACTGATAGATAGATGCAATGGATTGAAGGATGATCCCCCAAAAGACACGCCCATGTCCTTATCTCCAGAAACTGTGACTATTATTTTATGTTGTAAAATATTGAACATGACTTTATATGACATAAGATATGATTAAGTTAAATCTTGACAGTAGGAGTTTTTCCTGGAGTACCCAGATGGACCCTAAATGCAATCACAAGTATGAAGAGAGGCAGGAGAAGTTTTGAGAGAGAAGAAGAGGCAGCAGTATGACCAGGTAGGTTAAGATTTCAGTGATGTGATCACAAGCCAAGGAACTCCTGGAACCACCAAAAGGTAGAAGAGGCAAGCAATAGATTTTCTCCTGCAGCCTTCGGAGGGAGTACAGCCCCTCTGACACCTTGATTTCATACTCCTGGCTTCTAGAATATGAAAGAAAAAAAATTTCTGTTGTTTTAAGACACTCATTGTGTGCTAAATTGTTACAGCAGTCAAGTGAAAACTAACAGCATATCTAATCTTTGACCTTTTACATTTCCTCGTTGCTTTCTCTCAAGGGGTGTGGGGCAAATTCCTTATTCTTTTCTATCTAGTTCTGCTGCCATCAGAAGCATAGAACATGGATCTCACAGTGTTGCAAGTAGATCACTTAGTCTCCTTTGGTTTCATTTCACAGAGAACATGGTGGAGGCTCAGAGAAGTGAAGCGACTTGCCCACATTTACACAGTTGCTGAGTGTGAGCCCAGACGTGGAACCCGGGTGCAATACCCAGATAGTACTCCTTGCTTTCTGCTTACAGCCTAGAGAGAGGGAACTTGCAGCTGAGTTAGGAGACAGAGGCTCACAAGCACAAGGCAATACTGGCAGAGCGTAGACAACAGGTTTAGGCACCCGTGAGTCTACACAGTAACACTGGAGAGTCCACCAACTTTACCTCCAAGAAGACATCTCTAATCTGCCCACTTCTTTCCATCTCCTTTGCCAGCAACTCTCTGCTTAAAGATCCATAGTGGCTTCTTTTTTTTTTGAGACGGAGTCTCGCTCTGTCACCGAGGCTGAAGTGCAGTGGCACGATCATGGCTCACTGCAACCTCCGCCTCCCGAGTTCAAGCAATTCTCCTGCCTCAGCCTCTTGAGTAGCTGGAATTACAGGCATGCGCCACCACGCCTGGCTAATTTTTGTATTTTTAGTAGATATGGGGTTTCACCATGTTGGTCAGGCTGGTCTCGAACTCCTGACCTCATAATCCGCTCTCCTCAGCCTCCCAAAGTGCTGGGATTACAGGTGTGAGCCACTGTGCCCAGCCCCTAATGGCTTCTTATCATCCATAGACTAAGACCCTAATTCCAGATGGTGGCATAACAGGACCCTATATGATCCAATACTCGCACCTTCTCCAACCTCATTTTCTACCAGTGTCTCCATCCATCACCCTCCTTCAGCACCTCCAGCTGGCTGACCTTGGGTTGCCCTTGAAGCAGGCCAAGATCTTTCTTGTCTTTGTGTCTTTGCACTTGCTCTTGTCTGCCTGGAATACTTTCCCCATGGCTCTTCCTGTGGCTGACTTATGTTTTATCTTCAAGTTCCAGCTCACATAGCTCCCCACAGAGGCTTTGAAGTGGCTGTTTCCTCCATATGTTTCTTATCACAGGCTGAAACAGTCTTGTTTATTTGTTGAGTGTCTTCTCTTGTCACTAGATTAAAAATGCTATGAAAATTCTTGAGAAAGATACACCCTCTTTGTACCTGGCACAGTGCCTGACAGTGTAGGTACTTAATAAATATCTGTTGAATGAATGAATTTACCAGTTTTCCTAAACTGGGCTACCTAAGGAATTTACTATATATTTCCTGCACAAAAGATTTAAGACTCTTTCTTTCCTCCTGAACAATGCATATCAAAGTCTCTGAAAAATTCTAAAGAAAACTAAATTTAGACTGTATGCAGGGGCTGATGCCTGTAATCCTAGCATTTTGGGAGGCCAAGGCAGGAGGACCACTTGAGGCCAGGAGTTCGAGACCAGTCTGGGCAGCATAGTGAGACCTTGTCGCCACAAAAAATAAAAAGATTTTAAAAATTAGACAGGCAAGGTGGTGGGTGCCCTCAGCAACTTGGGAGGCTGAGGAGGGAGGATCACTTGAGCCCAGGAGTTTGAGGCTGCAGTAAGCTATGATTGGGCCACTGTACTCCAGCCTGGGTGACAGCATAAGACTCAATCTCTACAAAAAAAAAAAAAAAAAAAAAAGGAAACACTTTTAATAAGCCTGGCATATTTGACCCACATATGGTTTTAATAAGCCCAAGTGTATTTGGCCATACATCCTATTGTTCAGGAGTTTGTGTAAATGTTCCTGAATATAGATGTTCCCCAGAACAGTTAGAGAACTCTTGGTGTAGAAACTGGTAACAGCTGAATCCAGTTAAATCACCAGTTCATTTGAAAATATCCAGTTGACTCCAGGCAGCAGTATGTGTGTATACACACAGTTTCGTGTATATAAACAGCAGAGTGAAGTTGCTAACAGAGCTGGGGTAGTGATAGTGATAGGGGAGGAAAACTCATAGGGCTGGAGAGGTGGGGGATTATGACCTCGGCCATGGATTTCAAATTCTGTCTGGAGGTAACTTAGAGTGGAGCAAGTTCTCAGCTTCTCAAGGGGAGTTTGACCGTGAGTCTGGACAAATCAAGAGCTTGCCATGAACAGCACACAGAAAGATCCAGCTCTGCTGCCTCCACGTGCTCTGCTCACATAGTGGCCATCCTGTTCCAGAAAATGGGCTTTGTCATCACTTGGCTCACATCCTGTCTCTGGGTGACCTGAGAGTGACCTATAAATGTTTGACTTTGCTTTCTAATAGAAAAAATAATGCTGTCAGTCGTTGCTGTATATTTTGGGTACTCTCCTCCTCTGTAAATTGTGTCTTTCCTTAGACATATAATTCCAGTGACAACAAAGCCATTAGGTCAACACTCACTAAATAAATTTTTTAAAAACCCAACACTTTGATAGAGAGGGAAGTAAGATGCTCAGTGATCTAAGTCTCCATAGGGAGGGCTAGGAATGGGTGGCTGTGTTTGGACACTCTTACCACATCCTTTTCTCTGAAGTACACCACCTGGGCAGTTCCTTAGAATGTGAGACCACGGGCTGGGTGTGGTTGGCTCATGCCCATAATCCCAGCACTTAGGGAGGCTGAGGCAGAAAGATCACTTGAGCCCAGGAGTTCAAGGCCAGCCTGGACAACATAATGACACTCTATCCCCAACACACAACAAAATTTTTAAATTAGCCAGGCCTGGTGGTAAACACCTGTAGTCCCAAGCCACTTGCAAGACTGAGGCGGGAAGATGGCTTGAGCCCAGGAGTTTGAGGCTGCAGTGAGCTATGATCAAGCCGCTGTACCCCAGCCTGGGTGACATAAATAAGTAAGTAAATAAATAAATAAATAAAAAGTGAACCCATGCAGTTAGGTTTTGAAGCATTTAGGTTACTCCTGTTTTCTACTCTTCTGCCTTCCTTTCACGTTTAAAGGCCTGCAAACCATATAAATCATCCCATAGGTTTCTTGGCAAGTTCAGCACTGATCCAAATAAAATATACCAGGATCTTTGTTCTGGGAATGGCAGTAACGATTTCCAGGTTGTTTTTAAAAATAATAGTGTATTTTTAAACTTTTTATTCAAGTATAACATATATGCCAAAAGTGCACATATCATTGGTGTACATAGAGTGGATTCTTAGAAGTTGAACACACGCTAATAACTAGCACTGAGAACAAGAATCAGAACATTACCAGATCCCCTGGAAGCCCCTACTGTTCCCTCCCACCCCTGCAGGTAGGAATACACCACAATTTATTTATTAGTTCTACTATTAATGGGAGATTCCCAGGTTTTAACAGTAAAATAGATATTTAGAGTAGTTGGGTCAAGACTAAGTAGGGCAGTGGGATAGATCTTCATTGGGTGATGTCTGAAATAACTTAGTGTTTTCCCCTTTTGAGGATTAGTAGCAGAACTCTCTGATTCTCTAGGAAATATCTACCTGCATGGCAGCATGGGAATTTGCAGTCTGGTCTGACTCCATTAGTTCTCTGTGCATAGAAATGTCAGGCTGGAAGGGGATCAGGGCAAGTTAGAGCCAAGCCCACTTCCTCTTCTCTCCAGCGGAAGGGTCATTAGCAGCTGACCACCAGTGTCAGCTGGGCAGCGATGGAACTGTTGACAAAACCAGAAGTAACTTTCCTAGGAAGTTGGTTTTAAGTAGGTGTTTGGTGTGAGTCTTTGGAATATTCATATTTAAAAAGTGGGTTTAGAAAGATGTTTATTAAAAAGGAGGAAATGTTAAGAGATAAATGAAGCCCCCAAATAAATTATCTCAGACAAAACAAGCTTTCAAAATAAGATAGGAAAAACTGAGAAAGGAAAGTGTCCTGTAGCATTTTGATGTGCATTACAAAAGAGAAAGAACCGCTGAGGTCAGCAATCATCCTGGCTGGATTTACCTCCTCACTAAAAAATAAAAAAGCTGCAGGGATTACCGTTAAAAAACTCACAAAACGAATACCTGTATTGTTTTGCTTTTAAAAGGATCACACGTTATTTTTTAAGACCTAGAAAACATAGATCAACAGAAAGTAAAAATTTTTAATGTTAATTTAACAACTGGGGATAACCACTCATTAACATTTTAATGAGTATCCTTTGAGTCTATATACATGTATTTACACGCCTTTTACATTAATGATGATAGTATACGTACTGCTGTGAAACTTGCTTTAAAAAAGTGTGTTATGGGCTTTCTATGCTTACAATACATTTTTAGTGAAATAAAGCAAGATAAACTTGCACAGGCAAGTTTAAAACCTCTGGCTTCTTATTTGAGGAAAACATAATACAGAAGGTAAAATAATCAAAACAAATTTAAAATCTTCACGATGCATCATAAATATTTTCCCATGCCAGTGACTACTGTTCTACAACATGAGATTTAATGACCATATTTTTTTTCATCGTGAAGAGATACCATAATTTAATGTATTCCCTATGTGTGGGCATTAGGCAATTTTGCATTATTCATTACTAGAACAAACACTGCAATGGATAGTCTTAGAGAGAACTATCTGTGCACATTCATTATTGTTTACTTAGAATAAATTCCTGGAAGAGACATTGCTCAGTCAAAAGCTATGCCCTTTTCAAAGCATTTTGATACTGATTTCCAAATTTCCCTCTGGAGAGGTTGTACTGATTTACAGCCCACCAGCAGTGTTTATGAGTGTTTGCCAATGCTGAGTAAGTGCAAGCATTTAAAGAAGGCTTTGGAAATATGATAGGGAATACATGGTAGCTTGTGGATTCTTTAACCCGTGTTGTGTATAGAGTGTAAATCCTCATCTGGTCTCCGATGCCTTTCGCAACAGGATTGCCACCTATCTCTCTGGCCTCATTTCATCTCCTTCTATTCCTCTCCCACCACCCCCACGCTGCCCCCCTCCCCACACTGTTGTTCAAACAGGATTCATACATTCTTAGCTTTGTGCTTTTTCTCCCTAGATGACACTCATATTCCATCCACTGTCACCTTAGCCTTCCGTAATCGCTTAAAATCTATTAATATCATTTGAGACTGGGTGCAGTGGCTCATGCCTATAATCTCAGCAACTTGGGAGGCCAAGGTGGGAGGATCAGTTGAGCCCAGGAGTTTGGGACCTGCTTGGGCAACATAGTGAGACCTCGTCTCTACGAAAAATCAAAAAAATTAGCCAGTCATGGTGGAGCATGCCTGTGGTTTCAGCAACTCCAGGAAGGCTGAAGTGGGAGGATTGCTTGAATTCGGGAGGTTCGGGCTGCAGTGAGCTGTGATCATGCCACTGCACTCCAGCCTGGGTGACAGAAGGAGAGCTGTTTCAAAAACAAAAACAAACAAACAAACAAACAAAAACAAAAAAAACATGCTGGGTGCGGTGGCTCACACCTGTAATCCCAGCACTTTGGGAGGCCGAGGCACATGGATCATTTGAGGTCAAGAGTTTGAGACCAGCCTGGCCAACACGGTGAAACCCTGTTTCTACTAAAAATACAAAAATTAGCTGAGTGTGGTAGGACGCACCTGTAATCCCAGCTACCTGGGAGGCTGAGGTGGGAGAAAAGCTTGACCCCAGGAGGCGGAGGTTGCAGTGAGCCAAGACCGCACCATTGCACTCCAGCCTGGGCAACAAGTGCAAAACTGTCTCAAAAAAAAAAAAAAAAAAAAAAAAAAAAAGGATCATTTGAAACTGTTTCAAAGTCCATATCCCTCATCAGGTCTTTTCTTGTTCCTCCCAAGCAAAGGGACTCTTTTGCTTCTTCTCCTGTAATTGTTTTATGGCAGTTAATTTTCCCTATACAAGTCACATCCATAGTTCCAGAATGAGGGCTACGGCCCATTCTTAATTGTCTCCTGTACTAGGGGCAAGTCACCTTTCCCTGCTGTGCCTCAGTTTTCTCATCTGTAAAGCACAGAAGTCTGATTCAGATTAGATGATTTTTAAGTACCAATTCACCTTTAACAATTTATCATTCCATCTTTTTTCCCACAGTAGACAAACCTATCCATCAATTCTTCCATATGACTTATTGCACAACCAGGACAGTGATCCCTAAATTTCTTAAGGCCACAGATGCCTTTGAGAATCTGAAGAAAGCCCTGAGCCCTAATTTTCCGCAAATTAATTTAGAGATATGGGCATTCAAGGACAATGTGATTGTTAAACAGTCTGTTTAAGGGCCCAAGATTAAGAACTTGGCTGTTTAAGTCTGTGTTTGTTTGTGTTTCTCTTGAATATAGTAGGAAGGTTCAATAAATATTTTTCAATGTGAATCATATTCAAACAGGAAGGTGAATACTAAAAAATAATTATGTGGGTTTTCTCTTGGGACTTAATTATAAGTTTCATTACTTTCAGGTCACCCTTGGTGTTAAATCTCCACTCATGTCAACACATTAAAAAGGCAAATTGAGAGGCTTTCAAAGTACATTCAAAATAGGCCATGCCCTTTAGTCTTTTAGGCACCATTAAACATCCAGCATTTTGATAAATCCTACATAGCAGTTAGTGATTTCAGATTTCCTGTGTGAGAGGATTGCGAATGGGTAAGCAGTTATAATGTAATGTTTTTCCTCAAACATGAGGACACAGATTTTTGTGAGATTAATTCATGGTCATAAGAGTAGATTGGGAAAGGATAAAAGGATAAACCAGGCAGTTTTCAAATAAATCTGCCTTATTAGAAAATATATAAATGGGCCAGTTGTGGTGGCTCATGCCTGTGATCCCAGCACTTCGGGAGGCTGAGACGGGCGGATCACGAGGTCAGGAGACCAAGACCATCCTGGCCAATATGGTGAAACCCCATCCCTACTAAAAATACAAAAAAAATTAGCTGGGCATGGTGGTGTGCACCCGTAGTCCTAGCTACTCAGGAGGCTGAGGCAGGATAATTGCTTGAACCCAGGAGGCAGAGGTTGCAGTAAGCTGAGATCTCACTATTGCACTCCAGCTTGGGTGACAAGAGTGAAACTCCGTCTCAAAAAAAAAAAAAAAAAAAGAATAGAATAAAATAAAATTGACAGCTCTCGAGATCTTTAAAAAAATTTTTTTTATTTTTATTTTTTGTTTTTGAGACGGAATTTTGCTCTCGTTGTCCAGACTGGAGTGCAATGGTGCGATCTTGGCTCACTGCAACCTCCGCCTCCCGGGTTCAAGCCATTCTCCTGCTTCAGCCTCCCGAGTAGCTGGGATTACAGGCGCCCACAACCATGCCCAGCTAATTTTTGTATTTTTAGTAGAGACGGGATTCACTATATTGGCCAGGCTGGTCTCGAACTCCTGGCCTCAGGCAATCCCCCCACCTCAGCCTCCCAAAGTGCTGGGATTAAAGGCTTGAGCTACCGCGCCGGCCTTTTGTTAATTAAAAAAATAAAAAAATGTTGACATCTGTAGAGATCTTTATCTGGCTATCTCACTAAAGGGAAAAATACTTGACTATGTCATTAATCCAAAGGATGATGCCTGTTCTTGAGATTAGTGGAGGTACAGAATTGGGATTTGCCTGCTAGCTGAACATTTTCATGCGAGTATGTGCTCTCCGCTTTTAGAGTGTGTCTTTTCTCTATTGTTTCTCCTTCCTACTTTACATTAAAGGGAGATGAATGCAATATATACTACTTAGTTTGGGGGTATAAATTCTGTATTGTGAACCTGGATTATTGTTCTCTCTTTAGAACCAATTATTTGGTGTAGTTCAGCAGTAAAACCAAGAATAATGACATGATCCGCTATCTGGATGTTCTATTACTCACTTTCTCCAATTGTTCCTACATCCAAGCAAACAGGCCCCCAGTCACAATCTGCAGCGACAGCAGTTTAATTAATATTCCTTCTGACAATGCTGGTGTAGCTGTTGGTGACTTCCACTTGCGTGGAATTAATATGGGAGTGCTGGGAAGGGAAGACCCTGGTCTCTTTAAATAATAGGAAACCGGGGAAGGGAAGTGCAGGGTAGAGGAGGGCGTGGTCCCTTGTTAGGGATCCACCCCACGGACCTAGGTGAGGACAGACATTTCCTGCCCAACTGTTGCATTTCCCGACACCACCCTGGCCTGCCACGCCCCATCCTGTACCTATAATAACCGTTCTCCACCCCCACCCCCCGCCCCGTACCACACACACATCCTAGCGGGCAGCCACACATCAAAAGGAGCACGTCGGCTGAAGAAGACACAAGCAGCTGGTCGTTGAGAAGAGCTCGCAGAAGAGCATGCCTCCTCTGCGGCCGAAGAGCATGCCCGCAGGCAGTGGAGTCTGGCCAGGGCAGTCTGGCCAGGGCAGTGGGAGGACAGCCGGGCTGCTGAGAGGCCCAACTGCAGGGGAAGACTACCTCCCTTGTGGATCCTCCGTCCGCTGAGAGCTACCTCCACGCAATAAAATTTTACACTCATTCTCCAAGCCCACGTGTGATTTGCTTCTTCCAGTACACCAAGGCAAGAAACCCCGGGGTACAGAAATCCCTCTGTCCTTGTGATAAGGAAGAGGGTCTAATTGAGCTGGTTAATTCAAGTGGTCTGTAGATGGCAAACTGAGAGCACCCTGTAACACACGCCCACTGGGGCCTCAGGAGCTGTCAACATTCACCCCTATACACTACTAACATTCATCCCTAGACACTGCCATGGGGTCGGAGCCCCACAGCCTGTCCGTGTGTATGCTTCCCTAGAGGTTTGAGCAGCGGGGCACTGAAGATGCGAGCCCCACCCCCATCACACGCCCTGAGAGGGGGATTCCCATTTCAGAATAAGAAGTTGACTCACACCATTGATTAATTCGGTTTTGAATGTTTTGTGTTGTTCTAAGTCATCTCTAGGTGACCTGGGCTTGAGTCATCTCTCCAGAGAGTCATTGGATCAAATTTTCTGCAGCTAGGTCCTAGATTTTTTTTGTTGTTGTTCAAATTTATCCTTCTGAAAATATGGCAAAACCTATTTGGTATATGTCCAATATGTGTGGCATATATGGGTCTTTTATGAATTTGAATTTAAGGGACAAAAGTTGGCATAACTATCCTTGCCTCAGGGAAGTTGTCCCTGAATCTCAAGGTGAGGGTAGGTCTACTGTTAGAAATCCTCATACTGTTCAGTTCTTTACAATTTTAGACTTACTGCTATCATATTTATATAGTTGATTATGCAATTATTTGTTTACTGTCTTCCTTCATAAGGAACTATGTCCTTTAAAATGATTTCTCTACCCCAAAGGTTTAGCAACATGCCTAGAATAGATGCTAAAAATGATTTCTTGGCTGGGCATGGTCACAACTGTAATCGGAGCACTTTGGGAGGCCAAGGCAGGAGGCGCGCTTGAGCCCAGAAATTCGAGACCAGCTTTGGCAGTATGGCAAGACCCTGTCTCTACAAAAAATAAAATAAAAAGCTAGGCATGGTGGCATGTGCCTATAATCCCAGCGACTTTGGAGGCTAAGGCAGGGGGATTGTGCCTAGGGGTTGGTGGCTGTAGTAAGCTATGATAGCACCACTGCACTCAGCCTGGGCAACAGAGTGAGACCCTGTTTCTCAAATAAATAAATAACATAAAAATATTTATTGAACAAATTGTTACTATGTATTATTATCACTACTAGTAGTAGTAACATTTGTAGAGGTCTTTGCAGTTTTCAAAGTCCTATATGTTGTTAACTCATCATCCATAGATCTTAAAAACATAATGCTGGCCAGGCATGGTGGCTCACGCCTGTAACCCCAGCACTTTGGGAGGCCGAGGCAGGTGGATCACAAGGTCAGGAGTTCAAGACCAGCCTGGCCAAGATGGTGAAACCCTGTCTCTACTAAAACTACAAAAATTAGCCAGGTGCGGTGGCAGGTGCCTGTAATCCCAGCTACTTGGGAGGCTGAGGCAGGAGAATCGCTTGAATCTGGGCAGCAGAGGATGCAGTGACCCTAGATTGTGCCACTGCATTCCAGCCTGGGCGACAAGAGTGAGACTCTGTCTGGAAACAAAAAACAAAAAACAAAACAAAAAAAAAGAACAACAACAACAAAAAAGCTATAATGCTAAGTGAAAACAAAACAGCACAAGCTTGATGCCATTTATGTAATGGCATAAAATACCATTTACGTAAATTTAAAACATATAAATAGGCCGGGAGCAGTGGCTCACGCCTGTAATCCCAGCACTTTGGGAGGCCGAGGCGGGCAGATCACGAGGTCAGGAGATCGAGACCATCCTGGCTAAAACGGTGAAACCCATCTCTACTAAAAAATACAAAAAAATTAGCTGGGCATGGTGGTGGGTGCCTGTAGTCCCAGCTACTCGGGAGGCTGAGGCAGGAGAATGGCGTGAACCCAGGAGGCGGAGCTTCCAGTGAGCCGAGACTGTGCCACTGCACTGCAGCCTGGGTGACAGAGTGAGACCCTGTCTCAAAAAAACAAAAACAAAAAAAACCATAAATACATGAATTAGCACTATGTAGGATTTAAGAATCCATGTGTACCTAAGCACATATAGTGAACAAGTGAGCTAAAGAGAAAATCTGGGAGAAGGAGATTTGTACTTGTGTAGAGAATAACTTAAGAAACATAATAAAATTAAGCAGGAGTGTGGCCTTGCACAGACTGAAGGTAATAAGATATTGGGAACTGAGAAGTATAATTAACTCTAACCTAAAGCCCAGGAGAGGTAGAAGGGAGAGATTTGTGTACATTAGACTTTGGGAAAAAATCTACAATAATTATTTGCACCATATTTTGAGTGCGTTCAATTTTCCAAACACCTGATTCTTGACTCAACATCACCTTACTCCCCCAAAGCATTGTCCTATTTTTCTTCCTTCTGTCTTTTCTCTTGCTTATACACTCTCAAAATATCCTTGCTAAAAAGAAATGATTATCCATGCAACAACATGGATAAATCTCAACACATAATACTAAATGGAAAAGCCATACTCAACAGGCTATGTACTGTACAATCCCATTTACAGGACATTCTGGAAAAGGTGAAACTATAGGGACAGAAATCAGATCAGTGATTGCCAGGGACTGTGGTGGGGAAGAGGACTGATTATAGAGAAGCAGGAGAGTTGCTTGAGTCCAGGAGTGCCAGGCTGTAGTGAGCTGTGATCATGCCACTGCACTTCAGCCTGGACAACAGAGTGAAACCCTGTCTCAAAAAAACAAAAACAAATACAAAAACAAAGAAAAAACATAAGTAAATTATTTATGTATAAATTATACTGTATATTTAAACACAGAAAGCAAACACATTTCTATGAATTTCCAGAAAAACATAATTCATTTTTATGATCTTCATTTCTTTAATGAGGCAAAAAAGCAAAAACAAAAACCAAAAACCAGAAAGTACAGACTCCCACCAGTGGTGGTATTGAATGAGTTAAATGTCTCCTTGAAATCATACTGTTTTTGATTCTGTAATGTGGTTAGTCAATAGAACAATTCAGGGCAGAGAATTCTTACGGAAGAAGGCTGCAAATGTAGGTTACATTAGGGATCCACTGAGCCACTGATCTGGAGTAACAAATGGGAAAGATTGTAGATATGGTGATAGGCAAATTCATATTTTTCTGGGTAACTTGTTAAGAAGATAGTTAAAGGTCTAGCTTGAAATAATTTTGGACAGATTTTAGGGCAAGCAGTTTGATGTTGTGGAAAGTGTATGGCCTTGGATTAAATCTTGGTTTTAGATGGATAGACTTGGGTTTGAATATTGACTTCCCCACTTAATACTTAAAAGTATGAAGTTAATATAAGTATTAAGTTAATTAATACTTATTAATACTTAATAAGAAGTATATAAAGTTAATATAAGCATTAAGTTAATTAACCTCTGGCTGTTCATTTCCTCATCTGAAAAATGGGCTAATAAAAGCTGCCATGTGCAGGGCATGGTGGCTTATGCCTGTAATCTCAGCACTTTGGGAGGCCAAGGCAGGAGGATCATTTGAGGCCAGGAATTCAAGACCAGCCTTAGCAACGTAGCAAGACCTCATCCCTACAAAAATTTAAAAAATTAGCCAGGTGGCATGTGCCTGTAGTCTTAGTAACTCAGGAGGCTGAAGTGGGAGGATCATTTGAGCCTAGGAATTTGAAGTTGCAGTGAGCTATGACAGAACCACTGCACTCCAGCCTGGGCAACAGAGTGAGATTATGTCTCTAAATAAATAAATAAAAATAAATAAATACATACAAATTTTTAAAAATCTGGCATGCAGCGTTGTCATGAGGATTTGAAATAAAGAACTAAAGCCATACTTTAGTTTTTTAAGGGACTAGCACTTGTTAGGTGCTCAACAATTCATAACACTTTAATATTTACTGTGGGTTAGAATGCACAATCTAAAATAGGTCAGGCCCAGAGACAGAATACTCAGGCCTCTGGGGTTATGAGCCTCAGATGTGGAGAGGTCCTTTGAAGGCCAATTACTGTGTCTGAGGAATGATAGAAGACTCCTCCCAACCCCCAGAAAGCTGGAAAACTCTCTGTTAAAGAGGCCTTTCCCACATGATGATAAATTTGATATCTAAGCTGGGGATTTATCTTCATTTACCCAAGAACATTTGGCCTCTGAGTCAGAAGGAAAAGGTATTTTTTCTTTTCTAATTGGAGTTCCACATGATCCTCCAGGCTATGTAATAATACATAACTGCCCCCCACCCCTTATCCTCAGGGGTATGTTCTAAGACTTCCAGTGGATACCTTAAACTTTATGTAGTTCTGAACTCAATATATACTATTATTTTTCCTATACATAATGTCTATGATAAAGCTTAATTTATAAATTAGGCACAGTAAGAGACTAATAACAATAACTAATAATAAGGCCGGACACGGTGGCTCACACCTGTAATCCCAGCACTTTGGGAGGCTGAGGTGGGAAGATTGCTTGAGCCTAGGAATTCAAAGCCAGCCTGGGCAACATAGTGAGAACCCATCCCTAAAAAAAGAAATAAAAAAAATTGTCAGCCATGGTGGCACAAGCCTGTAACTCAGTTACTTGGCTGAGGCAAGAGGATTGCTGGACCCCAGGAGTTTGAGGCAGCAGAGTTATGACTTTGCCACTGCATTCCTGCCTGGGTGACAAGAGCGAGACCCTGTTTCTAAATAATAATAATATAACAATATTCTGTAATGAAAGTTACGTAAATGTGGTCTCTTATTATACTGTACTGAGAATAAGAGGGGACTACTGTAGTACAGTTAAAGGGTAGACAAATATAATAGGAGAATGTTGATTAGTAAGTCCGTGGGTTGGTATGGTGGAAAGTGCTCTGCATTCAGAAACAGGAAGCCTGGGTAATCTGTGTTTTTTTTTCTCCCCAAAGTAGGTACTTGAGGTCACTAGTTGCTCCTTTTGGGGTTTCATTTTCTGACTATAAGAAAAGAGGATGTTGAAGGCCGGGCACCTGTAATCTCAGCACTTTGGGAGGCTAAGACAGGGGGATCACTTGAGGCCAGGAGTTCAAGACTAGCCTGATCAACATGGCAAAACCCAGACTCTACTAAAAATACAAAAATTAGCCTGGTGTGGAGGCATGTTCCTGTATCCTAGCTACTCGAGAGGCTGAGGCATGAGAATTGCCTGAACCCAGGAGGCAGAGGTTGCAGTGATCTGAGATCACGCCACTGCACTCCAGCCTGGGTGACAAAGCAAGGCCCTGTCTCAAAAAAATGAAACAAAACAAAACAAAAAAGAGGATGTTAAATGACTTTTCAGGTCATGTCCACCTAGGATATTCTACTATTCTATGGCTTGAAACTGGAGAAGGATCTTAATTAATTAATTGATTGATTTATACAAGGCTCAATATGGTATTGATTCCACGTGGAGCCCTGTGCCATGTGATGGACAGTTAATGAACAAGCTCGACCTAGGCCTTTCCTGAATTGAGCTTGTATCTATTGCAGTGCTACTTGTCTAGGGTCAGTTCCCATTCAGTGCTTTCATCTGGAACATAGAGGGCATGTTAATTCCACTTGTAGGATGTTCAGATCTGGTAGTGTTGACCAAGACATTGTATGACAGAATCAGGTTAAAAAACAAAATTAAAAAAAAAAAATTCTAGAGTTTGGAAAGATGGGCCAAGGCTCACAAGATAAATACATAAGGTATAACTCAGTACACACAGAAGGAAAGTCTTCAACTCAGGTTTAAAAGGCACAGGATAAGAAACATAGAATGGTAGCTTTAAGCATCTGATCTGTTCTTCTGTTCAGGCTCTAGTTATAGGGATTACATAGTCACAAAGTAACAATTATCACAGAGTTGAAAAAGGATTGGGCCTCCCTAAGCTCTCTCCACCTGACAGTTACACAAATGCTATTGATAAAGATGGGAACCAGTTCCCTAATCTTTTCCACTCAATCTTTTCCTTCCCTTTTCTTTCATTCGCTCCTTTGAGAGCAGGTGTGCCTTGTCTTAACATTGTATCCATTCCAGTATCTTTAGTCCATAGTTCTTGGATTTGCAAACCATAGGCAATTGATAAAATGGAAATAATACCTGACTTTATAGCAGTTCACCTGAAAATAAATTGAAGCATTTTAATTGATATCAGTCGACTGTGTGATGGAGCTGCCGGGAAATACCAAGATCATCTCGGACTACATGAATAGAAGTGTACAGTGGGCAGCAAGAGAGCTCTGTGCTCTGTGTTGGGCAGACAAGTTCATAAACAATCTGCTCCATTCTGAGTACGACATTGAATGAGCAATATTAAAATTGGAGACTGTTCAAACAAAATGAACAAATTAGGGACAGCACAGTAAAGTGTAATAATATCATTTTGGAGTCAGACAGGCTTATTCAGACCCAAGTTCTGACACTTACTATGTCACCTTGGGGAAGTTATTTAACTTCTCACAGCCTCAGTTTACTTGTCTATGTAATGGAAATAATAATAGTATCTATTTCATGGATTATGCCAAGGACTATGATCATGATGAGCAATTATCATTTACATTTGGAGGAATTAGAGTGGTTTAGCCAGAAGATTTGAAGACTTAGGAGTTGGGGTGTGGTGTGTATGGGATATTATGTCTATCTTTAGATATTTGAACAATTGCTGTTGGAGGAGTTATTGTGCTTATGTTGGGTAGATGCATATGACAGAATTAGGTCAAATAGTGGGATATGCAGAGAAGATGACATTGCCTCAACACATGGCATAAATTTTTGACAATTAGCTTTGTTTAAAAATGGAATTAAGTTCTTTCATCAGGTGGTGATTTCCAGACCACAGTGAATGTTCAAGCAGAGACTGGTTTCTGTGTCTTAGAATGGTATAGAGGAGAGTTCTGCACTGGCCAAGTGAGTTTGGGCTATTAGGGGTTCCCAAACTTGGCTGTGCAGGAGAACCATCTAGCAGTAGAGCTCAGAGTCTCTAATAAGGTCCTTAGATGGTTTTGATGAAGCCAGTCTCTGCATAGGTGATTTAGATCCACTGGACTGCAGGATGGGTGCCCTTTCACCTATATTTTGTTATAATGGGATTCCAGTAGGGAAGTGCTTTGAGCCAGGAGACAGGAAGATAAGAAAGTGCTGGCAGGGCATGGTGGCTCACCACGCTTGTAATCTCAGCACTTTGGGAGGCCGAGGTGGGCGGATCACCTGAGGTTGGGAGTTTAAGACCAGCCTGACCAACATGGTAAAACCCTGTCTCTACTAAAAATGCAAAATTAGCCTGGCATGGTGGCGGGCACCTGTAATCCCAGCTACTAGGGAGGCTGAGGTAGGAGAATCGCTTGAACCTGGGAGGCAGAGGTTGCAGTGAGCTGAGATTGCACTACTGTACTCCAGCCTGGGCAACAAGATCAAGACTCCGTCTCAAAAAAAAAAAAAAAAAAAAAAAAAGAAAGTGCCACACATATTTTGGAGTCATTTGGTTAGAAGGGAGGCTTCAAGTTTGGGAGCGGCTGGAGTCTGGTTTGAATGAGAAGTTAGGGCCAGCGTATGGAGAAATTTAGATGCTACGTGTGGGAGTTTGCAGGTTACCAAGCAGGGGTCCATGATAAATGTAGGACAAAAGAAGTTACAAATAATCACATTCTGAAAAGTTGAGCTAAATGATGAATAAGGACAAGTCCAGACATCATATTCCTTTCCTCTTGGAGTTCTCAAGCACAGAACCTGTAGCTTGAGTTGTCATCTTCCATTTTCTTCATTTCGGAGCTCCTCTTCATCGCACCCTGAGTGGTGATGATCCACAACGTTCCTGTTCCTTTCCAGGCCGAGAGAGTGGGCAGGAGGAGGAGCTTTCATTGAAGTGATTCTCTCAGCTGTATAGGAAGCACCCCGGGTCTGCTCAACAGAAAAGCCACAGTTCATGGACTTGGTGGTATCGGAGGTGCCAAGGGCTGGAAGCCAAAGTTCAGTTTCCTCTTAAGCAGCAAGTTCTTTTGCGTAAGTCCAACCTGCTGACTTGCTCCGTGTAAGTGCTTTTGTTTTTATCTCAAGGCTATTCTTAAGTTAATTAGTTGCAATTACTAGCTCTGCTGCAGTGGAATGCATAGTAACAGAAGGGGGAAATGAGGCCATCAGGGAGATGCAGTTGAGTGTTCTGAGACAACATACAGAGGAACTGCAATTCGTTACACTCACCAATTAAGTCCGAAAAAAGAAAAAACAACAACAACAACAATAAAACCAAAACTTGCTCCAAATAGAAACACAAAGGATGAGGCAAATATACTTACACAGTGTTTGTTATAATGTCTGCCCACATCCAGAGGCCACGAAATGTCCCTAAGGATGGTTTCCCATGACAGTAAGCCACAGCAGGCAGAAAGAGCAGTGGGGCTTGTTAAGAGCTATAGATTCAAAAGCTTCTTTTTATTAGCTGTCAGTCTAATTTCTATTGGGGCCAGTCAGTTCCATCACCTATAGGATGAAAACAGAGACACCAACCTCAAAGCGTGTTGGAGCCTTATATAGGAAGCACTTTTGACCATATTTTTTTTTTTTTTGAGACAGAGTCTCGCTCTGTCACCCAGGCTCTAGTGCAGTGGCGTGATCTCGGCTCCCTGCCAGCTCCGCCTCCAAGGTTCATGCCATTCTCCTGCCTCAGCCTCCCAAGTAGCTGGGACTACAGGCGCCGGCCACCATGCCCAGCTAATTTTTTGTATTTTTAGTAGAGACGGGGTTTCACTGTGTTAGCCAGGATGGTCTCGATCTCCTGACCTCGTGATCCGCCTGCCACGGCCTCCCAAAGTGCAGGGATTGCAGGCGTGAGCCACCGCACTCGGCCAACCATATTTTTAGTTTGATAAATGCAGGTTGAGTTTGCGATTGTCTCTGCTGCAACCTGGCTTTCCTGCTGGGCCATGTCAGGCCTCTGAGCCCAAGCTAAGCCATCATATCCCCTGTGACCTGCAACTGAAGAACCACAAAAGAAGTGAAAATAGGCAGTTCCTGCCTTAACTGATGACATTCCACTGTTGTGATTTGTTCCCGCCCCACCCTAACTGATCAATTGACCTTGTGACACTCCTTCTCCTGGACAGTGAGTCTCGGGAGCTCCCCACTGAGCACCTTGTGACCCCCGCCCCTGCCCACAAGAGAAAAAGCCCCTTTGACTGTAATTTTTCACTACCTACCCAAATCCTACAAAACTGTCCCACTCCTATCTCCCTTTGCTGACTCCTTTTTTGGACTCAGTCCACCTGCACCCAGGTGATTAAAAAGCTTTATTGCTCACACAAAGCCTCTTCACACGGACACGTGTAACATTTGGTGCCAAAGACCTGGGACAGAAGGACTCCTTCGGGAGACCGGTCCCCTGTCTTCGCCCTCACTCCGTGAGGAGATCCACCTATGACCTCAGGTCCTCAGACCAGCCCAAGGAACATCTCACTGATTTCAAATCGGGTAAGCAGTCTCTTCATTCTCTTCTCCAGCCTCTCTTGCTACCCTTCAATCTCACTGTCCTTCCAATTCCAGTTCTTTTTTCCTCTCTAGTAGAGACAAAGGAGACACATTTTATCCGTCAACTTAAAAACTCCGACGTCGGTCACGGATTTGGGAAGACAGCCTTCCGTTGGTGTCTGATTATAGCGGGGACGCCTGCCTTGATCATTCACCCACATTTCACTGGTGTCTGATCACCGTGGGGATGCCTGCCTTGGTCATTCACCCACTCACCACATTCCCTTGGTGGCAAGTCAATTGCTGGGATGCCTGCTTTGGATGCTCACCCACATTACAGCCTAGGGTGGCTCACCCGCCCCCTTCTCCGTGTCTCTACCTTTCTCTTTAAACTTACCTCCTTACTATGGGCAAACTTCCGCCCTCCATTCCCCCTTCTTCTCCCTTAGCCTGTGTTCTTAAAAACCTAAAACCCCTTCGACTAACACCTGACCTAAAACCTAAATGTCTTCTTTTCTTCTGTAATACCGCTTGGCCCCAATACAAACTGGGCAATAGTTCCAAGTGGCCAGAGAATGGCACTTTTGATTTGTCCATCCTACAAGATCTAGATAATGTATGTCGTAAAATGGGCAAATGGTCTGAGGTGCCTGACGTCCAGGCATTCTTTACACGTCAGTCCCTCCCTAGTCTCTGCTCCCAATGAGACTCGTCCCAAATCTTTCTTCTTTCTCTCCTGTCTGTTCCTTCAGTCTCCACCCCAAGTTCTGAGTCCTTTGAATCCTCCTTTTCTACAGACAAATCTGACCTCTCCCCTCCTCCCCAGGCTGCTCCTCACCAGGCCCAATTCTTCCTCAGCCTCCACTCCCCCACCCTATAATCCTTCTATCACCTCCCCTCCTTACACCCAGTTTGGCTTACAGTTTCGTTCCGCGACTAGCTCTTCCCCACTTGCCCCAAAATTGCCTCTGACAGAGGTGGCTGGAGCTGAAGGCATAGTCAAGGTTAATGCTGCTTTTTCTTTATCCAACCTCTCCCAAATCAGCATTTAGGCTCTTTTTCATCAAATATAAAAAGCCAGCCCAGTTCATGACCCATTTGGCAACAACCCTTAGGTGCTTTACCACCCTAGACCCAGAGGGGCCAGAAGACCATCTTATTCTCAATATGAATTTTATCACCCAGTCCACTCCTGACATTAGAAAAAGCTCCAAAAATTAGATTCCAGCTTTTGAACCCCACAGCAGGACTTAATTAACCTTGCCTTTAAGGTGTACAATAATAGAGAAGAGACAGCCAAGCAACAATGTATTTCTGAGTTGCAATTACTTGCCTCCACTGTGAGAAAAACCCCAGCCACATCTCCAGCACACAAGAACTTCAAAGGCCAAGTGCAGTGGCTCACGCCTGTAATCCCAGCACTTTGGGAGGCCGAGGTAGGCGGATCATGAGGTCAGGAGTTCGAGACAAGCCTGGCCAAGATGGTGAAACCCCATCTCCACTAAAAATACAAAAATTAGCCGGGCATGGTGGCACATGCCTGTAGTCCCAAGTCCCAGTTTGGAAGGATGAGGCAGGAGAATCACTTGAACCTGGGAGGCAGAGGTTGTGATGAACTGAGATTGTGCCATTGTACTCCAGCCTGGGCGACTGGAGTGAAACTCCATCTAAAAAAAAAACAAAAAAAAACCACAACTTCAAAACACCTAAACTGCAGCGGCCAGGCGTTCCTCCAGGACCTCCTCCCCCAGGATCTTGCTTCAAGTGCCGGAAATCTGGCCACTGGACCAAGGAATGCCAGCAGCCCAGGATTCCTCCTAAGCCATGTCCCATCTGTGCAGGTCCCCACTGGAAATCGGACTGTCCATCTTGCCCAGCAGCCACTCCCAGAGCCCCTGGAACTCTGGCCCAAGACTCTCTGACTGACTCCTTCCCCACCGATCCCAAAGGCTCTCTGATTGACTACTTCCCAGATCTTCTCTGCTTAGTGGCTGAAGACTGACACTGCCTGATCGCCTTGGAAGCCCCCTGGACCATCATAGATGCCGAGCTTTGGGTAACTCTTACAGTGGGAGGGTAAGTCTGTCCCCTTCTTAATCGATACAGAGGCTGCCCACTCCACATTACCTTCTTTTCAAGGGCCTGTTTCCCTTGCCTCCACAACTATTGTGGATATTGATGGCCAGGCTTCTAAACCTCTTAAAACTCCCCAACTCTGGTGCCAACTTGAACAACATCTTTTATGTGCTCCTTTTTAATTATCCCCACTTGCCCAGCTCCCTTATTAGGTTGAGACATTTTAACTAAATTATCTGCTTCCCTGACTACTCCTGGACTACAGCCACACCACATTGCTGCCCTTTTCCCCAGTTCAAAGCCTATTTTGCATCCTCCCCTTGTGTCTCCCTACCTTAATCCGCAAGTATGGGACACCTCTATTCCCTCCTTGGTGACCGATCATGCACCCCTTATCATCCCATTAAAACCTAATCACTCTTACCCTGCTCAACACCAATATCCCATCCCACAGCAGGCTTTAAAAGGGTTAAAGCCTGTTACCACTGGCCTGTTACAACATGGCCTCTTAAAGCCTACAAATTCTCCTTACAACTCCCCCATCCTACCCGTCCAGAAACTGGACAAGTCTTACAGGTTGGTTCAGGATCTTCACCTTATTAATCAAATCGTCCTTCCCATCCATCCTATAGTGCCAAATCCGTACACCCTCCTATCTTCAATACCCCCTCCCACAACTCACTATTCTGTTATTGACCTCAAAGACGTCTTCTTTACTATCCCCTTGCATCTCTCCTCCCAGCCTCTTTTCGCCTTTACTTGGACTGACCCTGACACCCACCAATCCCAACAACTCACCTGGACTGTTCTGCCCCAAGGCTTCAGGGACAGGCCACACTACTTTGGCCAGGCCCTTTCTCATGATCTGCTTTCTTTTCGCCTGTCTGCCTCCCATCTTATTCAATATTTTGATGATCTTCTTCTTTGCAGCCCCTCTTACCAATCTTCCCAGCAGGACACTGTCCTGCTTCTTCAACATCTCTACTCAAAGGGGTACTGAGTATCCCCCTCCAAGGCACAAATTTCTTCCCCTAGCGTTACCTATCTCAGTATAATCCTCCATCAACATACACATGCCCTTCCTGCAGACCATGTTCAGTTAATCTCCCAGACCCCAATCCCCACCACCAAACAGCAACTCCTTTCCTTCTTAGGCATTGTTGGATATTTCCTAGTCTAGATACCAGGCTTTTCTATCCTAACCAAACCACTTTACAAGCTCACAAAGGGTAACTTAAATGATCCCATAGACCCTAAGTCTTTTCCCAATTCTTCCTTTCACTCTTTCGAAAAGGCCCTGGAGACAGTTCCTACACTAGGACTCCTTGACTCATCCCATCCTTTTTCCTTACCACAGCTGACATACAAGGCTGTGCTGCTGGAGTCCTCACACAGGAGCCAGGCCCATGACCTGCTGCCTTTCTGTCAAAAGAACTTGACCTCACAGTTCTGGGCTGGCCTCTGTGTCTGCCTGAGGCAGCAGCCGCCTCTTTAATACTTCTAGAGGCCTTCAAAATCACAGGCTATGCTCCACTTACCCTCTATAGTTCTCACAACCTTCAAGCATTAATATCCTCATCGCACCTGTCATATTTATTGTCTGCCCCTCGACTCCTCCAGCTCTATTCACTTTTTGTTGAAACTCCAACAGTAACTATTACCCATGGGCCTGATTTCAACCCAGCTTCTCACTTAGCACCCAACGCAACTGAACCACATGACTGTATTTCACTAATACACATAGCATCTTCCCCCTTTCCTCATATTTCTATTCTTCCAATTCCAAACCTAGACCACACTTGGTTTATCGATGGCAGTTCTTCTAAACCCAATCAATTTTCACCAGCTAAAGCTGGATATGCTGTCATGTCCCACACCTCCATTATCGAAGCTGCTGCACTTCCTCCCTCCACTACTTCCCAACAAGCCAAACTGATTGCTTTAACTCGTGTGCTCTCTCTCGCTAAAGGAATGCATATTAACATTTATACTGACTTCAAATATGCTTTCCACATCCTCCATAACCATGCTGCCATCTGGGCTGAAAGAGGCTTCCTTATCACACAAGGCTCTTCCAGTATCAATGCCTTCCTAATAAGGGCCCTCCTTAAGGCTGCTCTGCTGCCGGCCAAGGCAGGAGTCATTCATTGTAAAGGACACCAGAAACCTACTGATCTTATTGCAAAAGAAAATGCCTATGCTGGCCGGGCTTGGTGGCTCACGCCTGTCATCCCAGCACTTTGGGAGGCTGAGGCGGGCGGATCACAAGCCCAGGAGTTCGAGACCAACCTGGCCAATATGGTGAAACCCCGAATCTACTAAAAATACAAAAATTAGCCAGGTGTGGTGGCGGACAACTGTCCCAGCTACTCGGGAGGCTGAGGCAGGAGAATTGCTTGAAACCGGGAGGCGGAGGTTGCAGTGAGCCGAGATTGGCCACTGTACTCCAGCCTGGGAGACAGAGCGAGACTCTGTCTTAAAAAAAAAAAAAAAGAAAAGAAAAGAAAAAAGAAAATGCCTCTGCCGACAGGATAGCAAAAGAAATAGCCAATGCCTCCACACCCGCTAATATTCCAGCCCCTACTCCAGAAGGCTAGTATTTTTCTTTCTCCTCTATCACTCTCACCTACTCTTCTTCTGAAAACCTGCTCTACCAGTCTTTTCCAACTCAGGGCAAGTGGTTCTTAGATCATGGAAAATTCACTCTTCCTGCCTCACAAGCTCAGTCCATTCTTTCTTCCCTTCATGACCACTTCCATGTGGGATACCAGCCTCTGGCTTGCCTCCTGCAGCCCCTCATCTCCTTCCCTTCATGGAAATTCATCCTTAAGACCATCACCTCTCAATGCTCTGTCTGCCATGCCACCAGCCCCCAAGGCTTTCTCAGGCCTTGTCCTTTTCCTATGCATCAGGCTTGTGGATTTACTCCAACACAAGGTTGGCAGATTGACTTTCCGTAAATTTAAATATCTGCTTGTTTGGATCGACACCTCCACCAGATGGGTCGACGCCTTTCCCACTAGCTCCGAAAAGGCTACTGCGGTCATTTCTTCCCTTCTAACAGATATAATTCCCTGATTTGGCCCCCCTACTTCTATTCAATCTGACAGTGGTCCGGCCTTTATTAGTCAAATCACCTAAGCAGTTTTTCAGGCTCTTGGTATTCAGTGGAACCTTCCTACTCCTTACCGTCCTCAATCCTCAGGAAAGGTAGAACAGACTAATGGTCTTTTAAAAACACGCCTCACCAAACTCAGCCTCCAACTTACAAAGGATTGGACAGTACTTTTACCTCTTGCCTTTCTCAAAATTAGAGCCTGTCCTCAAGGTGCTGCAGGGTACAGTCCATTTGAACTTTTATATGGATGCACTTTCTTGCTAGGCCCCAACCTTGTTCCAGATAAGGCGGGAGACCACCCCTCATATTGTCTTATGCCCAATTTCTGCCTCCAAAGAAAGAAGAAGTAAAAACTAAAAGGCAGAAATGAAATCCACAAGCAGACAGCCCGGCGCGTCACCCTGGGCCTGGTAGTTTAAAGATCGGCCCCTGACCTAATCAGTTATTTGCATGAGAAGAGCACTGTGAAGATCCCTGTCCTGTTCTGTTCTGTTCTAATTACCAGTGCATGCAGCCCCCAGTCACATATCCCCTGCTTGCTCAATCAATCACGACCCTCTCACGCGGACCCCCTTAGAGTTGTAAGCCCTTAAAAGGGATAGGAATTGCTCACTCAGGGAGCTTGGTTGTTGGAGACGTGAGTCTTGCCAAAGCTCCTGGCCAAATAAAGCCCTTCCTTCTTTAACTTGGTGTCTGAGGGGTTTTGTCTGCGGCTTGTCCTGCTACATTTCTTGGTTCCCTGATTGGGAAGCAAGGTGATTAACGGACTGTCGAGGCAGCCCTTTAGGTGGCTTAGGCCTGTCCTGTGGAGCATCCCTGCAGGGGACTACAGCCAGCTTGAGTGATGCGGATCCTGAGAGTGCTCCCAGGTAGGCAATTGCCCCAGTGGAATGCATCCTCAGAGCAGCACGTGGCAGGCCCCCGTGGAGGATCAATGCAGTGGCTGAACACCAGGAAGGAACTGGCACTTGGAGTCCGGACATCTGTAACTTGGTAAGTCTGGTCTTTGGAACTTGCCTACTCCATTTGAGTGGAAGCGTGGCCTGATCACCCACGGCATGCCCGTATCGGCACTTTGGTTTTTGTTTTTGACTTGACTTGGATTGCTTGATACTTTGGTTTTGCTTTTGACCTGGCTTGGATTTCCTGATACTCTGATTTTGGTTCTGATTCTGGTTTGGTGTAAGCTGAAACAGTGCGTGTGTGCCCTTTTTACCCATTCTTTGTTTTGTGGTGTGCGTGTGGTGTAAGCATGGTGTTTTGTCTCAAGGAAACATGGGTCAGGCACAAAGTAAGCCCACCCCACTAGGAACTATGTTGAAAAATTTCGAAAAGGGATTTAAGGGAGACTATGGAGTTACTATGACACCCGGAAAACTTAGAACTTTGTGTGAGATAGACTGGCCAGCATTAGAGATAGGTTGGCCATCAGAAGGAAGCCTGGACAGGTCCCTTGTTTCAAAGGTATGGCACAGGGTAAACTGTAAGCCAGGGCACCCAGATCAGTTCCGTATATAGATTCTTGGTTACAGCTAGTTTTGGACCCCCCACAGTGTTTAAGAGGACAGGCAGCAGCAGTACTAGTACTGCAGTCACCCCCACTACTTGGACTGCACCCCAAAAACTTGTCATCCCTACTATCTTCTGTCTCGTCATACTCCTATTCACCATTCTCAACTACTCATAAATGCCCTGCCCCTGTTTACACTGCCGGTTTACACTTTTTCTCCAAACCATCGTAGCGGATATCTCCTGGTACTATCCCCAATCCACCACTCTTGACTCCCTCTTGGAGAGGATAGATGATGTTTGCTGACAGGGCACCCTCCAATGCTTTCACCCTGATGAAGTCATATTATTTACTTTTATACTCACTCTTATTCTCATTCCCGTTCTTATGCCACCCTCTAACTCTCCCCATCTATCTTCACCACACTGTCAATCTCACTCACTCTCTCCTAGCCATTTCTAATCCTTCTTTAACAAACAATTGCTGGCTTTGCATTTCTCTTTCCTCCAAAATCTCCAAGGCCTTGACTTACTCACTGCTGAAGAAAGAGGACTGTGTATATTTTTAAATGTAGAGTGTTGTTTTTACCTAAATCAGTCTGGCTTGGTATATGACAACATAAAAAACTCAAGGATAGAGCTCAAAAACTCGCCAACCAAGCAAATAATTACACTGAACCCCCTTGGGCACTCTCTAATTGGATGTCCTGGGTCCTCCCAATTCTTAGTCCTTTAATAACTGTTTTCCTCCCTCTCTTATTTGGACCTTGTGTCTTCTGTTTAGTTTCTCAATTCATACAAAACCGCATCCAGACCATCACTAATCATTCTATATGACAAATGCTCCTTCTCTAACAACCCCACAATATCACCCCTTACCCCAAAATCTTTCTTCAGCTTAATCTCTCCCACTGTAGGTTCCCATGCTGCCCCTAATCCCGCTCGAAGCAGCCCTGAGAAACATCACCCATTATCTCTCCATACCACCCTCAAAAATTTTCGCCACCCCAACATTTCACCACTATTTTGTTTTGTTTTTCTTATTAATATAAGAAGACAGGAATGTCAGGCCTCTGAGCCCAAGCTAAGCCATCATATCCCCTGTGACCTGCATGTATACATCCAGATGGCCTGAAGCAAGTGAAGAATCACAAAAGAAGTGAAAATGGCCAGTTCCTGCCTTAACTGATGAAATTCCACCATTGTGATTTGTTCCCGCTTCACCCTAACTGATCAACTGACTTTGTGACATTCCTTCTCCTGGACAGTGAGTCTCAGCAGCTCCCCACCGAGCGCCTTGTGACCCCTACCCCTGCCCACAAGAGGAAAAACCCCCTTTAACTGTAATTTTCCACTACCTACCCAAATCCTATAAAACTGCCCCACCCCATCTCCCTTTGCTGACTCCTTTTTTGGACTCAGCACCCAGGTGATTAAAAAGCTTTATTGCTCACATAAAGCCTGTTTGGTGGTCTCTTTACACGGACACGCATAATAGGCCAATACAGATTTGCCTGGCTCTGCCTTTGTGCCTTCATGAAGATGGTCACTATTTTTTTTTTTTGTTTGTTTAGACAGAGTCTCGCTCTGTCACCCAGGTGGAGTGCAGTGGCATGAAATCGGCTCACTGCAACCTCCACCTCCCGGGTTCAAATAATTCTCCCACCTCAGCCTCCTGACTAGGTGACTGCAGGCACATGCCACCACACCTGGCTAATTTTTGGTATTTTTAATAGAGACGGGGCTTCACCATGTTGGCCAGGCTGGTCTTGAACTCCTGACCTTAAGTGATCCACCCATCTCCGCCTCCCAAAGTGCTGGGATTACAGGTGTGAGCCACCATGCCCGGCCAAGATGATCACTATTTTTTAGGATTGTCTCTGCTACTGCAGTGCCATTCCCAGGCAAACATATCTAAATTTGCACATTTTCAGGGAGGCATTCTAATAATAATCTCTTTAACAGTTTGGGAGTTGCTTTAGTTCCCTAGGGCTGCCACAACAAAGTACCAAAAAATGGGACCTCATGCGGTAGCTCACCTGTAGTTCTAGCTACTTGGGAGGCTGAGACAGGAGGATTGCTTGAGCCCAGAGGGTTGAGGCTGCAGTGAGCTATGATTATACCATTGCACTCCAGCTTGGGCGATGGAGCTAGACTCTGTCAAAGAGAAAAAACAAACGAACAAACAAAAAATAGGTGGCTTCAAACAACAGAAATGTATTGTTTCATAGTTATGGAGGCTAGAAATCTGAAATGAAGGTAATGGCAGAGTCATGCTTTCTGATAGCTCTATGGGAAGAGAATCTTTCCTTGCCTTCTCTGGCTTCCAGTGTTTACATTCAATTCTTGAGTTCCCTGGCTTAGAGATGCATCATTCCAGACACATGGCTGTCTTCTCCCTGCATGCCTTAGACTGTCTTCTACATGTGTCTGTCTCTGTGCACTAATTTCCCCCTTTTTATAATTAGGCAGGTCATATTAGATTAGGGCCCGCTCTAATGACCCTATTTTAACTTGATTACCTCTGTAGAGATCCTATTTCTGGATGAGGCCCCATTCTGTGTACTGGGGATTAGGACCTCAACATATCTTTTTAGGGAGACACAATTCAACCCATAACAGGAGTCACACAGATCTGGGTTCAAATCTTGGCCCTACCATTTATTAGATATGATCTTGGTCAAGTTATTCACCTTTCTGAGCCTCAGTTTCTCCACTTTTAAACTTGGCATGATATTATTAATTACCTCATAGGGTTGCTATGAGGATAAAAAGGGATAATGTTTTCCAAGGGCCTGGCAAGTGAAGAAGAGGGGCATTTTCACGAACCTATTACTTTTTTTTTTTTTTTAAGAGAGAGAAAAGCTCTTCCCAGAAGACTTTTGGAGAAATGGGACATATTCCCATGTCCTAGTTACCAAGGAAGCTGGGAAAGTGAATATTTGACATTTCCAGCCTAAACAAAGGGAGATAAGGCTCTGCCAGCATGGGCAACATGGTGAGATCCTGTCTCTACAAAAAAATACAAAAATTAGCTGGGTATGATGGTATGCACCTGTAGGGAGGCTGAGGTGAGAGAACCACTTGAATCTCAGAGGTTGAGGTTGCAGTGAGCCGAGACTGCACCATTGCATTCCAGCCTGGGAGACAAAGTGAGACTTTGTCCCTCCTCCCCCCACCCAAAAAAAAAGTACCTGTTGTTACGTTGTGGGGAGGTTATTCCTTTTTTTTTTTTTCAGACAAGGTCTCACTCTGTTGCCCAGGCTGGAGTTCAGTGGTGTGATCTTGGCTCACGGTAGCCTTGACTTCCCAGGCTCAAGTGATCCTCCTGCCTCAGCCTCCCGAGTAGCTGGGACTACAGGTGCCACAATATCCAGCTAATTTTCATATTTTTAGTAGAGACAGGATCTTGCCTTGTTGCCCAGGCTGATCTCGAACTCCTGGGCTCAAGTGATCTGCCCGCCTTGACTTCCTAGAGAGCTGGGAATGCAGGAGTGAGCCACCACACCTGGCCTATTCCTTAGATTTTATTTAGTCTTAGATCTCCAACCATCTGGTAGGATTTAGGAATAATAGTAGTCAAACTCAAGAGGATAGAAACTGTCATTTACAAACATGGTTCTTGACATGGAATCCTTCCTTCAAACAGAAGCTTACAAGGAAGCCTAACATATAAAACACATTTCAGCAGCCCTGTTCTGGTTGAAATGGGGTTGGTTGGGAAAACTCAGGCATATTGCACTTACCTTGTTTCTTTGCAGTGTCTCTTAAGACACCTTTGTGGAGCTCCTCAGACACCTTGAGAGTTAAAAAAAAACACTGGGTTAAATGTTCATTGGTGAAGATGCTATTTATACCTAGATCTGTCATATTGGTGTTTAATTTTGAATCTGGGAAAGGAGAATGCAACCCCTTTGCAGCAGCAGGGATCCCAAAGTCCTGTAGACCCATGGGAAGGCTGTTTTCCTGTGGTTTCTTGTGAGCTCCATAGTGCTCTATCTTTCTGATGGAGAGGGCTGTCTGCATTCTCAATAGGATAGCGTCACCCACAAGTTTCTCCCAGGCATTGAGTCAGCTGCAGATCCTGACAATGACTTCCAAGGACAGAGGATTTCTCAGCCTTTTGGTGTATGCAAAGTGTCTAGCTCTTACTCCCATAGGATTCAGTATTGCTACAATGACCTCAAAGTATAGGAATGGAATGTATCCTCCATAGCATTGCTTAGGACCACAGGCAGGTGTCAGGATTCTTGTAACATCTGAATATGTATTTAAATCTGGTTGTGCAGCCCCGTGTGGTGGCTCACGCCTATCATCCTAGCACTTTGGGAGGCTGAGGCAGGCAGATTACCTGAGGTCAGGATTTTGAGACCAGCCTGGCCAATATGGAGAAACCCTGTCTCTACTAAAAATACAAAAAGTAGGTGGGTGTGGTGGTACATGCCTGTAATCCCAGCTACTCGGGAGGCTGAGGCAGGAGAATTGCTTGAACCAGTAGGCAGAGGTTGCAGTGAGCTGAGATTGCACCATTGCGCTCCAGCCTGGGCAACAGAGTGAGACTCCATCTCAAAAAATAAAAAAATAAAAAATAAACAAATAAATCTGGTTGTGTGCTAATACAGCCCAGTGGCTGAGACTCAGGTTTTGCATCTGTTGTGATGATTTTGAACCCAGCTTTGCCTCTTTCTTATTGTACAAGCTTGACCAAATTACTTCTCAACCTTAGTTTTATTATATATAAAGTAAGGACAACAATATTTTCATCTTAGAGCCGTTGTGAGTATTGAGGTGATATGAGCAAAAACACTTTTCCTTGTGTATATTCTCAGTAAGAACCCCTGTCGCTGCTGTTGCAGAAGACAGATGTGCCTTCAACACTGGAGAACACTTTTACTTCCTAGCTGGGACACTGTCACAATTTTTGCTGTGAACATTACTTTTGACCACTTGACCTTTTCTTCAGAAACATCATCTTTGCTGCAAAAAGCCTCCCCCTACTCCCCCACTCCCTCTGTGTAGCAGGGAAAGGCTCTTAGGATGTCCTATAGTAACCTTGCCGCCACTTCCAGTTCAGCACCAGGAGCAGAGGTAGAACAGAAAGAAGTTGGTTGGGATGTCAAGCATACCTAGATAGCCTGTTATTTTGGCACAGGCATGGGTGAAAGGGCTGAGAAGTACATAGTGAGCTGGACAGGAAAGGCAGAGGCAGAAAAAATGGAGCGTTCTAAAAAAAAAAAAAAAAGCAATGACCTCTTGATTACCTAAAGCCCCAGGCCTGAATATTAAATGCTAAATGTTTGGAAGCACAAAGACAATTTGAGTTTCTCTAAAATCAAACCTGGGTGTGATCATTGTACTACAGTTATGATGGAGTTGAATGCTTAAGTGTCTAAGGATGAAAACCTCTCTCAAACTTCTGGTTTCAATCTCCAGGCTGCTAAAGAGACTCTAGATAATGAGATCCAAGCATCCATATTCTAAACAAGCTCTCCAGGTGATTCTGTTCAGCCACTCACTGGTTGATTTTTTGGGGGGATGCATTGACTTACTCCAAACCCACATCCCTGGGATACATGCTCTTTCAATGTAGTGCGGAAGTGCAGGATTTCTTTTGATGTCTAATAATAATGATCATATGGGCAGAATTTCATAGAAGTTGAAGGAAGTCTGGTTTGGGATCAGGAAACCTCAAGTTTAATAATAATTTTCTTTCAGTTTCCCCATAGGAGCTTGGCCTAATCCTGTAGCTGCTGTCTCTCAGAGACAATGGTTGCTCTTTGCATTGCCTCATGATCATCACAGGGTCTGTACAACAGCAGGGGCAACCATGATTATCTCTTCTATGCAGTGTGACAAAATTTCTTGTTATCTTAGATTTTTCTATGTTTCTCAATTTTTCTAGGCATATTATAAACTGTCATACTTTACTTATCTTGAATTTAGCTGTCTTACAGTCATAGTAAAAAACTAGAAGGGAAAAATACATTTATGTGCACACACACATACATATATACATTCTCTTTATTCTCTCTCTCTGTCTCTTTCTGTCTCTGTCTCCCTGTCTCTGTCTCTCTCTCTCTCTCCCTCTCTCTCTCTTTATCTCTCTCTCTCACACACACACACCCTTTTAATTAAACAGCCAGACCAGATGGCACTAAGACTTAAGATACTTTACATGTAGGCAATCCTCTTAGACTCATACTCAGAGCTTATTTACTCTTATTTTATGCCTAATTCTAACAGAACTTCTTATGTAACTTCCAAGCTTCAAGTAGAATAGGTTCAGCAAACAGACAGAACAAAAGTGGGCAAAATAGGTAGACATACTGAAAGCACCAAAATCTGAGAGCTAAATGCCCAATAACCAGGCAGAAGAAAAATAAAAAATTATATATACCAAGTAGAGAGAATTTTGGAGTCACTAAATTTAAGAGTAAATAATCCTCTGTGCCTCCATGGATCCTGGCAATGCTGTGATATTGCACGGTACAATCCCTCCTGTTTTCGATCATGACAAATCTGAATCATCAAGAAGGCTAGATTAAGTTCTGTATTTTATGTTTAGGAAGCACGGGTATAAGTGTTCTAGCTAAGAAAAATTTATATCTAAAATGTTTAAACTTCCAGACAAGATTTGGCTTCTGGGAATCATAGAGTTTTAAAGTTGGAAAGCATCATAATTATTATTATTATTTTGAGACAGGGTCTCACTCTGTTGCCCAGGCTGGAGTGCAGTGGTGCAATCTTGGCTCACTGCAGCCTCAACCTCCTGGGCTTATGTGAGTCTCCCACTTCAGCCTCCCAACTAGCTGAGACTACAGGCTTATGCCACTATGCCCAGCTAATTTTGTTTATTTTTTTTGTAGAAATGAGGTTCCACTATGTTGCCCAGGCTTGTTTCAAACCTGTAGACTCAAGCGATTCTCCTGCATCGACCTCCCAAAGTGCTGGGATTACAGGCATGTGTCACCGTGTCCAGCCAAGCATCATGATTTTAATAAAACTTTAATTTATGAAGTGGTATAGGACAATAACCCTCTCCATTGAGCTGACCAACCAGGTGTGACCTTCTGTTACCCATCAATTGAAGTTGGTGAGCTAGACAGATGAAGACTTTTTGCCATCCTAGTATTAGACGAATCCTAAGACCCTTTCTAAAATTGCAGAGAAAGAAGTTAGAGGTAAAGGAAAGAACTCGTTGGTTGCCACACATAGCATGTGTCCATACTTTTTTCCTACTTCTTAGGCCCTTCAATTATCTTATACTCCCACCGCATCCACAACATCCTCCCCACCTTTCATCTGCCCTACCCTGCCTATCTCATGAGTCCAAATCTATTCCTATTCTTTAGCCTAGCTTCAGTGCCACCTTGTCCAAGAAGTTGTCTGGAACCTGCAACTGAAACTCATCTCTCCTTCTCCAGGCTTCCACAGGCTGTTACCAAGCACTCTCATTGTACTTTTCAATTCAAATCTTATAGATTTTTCCTTTTTAATTATGGTTTCTTCCTCTTAATAGCCTATAGTTTGCTTGAGGACAGAATCTGGATTGATTCATTTCTGTGTCTTCAATAGCACCTGGCATAGTCTTTCACATTTAGTGGGCGTTTTATAAGTGTTTGTTGAATGGATAACAAAGAGACAGCCTGCATATTTGTCATTATTACATTGATAACTACCTTTATCCTTTGCATTTGTCATTGTTACATTGCTGACATAGAGAATTAGAGACTACAGGGAAAACATGTACTTACTGATAGAGGCATTCATATGGAAAATTAGTGCTCTTACTCTTTTTCCCTTAGAAGAATAACAACTTTCCCTTTTCTTAAAATGTGAGACCTGAGAGTAAAGGCATCTGTCAAATAAAGTCATTGAACATTGTAATGCAGCATTACACTTACGACTATAGCTTCAAGGTACATTTGTTTGACACTCTGGTTCATTGGGTCTTAACAAAAGTAGTCTAATAACATATTTGTGTAACATACAGAGATTTCAAAATGTGCACAAACTCTTGGCTGTCAAATGGCAGGCCAAATGGATGCTATTATCCTTGCTTTTTAGATGAAGATTCTGAGGCTCATTGAACTAATGTGAGTTCCTCAAGTTTACATAGGAAGCAGCAGAACCAGGGGGATTTTTTGTCAGCTCTGTCTAGCGTGAAAACCAGCAGAACATTCAGAAATTACAAATTCAAATGTTTCTTGTTGGGTTTGGCCTGAGTGCTCTCTCCCACATATGAACACTCACAGTAAGCATTGATTCTACCACTTTTTGCATTTTCTACCCTGAGATGCTATTGTTATTTTAAAATATGGAGACAGTGTAATAGTTTATTTTATGCATCAACTTAGCTAGGCCACAGTACCCAGATATTTGGTCAAACACCAGTCTAGATGTTGCTAGGAAGGTACTTTTGAAAAGAGATTAACATTTAAATCAGTAGAACAGTAAAGCAGATGACCCTCCATCATGTGGGTGGGCCTCCTCTAGTCAGTCGAAAAGCTTAAGAGACGAGGACTGAGGTCCAGACTGCCTTCGGACTTGAGCTGCAACAGTAACTCTCCTCTGGGTTTCTAGTCTGCCTGCCTGCCCTACATATTTCAGAAATGCCAGCCCCCAAAACTGTGTGAACTAATTTCTTTTTTTGAGATGGAGTCTTGCTCTGTACAGTGGCACAATCTTGGCTCACTGCAACCTCTGCCTCTGGATTCCAGTGATTCTCAAGCCTCAGCCTCCTGAATAGCTGGGATGATGTGTGTGTACCCGCTAATTTTTGTATTTTGAGTAGAGATGGGTTTCACCACATTGGCCAGGCTGGTTGGTCTTAAACTCCTAACCTCAAGTGATCTGCCTGCCTTGGCCTCCCAAAGTGCTGGAATTACAGGCATGAGCCACCGTGCTTGGCCTGTGTCAACTAATTTCTTAAAATAAATCTCTCTCTTTTTCTTTCTCTCTCTCTCTACACATTCTATTAGCTTTGTTTCTCCAGGGAACCCTGACTAATATAGACTGCTCCTAATTTATGAGGATAATTTATTTTATAAATGTATTTAAGCTTAGCATATAAGAACCCATGAATTTATAATGATACAAAATTTTTTAAACAGAAAAAAATCACCATAGCAAAAAACAAACAACAAAAAAAACTCAAAAAAATTAATAAATTGGACACTACTTGAAGTAACTAAGGTTTCAACTTCCCGTTCTGAAAATTGACCATTAAAAGGAAAGAGTTAAGCACTGATTCTGTATACATTGCACTGCAGGATAACCAAGCCCTAACTGAGAAGGGAAAGTTCTTTACAAAAAAATTCTAGCCAATAAATATGGAAGGACTGATAGAGCTAGAGCTGTTTTCTAACATCGAATGTAATAATTGATTCAAGCAATTATCAACAAGGAATGAAACCGTGAGATGAAAGGTAGACGAAGAACTTTACAATGGCTTGATCATGCTTATATTCCCAGAATTCACTCATCAATTTGAGTACCACTAAAAGTGGGACAATCACACATTATAAACCTCCCAGTACAAGGATATTTGCAGCAAACAGAACCATCTGGGAAGAATTCTTATCAAAAAAGATGAGGCTGCATCAGGCCTTTCGCTAATGTCAATGTATAGGAAATATGGCAGATAGAACAAATTAAAGCAGACAGTAAAACAAAAAGACAAACTCCCAATGGGTAGGCAACTAAGAGTAGAGGAGTGTTACTCATAATTGTACTGGGACAAAAGGTATAAACTGGGGCTGTCTCATGCAAAACTTGAGGCGTGGTCACTGTAAGCATGTGGTACATTCTAAAAGATGACTGACCTGGCTTCTGCAAGAAGTCAATGGCATGAGGCAAAGGCAAGAAAGCTTGTTCTAGATTAAAGGAGAGTTAAGAAATATTAGGACCAAATGTGATGATGGACCAGGTTTGGATTCTGATTTCAACTATTAGGGAAATATGCTGCCATTGACTGGGTTTAGCTGATACCAAGAAATCCTTATGTCACAGATACTGTAAGAAAATTGAGGTAATGTGAGAAACTATCCATATTTTTTAGAGATGCATAATGAAATACAGAGGGGTAAAATGACATGATATATATGATTTTCTTTAAAATATTTTATTAAAGGATAGATTAGGCTAATATGGCAAAATCTTGATAATTACTGGTGATAATTTTATGGAGACTGTCTACCATTTTCTCTATGTCTTAGTATATCTGAAAATATTCATAATCAAAATAAAAATCTAAATCTGAAAAGAAACATTTTCTCTCTTTTGTTTTGAGACAAGGTTTTCTTGCTCTGTTGCTCAGGCTGGAGTGCAGTGGTACGATCATAGCTTACTGCAGCCTCAACCTTCCAGACTCAAGCAGTCCCACCTCAGCCTCCTAAGTAGCTGGGACCACAGGTGTGTTCCACCATACCCTGCTGATTTTTTTTTTTTTTCCTGTACAGATGAAGTCTCCCTATGTTGCCCTGGCTGGAGTTGAACTCCTGGGTTTAATTGTTCCCCCCACCTCGGCCTCTCAAAATGCTGGGATTACAGGCGTGAGCCACTGTGTCCAGCAGAAAAAAGCATTTCTTAAAAACCAACATGGTCTATGGTTGTTGGGTCTAAGAACACAACTATTTGCCTATTTATAGTTTATAGAATAATGTTAATATCTAATATACATTGTGCTTGCTAATGAAGTTCTAAGTACTTTGTATGTTATAGTTAATTTAATTCCATAAGCCCTGGAAGGCAGGTATCTACTGTTATCATTCCCATCTTACGTATGAGGAAACGGAGGCACTGAGAAATTAGCTACCCAAGGTTATATGTCAAGTGAGTTTAAAGCTAGAGTTTGAACTAGGCAGTATATCACTAGCATCCATATATATTCTTATCCATTCTACTACTTTATGCTTAATGTTAATTTCCAAGAGTAGAGTAGTATTAATTCTTATGTGACATAAAACAGTGAATTGAGATGAAGAAAAGAAAGAAAGAGCTTTCTTTTTTTTTTTTCCTTTATTCTTTTTTTTTTTTTGAGACGGAGTCTTGCTCTGTTGCGCAGGCTGGAGTGCAATGGCGTGATCTCCGCTCAATGCAACCTCGCCTCCCGGGTTCAAGTGATTCTCCTGCCTCAGCCTCCCAAGTAGCTGGAGCTACAGGCCCATGCCACCATACACAGCTAATTTTTTTTTGTATTTTTATTAGAGACAGGGTTTCACCATGTTGGCCAGGATGGTCTCGATCTCTTGACCTCGTGATCCACACACCTCTGCCTCCCAGAGTGCTAGGATTACAGGCGTGAGCTATGGCTCCCCGCCCAGTAAGAGCTTTCTTTTATGGGGAATCTTAGACAAAATTTCAGAACAGATGAGGTTTACCTTGGCATGTTCCTCTCTCTATCTCTGGGTGCTCCTACCTCCATCTGCATCTCTCCTCATGACCCCAAATGTCTAGTAACTTTAGGCCTTTCTAATTCCTCTGATCAGAACTGGCTGACGATGAATGAAGCTCCACATGCCCATTTCACTAGATTCTAGGTAGTGTGGGTCTGGGTTGGGGCCTTGGATGTTGCATTTCTAATAAGCACTCAGGTGATTTTGATGTAACTTGTCACACTTTTAGAAACAGGGCTGGTGTTTCACTACCCATAAGCGTGCATCGTGCCCTACCTTATATTCTATCCAAAGTGAACTACTGTTCTCCATTCTAAGAATTTCATCTCCAAGTCAAATTTCAATTCCCTATTCCTTACTTTAACATGAAAGGAAAGAAATGGAATCAGACAAATGAATTCACACTAAAATGAGAATAACTAATATCAGCTCCCTCAAAATTCCCAGAATTGTTTGCATTTTCCTAAAAAGAAGATAATTTGCAACCAATTTAAAGATCAATTGATGGATGAATGAACTCATTCATTTAATTATTTGACAAATGTGTGTTGAGCGCAGACCATGTGCTGGGCACTGAGAATACAAAGGAGAATAAGGCATGGCCTCTGGCTGCGAGTTGCTTATGCTAGAGTTGGGAAGAGAGACCAGGAACAAACGATTCTAACATAATGGAAACGTGTCCCTATGGAACAGAAAACCAAACACCGCATGTTCTCACTCATAGGTGGGAATTGAACAATGAGAACACTTGGACCACAGGGCGGGGAACATCACACCCTGGGGCCTGTCATGGGGTGGGGGGTAGGGGGAGGGATAGCATTAGGAGAAATACCTAATGTAAATGACGAATTAATGGGTGCAGCAAAACAACATGTCACATGTATACCTATGTAATAAACCTGCACGTTGTGCACATGTACCCTATAACTTAGAGTATCATAAAAAATAAATAAATAAAAAAGTGTCCCTGTGGAGTTTAGGACAGGGTTCTATGGGGTCACAGAACAGGGTTTCCTAATCCAGAGTGGTGGGGAAGGCAAGGGATCAGGAAAGACTGCACTGAGAAGGAGGCACATCGGCTGATCTCTGAAGTTGCCAGCAAAAATTCCAGAGGCTAAAAAAGGGGAGGGTTTATGTAAGAAACAGAATACTCAAGAAACACCAGAACGGAGTGAGATGGGGGAGGATAGCAACAAATGAAGCTTGAATATATGGGTGGGGGCCTTTGTAGGAACTGAGGGATGCCTGGGTCAGTCCTTGTGAGTAAATGGGAAGTTCAGCTCACTTGGGGCTTTTCCTTCTCTTCCCTCCAGCAGTATCACCCTTGGGGAGCCCAGAAAAACATCACAGAAAGGAGAGAGTGGCTTAAGTAAAATTCCAGTTCCTTTCTTCCTTGAGAAATTAGGAGATGCAAGGCTGAGACCCCTTGCAGCTGACTACTTGGAGGAGTGCCGACAGCCTTTGCTGTTTCGTGGCAAATGGCTAAAAGGAGCCTACACGGAGTGGGGATTCCAGACCAGCCTCAAACAAGGCTGCTAGCTGAGTCTGATGGGAAGCTGCTGGAAACTTCTGAAAACCCCAGTAAGAGGCGAGGTGAGTAGCCTGTCTTTGTCTCCCCTTGATCCTTGGAAGTTGAACCTTCAATTCTTGGAAAATTAAACCTTTTTCAGGTTGGCTGAGGGCAATGACATGGCCCAGTTTTCCTTACTATTTACTTCTTTGGCCTTCAGCCAACATCTCAAAGTCAGTCTCCTGAGTCAGGCCAGGACAGTAGTCCCATGTCTGCTGATTCTGCAGTAGAGACTGGAAAAATGTGCCCACTTGGTCCCTGCAGGCTGGAAGCACTTGCATCTGCTCAGGCTCCAGCAGAGGCATCCCGACTGCAGTCTGTTAGCGTGGAGGCTGCATTACGAAATTCTCTCCCAAAGTCCCTTTGCCTTTCTTTCAAACACTTACACAACTAATAGAGATTCATTGTAGAAAAATTGGAAATTATACCCAAGCATAAAGAAGAACATTTTTACAATTTCCCAGGGTTTAATACTGTGCATGCAATTTTAGGATGTGTGCTTCTAGCATACATATGTACATTATACTTTTTGTAGCCACGGGATCATATTGTACATGCTGTTCAGAAGTTTGCTTTTCTCATTTACTATTATGTGATTATTAGCCTATTACAATATCAGTATATTTGTTGCTGCAATGAGGACATACTATTCCATTGTAAAGATGCACCATATGTTATTAAACTATTTTCATTTTTGAACATTTAGCTTGTCACCAATGTTTTTTTCTTTATTCATCTTTGTATACACTTCTTATAGACTTACTCAACTTTTTCCATAGAGGACATTTTTGCAAGTGGACCTGCTGGGTCAAATGTCTTCAAATTTTAAAGGCTTTACACATATATATCTGATCAAACGGCCCTATAACTTGTATGAATGCGTACACCTGGTAGCAGTATAAGAGTACTCATTTTCCATCATCATCATCATCATCATCATCATCATCATTGCTAATATTTAATGAGCACTTAGTATGGGTCTGGCAAATATCCAAGCATTTTATTCAGAACAATTCATTTAATTGTCACAACTCTGCGGTAGATACCATGGTTATTCAACATGTACAATAGGGAAACTGCAGTACATAATTATATTTAGAAAACAGAAATGTAAGGCCGGGCACAATGACTCACGCCTGTAATCCCAGCACGTTGGGAGTCCGAGGCAGGCAAATCACCTGAGGTCAGGAGTTCAAGACAAGCCTGGCCAATGTAGTGAAACCTTGTCTCTACTAAAAATACAAAAATTAGCTAAGCGTGGTGGTGCATGCCTGTAATCCCAGTTACTTGGGAGGCTGAGGCAGGAGAATCGCTTGAACCTGGGAGGTGGAGGTTGCAGTGAGCCGAGATCACTCCACTGCACTCTTGCCTGGACAGAACAAAACCCTGTCTCCAAAAACAAAACAAAACAAAACAAAAAGAGAAATGTGTAAGAAAAAAGGAAAAAAGGAAGAAAAATAATTTCTCCATCTTCAAACCGCATTATCTGTGAAGCAGCCACTTATAAAAGTTTTGTATTTGTCTGAATGTTTTCTATGCATATAAAAACATAAAGTGTGTGAATGTACTCTTTTGCTTTTAAACTACAAAAGAGATCATACCACATAGACCATCACACTCCTCTGCAATCCGGATTTTTCTTCTAACAATATGTCATGGCCATCTTCCCATGGCAGTTCATGCAGATTACCTCATTTGCAGGTGCACGGCATTCCACTGTATGAATATACCATATTGGTTCATGTGTCTCCCTCATCTTCCCAACCAGGCTGTAAATTTTGCACATCTATAGCATAATCCTATGGCTCTTATCAAAAGTCTGAGCTCATATCAAGTGAACACTGAATGGAAAAAGTTATTATTGCTCGGTTTTTTTTTGTTTTTTTTTACAGAATCTCGCTCTGTCGCCCCGGCTGGAGTGCAGTGGCACAATCTCGGCTCACTGCAACCTCTGCCTCCTGGGTTCATGCCATTCTCCTGCCTCAGCCTCCTGAGTGGCTGTGACTATAGGCGCCTGCCACTGCGCCTGGCAATATTTTTTTTTTTTGTATTTTTTGTAGAGACAGGGTTTCACCATGTTAGCCAGGATGGGCTTGATCTCCTGACCTCGTAATCTGCCTGCCTTGACCTCCCAAAGTGCTCGGATTATAGACAGGAGCCACCGCGCCTGGCCATCGATGCGTATTTTTGCGGGAGTCATAACACCTTTGAAGTTTACCAGTTAGTTGCATCATCAAAAGCATCTAAAGTAGGGTGGAAAAATCACTAGAAGGGCACTTGGGGTCCTGGGTTCTGGCACTGATTCTGCCAGGTGGTATCCTGAGCAGGGCGCTTTTCCTGTCTGCTTCTTTTTGCTGTTACATTAGTGGTTTGGACTGACAGCCATGGGGGCTTTTTCTAGCTTTGACATCTCATGAATTTATAAGCCAGAGCAAAACCCACTTTTGTGAGCCATACGGTAAGAATGGGCCTGACAGCTCATGTTCTAAAGAATAATTTTAACTCTTGGTTTGTACACTTGACATTTTTTGAGATAGAAAAATAAAGAAAGGAGAGCATATGATATGGTCTCAGAGTGAGAGTGAGAAGTGAGCCAAATCTGCCGTATGGTCTCCCAGAAACAGTGCAGGGGAAAATCAGTCCATGCTATTTGTTCTTTCCTACTTCAAGCACTTTCCAAACAGATTTGCAACTGAGATTCGAAATGCTGTGTTATGAGGACCCAGGAATACTCGAAGTAGGGTCATATGTAAATTTACTTATTTTATTTATAAAGTGAGAAAAAGGTGTCAACTTGTACATACACTATGATCATAAGTATGTAAAATATATACTTAGAACAGCAGAAAATACAACAAAATGATATAGTATAATGTGGGTAATGGGATTATGGGTGATTTCCATTTTTTTTTTTTCTCTACACTTTGCTGTATTTTCTCAAAGTTTCCCAAGTGAATAGGCATTACTTTTAGAATCAGAAAAATACAATCAGGCTGGGTGCTGTGGCTCCCACCTGTAATCTCAGCACTTTGGGAGCCTGAGACAGGAGGATCTCTTGAGCCCAGGAGTTTAAGACCAGCCTGGGCAACATAGTAAGACCGCATCTCTACAAAACATTAGCCTGATGTGGTGGTGCTGTAGTTTCAGCTACTCGGGAGACCGAAGTGGGAGGATTACTTGAGCCTGGGAGGTTGAGGCTGCAGTGAGCCATGATTGCACCATTGCACTTTCGCTTAGGTGACAGAGCAAGACTCTGTCTCCTCACCAAAAAAAAAAAAAAAAAAAAAAGGGCGGTCAGAAAAAAAATCTTCAAATATTAATTAAAAAAAGAAAATAATCACACAAATGCTACTAGAGGTCACTTTGAGGAGTTAATATCATCATTATCTTCTCTTTCTTTTCCTTCGCTCCATTTTTTAAGTTTGCCTTAACAAATGTGTATTAATTTTAGAAAGAGAAACAACCCCACTAGGGCAGCTGCTGCTCCAAATTCATTCTCTCCCTCTTTCTTTTTACTGGAACCCTGATTTTGTTGGAAATGGCAATGTAACTAACAAAAATCTATACCTTTCAGTCTTCCTTGTAGATAGAAGTAAACATTTAATTAAGTTCTAGCTAATGAAATATAAGCATACATTGCTGGTTGGGCCTCTCAGCTAACTAAATGGGCTTGTGCCTGTTTGCCTATTCCCTCTTTCTCCCCTCCTGGCCTCAAACTCAGACGTAAAGTTTGGAACTGCAGTGGCCAGCCTTTAATGAGAAGACAACCTCAAAGATGAAGTAAAGCTGATAGAACAGAAATAAAGGTGCCTGCAATATTAGTGGCATGTTGGAGCCACTGCATCTGGCTCAGCCACTTTTCTTCAACATCAGAGTGAAAGAAAGAGAGCAAACTAGGCGGGGCGGGGTGGCTCACACCTGTATTCCCAGCACTTCCGGAGGCCGAGGTGGGGGAATCACGAGGTCAGTAGATCGAGACCATCCTGGTTAACACAGTGAAACCTCATCTCTACTAAAAACACAAAAAATTAGCTGGGCGTGGTGGCAGGCACCTGTAGTCCCAGCTACTCGGGAGGCTGAGGCAGGAGAATGGCGTGAACCAGGGAGGCAGAGCTTGCAGTGAGCTGAGATGCTGTCACTGCACTCCAGCCTGGGCAACAGAGTGAGAAACCATCTCAAAAAAAAAAAGAAAAAATTAAAATAAAGAGAGCAAACTCCTCTTGATATTGATATTTCTTTTTTCTTTTCTTTTCTTTCTTTCTTTTTTTTTTTTTTTTTTTGAGACAGAGTCTTATTCTGTCACCAGGCTGGATTGCAATGGCGCGACCTTGGCTCACTGCAACCTCTGCCTACCAGGTTCAAGCAATTCCCCTGCCTCAGCCTCCTGAGTAGCTGGGACTACAGGCTTGCGCCACCAAGCCTGGCTAATTTTTTATAATATTTTAGTAGAGATGGGGTTTCACCATGTTGGCCAGGATGGTCACGATCTCTTGACCTCATACGTTCTTTCTCGTGATCTGCCCTCCTCAGCCTCCCGAAGTGCTGGGATTACAGGCATGAGCCACTGCGCCCGGCTTCCCCTTGATATTTCAATCACTGTAGCTGTTAGTCATAGCTGAGCACAATTTCTAACAAATACACCCACTTAAAAAAAAAAAAAGAAAAACACACACACATCAATTGCTAACTATTGCGAACATCTTATAAAAAGGTTTTAGGGGCAATGCAATTGAAATTCACTTAAAATTAAGGAAATAAAAGGCAATGTTCTACTAAAAATTAAGGATGGTCCCTGAAGATCCAACACATCTAATATGTTTCACATTGTTAAAGTTCCATGCACGGTGGCAAATTCATTATTTTTTACATTTGGGGACAATAAGTTTGTTAATACACGCCAGCAACTAGGAAGTCAATGCATCACCATATGCCTGAACTGAGAACATTTGTCACGGTTTACGTTCTTTCTAAAGAGTGCAGAACAGACCTTGACTTGTAGAATCACCAACGCGGGGACAGTTACTTGAAATGTCAGATGGAAAACATGTTAGCAAATGGGGTGTGTGCATGCATTCTGTGAAAGGAAAGGCCTCAGCCCCCTGTTAAGCTTCCTGCTGCAGCTCCCTGATCAACAACAATGCTGTAGCCACGGGCAGTTTTTCAGGACAAATCCTCCTGTCACTAGTTTCCTCATTCAGGGAGGTCAGGTTGGAAATGAGAGGAAAGATCAGAAACAAAGAAAGAGGCAGGGTCAAACATGCCATAGCCAAAAGGTCCTTGGCATGTTGTTAATTAACTCCACTCCTACTTTTGTGTAGCTGAGTAAGTGAAGCTAGTGCCTCCTAGGAAGTTAGTGGCTGGGCTAAGAATTAGAACCCCATAACCCCAGGCTGCTGCTCCAAGGTGTAGTCTGTAGAATCAGGAATATGGATGAGAACCAAGCACAGGGTCAACTGAAGCAGAGGTGTTGGTAATATCAAGTCAAGGGTCGCACCTATTTTCCTGATAGTTCAGTAAAGGCACCTCCGCTGAGGAAAAGAAGTTTGGGCTGGATGTGGTGGCTCAAGCCTGTAATCCTAGCACTTTGGGAAGCCAAGGCAGGAAGATTGCTTGAGTCCAGGAGTTTGACGCCAGCCTGGGCAACGTGGTGAAACCCCATCTCTACAAAAAATACAAAAATTAGCCGGGTGTGATGGAGCACACCTGTAGCCCCAGCTACTTAGGAGGCTGAGGTGGGAGGATCCCTTGAGCCTGGGAAGTCAAGGCTCCAGTGACCCGAGATCGCGCCACTGCACTCCAGCATGGGCAGCAGAGCTCTCTCTCTCTCAAAAAAAAAAAAAAAAAAAAAAAAAAGCAGCAGCAGCTTGGGTAATTTGGAGCCAAAGTGGGCAGAGAGACAGAAGGACTAATCTGTTGAATCACTTTCTCAACCCTCACCTTCCCTGTGCTTGTGGAATTAAGTGTGAATCCTGGCTTTCTCTCCGTGGCCTCATTCATCACAAGACTACCTGCTGCACTTTCCCAGCCCTCTATGCCTGGGGACATCAAAACAGCCCAACTTATTCTCTCCTGTGTCTAGGAACAGTTTGTTTCCATAGGATAGTATTCTTATGCTACAATGGATGTAAAAATCCTCTCTCCTTTTTCCCATGAGAAACAAAGTCATCTCCAAAGGATGGAGAATTCCTGATATGTTCATTTGTTTATTGGGTGCTGCGGGGAGGTGAAATAGATGTACGAGACACGCACTCCTTTTTTGAGGTGCTTAAGATCCAGCCAGGAAAAAGAACACAGGGGAAAGGACTAGGATTTACAAACTAACAGAAGAACTTTCCTTTGTGTATTAAAAAACTCACCAAGGAACTCTGCAAAGCATCCTTAGCAATACAAAAACCAAATTTGAAATGTACTGTTTTTTAATTTTTTAAAAAAACTTCCTGGATCAAGTTCTTGGCAAAGTTCCCATCCCTACCAATCTAGACCAAAACCTGGGGTTAGATGGGGGAAGATTGGAGGTGGATTATGCCCATTACACATAGACAAACTCCAAGGTGATATGGTGGAGTGGTGCAGAGCCGGTCTTCAAAGTGAGGGGTACAAGAAGATTCAAATAATGTACATATAATTTATAAGAATATGCGTATGTGTATATGTAATATGTAAGTATATACAAATGTATACTTTTGTATATTTTGTTTGAACACACACACACATACACACTCACACGAGTGCTAAAATTATAAGTATATAAGTATATACAAATATAAGTATAGATAAGTGTATACACATGTATACTTTTGTATATTTTGTTTGAACACACACACACAGGCACACACGCACACACACAAGTACTAAAATTATCTTCACTGACAGGAATGCACGATAAAAGGCATTTGAAAGCCACTGGTTTAGAGAACGAGCTTCAGAGTTCCAGTTGCCTAAAATATATAAAGTTGGGAAGATGACATTACCTCTCAGGGTTACAGTGAAAATTCAGGCAATGTATGCAAAGCGCTTGGTATAGTCTTTTTCTGCCACTTGCTAAGCTTTCCAAAGACAGAACTCATGTCTGTTGTGTGCATTGATTGTATCCTTCAGGCCAGGCATAGCATCTGCACAAAGTAGGTGCTTTACAAATATTTGTCAAATAGATAAGTGGTCTGTAGGTATATCCAATTCTTTGCATGTTTACCGGACCTCCACCTGTATCTGTGCTATACAAGCAACAAAATTGGAGTACACAGAACTGAGAATAACATTATGATGGAAATGACCTTCAACTCACCCTCTGTATATTAATAGGTAAATCATTCACAAACTTGGGTAATTTATTATTAGAAACAAACTATTTACAACACACCTGATGGCTGATGGTGATTCACCAGCATGCTACAAACCCATGGATTGGAACCACTGCTATAACCATAACTTATTACACTTTGTGATCTAATCTGTTTGGATTCGTTCATGAGACACACTTATAAAAATCTCTGTATAAACAGTGCTTATTTATAAAACCAATAATAGACTGGGCGTGGTGGCTCATGCCTGTAATCCCAGCACTTTGGGTGGCCTAGGTAAGGATCGGTTGAGGACAGGAGTTTGAGACAAGCCTGGGCAACATAGTGAGAACCCTGTCTCTATAAATTTTTTTTTTTTTTTTTACAAAGGAAATTATGAGGGGGTAGTGGCAAGCACCCAAGTAGTCCCAGCTACTTGGGAGGGTCACTTGACCCCAGAAGTTCAAGGCTGCTGTGAATTATGATTGTACCACTGCTTTCCAGCCTGGGCTGTAAGAGCAAGACCCTGTCTCAAATTTTTGTTTTTGAAAAAGACCAATAATGGGTAAAAAAGAGAAAATGAATATAAAGTCTAAGAGCAGAAGAGATGTAGATTAAATACAGAGAAATATTCTTGATCGTGAGAGTTGTCAAATCCAGTCTTGCTGCCATTTAAGAAATCAATTATTCCCCTTTGGCCCCTGGATCTTCTGGTTTTCCTTCTGATCATGTGTATAATGACTGCTGCGTATACATTTTTGTCTCCAAAATTCTATAATCATTTTTCTCCCTCCCCGAGTGGCAAACAACTTTTCACAGATACATTTCCTTATAAGAATGTCTTTATCAATTCTGACAAACAATCCAGATTCCAAATTCCACTGCCACGTTTCCGCTGAGCCACTCTTGGGCAAACCCTCCCTTGGAGCGGCACACTTTTCTCTCCCTGGGTCTTCCTGATTCCTCCAAGCCAAGTCCTTTTCTTCCTAGTGTCTCCTGAGCTTTGTATTGTACGCCTGTCAACTTCAAATTGCAGTTGAGGCCACCAGGCTGGCAATGCGTCAAGCAGAGAACCAGCAGATCCCAGCATATGGCTGGTGTTTAATTAAATAATGGCTGAGTACAGAGAAGCCTTGAGAAAAAAAAAATATGCGCAGACAACTTCCTACTATCTTGGGAGGATGTGAAATAGCTAAAATCTTTCTCAATCCTGGTGTTACAAAACCCTTATCTGGAACACTGGCAGCCCAAGAAAGTCAAAGTCGAAATAACTGTACAACAGAGGTAGATAATAAGTGATCTCATACTTTCTGTATCTCAATCACTAGTGTCTTCAGGGAAGATGACGTAATGAGAAAGAGACTGTTCTTGCTCCTCTTGGGCAATACTTGTCTGTGTCTGCCCTCTAGTTCTCAGGAATTGTTCTAATCAAAGAGATTATGTTATTTTGCATTCCCCAAAAGTGATGGCAGGGAGAGACAGATCTCAAAAGTGTGACTTTTCTGCACCCACCTTGCTGAATCATCCTGTTGCTCTGCATGGATTCTGGGCAGCTATAAAGTTATAGTGTAAACTCAGGACTAAAAGTCAGGATCCCTGGATTCTGCTGATCCCACCCTTTCAACCTAAAGGTGTTTGCATGACAGTCTCAAACTCCCTTGTTTCTAAAATAAAAATAACGGTTCCTCCTCTTACAAATCTTCAGGAAGATTAAATGAGGTGTCTGGCATTCACTAAGTGGCTTTTGAAGTGTATATGGGGTATCGGAAGAGACTTGGATACTTTAGGGATAATTCCGAACTGTCTTTGCTTCACTCTAATAGTTTTGTGCTTGAACCCCATAATATCTTTCCTTTGTGATTTGTCCCTAGTCCTTCTCTATGGAACAGAGAGATTTTACCTCTATTCCTCTCAATTATACCTTACATTCCATCTGGCAAAACCACAAGCACATTTTTCTACTAAGGATTTTTTCTTCTGTATTCTACCTTCTTATTTATTTATTTATTATTTATTTTTTGAAACAGAGTCTCGCTCTTGTTGCCCAGGCTGGAGTGCAATGGCGTGACCTTGGCTCACCGCAACTTCTGCCTCCCGGGTTCAAGCGATTCTCCTGCCTTAGTATCCTGAGTAGCTGAAATTACAGGCAAGCGCCACCACGCCCGGCTAATTATTTGTATTTTTAGTAGAGATGGGGTTTCTCCATGTTGGTCAGGCTGGTCTCGAACTCCTACCTCAGGTGATCTGCCCGCCTCGGCCTCCCAAAATGCTGGGATTACAGGCGTGAACCACTATGCCCAGCCTACCCTCTTAAAAAAACACAACCTGGTGGTGTGCTCCTGTAATTCCAGCTACTTGGGAGGCTGAGGCAGGAGGATTGCTTGAACCCAGGAGTTCAAGACCAGCCTGGCCAACATAGTGAAACCCTGTCTCTAAAACAAACGAACAAACAAGCAAAACAAAACCCCCACAACAAATGGTTACTCAGCTTGTGCAGCATCGATTTCCTAGGCAGCCTCTATTAAGTTTGGCCTTCAAGTTTCTCCCCCAGACTCTAACTCAGCATAATGTCACATCCAATAGAATCATGTAACTGACCCTAAAGAGCTTTGACATGTTAAACAACTCATTGCACATCCTAAACATTCCTTTTAGATACTGAATTAGTTTGTTAGGGCTGTCCTAACAAAGTACTGCAAACCATGTGGCTTAAATAATGGAAATTGATTGCCTCACACTTTTGGAAAGTCTGAGGTCAAGGCATCAGCCAGGCCATGTTCCTTTTGAAGGTACCACGGAAGGATGTATTCCAAGCCTCTCTTCTACCTTTTGATAGTTCCTTGGCTTGTGATTGCATAACTCCATTCTTCATATGCATGTATATCTGTGTCCAAAATTCCCTTTTTATAACGACACAGTCCTATTGGATTAGGGGCCCACCATACTCCAGTGTGACCTCATCTTAACTAATTATACCGGTAATGACACTATTTCAAAATAAGATTACATCCTGAGGTACAGGGTAAGGACTTCAACATATGAATTCTGGGGGGACAAAATTCAACCCATAACAGACACTACGTTTTCTTTCCAAATTTCTACAGCACGTGACAGCTGTCTAACCTTTCATGCCCCTTCCCCTCAACACCCCCATAAATGTGTCTAAACTATCCTGAGCTGTCTCTAGCCAGCAGGTCATGAAGTCCTCTACTTATTTTCATCTTATTTGCTGGTAGTGGCCTCATTTTTTTTGAAATATCACAATATGCCAGATACTTTATGTGTGTGATTCTAAACCTTGACCATCTTAAGATTATATCCATTTTTTTTTTTTAGAGATGAGGTCTTGCTATGTGGCCTAGCCTCATCTCAGACTCCTGGGCTCAAGGTATATATCATTTTTTTAGTTGAGGAAAAAGGCTCAGGAAGTTAATTGATGCACAAAATGTTAAACAGGTCGGGCGTGGTGGCTCACACCTGTAATCCCAGCACTCTGGGAGGCCGAGGCGGGTGGATCACTTGAGGTCAGGAGTTCAAGATCAGCCTATCCAACATGACAAAACCCCGTCTCTACTAAAAACACAAAAAATTAGCCTGCATGGTGGCATGCACTTGTAATCCCAGTTAATGGGGAGACTGAGGCAGGATAACCACTTGAACCTGGGAGGCAGAGGTTGCAGTGAGCCGAGATCTGGCTGCTGCACTCTAGCCTGGGTGACAGAGTGAGACTCTGTCACCAAAAAAAAAAAAAAAAAAAAGCAAAAACAAACAAACAAAAAACACAAAATAGTAAACAGCAGATAGTGACAGAGGGGAAATTGAGTGAGGCTTTTCCAGTATAAAGTTCAGGCTTAGTCCAACTCTGTCCTGGTGTCTTTTGGAATATTAGGAGATGTTCCAGCCAAATTACAATAATTTATTTTTCCTCTGATAGGGCATCTTATTCAGAGGAGAAAATCTGAAAGTCCTTTGGATTAAACAGATGCTTACGGAGCAACTTCCTAGGCATGCAATTCTAGCAGAGGAGAGAGATGGGGTTGGTGGAACAACCATAGGTTTATTCCTGCTCTTTAATAGCTGTGAAAAAACAGATGGTAGGAGGTGACCCATCTAGAATTGAGTTCAAATCCTGCTTCTTACATGGATAAACTGCATGGCCTTGTGCACACTCGAGCTGTTCTATGAGCCTCTACTTCTTAATCTTTGAACTAGTTTTAGATGTGACTATCTCACAGGGGAGCATGAGGATTAAATGATATCATGAATAAAAAGTATCTGGCACGTAGCGAATTCCTGATAAATCTCCATTTATCTCCCTCCCTTTCCTTGCCTTGGAAGTGTTTGGTTTGGGTCCTTCCCAAAGCTATCATCCAAATTAAGCCAAAACACTACATTTGCTTTAATACAAATGTGCATGATAGAAGAGTAATGAATTAAAACATACTGGAAAAAGGGAGTCCTAATTCCATAAGGAAACAAAAATAAGGCAGTATTTGAATGTCACATAAACCTCTTGGTTCTAGCTGGCAAGCCATTCCACCAGGTCTTAATAGCAAAATATTAAAACATTAGGTGGAACCTTGCAGTTGTGCAACTTATAATTCCATTAAAAAATAAAGCTATATTTAAAAATAAGACACAATTAATGAAGGTTTAAAATAAAAGCAAGTAAACATCATGCTGTAGAAAGGTAAGTGGCAGGGGCAAATAGGAAAAAGGTGATAATAGGACCTCAGTTCCTGGGTTGTTGTTTTTTTTTCTTTTTTTGTTCTCCTCTTTTTTTTCTGTTAGCTCTGAGGCCAAATATTCTTGGGAAGAAATCGCAATTTCTTCTGGGCTTATTTCCTTGCTGGTAATTAAAAAAAATTTTTTTTTTAGAGACAGGGCCGTGCTCTGTTACCCAGGCTGGAGGGTAGAGAGTAATGTGATCATGGCTCACTGCAGCCTCAAATTCCTTGGCTCAAGCGATCTTTCTGCCTTACCCTGCTGAGTAGCTGGGACTACAGGTGCCAGCCACCATACTCAGCTAATTCTTTCACTTCTTATAGAGACGGGCTCTTGCTATGTTGCCCAGGCTGGTCTCAAACTCTTGGTCTCAAGTGATCCTCTTGCCTCAGCTTCCCATAGTGCTGAGATTACAGGCATGAGTCACTGCTCCTGGTCTGTAAAATTCTTAGTTCTAGTTCTTACAAGATTCTAAGGCTTCATTTTATATTGAAAAGATTGTTTTAAAGACTGAGAAGTTGGTTCCTTCTTGAAGAACAAATTGAATGAATCACAAATCAAATGAACCAGAGGCTTGGAATAACTCAATGCCGTCTATTCCAACACTCTCTTTAGAGTATTTTTAGTTTTTTCCGAGAGAGAAATATAAAATGTTCAATGCATCTAATATTGAAGTTAAGAAAATAAAATATTCTTCTCTCTTGGATTCCTATTAAAAATAAAATTTTCAAAATTTTTAAAAGAACATTCATTTAAAAGTATTTCACTTATGTTTTATATTTTATAATATATAATATATTATTATATATTTTATAATATATTATAATATATTATATTTTATAATATATATTATAATATATTATATTATAATATATTATAATATATTATATTTTATAATATATATTATAATATATTATATTATAATATATTATAATATATTATATTTTATAATATATATTATAATATATTATATTTTATAATATATATTATAATATATTATATATTATAATATGTAACATATTATTATATTTTGTAATATATAATATATTATTATATATTATAATATATAATATATTATTATATATTATAATATATAATATACTATTATATTTTATAATATATAATATATATCATATTTTATAATATATAATATATCTTATATTTTATAATATATAATATATCTTATATATTATAATATATAATATATCTTATATATTATAATATATAATATATATTATATATTATAATATATAATATAGTATTATATTTTATATTTTATAATATATTATATTATATATTATATTTTATAATATATATTATGTTATATATTATATTTTATAATATATAATATATTATATATTATATTTTATAATATATAATATATTATATATTATAGAATATAATATATTATATATTATTATATATTATAAAATATAATATATTATTATATATTATAAAATATAATATATTATTATATATTATATTTTATAATTATTATATATAATATAATATAATATATTATTATGTATTATATAATATTGTATATAATTATATACAATATTATATATATCATTATATACATAATAATTATATATTCACTGGTTATATATAAAATCAGTGTATATATATTAATCACTGAATATACATAATGAGAAATTTAATATATATTGAATATATAATATATATATTTTATGGGTGTTTATATATAGTCCCATGAAATACATACATTCGGGGAGGAGCCAAGATGGCCGAATAGGAACAGCTCCGGTCTACAGCTCCCAGCGTGACCGACGCAGAAGACCGGTGATTTCTGCATTTCCATCTGAGGTACCGGGTTCATCTCACTAGGGAGTGCCAGACGGTGGGCGCAGGCCAGTGGGTGCGCGCACAGTGCGCGAGCCGAAGCAAGGCATTGCCTCACCTGGGAAGCGCAAGGGGTCAGGGAGTTCCCTTTCCGAGTCAAAGAAAGGGGTGACGGACGCACCTGGAAAATCGGGTCACTCCCACCCGAATATTGCGCTTTTCAGACCGGCTTAAAAAACGGCGCACCACGAGACTATATCCCACACCTGGCTCTGAGGGTCCTACGCCCACGGAATCTCGCTGATTGCTAGCACAGCAGTCTGTGATCAAACTGCAAGGCGGCAGCGAGGCTGGGGGAGGGGCGCCCGCCATTGCCCAGGCTTGCTTAGGTAAACAAAGCAGCCAGGAAGCTCGAACTGGGTGGAGCCCAACACAGCTCAAGGAGGCCTGCCTGCCTCTGTAGGCTCCACCTCTGGGGGCAGGGCACAGACAAACAAAAAGACAGCAGTAACCTCTGCAGACTTAAATGTCCCTGTCTGACAGCTTTGAAGGGAGCAGTGGTTCTCCCAGCATGCAGCTGGAGATCTGAGAACCGGCAGACTGCCTCTTCAAGTGGGTCCCTGACCCCTGACCCCAGAGCAGCCTAACTGGGAGGCACCCCCCAGCAGGGGCACACTGACACCTCACACGGCAGGGTATTCCAACAGACCTGCAGCTGAGGGTCCTGTCTGTTAGAAGGAAAACTAACAAACAGAAAGGACATCCACACCAAAAACCCATCTGTACATCACCATCATCAAAGACCAAAAGTAGATAAAACCACAAAGATGGGGAAAAAACAGAACAGAAAAACTGGAAGCTCTAAAAATCAGAGCGCCTCTCCTCCTCCAAAGGAACGCAGCTCCTCACCAGCAACAGAACAAAGCTGGATGGAGAATGACTTTGACGAGCTGAGAGAAGAAGGCTTCAGACGATCAAATTACTCTGAGCTACGGGAGGACATTCAAACCAAAGGCAAAGAAGTTGAAAACTTTGAAAAAAATTTAGAAGAACGTATAACTAGAATAACCAATACAGAGAAGTGCTTAAAGGAGCTGATGGAGCTGAAAACCAAGGCTCGAGAACTACGTGAAGAATGCAGAAGCCTCAGGAGCCGATGCGATCAACTGGAAGAAAGGGTGTCAGCAATGGAAGACGAAATGAATGAAGTGAAGCGAGAAGGGAAGTTTAGAGAAAAAAGAATAAAAAGAAATGAGCAAAGCCTCCAAGAAATATGGGACTATGTGAAAAGACCAAATCTACGTCTGATTGGTGTACCTGAAAGTGATGGGGAGAATGGAACCAAGTTGGAAAACACTCTGCAGGATATTATCCAGGAGAACTTCCCCAATCTAGCAAGGCAGGCCAACGTTCAGATTCAGGAAATACAGAGAATGCCACAAAGATACTCCTCGAGAAGAGCAACTCCAAGACACATAATTGTCAGATTCACCAAAGTTGAAATGAAGGAAAAAATGTTAAGGGCAGCCAGAGAGAAAGGTCGGGTTACCCTCAAAGGGAAGCCCATCAGACTAACAGCGGATCTCTCGGCAGAAACCCTACAAGCCAGAAGAGAGTGGGGGCCAATATTCAACATTCTTAAAGAAAAGAATTTTCAACCCAGAATTTCATATCCAGCCAAGCTAAGCTTCATAAGTGAAGGAGAAATAAAATACTTTTCAGACAAGCAAATGCTGAGAGATTTTGTCACCACCAGACCTGCCCTAAAAGAGCTCCTGAAGGAAGCGCTAAACATGGAAAGGAACAACCAGTACCAGCCGCTGCAAAATCATGCCAAAATGTAAAGACCATCGAGACTAGGAAGAAACTGCATCAACTAACGAGCAAAATCACCAGCTAACATCATAATGACAGGATCAAATTCACACATAACAATATTAACTTTAAATGTAAATGGGCTAAATGCTCCAATTAAAAGACACAGACTGGCAAGTTGGATAAAGAGTCAAGACCCATCAGTGTGCTGTATTCAGGAAACCCATCTCACGTGCAGAGACACACATAGGCTCAAAATAAAAGGATGGAGGAACATCTACCAAGCAAATGGAAAACAAAAAAAGGCAGGGGTTGCAATCCTAGTCTCTGATAAAACAGACTTTAAACCAACAAAGATCAAAAGAGACAAAGAAGGCCATTACATAATGGTAAAGGGATCAATTCAACAAGAAGAGCTAACTATCCTAAATATATATGCACCCAATACAGGAGCACCCAGATTCATAAAGCAAGTCCTGAGTGACCTACAAAGAGACTTAGACTCCCACACAATAATTATGGGAGACTTTAACACCCCACTGTCAACATTAGACAGATCAACGAGACAGAAAGTCAACAAGGATACCCAGGAATTGAACTCAGCTCTGCACCAAGTGGACCTAATAGACATCTACAGAACTCTCCACCCTAAATCAACAGAATATACATTTTTTTCAGCACCACACCACACCTATTCCAAAATTGACCACATACTTCGAAGTAAAGCTCTCCTCAGCAAATGTAAAAGAACAGAAATTATAACAAACTATCTCTCAGACCACAGTGCAATCAAACTAGAACTCAGGATTAAGAATCTCACTCAAAGCCGCTCAACTACATGGAAACTGAACAACCTGCTCCTGAATGACTACTGGGTACATAACGAAATGAAGGCAGAAATAAAGATGTTCTTTGAAACCAACGAGAACAAAGACACAACATACCAGAATCTCTGGGATGCATTCAAAGCAGTGTGTAGAGGGAAATTTATAGCACTAAATGCCCACAAGAGAAAGCAGGAACGATCCAAAATTGACACCCTAACATCACAATTAGAAGAACTAGAAAAGCAAGAGCAAACACATTCAAAAGCTAGCAGAAGGCAAGAAATAACTAAAATCAGAGCAGAACTGAAGGAAATAGAGACACAAAAAACCCTTCAAAAAATCAGTGAATCCAGGAGCTGGTTTTTTGAAAGGATCAACAAAATTGATAGACCGCTAGCAAGACTAATAAAGAAAAAAAGAGAGAAGAATCAAATAGACACAATAAAAAATGACAAAGGGGATATCACCACCGATCCCACAGAAATACAAACTACCATCAGAGAATACTACAAACACCTCTACGCAAATAAACTAGAAAATCTAGAAGAAATGGATAAATTCCTCGACACATACACTCTCCCAAGACTAAACCAGGAAGAAGTTGAATCTCTTAATAGACCAATAACAGGAGCTGAAATTGTGGCAATAATCAATAGCTTACCAACCAAAAAGAGTCCAGGACCAGATGGATTCACAGCCGAATTCTACCAGAGGTACAAGGAGGAACTGGTACCATTCCTTCTGAAACTATTCCAGTCAATAGAAAAAGAGGGAATCCTCCCTAACTCATTTTATGAGGCCAGCATCATTCTGATACCAAAGCTGGGCAGAGACACAACAAAAAAAGAGAATTTTAGACCAATATCCTTGATGAACATCGATGCAAAAATCCTCAATAAAATACTGGCAAACCGAATCCAGCAGCACATCAAAAAGCTTATCCACCATGATCAAGTGGGCTTCATCCCTGGGATGCAAGGCTGGTTCAATATACGCAAATCAATAAATGTAATCCAGCATATAAACAGAACCAAAGACAAAAACCACATGATTATCTCAATAGATGCAGAAAAGGCCTTTGACAAAATACAACAACCTTCATGCTAAAAACTCTCAATCAATTAGGTATTGATGGGACGTATCTCAAAATAATAAGAGCTATCTATGACAAACCCACAGCCAATATCATACTGAATGGGCAAAAACTGGAAGCATTCCCTTTGAAAACTGGCACAAGACAGGGATGCCCTCTCTCACCGCTCCTATTCAACATAGTGTTGGAAGTTCTGGCCAGGGCAATTAGGCAGGAGAAGGAAATAAAGGGTATTCAATTAGGAAAAGAGCAAGTCAAATTGTTCCTGTTTGCAGATGACATGATTGTATATCTAGAAAACCCCATTGTCTCAGCCCCAAATCTCCTTAAGCTGATAAGCAACTTCAGCAAAGTCTCAGGATACAAAATAAATGTACAAAAATCACAAGCATTCTTACACACCAACAACAGAAAAACAGAGAGCCAAATCATGAGTGAACTCCCATTCACAATTGCTTCAAAGAGAATAAAATACCTAGGAATCCAACTTACAAGGGATGTGAAGGACCTCTTCAAGGAGAACTACAAACCACTGCTCAAGGAAATAAAAGAGGATACAAACAAATGGAAGAACATTCCATGCTCATGGGTAGGAAGAATCAATATTGTGAAAATGGCCATACTGCCCAAGGTAATTTACAGATTCAATGCCATCCCCATCAAGCTACCAATGACTTTCTTCACAGAATTGGAAAAAACTACTTTAAAGTTCATATGGAACCAAAAAAGAGCCCGCATCGCCAAGTCAATCCTAAGCCAAAAGAACAAAGCTGGAGGCATCACACTACCTGACTTCAAACTTTACTACAAGGCTACAGTAACCAAAACAGCATGGTACTGGTACCAAAACAGAGATATAGATCAATGGAACAGAACAGAGCCCTCAGAAATAACGCCGCATACCTACAACTATCTGATCTTTGACAAACCTGAGAAAAACAAGCAATGGGGAAAGGATTCCCTATTTAATAAATGGTGCTGGGAAAACTGACTAGCCATATGTAGAAAGCTGAAACTGGATCCCTTCCTTACACCTTATACAAAAATCAATTCAAGATGGATTAAAGATTTAAACGTTAGACCTAAAACCATAAAAACCCTAGAAGAAAACCTAGGCATTACCATTCAGGACATAGGCATGGGCAAGGACTTCATGTCCAAAACACCAAAAGCAATGGCAACAAAAGACAAAATTGACAAATGGGATCTAATTAAACTAAAGAGCTTCTGCACAGCAAAAGAAACTACCATCAGAGTGAACAGGCAACCTACAAAATGGGAGAAAATTTTCGCAACCTACTCATCTGACAAAGGGCTAATATCCAGAATCTACAATGAACTCAAACAAATTTACAAGAAAAAAACAAACAACCCCATCAAAAAGTGGGCGAAGGACATGAACAGACACTTCTCAAAAGAAGACATTTATGCAGCCAAAAAACACATGAAAAAATGCTCATCATCACTGGCCATCAGAGAAATGCAAATCAAAACCACAATGAGATACCATCTCACACCAGTTAGAATGGCAATCATTAAAAAGTCAGGAAACAACAGGTGCTGGAGAGGATGTGGAGAAATAGGAACACTTTTACATTGTTGGTGGGACTGTAAACTAGCTCAACCATTGTGGAAGTCAGTGTGGCGATTCCTCAGGGATCTAGAACTAGAAATACCATTTGACCCAGCCATCCCATTACTGGGTATATACCCAAATGACTATAAATCATGCTGCTATAAAGACACATGCACACGTATGTTTATTGCGGCATTATTCACAATAGCAAAGACTTGGAACCAACCCAAATGTCCAACAACGATAGACTGGAGTAAGAAAATGTGGCACATATACACCATGGAATACTATGCAGCCATAAAAAATGATGAGTTCATGTCCTTTGTAGGGACATGGATGAAATTGGAAATCATCATTCTCAGTAAACTATCGCAAGAACAAAAAACCAAACACCGCATATTCTCACTCATAGGTGGGAATTGAACAATGAGATCACATGGACACAGGAAGGGGAATATCACACTCTGGGGACTGTGGTGGGGTGGGGGGAGGGGGGAGGGATAGCATTGGGAGATATACCTAATGCTAGATGACGAGTTAGTGGGTGCAGTGCACCAGCATGGCACATGTATACATATGTAACTAACCTGCACAATGTGCACATGTACCCTAAAACTTAAAGTATAATAAAAAAAAAAAAAGAAAAAAAAAGAATGGTAAAAAGACCACTGGCTTTGCGCATGCGCACTTTACCTCTTCCGAACTGCAATTCTCCCATTAGTTCAGTCCATCAGCCTGCGGACTTAAGCCAGGCGTCGTGCTGACATTTAAAGATGATTCCTCTTTCGTCATAAGAAGAAACACAGAACATCATTTGATAAACATAAAAATTAAAGAGCTCTGCTGGCAGTCCCTTTACAAGGCACTGGAGAAACCCTGGGTTGGGCATGACTGGTGCTTTTACCAACACAAGCCTAAGGGACCCCTCTGGCTGCTGGATTAGCCCTAAATGCAACCATTTGGTTTACTGGTGTAAATATGAGCTATTAGTGTCTGGTGGTGCATTAGAGTGGCCCCAACCTACTGCTTTGCCTTGTAACAAACACACAATGAAAAGAGCAGAGTTGAGTGTTGTATTTACACTGCCTGTCTAAATCTGGTTTCATAGCCCAACATCCCCCTCACCCCTTCCACAAGGATACTCATTAATGCTGCCACAACCAAGTTAGTGCCTTGTTTTCTACCTCTAAGAGTGCAAAACGCAATAAAAAGGTGTCAGTATTTGTCCTGAAAACAAACAAACAAAAAAAGAAATACATACATTCAATATATATATTCTCTCTATATATTCCCGTAAAATATATACATATTTTATATATATATTCCTAGGAATATATATATATATATATATATATATATATATATATATGAACCTGCCCTTTTCTTAATGTGAGCTTCATCTGAACTAACCTTCTTATTTCTTTCCCTTTCATGGGAATATAAGTATATAATATATAAAGGGTAGGTTCTTAGAAACTGCCTGTGAATTTATGGTGTTTCTTCATTCAGTTTATATTTTCATTATAAAAGTGAAGATGGTGGCTGAGCGCGGTGGCTCACGCCTGTAAACCCAGCACTTTGGGAGGCCGAGGTGGGCGGATCACCTGAGGTCGGGAGTTCGAGACCAGCCTGGCTAACATGGTGAAACCCCGTGTCTACTAAAAATACAAAAATTAGCTGCGTGTGGTGGCAGATGCCTGTAAGCCCAGCTATTTGGGAGGCTGAGGCAGGAGCATTGCTTGAACCCGGGAGGCGGAGGTTGCAGTGAGCCGAGATCGTGCCATTGCACTTCAGCCTGGGTGATAAGGGCAAGGCTCTGTCTCAGAACAAAAAAAAAAAAAAAAAAAAAAGTGAAGATGGCTTCTTGCTCATAAAGAAAACAAATTTCCTCTGAAGGGTTTTCAATATAGTTTTTAAATCACATACTTAAGAGAAAATATAATCTTCTGATAAAATAAGAAACAAATTAAATTAAAAATAAACATCAAAACCTGAAAACAAAGTAACTGGGATTATCTTCACGTTTGTTACAGCTACTTAACAATCCAAAGGCAAAACAGTGCTCATTGTCAAAGCTGGCAGGGCAGGCTGGCCAGGCCCTCCTCTTCAGTTTTCTACAGGAGAAACCAAAATTGAATTTCTCACGTTTTCTTCACATGTTGGACACCATCAGACCTTCACAACCAATGGACTCTAATTATTTTGCTTTCAAGCTTTGTTTTTGTTATTTCTTCTTCTAAAAGGCCATCTCCTGTCCTACCCTTCAAGATTCCAACATACTTTGGTTCTTCTGGAAAAATAACTACTTATCTTTTAAGACAAATCATCTTATCTTTGGTACCTGAGTCTAAGATGAAATTGGCCATTCAACATTATTCGAATATTTCTTGAGTGTCTTCTGTGTGCCAGACACTCGTGTCTCTGTTGACTCCTGCATCCTATGCAGACTTCTAAAAGAGCATCTGCAAAGCTTTCTTATCTTTCATTGTCTAAGTCATGCCTGACCCTGCTTCCTTCTGTTGGGCGGCAAAGATCATATGGCAGGGTCATGACACTCATTTCTCTTTATTTCCACACAGGTCCTGATGGAAAGAAGAGGTTCAGTAAATCTCAAAGTAAATACATACGTTTCTCTGAGCTCAGGGAAGGGAGGGTTAATAAAAATACACACAATGGAGATAATAATTCAAAAATTTTGGAAATAGACTAATGAACAGGGGAAAAAACATACCATTCAACATCAACAAAGAGAGTGAAGGGAGAGCAGGCAGTGTTCTGGGGACAGATACACCAAGCTGTGGGGTCTCAGAATTCTTTCAATGAGTTTTCAATAACTTTGTATTGGATCAGGCCGGATTTGAGGATTGGAGATTAAATTTTTTATGAGGCATATGGAAGGAAATATTATCAGTGATCATCATCATAGCTAACCCTGTGTGTCAAGAACTGTCTCAAGTGCTTTTGGTGAATTAACTCATTTAAATAGCCCCAAAAGCTTAGTGGTCCAATCACTATCCCTGAGACACAGAGGTGGCTCAACTTAACCATGGCCACACAGCTAGCAAGTAGAAGAGGCAGGATTTGAACCCAGGCTCCAAGCTTTGTTGTTTTAGTTGTATGCATTCCTTATTCTGTCTTGGAGTTGGGAATAGAACGTGAAGAGCTGGTAGGTACAGAAATAATAATGTTCTGAAGTCTGAACAAGTTCAATGGGGTTGCCTTGACTGGGTGCAGCAGCTCACATCTATAATCCCAGCATTTTGTGAGACTGAGGCAGGAGGATTGCTTGAGGCCAGGAGTTCAATACCAGCCTGGGCAACATAGTGAAACCCCATCTCTACAAAAAAAAGACAGGCGTGGTGTCATGACCTTAGAGTCCTAGCTACATGGGAGGCTGAAGTGGGAAGGTTGCTTGAGCCCAGTTCAAGGCTGCAGTGAGCTATGATCACGCTGCTGCACTTAAGCATGGGCAACAGAGCAAGACTCTGTCTCTTAAAGAAAAGAAAAATAACAACAAAAAACTGGTTGCCTTGGAAAGAAAGAATTTGCAAAGAATAGACTAGACTGGAGTTAGTCTCATTCCTTATCACACACACGCACGTGCACGTGCACACACACACACACACAATATTGCATCCTTTCTCAAAAGTCATTCTCTCCTGTGAGTTGCAAGGACAGCAACATCAGAAATGTACCAGTAACCAACTTCATTATACTACAGCATTGCTGACAGTTTGCATTTGGAGAATTTGACTAAAGACCACTTTGGGCTTCTTACCTTAAACAGTTACTTTTGTCACAAAGAAGGTGACGAGAAAACAGCAAGTAAGACAGAGCTCTCACTTCCTTCATCAAGCGGGATACATGTGCTGAGAGAATTGGAGCCACGATAGGGAGCAGTTTGTCTCTATGGAAAGTCTAGTGGTCTCTCCCCAGTGTCCCTTAGCCAGCCTCATACCATGGTGCTTTTCTTTCCTAGTGGAGCAGGATCCCCCAAAGAAAGGCCAGGCCCCTTTGGCCAGTGGGGCCCAGCGACACTTGGGTGCATCACCACCAACCGGATGGAGGGCTGGGCCTCGAGAGTGGCCTCGGGCGCGTACTCCTTACTGGGATCCTTGCCTCGGCAGTCGTATAGCACGCAGGAGATGAGGAAGACCAGGAGCAAGATGACGTAGCTCGCAACTAGGATGATCAGGTTCAAGGTAACAGGGTCGATCTCCAAGTAGAATTCCATCACTTCTCCCACGGTGGAGAAGTGGGTCTAGAGAAAGGCAATTGGGGTCAGTTTGGGCATTGCAGAGAGCAGATCTTAGAGCATCGGAATAGCTACATTGGCTCTGGAGTAAAAATACATTAATCCCTACTGCTCCAGGAGACCTCGAGGATTAAAGCTGCTCGGTTTAATAACTTAAGCTTGCTGTTAATACCACAGCCACCAAAACACAGAAGCTGTCTGTCATCAGTTCGCCTACACAGAGAGAGAAAGAGAGAGAGAGAGATGGCTCATGAGTTACTGGATCATGGTATATAAGTAGAGCATTCACATAATTCAGCATCCACACAGGCAGTTTGGTGAGCAAAAGTAAGTGTTGTTAATAAGCACTCCATGATGACAGCTAAAAATTGGATTGTCCTGGACAATTGTGCTGTCTTTGTATAAGGGATGTTTAGTGCCATGTATGGAGTGATTTGGAAGATTAGGTCAGTAGGCTTTGGAAGTAAATGTGATTCTTCAACAAGAAGAAGATACTAGTGCCTGATATTTTCACCCTTTCTTCATTTGTTGCCATGTTTCTCATTAGTTAATTCAAAACTACTTTTTGAGTACTTACTTCCTGTGTTTCAGACACTACACTAAGCAAAGGGGATATGGCAGTGATAAGACAGAGAAGCAGGTAGTCTAGCAGGAAAGATAGCCTTTAAACAGATAATTGCACAATTCGCCATTTAAGAACAGTGGAAATCAGTTTATAAGGGACAAATAGAGGGTAAGAGGACAGCGTGTCCCAGTGTGGGTCAAAAAAGCTTCCATGCAGAAGCAACATTTAACCTATGACCTGAAGGATAAGTAGAATTTAGCTAAGTGAGAAGAGACAGGGAAGATTCTTCTAGCCACAAAGAACTGCATATGTGAAGACCCGAAGAGAAAGGAGCCTGGAAAATTGCAAGCACTGAAACAAGGGCAGTGTGACTGGAGCATAAAGAGAATGGGAGCACAAGGTGGGAGAGGTAGACAGGGGCCAGAAGGCACAGGCACTTGTGGGCCATACTCAGGACTTTAGATATGATCCTAGAGCAATGGGATGCCATTGAATGCTTTTGCACAGGGGAGTGACACTACTGAATTTGCATTTTAAAGAGATTCCCAAAGGCTGCCTCAAGGATGCAGAAAAACAAGCAAATTGAGAGGAAGATCAGATACTGATCGGATTACAGTTATTCCTTGATGTACAAATCACTGTCCTGCCTCAGTTGTAGCCTGGTCCCAATAGTCCCGCATAGGCTACTTCATGGGCATGTGCCCTGTGCAGCTGCACAACGTTCCATTCTCAGAAAGAGCTCACACTTGGTTTAATGCTCTGCTGTTGCCATCTTGAAATTCTTAACTTTTCAACTTTGCACTGGGACCCACAAATTACGTATCTGGTCTTGGTCTCATATATGTATTTTTGGCCAGCTAGGGCATCAGTAGCCTTTTCTCCAATAGCTAATAGGACTTTTTGGATACTCCTAGTTAAAAGCTGAAGTTCCCAAAGGTCTGCTGGTTTCTTAGTGTTAAGCTTCAATGGGCTAGTGTCTTCCTGTCAGCCTCCTTTATACTGAGCTTCCATGGGAACCTGAGCATTTGAAGATGTTGTAGTATGGGGTTCTTATGCATCTGGAGACGTTTTTCCAAATAATATCGTCCATGATTCTATGGTCCTGGACTAACTTATGGAATTATAATCCAGAAGATGCATGATTCTGAAACACCATAGATTTAGGGTCAGCCTTATTGGAATCTATTGGGTCTCTTTTGAATACAGATACCTGGATCAACCCTAGATCTACTGAGTTAGAATCTTTGGGACTAGAGTCTGGGGATCTGTATTAATAAAAATCTTCATGGATAATTTTGATCTGCAACCAGGATGGAGAATCATGGCTATAAAAGTAGAAAAAAAGGACGTGAAGAAAATGGGCCAATATGCGGTCACCAGGGCTTTGGTGATCTGTGAAGAGCTATTCCAGGGGGCATTCAACACAGAATTCAACACTGTCCAAGGTTTTAAGTCCGACAGATTCAGAGAATTAATTTTGTGCTTGCAAGGACATAGCTTTTTCTTCCTGAAGGCAGATCTACAGGAAAAGTCCATTTATAATTGGAAAGTTTCTGGTAAGCACAGAATCACACAGCAAGTAGAGTTGTCTGTTGCATCTGTAAGTCACGTGCAATGCACCAGACAGAAGCGAGGCTTTAAAAGGCAGCATTATGTACCAGATGCCTACTTTCTTTTGCCCACTCGGGACTCTAGATTCGTGACTTCTATAGTAAACTGAGTCTGGATAGCCCAGGTGCCTCCATGTAACAATATTTAGGGGAGTTATTTGGTGACTTTAAATAGATGACACAAGGATTGGTTAAAATTGACTCTGAAATGAGAACTACATATAGTTTAGTCCACATTAAATTAAACTGAAATATATGCAACAGATCTGCTCTATTGAGTGGAGTTTTCATATCAGATCTAGGTTTCTCTGTGTAATGGTGATAATCATTAATCATGGTGAGTGATCTGGTCTGGCCTGTCTTCTTAGATTGCCCCCATTCTGCTGATACCCGTGGTGTCCCGGAATGTTTTGTTCAAGGCTATTGTCTTTGGTTCCAGTATCTTATTTCTATTAGCAGAGAGTTTTTTGTTTCTGTTTCCACCAGTGCTCAAAGTTCATTTGAAGTCCAGTCTCATGAAGGCTTCACTTCCTTGCAATGTCTTCGGTGAAATGCTGGGTGCTTGTTTTACTTAATTAACCTGGGTGGCTCCTTTATTCATACTGGGGCTAACCTCACCCATCTTTCCTTCTTTTGCTGTCTTTAAGGAACTTTCCTCTGGTGCCATCTAGTGGCCAAAGCAGGGGCTGCTAAATAAAGAAAAAAACTTGGCAATAGGCAAACTGGGACGGATGACAGGGTGACATAGGTAAAAACAATAACAAGCTGCATTTCAGAAGAACCCCTTGAGGTAGCCTTGACATACTAATTCCTTCGTTTATTACAAATATGAATTGTGCACTTACCATATGCTAGCAAGGTACTAAGCACTTTAGAGCTTGATAATGTGATACTGAAAGCACACTGTATAACAAATGTAGAGCTCAGAGGAAAAAAGGAATTATCAACCCAATTTTTTAAAATGAGAAAATTGAAGCTTAAAGAGGCAGTGGAATTGAATGAGCTTATTCTCATTCCCTTTTTCCCTCTCACCCTCTCATCTCTCTTTTCTACTGCATAAAATATGAATAAAACAGGTACATGCATAACTTATTCTATGGAGCATTCAAGACCCATTGGGCAGGTATTCTATGGGTCTTCAGTTGTTTACATATTTACTTGCAGTGTAGTTCATTTTGATGGCTGGCCTGGAATATTACTTAATAATACCAGATAAATATGTGTCCCATATAAATACATTTTTAGGTAAGTAGAGTTTATTACTTAAAACAAACATATTTTTGTATATCAACTATTCTGGATGAAAATTTATCTCTGGTATTTCAGAGTGCCTTGCTTCCTTGATAAAATATGGTATCCCAAAAGTCTTAGTGCCTTAGAGAAGTGTCAACTTCAGAGGTAAAAATGTTATAAACTTATTTAAAAAAGCATTGGGAGTTTGATTATTTCACAGTTGAGGACATTCAGGCACAGGGACGTGACTTTCTCGAGTCCAAACAGATAGTAAATGACAGAAGCAAGACATTAAAGCAATGTTTTTGAATTCTAGTCTAGTGTTTTTTTTTTTTTTTTTTTTTTTTTTTTGCGCTGGAACTATTGACTAGATAGAATGGAAAGTGAAAGAGGGAAAGATGCTGTAGATGCTAGAAAAGTGAGAAAGGCAATAATGAACAAAACCAAATGCTAGCCATCTAGATTTTCAAAAGTCCACTTGTCCCTCAAATTTATGCTAAGAGGACATAACCTAACTTTCAACCTACCACCCTTCTCAGCCTCCTACTTGTAATCAAGCAGGTGGCTCACTTGGGAGCCTCACCTGGCAGCCTCTGGAGAAATACTGCCATATTTTGTCGCAACTTAAAAGTCTTTCTTTCCATCTATACTGGGTTGAATAATGTCTCCCCTCAAACTCATCCACCTGGAATCTCAGAATGTGGCCTTATTTGGAAATAGGGTCTTGGCAGATATAATTAGTTAAGGGTGAGATTTCACTGGAGAAGTAATGTGCCCTTAATCCAATGACTGGTGTCCTTATAAGCAGGCTGTGTGAGGGCACAGAGACACACAGGGAGGAGATGCTATGGAAAGATAGAGAGAGATCGGAGCGAGACATCTTGCAAGCCATGGAATGCCAAGGACTGCAGGCCACCACCAGAAACTGGAAGACAGGCCTGGGACAGACCCTCCCTCAGAGCCTCCAGAAGTAAACAACCCTGCTGACATCTTGATTCCAGACTTTCAGTCTCCACAACTGTGAGAGAATAAATTCCATTATTTTAAGTCATTCATTTTGTGGCATTTTGGTATAGCAGTCCTAGGAAACTAACATACTACCTATCTAATGTGTGAATAAAACCAGATGTGGCTTGCAGCAAACCAGGAGGTATACCAAGCTCTTTTAGATCCTCTTCTATTTTATTTTGGTGCTTGCCCCTTATAGACTTGAGCTTGGTTCCTGGCTCTTTCTTCTCAGGTATGGCTCCATGAAGAAAACGCATGGGATGAAAGAAAATTACTGTATGTAAAATTTACTTCTATAAAAAACAAAGACCTTCAGTTTAAAATAGCACTTGGCTGGAAGCCCCTGATGTAGCCTTTTATATCTTCCCAGTAAAATTCCTCAGAAGACACAGAAAAAAATATAAAAACCTACAAAACAATGAAAAACAATGTAGCTAGGGATAATATTTTTAAGATGCTATGGTGTTGGTTCTCCCTCTCCTTCCCAAGACTTATTTGAACCAATTTCTCTTCTCCTTCATCATCCAAGATTTCTAAGGGTATTGACTCTCAGGAGAGACACAGCCTGGAAGAGTCAAATTCATCATTCTTGAGCTCCTTTGTAAAATTCTGTACGCTTATACCAAAGTCCATAGACTTTGAGCCAGGCATTGTGGGGGAAAGCAAAGGCCATTTTTAGAACTACAAAATATTGGCTTTGTGTATCAAGAGACCAAAAGCATAAAGTTTATATAACAGGCCAAAATGTAGGAAAGAGAAAGTGAGGAATGTGAACAGTCTTCCTTTTTTTTTTTTTTTTTTTTTTTTGAGACAGTCTCACTCTGTCACCCAGGCTGGAGTGCAATGGCACAGTCTTGGCTCACTGCAAACTCCGCCTCCCGGTTTCAAGCAATTCTCCTGCCTCAGCCCCCTAAGTAGCTGGGATTACAGGCACCTGCCACCACGCCCGGCTAATTTTTTGTAGTTTTAGCAGAGATGGGGTTTCACCATATTGGCCAGGCTGGTCTCAAACTCCTGACCTCAGGTGATCCACCTGCCTCGGCCTCCTAAAGTGCTGGGATTACAGGCATGAGCCACTGCAACTGGCCAGCCTTCCTATTCTTGAGGAAGATTTGAAAAAGGAATTCTAAGGGGAGGTGACAAGAGATTAGATGTTAGTGTGTCCCTGAGAAGACGCTTCTCCCCAACACTCCCTATACCATCTTTTAGAAGAAAGACTATATAATCACCTAGATGGGCACTCCAAGGCAGAAAGGGTTCAGCTTTGATTACATAGTATATTCTTGGAAGACTGCCAGGTTCCTGGAGAAGTCTCATGCCCTATATAACACTGAATGGCAATATGCTGGAATAGTAGAGAACAATGTCCAAGAAAGGTAGCTAACTGGAGAAACCAGGGCTACCTTACTATTGAAGGTATACTAAGATGGTGCAAAGAAAATAATGGAGAGTTTCTAAGACTCTGAAATAGGATTGAGATACAAAAGGTAAGAGATGGGCCTGGCATGTTCGCTCACACCTGTAATACCAGCACTTTGGGAGGCCAAGGAGGGTGGATCATCTGAGGTCAGGAGTTCAAGACCAGCCTGGCCAACATGGTGAAACCCCATCTCTACTGAAAATACAAAAATTAGCCAGGCATGGTGCTGCACACCTGTAGTCCCAGCTGAGGGAGTCCCAGCTTGGGAGGCTGAGGCAGGAGAATCGCTGGAACCTGGGAGGTGAAGGCTGCAGTGAGCTGAGATCGTGCCACTGCACTTTAGCCTGGGCGACAGAGTGAGACTCTGTTACAACAACAACAACAACAAGTTGAGAGATGCCTGATTGAAAAGACTTCATGGTTCTTATTACCAAGGTCACAGAGTGAACAACTCGGGTATATGGAGGTATCATTTAGTGATGTGGATGACTGAAGGAAAGTAAATTTGGGAGGTGAATCAAGAGTTATCCTTAGGATTAAATTGGAGATGGTGAGAAGACAGCTGGATATTTGAGTTCAGATCTTAGTGGAAAAGTCAGTGTTGCAAATATAGATTTTAGACTTATCAATATATAGGTAATATTTACAGTCATAGAACTGAATGAGATGACATTAAAAGAAGGTGTACATTAGGAAGAGAAGAGGAATAAGGACAGAGCCTAGAGTATCCCAACATCTAAATGTTAAACAGAGAGGAAGAAATCAACAAATAATAAAGAGGAGTGAACAGAGAGATAAGAGGAAAATCAGAAGCACTTAGTGTCATGAAAATCCAGGGAGAAGTATGTATCTTAGTCCATTTTGTGCTGCTATAACAGAATACTTGAGACTGGATAACTTGGCTTACAGTTCTGGAAAATGGGAGATCTAAGATTGAAGGGCCACCATCTGGCGAGGGCCTCGTTGCTGTGTCATCCCATGGTAGAAGGTAAAAGGACAAGAGAGAGCATGAGAGCAGAGCAGGACAGGGTGAAGAGGGCTGAATTTGTCATTTCATCAAGAATCTACTCTCTTGATAACTAACCCACTCCCACAATAAAAGGATTAATCCATTCATAAAGACAGAACCCTCATGGCCAAATTGCCTCTTAAAGTTTCCACTTCTCAGCACTGTTGAATTGGGGATTAAGTTACCGATACACGAACTTTGGGGAACACTATTCAAACTATAGCACTGGGTTCAACAAAGGCAGTGACCAACTAGGTTTAAAGCTGCTGAGTGATCGATCAAGTAAAATGAGAATAGACAGTTGACTGTTAGTTTTGAGATTTTGCTAAAATTAGAAGGGGTTTTCATAGGGTGGGATGAGAAAGAAAACCCCTAAAAATAGGTGGAGAAAAGAAGGTAAAAAAGTGGACCGTGAGTAAAAATAATTTTGAGGAGTTTGGTTGTGAAATATTGAAGAGAAATGGGAAATAGCTAGAAAGCAGGGTGTCAGTGAAACAAAGTTGTTTCGTTTTTGTTTTAGATGAGTGATATGAAAGCATCATGCGAGCCCATGGGTTGTGAGTTGTGAAAGGGCAAGTGATAATATGAGAGAGAAAAGGAAAAGTTGTATGAGAGAGAAAAGGATAATATGAGAGAGAAAAGGAAAAGTTCCTTGAACAGCGATGAAATCCAGAGGAAACGTGGAACTAGAGGTAGGGACAATGCTTCCATTTATCAAAAGAGAAGAAAAATAAGTAGGTTTAGAACAGCTTTGGTGGTGAGAATATGAGGTTTGTTTCATCTGATATTTGGGTTTTTTTTTTTTTTCTCTCACCGAGGAATGAGTTAAGATCATTAGCAGAATTTGAGTGGAGGAAATGTACTGTATATTTTAAAAGAGGTGAATTTTTGAAATAGTTATTTTGACAAAAAGGAAGACAAATATCCTAGAGAAGTAGGGTAGGAGTGCTGGGCAGTGTTGAATTCCCCTTTGACATGGGTTGTCATGAATTTAAATTGAGATAGTAGTTCAAAGTAGGCAGATAGTTTGGTTAAGCAGATTGGAGGTTAGTCAGTGAGCAGAATAGAAGGTTGGCGCAAGAGGGTGTTAGGAAGGAAATAGTTCTGTTACTACACCAAAACCTGTACACTGGGTAAGGAGGGATATGAGGGCATGTGGTGTGTGGGTGGAATGTGGCGGGAAATTGTGATAAATGGTGGAGTGAGTGCAATGGTGGTCCCTGTGTGGTCAAAGAGAGTTGGAGCAGAGAAGAGGAGTTGGCACACTGGGAGGACTGGCAGTGGTGCTTCAAGAGGGGTATGACCGGAATTGAGATTCTGAAATTATTTGCAATGACAAGATGTAGGGAAGACCATTAGAGTGTATAGCAGAAGGGCATATCTTTGGAGTTGAGATAATAAAAAATCTGCAGGGGCAGAGCATTGCTGAAATTGTCTAGAAGGACAAAAGTGTAAGAGGGAAGAGAATGAGGTGAGCTAAGTGCTCAAGTCCTTGGTAAGACAATGGTGGTCAGGAGGTTGCTAGACAATTGTGAAAAGAAGAGGCATTTGGCGAGTAAGTCTGACAACATGTCCTTCACTGATGTATGGACACCACGCCAGCTCAGGATTTTGATGGAGAAAGGTGAAGAAATGTTTAGAAGCAGCTGTTTAGGGTTGTAAATCACCTACTTAAATTGTAGGTCCTGAAGTATGTGGGTATATAAATTTTTTGTGGTTGCTCTAACAAATTTCGTGGCTTAAAAAATTGGCTATTTATTCTTTCATGATTCTAGAGGCCAGGAGTCTGAAATCAGTACTACTGGGCCAAAAACAAGGTGTTGGTGAGGCTGTACTCCCCTCAGGGGATCAAGAGGGAGAAGTTCTGGTCCTTGCTGTTTTCATCTTCTCATGGCTACTGGTATTGTGGTCGTATCACTCCAATCGTCAAAGCCAGCATCTTCAAATCTCTCTCTGTTCTGTCTTCACATTGCCTTCTCCTCTGTGTGTGTAAAATCTCCTTTTGTTTCCCTCTTATAAGGATACATGTGATGGCATTTTGAGCCCACCCAGAAAATCTAGTAGAATCTCTTCATCTCAAGTATGTAGTAGGCACAAATTTCTCTTTTATCCTTCACAATTTCATGGATAGAAAATTCATTCTAACCACCAATCTTAGCAACCTCTAGCATAAATTTGTTTTCTTATTAAATAGAGAACTTTCACACTTTCATTTAAAGGAAGCAATTTATGGCTTCTGTTTGGCATATCCGAATTGCTGGCATCACTACTCTTGCACTTTGGGGCTAAGTAAAATAAGGGCTACTTGAACACAAGCACAGTGATAAAGCAACAGTTAGTCTGAAAACTGAGATGGTCACTGAGTGACTAATGGGCAGGTAGCATGTACAGTGCGGATACAATGGACAAAGGGATAATTCAGGTCCCAGGTAGGGCGGAGTGGGACGGCATGAGATTGCATCAGGATGCTCAGAACAGCACACAATTGAAAACTTACGAATAGTTTATTTCTGGAATTTTTCACTTAATATTTTCAGATTGTGTTTGGCAGAGGTTCACTGAAGCTGTGGAAAGTGAAACTGTGGATAAGAGGGAAGCCACTGCAATAGTAGTAATAATAACTTTTACTTAACAAAAATTATCTTGACCGGCAGGTGCTGTGGCTCACACCTGTAATCCCAGCATTTTGGGAGGCCAAGGCGGGTGGATAACCTGAGGCCCGAGACCAACCTGGAGAATATGGTGAAACCCTGTCTGTACTAAAAATACAAAAATTAGCCAGGCGTGGTGGTGCACCCTTGTGGTCTCAGCCACTGGGAGGCTGAGGCAGGAGAATCTCTTGAATCCAGGAGGTGGAGGCTGCAGTGAGCTGAGATTGTGCCACTGCACTCCAGCTTGACTGGAGTCTTGTGGCAGAGCAAGATTGCATCTCAAAAAAAAAAATCTTGACCTAACATCTCAGAATGTATGAAAGAAAAGCAAGGAAGGAAAAGATGAGTAGAGCTAGGCTAACTTCTTTGTCTTAAATAAGGAAAACAAAAATGACACCAATTCCTCTTAACTTCAGCAATTAGAGAGAAGAGTTTTGTAGCTTGCTTTTGAAAGTATTGACAAGAACCCTTACAAAAAATAATTGCATCATGCTAGCTACCCTGTTTTAGGGATAACAAATGTGATCACTTCCCTGGTCTGCTTTCCTTTCTGCTGCTCTTGTTCCCTTTTCTGGTTAGAAATGTTTCACACCCATGATGACATTCTGTATTTCCTTATCTGAATATCATACCATCTGGAGGCATTCTGCATTCCTTTTGGCTTTGGACTTTTTATAACCTGTGATTAGGGTATAGATGAATAAAGATGTCTACTTTATCTTTCTCTAGTTTCCTATGTAGGATTTATATAATGTTAGTGTTCATTTATTTGATGTGTAGATTGGACTTGGGAGGACATGCGTGGATTTTAGATGTATCCTTGCCTCCAAGATGTAGAGAATGCTCAGATGCAACTAAAACTTTGACAGTGTTAATTGTCAGGATGCTGAAAGCAATCCGGAGAGGGAGGTGCAAGCACCATATGGAATAGCAGAAAATCCTGGGGGCTCTACATTTAAAATATATTGGGAATGCAAACTTCTCTTACCATCTTCACCGCTTTGACTTTTTTTTTTTTTTTGCCAACCCACTCTTACCTCCCAACTTGATTAATGCAACTAGCATACCTGCTTAGATTTCTCCACCACCCCTCACTTAGTCTATTTTCAACACAATAACCTGAGTGAGCATTTTAACACATGTCAAACCATGTTATTCCTTTGCTCAAAACCTTCTAATAACTCCCCATTTCACTCCATCAAAAGCCAGCATTCTTACACGGGCAGTAAGGCACTGCACAAGCTGGCTAACCTACCTCTGTCCTCTCATTTTCAAATACTTTCTCCCTCACCTGTTCTACTCTAGCCACTTCGGTGTTTTTTGGACACTCTAAGCCACTACCATTTCAGGATCATAGTACTTGCATAGTACCTGTTCTATCTACATGAGATGTTCTCCTCCGATTATCTGCATAGCTGGTTCCCTGCTTCCTTCAGATCATTGCTCAACTATGACTTTTATGGCTTTCCATGACCATTCCTTATAAAAGAAAAACCTCCTGTATTAGTGTGTTCTCACATCGCTAATAAAAACACACCTGAGACTGGATAACTTATAAAGGAAAGAGGTTTAATGGACTCACAGTTCCACGTGGCTGGGGAGGCCTCACAATCATGGCAGAAGGTGAATGGGGAACAAATTCACATCTTACATATAGGCAGGCAAGAGAGTTTGTGCAGGGGAACTCCCATTTATAAAACCATCAGATCTCATGAGACTTAATCAGTACCATGAAAACAGTATGGGGCAAACTGCCCCTGTGATTCAATTATCTCCACCTAGCCCTGCTCTTGACATGTGGGGATTATTACAATTTGAGGTGAGGTTTGGGTGGGGACACAGCCAAATCATGTCACCTCCATCCCTGGGCCACTCCTTTTCTCCTTTATTCTGCTTATTTTCTATGGCACTTGTCCCCATCTGACATGTTCTTAGTGTTGTCATGCATTTTGTTTGTGATATGACTCTCCCCTCTAGAAAGTAAGTTCCATGAAGGCAGGAAGTTTGTTGTATTCATTGTATCCCTGTACACGGGCCCAGAGCATGGCAGGCACATTCTAAGCATTGAATATATATTTGGGGAATGAATAAGCCGTTCACAAACACATCTCTTCCAATATTAGGAAATAATGGTGATAAAAAAAGATCTTGGCAGGGGATTAGAGAAATATTATAATGAGGAAAGAGGTCCTAGTTTAATGCTGTGGGCTGAATTGTGATTTCCAGAATTCATATATTGAATCCCTAACCTCAGAATGTGACTGTATTTGGAGATAGGGCCTTTAAAGACATGATTAAGTTACCATGAGGCCATTAAGGTGTCCTTTGAAGAAGAGGAAATGAGACCACACAGGGAGACAGCAGGGATGTGCATACTCAGCAAAAACACCACATGAGGGGCTGGGTGTGGTGGCTCATGCCTGTAATCCCAGTACTTTGGGAGGCTGAGGTGGGCAGATCACGATGTCGGGAGATCGAGACCTTCCTGGCCAACATGGTGAAACCCTGTCTCTACTAAAAATACAAAAATTAGTTGGGCATGGTGGCACGCACCTGTAGTCCCAGCTACTTGGGAGGCTGAGGCAGGAGAATTGCTTGAACCCGGGAGGCGGAGGTTGCAGTGAGCTGAGATTGTGCCATTGCACTCCAGCTTGGGCGACAGAGTGAGACTCCGTCTCAAAAAAAAAAAAAAAAAAACATGTGAGGACAAAGCAAGGAAGCAGCTATAGACAAGCCAAGGAGAGAGGCCTCAGAAGAAACCAGACCTGCAGACATCTTGATCTTGGACTTTCCAGAGCCTCCAGAACTGTGAGAAAAATAGGTTTCTGCTGTTTAGGGCACCTAATATCTGGTATTTTGTTATGGCAGTCTCGGCCGACTAATACATCCAGCTTCAGGGAAAAGTAATATTTTGAGTTGGGCTTTCAAATTGCCTGGCTCTATTTATATGAAGCCGAATGGAAAACATAAGCTCATTAAAAGTTTCTTTTTTCAGAAAAATTGTTTCAAGTTTTGAGGATAACATATTAATATCTAACCTCCTAAGAAAGTTTTTCTTTTTCTTTTCTTTTTTTTTAACTTTTATTTTAGGTTCAGGGGTACACGTGCAGGTTTGTTACATAGGTGAACTCATGTTACAGAGGTTTGCTGTACAGATTATTTTGTCACCCAGGTACTAACCTTAGTACCTAATAGTTATTTTTTCTGGTCTTCTCCCTCCTCCCACTCTCCACCCTCAAGTAGGCTCCAGTGTCTGTTGTTCCCCTTTGCGTCTATAAATTCTCATCATTCAGCTCCCATTTATAAGTGAGAACATGCATTATTTGGTTTTCTGTTTCTGCGTTAGTTTGCTAAGGATAATGACCTCCAGCCCCATCCATGTTTCTGCAAAAGATATGATCTCATTCTTTTTTATGGCTATGCAGCATTCTGTGGTGTATATGCACCACATTTTCTTTATGTAATCTGTCATCGATGGACATTAGGGTGATTCCACGTCTTTGCTATTTTGAATAATGCTGCAGTGATCATACACAGCATGTATCTTCATGGTAGAATAATTTCTATTCCTTTGGTTATATACCCAGTAATGAGATTGCTGGGTTGAATGGTATTTGTTTTTTAGCTCTTTGAGGAATCACCACACTGCTTTCTGCAATAGGTGAACTAATTTACACTCCTACCGACAGTGTATAGGCGTTTTCTTTTCTCTGCAACCTGGCCAGCATCTGTTATTTTTTGACTTTTTGGTAGTAACTATTCTGACTGGTATGAGATGGTATCTCATTGTGGTTTTGATTTGCATTTCTCTAGTTCACTAAAAGTTTCTAAGGGTCCAGTTGTTTCAGGAAGTCCATTATTACTAAGAGAAAATGGTATTCTATTACTAGTAACAATTGTATAAAGCTAGTGAAAAAAGTGCCCTATTACTAGTAGCAATTGTATAAAGCTAGGATTGACTTCAATCCTGGAATAGTGAAGGATCACCTAAGAGGTGGGCTATCATTACATTGTCATCATCATAATTCACATAGACTGAGAGCTTACTATGTGCTAAGTTCTCTTCTAACTGCTTTACATGCACTGAGCCATCCGATCCTCCCAGCAACTCTATGGAAGTTTATCCCTCCATTTTACAGATGAGAAAACTGAGGCACAGACAGGTTGAGGAAGTTGCCCAAGGTCGTATGTTTTTATGTGGCAGAGCCAAGGCTTGAATCTAGGCAGTGGCAATGGAGCCTGCACCTGTAACTTCTATACTGTACCTCCTTTTATATATGTTCCCCTGTCTACAGAAGGCTTTCTTCTGTAACATTGAGATGTGCTAGTTCTTAGCTTAGCCTTCTGTTAGCACCAACCTACTTTTCAGCTTTATTTTCATTATTCACATATATTTGGAAAAACTGTGTCATCCCTTGTCTCTCCACTTTTCCTTAACTCTCCTTCCCATTACCTTGCCTCATTGATTAATTGATTGATTGATTGCTGTTCTAGTTTCTTATGCCTTCTTTGCTCATCCTTACCTAAAATCCATCTTTAATACCAAGTCCAAATCCTACCTCCCCCATAACATTTTACATTACCCTTCTCCTCTGAAAATTTCATTGTATGCACAACTAATTTAGAATTAATAATGTACTTCCCAATTAAAATTCTTTTGATGACTGAATATTCTATACAAATCTTCCTAAGATTTAACTTTTCACCAGTTTTGTGTTGCATCTTCAAAATAGATTTAATTCACTGAGGATAGGGACAAAATATCTACTATATATGATACTTTGTACATAATGAAAGTGTGATAGACATTTATTGATTTTTTTTAAGACAGGGTTTCACTCTGTCATCCAGGCTGCAGTGCAGTGGCGTGATCTCGGCTCACTGCAACCTCTGCCTCCTGGGTTCAAGTGATTCTCCAGCCTCAGCCTCCTGAGTAGATGGGTCTACAGGCAGGCGCCACCATGCCTGGCTAATTTTTGTATTTTTAGTAGAGATGGGGTTTCTCCATGTTGGCCAGACTGGTCTCGAACTTTTGTGCTCAAGCGATCCGCCTGCCTCGACTTCTCAAACTGCTGGGATTACAGGCGTGAGCCACCACACCAATTACAGAGCTGTAATTGATTTGTTTTGATTTGGGAAAACAAACAAAAAACTGGAGATAGAGAAAGGAAACAAATGTGGCCAACAAGGCCATTCTAATTTATAGCTAGCACCATTTTGAATGAATTATATATGTTAGTTCCTTTAATCTTTACAACGTTTCTCTAAGAGCAATACTACTATTATTATTATTAATTATGATTATTATTTGAGATGGAGTCTCACTCTGTCCTCCAGGCTGGAGTGCAGTGGTGCGATCTCGGCTCACTGCAACCTCCACCTCCCGGCTTCAGGCGATCCTCTCACCTCAGCCTCCCAAGTACCTGGGATTACAGGTGTGCGCCACCACATCTGGTTATTTATTTATTTTTTATTTTTTGTATTTTCAGTAGAGATGGTGTTTCACCATGTTGGCCAGACTGGTCTTGAACTCCTGAGCTCAGGTGATCCACCCGTCTCGACCTCCCAAAGTGCTGGGATTACAGGTGTGAGCCACCTCGCCCGGCCGAGAAAGACTATTATTATCCCCATGTTATAGATGAGGGAAATGAAGCCTAGAGGTACTATGCAGTTTGTCCACTATAACACAGTGCAGGCAGCTGCAGTCTGCCTCCTCGCCAGCAGAGGGCATTAAGAGACCATGACCATGTGTAAGTCTAAGATTTATGGTCCAATTTTCCTTCCCATCAGGATCAGGAAATGGACAATAATGGCTTTTGGATGATCATGGAGTTTTCTCATTTTCCACTTCTTTATATCACCAGTGACATTCTTTGGGCGACAACAGAAAAAATAAGCTAATTTTTTCCCACATGACCACACACAGTTTGCCTCTGGCTCATTTCTTTCCCCTCCCCACACTCTCAGTCTCCTTCCCCACTTCAAGGAACTGTTTTCCCCTATAATAATGCATTTGCTGGAATTATCTGTGGGGAATGTCCAAATCCCAGGATACCACCAAGCCTCAGGGCTCAACGGTGGCTCTACTCCCCTCAGCTGTTGGCTCTCAGCACTCTTAAGATCATTTTATTATTGCAAGCCTGAAAAATGAAATTACTTCGGAAGAAGATACCCTCCCAGTTCTGCAATGCACTCAAAAAGTGTCTTTTGGATGATCTTTTGTTTGGCAGATTTGTAGTTTAAAATGGTGGTGGGGGTGTTTTGTAGAAACAGAATGTGATTCTGCTCTATGTCCTCATGTTATTGACCATCTTCAAAAAGGATTTTTACTGCTAGAATGTGAGAAAAAGAGAAAGGAAAAGTTATATGGACCAATTATCTCTGGCTGCTAAGGAACATTCAGAGATGAAAGCTGCCACAGCCAGAAACAATATTTCTCTCCTGGTGGGGATTCTCTGGTTTCCTCAGAGTCCTTAACTTCTGAGAATATGGTTTAAGTAGCAAGAATTTTAAATTTAGCCAAGATCTAGTGAGCCATAGCTTCTAGAAGTCAGAGTACATCAGAAAAAGGAGGGACTAAGAACATTTGGCGCAATCCACTGATTTTATGATCAGGTCGCTAGGCCTGTGGGATCCAGTTTTTCTCAGTCTGTGGCTCTTTCCCTCACATCTACTCTTATTGTCAACTAAAGTGACCTGTCAGGGAAACTGTGTTTTCTTTATAGGTTTGCATGAGGGTGACACTATAGGCAATTTGAAGTATCTTTTTCCTTCTTTTTATAGGTTTGCATGAGGGTGACACTATAGGCAATTTGAAGTATCCTTTTCCTTCTTGGAGAGAAACACTGCATGTGCACGCTTACCAAGAGAGGGCACCCTCTGAGCAGGAATTTTCTCTTGTAGTCCATTTTACAGTCAGAAAAAATAGGCTGCCACTCTGCAGATCAGGGGAGAAGAGAACTATCAACTTAGGTTTGAACACCTTGTGTCTGTCGTCAGAAAGCATTAAACTTAGCAGGGGTGGCAGAAACCAGGGTCTGCCTACTTAGCCCCAGAAGACTAACACCTACCCCTTTTTCTGCACCTGCGTGCAGCTTCATATGCGTGTTCATGCTGGCCTTTTCCTGAAATGCCTTTCCCGTTCTTCCTCCTCTGGAAAACTCCTAGTCACTGGTCAGAGTCTTAGGTTGCACCCTTCACTTTTCAGCCTTCTCTCCTTTATATTCCAGAACTTTTCACATGCCAGGATTAGAGCACATATTACCCATTATTTTAGTGTGTCTTACGGTTTGCAATATGAAGCCCTTAAAAATCTACATTGTGTTATCTCATTGTTCTCCAACTGCCTAGCCTCATGTGAGGCACAATAATAAATGCCTGACAAATGCTTGTTGCCTATGTGAACACATAAATCAATACCATTGCTCACGATTATTTACTAACCAGGATAACAACACAGGTGGGTGGGATTATTCAAGGAAGTTCTTTTTTTTCAATTTCATATAATATATATTTTTAAAGATAGGGACTTACTCTGTCACCCAGGCCTGAGTGCAGTGGTGCGATCATAGCTCACTGCAGCTTCAAGCTCCTGGTCTCCAGTGATCCTCCAGCCCCAGCCTCCCAAGTCGCTTGGATTATAGGCGCACACCACCAAGCACAAGCACAGCTATTCAAGGAAGTCTTTTTTTTTCTTTTCTTTTCTTTTTTTTTTTTTTGAGTTGGAGTCTCACTTTTGTTGTCCAGGCTGGAGTGCAGTGGCACGATCTCGGCTCACTGCAGTCTCTGCCTCCCGGGTTCAAGCAGTTCTGCCTCAGCCTCCTGAGTAGCTGGGATTACAGATGCCTCCCACCACACCTGGCTAATTTTTGTATTTTTAGTAGAGACAGGGGTCTTACCATGTTGGCCACGCTGGTCTCGAACTCCTAACCTCAGATGATCTGACCCTCTAGGCCTCCCAAAGGGCTGGAATTACAGGCATGAGCCACTGCACCAGCCTCAAGGAAGTCTTAAACCTATAACGTAATTGTTTTTACTCTTTCTGCTAAGACAGTTGGAAGAAAATGCAATTTGCATATACAGAAAAGTAGCTAAAGAGCTCTGGATGAAGAACCAGGAAATCTGGGTAGAATTGAAGCTCTGCCACAAACTGCCTGTGTGACATTGGATAAGTCACTTATATTAGTGACCTCATATTTTCAGGGGATTCCTTCAGATGTTTGTTCTGGGTCTGTCTAGCACCAACTATTTAAACTTGTGTAAAGAAGAACTCATAGATGTTGACATTTATTCTGAAGAAAAAATGGAGGTGACAGAACTATCCTTCTCAGGTTTCCTCTTGCTGCAGTATAAAAGAGATATTCATACAGAGACAATACAAAGCAGAATATGGTTAAAAAATGCTAGTTTGTTTTACAAATAAGCAGCCAAATTTTGCCCAACAACTCATAATTAATTTACCATTAAAAATATTTCATACTATATATCCAGGCTGGGAGCAGTGGCTCATGCCTGTAATCCCAACACTTTGGGAGGCTGAGATGTGTGGATCACTTGAGTCTAGGAGTTCAAGAACAGCCTGGGTGACATGGTGAAATGCCCTCTATACAAAAAATACAAAAGTATCCAGATGTGAGCCTGGCACGGTGGCTCACGCCTGTAATCCCAGCACTTTGGGAGGCTGAGGCGGGCAGATCACAAGGTCAGGAGATCGAGACCATCCTGGCTAACACAGTGAAACCCCATCTCTACTAAAAATACACACACACACACACACACACACACACACAGAGTATCCAGATGTGGTGGCACGTGCTTGTAGTCCCATCTACCTGGCAGGCTGAGGAGGGAGGATCACTTGAGCCCAGAGGTCGAGGCTGTGGTGAGCTGCAATGGCACCACTGCACTCCAGCCTGGGTGATGGACCCAGACCCTGTCCGAAAAACAAACAAACAAAAAACAAAACAAACACATTTTATATAATACTGAAACCTAACTTTTCCTTCTCAATAAGTTAGCCTATGCAAATACAGTTCAGCTGTAGCAGATGAATCTTCATTGCTCATTTAGGTAAGTGCATCCTCAGCCATCTTGCTGATAAACTGAGACTGTTTCCATCATCGTTCATAGAAGATGCAAATACATCCCTTTGGGGATGATGTGTTTAACTAATATTTCACCATCAAACTGAAAGCTGAGTTCTCCTCCTAAGCCCTAGCGAGGAAAGAGAAATAAAAGAGAAAGTTTGATCTGAAAACAACAAAGCTTTAAAAATCCCCAGAAGGATCTCTAAACTCCATGGGGATTTGGCAAAAGGTCATTTGGAATGGATTGTATGTAGCCAGGATAGGAACCCAATTTGGCTTCCAGAGATTGACTGAGGTGGTAAAGGTCGAGGGTAGGAGAGAGGAGGATTACAAATCAATCCAGCCCAGGGATGTGAAAACAGTTGGTGCTGCTCTAGGAACTCAGAATGATGTGGACTTCACCTTCCTCTCTGCCATTTACACACTACGCCCTATGGTCCTCCTTTGGCAATTGAAATATTGGTGGAGGCAGAAGGTTTCCCTTTTAGCAACTGGGATGGGAATCTAAGAGATTGTAGAGCTAATTAATACAGACTGCCCCAGACGCAGTTAAAAATGCAGGAGAGGCTGGGCGCGGTGGCTCACGCTTGTAATCCCAGCACTTTGGGAGGCCAAGGCAGGCGGATCAAAAGGTCAGGAGTTTGAGAACAGCCTGGCCAGCAGAGTGAAACCCCATCTCTACTAAAAATACAAAAATTAGCTAGGCATGGTGGCGGGCGCCTGTAATCCCAGCTACTCAGGAGGCTGAGGCAGGAGAATCACTTGAACCCAGGAGGCAGAGGGTGTAGTGAGCCGAGATCGTGCCACTGTACTCCAGCCTGGGTGACAGAGCTAGACTCCGCCTCAAAAAAAAATGCAGGAAAGCAGAAGGAATTGCTTGGATGTAGAAATTCTTATTTGGGAATTGTCTGCGGGGAATGAGGAAGAAATAAGTGACAGGTTGTTTTTTTGACCCTCTTCCCTTAGGCAAGTTCAACTATTAGATTCAGGCAGCCAGGCACAGGGAAATAAATAAAATTTCCTATTTAAGCCTACCTAATAATAATGATTTAATTTCCCTTTTCTTCCCCACAATCATGACAAAAGTTGTAGATTTTGCGGACTTTCAGATTCCATTTCTATCTCCTTCCAAGCCATCCTTCTGAAGCAAGATATCTTCTTAATCACTCCTATCATTATCAACTTTCAGTGGCTCTCCATGGTTATTAAAGGCCAAACATCTCAAGCATGCAAACATCTCCACAACCCCAACGCTGCCTGCCTTTCCCTTTTCTTCCGCTGACCTCCCCACATGACCAAACTTCCCTCAATAATGTGGCAGTTACTTGTAAGTTCATGCCCTTGCCCTCCTTTTGGCTTGGTGAACCCTCATGGATTCTTCAAAACTGGCTCCAATTGTCACCTTCTTTTGAAGTTTTTGTATCTTCCCATGCCAGAGGCTTTTGATAACCTCCTTATATTGTCTTGGCCTGGTGTATATACCGGCTTCCAGTTTTGTTTTCATTTCTCTTTCCCTAACTACATTGTGACCATTTGTTATTCCTACTGTGGCCCTACCCCCTAGTAGTGTCAGTCATAGGACTGATGAACAATAAATATTTGTGGAATCAATGAAGCTCTTGGTAGTTAACCTTTGGCCTTGATAAGGTGGACATGTTTTTATGTATTGGCTGACGTACCGAAAGAAATCAATGTCAAAGGGAAAAAGTCTTAAATTGTGTTTGTCCTTTGAAATCCAACTCTTTTTTACTTTGTATGGGCTACTTTTATTGTGACTAAACATCAGTACACAGTCACTGTTTTACATAAACATGGAGCTATAGTAGACATAATTGTTTAAGAAGCGGAATGTAACCATAATAAATGAGGAGGACACAATAGTACGGAATAGGCCCCAAGTAGGAGCTAAACAAACCAGACAATGGTAAGATAAAGTGAAAGATAAGGAGATAACACTCACAGGGATATTTGCCATCATGTAGAAGAGGTATTTCTCCATTGTGTAGGAATACATATGTCACCCAAGTGTCAGTTGTGTGGGTGACCCCAAGTACCCTCACTTTCTGGTCTGAGCCTGAATTTTAAAATTGAAATAAGATATTGCTATCGAAAAGTCTCACCTGTGTAATTTTGTAGAGTTTACATGTCTTTATGCCCCGTTATGCTTCCTAAATATTGCTCCTCATTTCTGCTGTTAACTTTCTTTCTCTCTTTTACTGAAGCTTTGCAGTAATGGAGGGATGATGGCATAGCATCATGTAGATAGCAACTTGAAACTGAACATTAGATAGCTTTGTGCTGAAATTCATCAGCCATTCTTCACCACAGGGAATATCTTGCTGGTTTGGCGGAGGGCTGACCTTCCTTCTTGTAGCTCATACCTTCTCCTTATCTCCATTCTCTTCCTATTGTCTTGCCTGAGTTATTCATTGAGATTCAAAGTTCTTCTCACTTAATTGTGCAGTGTTTAACTTCTCTTTTAATTTTCCATGTCCTTCCAGACTATGCCCCGGAAAGGTCACGTAGGTGAGGTCCAACACAATGGGTGTTACTTTTTCAGTGAGCAGCATCTCCATGGATCTGATGCTACTCTGCAAATGTGCAGATGAGACCACAGTTTGCTCTTGTTTCATGTAGCAGTTTTCTTCTTTGGGATACCCATAGAAACAGCTGCTTTCTAGACTTAGAATTTTCTGAAGCCAAAACCATGAAAATCCAGAATGTCTGACCTGAAAGCAACATTAGAACTCAAACAAATAGAATATGTATATGTTTTTTATGTTCTTTTTCTTTTGTGTGTACATTTTCAGCAATTTACCCTCATGATATGAAATCCAGAAGTGTAAAGGCAACATGGAAAGCTATTCTTGTAGCATAAAAATTGGCCATGATTCAAAAATGAATCAGATGCTATCGGCAGGCTTTCTTCAGACCCATTCTTCCTTATTCAATCATGCTTTATGTCACCCCAGTTTAGTGATTTACTTTTAGTGGAATTTAACTTGAATGTCTTAAAATACCATCATTACATATATTTAGCTTTGGTTACAGTTATAAATTTGTTTAACAAGCTACATGAAATATATAGTTGGCAATGGTCAAAGTAAATATACCAGTGAGATGCTCATAACTAGTTAGCCTGTTTAAAAAAAATCCTCAGGAATAATAAAAAAATAAAAAACCAATATAGCTGTCATTAATTGAGTACTCCTATGTGCTACTCTTCCAAGCACTTACTATGTAATAACTACCCCACAACCACCATATGAGGTAGGTACAAGTAGCATTTCCCTTATACAGTTGAGGAAATGGGGGCATAAAATGTTTAACAACATGTTCAGAAAAAGAAGGACTTAGCACATGGTCTATTGAGCTACTTTTGGCCTTTGGATCTCATGCTGAATTTTCTGTATTTCAAATGAGATGAAGAAGCTAAAATTCACAGAAGTGAAGATAGTTGCAAAGATGGGTTCACATCAGCAGACACCCATTTTGGTGCTCTTTGCATTGTAGCACCTGATCCTCCTTTTTTCTCTAAGGGGTTTGGGGTTTCAGTTTTTGCCGAAGAGCATGTGTGTTTTGCAGCTATCTGGGAGTAATTAACAAATGACAGCCATAATACTCCAGTAGCTATTTGATTTGTCTGTTGCTAGGAATGCTTTGCCATTGTTTCCAGAGAATAATTATTATGTATTAACCTGTGCCTGATTCAGGAATGCAGTTGTACATTACAATAAAAAGTTCCACTGCTGTGACCCTCCATTTAACCTCATAAATTCAGTGTATCATTCTCATTATACAGTAAAGCTTAAGCTTTATAGAACTAGAGACTGGTGCAGAAAATAAGATAAAATATCCTCAATATGAATCATGTTTTAGTTATCTGAAGTCTCTGGTGCCAAGCCACTTCTCTGTATAGTTAAGCTACAAGTTAATGCAAAAAAAAAAAAAAAAAAGCAAGCTATAATTTTCAATTCAGTTACAAAAAAAAGCCTATTTAGCAGGATTCTTTTTGTTGATAATAACAGAAATCAATTTTAATTAGTCTAAGCAGGAAGGGAGAATTTAAGATAATGAAAGAAGACATGAATGTATTCTGGAAGCCAGCAGCAGAGATGGAGCCGTGACTCAAAAGGGACTAGAGATGGAGAGCCATGAGGAGCCCAGAAAACAGGCTTTCTTTATTTTGTCCTCCATTTTTCTCTTCAAATGTCTTTGCAAATATATCTGTATTACTCATCTACTCCTAAGACAATGGCTGAGCCTCAGTTCTCAAGTTAATATAGTGTCTGTATAAGTGAACTGTCATTGAGATTTTACTTTCAGTCACAACTGTAAATTCCTAAGAAGGGGCTCTGATTGGCTCAATTTGGTTCTGGTGCTCAGCCATTGTGCACTTAGCTGAGTTCTAGGCAATGGTGTTATGTGACTAAAACATGGCTTCTACCCAGGGGGTAGAATGGAGGGCTGTTCTTAGAGGAGAAGGAATTATGAGCTGGGCAGACACCACAGAGTTCTCTGTTGTTACCATGCATAGTAGTCCATTTTCATATTCCTATGAAGAAATACCCGAGACTGTGTAATTTATAAAGAAAAATGGAGTCACAGTTCCACATGGCTGGGGAGGTTTCACAATCATGGCAGAAGGCTAAGGAGGAGCAATGGCCTCCCAAGTAGCTGGGTCTACAGGCGTCTCACGGGGCAAGAGAGCTCGTGCGGGGGAACTCCTCTTTATAAAACCGTCAGATATCGTGAGACTTATTCACTATCATGAGAACAGCACAGGAAAACCCACCCCCATGATTCAATTACCTCCCACCAGGTCCCTCCCACAACATGTGGGGATTATGGGAGCTATAATTCAAGATGAGATTTGGGTGGGGACACGGATAAACCATATGACCATGTAACTAGGTCTCAGTGTAAAACAGCCCTTAGAAATTCAAGGACTATGTCAAATTCAAGAATATTATCTCTTTTATCTAACTAGGCATATTTGTAGACTAGATGGCTTGAGTATGTAATTAAGTCAACATATTTTAAAATCAGCCTGAATAAACCAAAATGTTAATTGGAATCTACGGCAAACCAAAAAATAGAATGAATCCCAAAGCTAAGTGGAAGTGTTGTGGATTATTCTTGATACCACACCATTAATTTGTGGGGATAATTGGGATGCATCCAAGCTTTTAGTCTTGCTGATGATGTTTAAGAGTTAAATTAGATGACCACATTTCCTGCTGTAATTGTTGGTCAGATCCTTGGAAATGGTAGGGTTTTCACATGCTTCCATATAATTATAGAAATCAATCTAGGGGATGCACAAAAAGAGAAAAAGGAATTTCTTGTTATGTTCTTAGTGTAAATTTTGTATTCTCCTATGACCTGAAAGATACTTGATGGGTCATCTGGTCTGATCCCCTCATTTTACAGATGGAAAATGAAGCGGAGAGAGGAGAAGTGACTAGCCTTGTTGTCAAATGACACATGAGTAACAGATCCAGGACTAAAATCCTAGATTCCAGTCTTTTATTATGTCCTACTATAAAAACTAGGATTCACAAAACATATGATAGTACTGCTAGGTAGTTATATTTTCACTAGTTTTGTTGGTGTTGTTGTTGTTTGAGACAGAGTCTCACTCTGTCACCCAGGCTGGAGTGCAGTGGCACCATCTCAGCTCACTGCAACCTCTGCCTTCTGGGTTCAAGTGATTCTCTGCCTCAGCCTCCCAAGTAGCTGGGACTACAGGTGTGCACCACCACGCCTGGCTAATTTTTGTATTTTTTGTAGAAAGGCAGTTTTGCCATGTTGGCCAGGCTGGTTTCGAATTCCTGGCCTCAAGTGATCCACCCTGTCTTGGCCTCCCAAAGTGCTGGGATGAGCCACTGTGCCCATGAGCCACTGCGCCCAGCCTATTTTCACTAGTTTTTAAATTGCTTTTTTCTCCAACATCTGGACTTTACTTATTCAGTATAATATTTTTTCAGGCCCTGAGTATAAATTCTTTGGATAATTTTCTGGCTAATTTAACTTACCTGTAGCAATACTCAGCAGCACAGACGATTAGATAATAAAGAAAAAAATTTTCTAACTATTATTTTGGCAAAGGACTAGGTTTAAATTTTCTTAATTACAGAAGAAAAAACAGCAAACAAATAGCATTTTAGTTTGGAGTAAATTTGTTCTTCACTACAAATTGTTCAGATATCTATAAGGACAAATTTCCATATTATAATTTTGTGTGTTGCAACTATAAAAATACTTTATCTTAAATGCCTTTTATCCTTGTTTTCCCCACTCCATCAAGAAAGACTCAAAGAAGAACTGGGCTTTAGATTAGAAGTTAAAAACTGGCTCATAGATTTATATGTGCACAGTGCTCTTTCAATCTTTCTGTTTTCATTGTTCATAACGAACAGAGGAAATATGACTAAAGAGATTTTACTGATCCAAAGATGCTAAATTCCAATATGCATTCTGAATTTCAAATAATTTGGGAAATGAAGCATGATGATAAACAGGAAAATGAAAAAAAAAATGTAAGTGTAATGTGCCAACCTTCCTTGGCCAAATGGTCTGGGGTTAGAGTTCTGAATTCCTGGATTGTAATTTATCTGATTTTTAAATGTATATAACATTAATTTGCTTTTTCAATTCTACAGAATAAATTGATTCTCAAATTAATATTTTTAATTTCAAGAACAAGTTTCTAAACAATAAAAAAGAGCTTTTATTATAATTTTAAGTAAGATCCTTGGTGATTATAATTAAAAAATTAATTAAAATTATTATCAAAGAACAACAGAATCATATTGTAAAAAAAAAAAAAAAAGAACTACAGGGGTCCTGCTCCCTAACATTGAGTCATGTTCCCCAGAAACATAAACTTTCAACTCTTAGCTGACTCTTCTGAATTTTAACCCCATATTTCTAAATGTGCTAAAAATGTATTAATTTTTTTTCAGTCGTAGACATTATTTTATTGATTGACTTTCTGTACACAGTTTTTCAACTCCCTGAGCTACAGCTGTCGCAGTATTTGCATAGTCATAATATTATGAATGATGAATTTTTACTTATCCAAAAATTATAATATCAAGAAGATGGGGTTAGCAGAAGTATGTGTATGTGTGTATATAAGGGATTTTCTTTTTTTTTTTTTGAGACGGAGTCTCGCTCTTTCGCCCAGGCTGGAGTGCAGCCGCGCGATCTCAGCTCACTGCAAGCTCCGCCTCCCGGGTTCACGCCATTCTCCCGCCTCAGCCTCCCGAGTAGCTGGAGCTACAGGCGCCCGCCATCACGCCTGGCTAATTTTGTTTTTGTATTTTTAGTAGAGACGGCGTTTCACCATGTTGGCCAGGATGGTCTCGATCTCCTGACCTCGTGATCCGCCCGCCTCGGCCTCCCAAAGTGCTGGGATTACAGGTGTGAGCCACTGCGCCCGGCCAAGTAAGGGACTTTGGTATACATGGATCTAAATTTTTGTTTTGTTTTGTTTTTTGAGACAGGGTCTTACTCTCATTCAGGCTGGAGTGCCGTGGTGCAATCATAGCTCGCTGCAGCCTCGAACTCCTGGGCTCACGTGATCTTTCTGCCTCAGCCTCCTAAGCAGCTGGGACTACATGCGTGCACCACCATGCTCAGCTAAATGCTTTTTTTCCATCATCAATGGATGAAATAATATCTAAAATAAGAAAACAATGATCAAGCATTTAAAAGAAAGAAAAGGAATGGAATCACTGGGCAGATTCTGCTCCTTGATGAATATATTTGTTTCTAATTAAAATGTATATTTTAAATCAAAGAAATACACAATTACATGTTTCTCTTTTGAACAACTTTTTGTTTTTCCCAGCATTAATCATTGCCTAAATTTTTGATTAGCCCTTTTTCCCATATTTCTGTCACTAATTCATTCTATAGTCCACTAGTTGAATATGTTTTTTCAGCACAATCAACATTTCAGATAGTCTATCAGTTCTTTTTTTTTTTTTTTTTATGGAGTCACCCTGTTGGAACTTTCTATTCTCTTGTGCCAATCTTGACAGGTCTCTAGGCTTGATGACCAGCGAACATCCTGCGACTTCCCTAACTTCATACTGGAATTTCTTCCCCTTCCTGTGTGAGATCCTCTATTTCCTGGATCCTCTGTCTTGGGCTACTTTCTCATTTTGTAGATTTTATTTTCCAGGCACTTGTTAAGAGGGGGTGCTTGACCATTAAATTTCTTGAGACAGTATCTCACATATCTGAAAACATTTTTATTCTACCCTCTTATGTGATTAATAGCATGTGTGTACATGCATATGTGCTTGTGTAGAGAATTCTATGTGGAAACCGATTATTTCTCCGAATCTTGAAGACATTACTTCTTTGTCTTTAAGCTTCAAGAGTTCCTGTAAAGAAGGCTGATATTATTCACAATATTTTATATATACTATTTTTTTCCCCGGAATTTGAATTTTCACAATGATGTGTGTTAATGTGGGTTTGTAAAAAATTCATTGTGCTGGATACTCAGTGCAATATTTTAATCTGCAGATTTCTGTCTCTTTTCTATTTCAATAGGTTTTTGGGGAACAAGTGGTGTTTGGTTGCATGAATAGTGGTAATTTCTGAGATTTCGGTGCACCCATCACCCAACCAGTATACATTGTACTCAATGTATAGTCTTTTATCCCTCACCCCCTCTTCCACTCTTTCTCCCCAAATCCCCAAAGTCCATTGTATTATTCCTATGTCTTTGCATCTTCATAGCTTAGCTCCCACTTCTGAGTGAGAACATACAATATTCGGTTTTCCATTCCTGAGGTAGTTCACTTAGAATCAATGGTCTCCAATTCCATCCAGGTTACTGCAAATGCCATTATTTTGTTTCTTTTTGTGGTTGAGTAGTATTCCATGGTGTGTGTATATATCACATTTTCTTTATCCACTCATTGATTGATGGGCATTTGGGCTGGTTCCATATAATCTATAAATCTCTATCTTTCAGTACCAGAGCATTTTTTCTTGAGTTATTTCTTAAACTTCTCTCCTCCAAGAAAACCTGAATCTCTATGGGTGGGCTAGGGCTTGCTGACTTCATTTTAGAGAGACTAGGAATGGACCTGGCTGATTTGTTGGGGGAATTCTCAAAACTCCTGAGCCTCTCAGTTTCCCCATAGAGGAACTCTTCAATTTCCTGACTAGGTGTTATAAGCCTGGCTACCAATGTTGAGAAACCAAGTGGAAGAAGAGAGCTGATTGGTTATTCTCCAAACGACAAACTTCCTGTGTGTGTTTTTGTTTGTTTGTTTGTTTGTTTTTGCTAGACTGAAGAAGGGATAGGTAACCAGTTTGATGAATGGTGGAGGAAGTTGGGGAGTATAACTCCTTCTTATATAATCCTGAAATCCCATCCTTCATCTTGAAGTTTTGAGACAGCTAGTGACACAATATTCTGAGCCTCTCTGAGGTTCTTTGAAATGAGTTGCTTGGATCTTCTTGGCTTTCTCTTCTGTAACCTAGATTTCTATCAAATCTATTAAGCCAATTACTACTTAATCATTCTTTTCAAGTTCCAATATTTTGCTGACATCTTTTATATACTATTATCATCTCTATCATTCTTTTTATTCCTGTGTATTTATATAATTTTAATTTATATCTATTTAGTTCTTTTATTTTCTTCCCTTTTGGAAGATTGATGGAAAGAGAGATAAATAGATATGTTCTTCCACCATATTTATTCTTTAGGGGAATCAGGACTTGACCCTACTGTGCTGACTACTTGACTCAGTTCTTATATTTTTGATTTCAATGATTTGTTTTGGCAGGCTAATCTCTAATGTTTTCTCCACATTGTAATATCAAATAGCTATTGAGAGAAATATTGTACCTGGCTGCTTAACTTGCTTTTCTGATTATAATTCTCTCTAATTTCTCTTATTTCTTGCAAGTCATAGTAAAAAAAAGATGCAAAATTAGTAGAAATAGATAATACATTGAAAGTATAATCCTAGCACTTTGGGAGGCTGAGGCGGGCGGATCATGAGGTCAGGAGTTCGAGACCAGCCTGGCCAACATGGTGAAACCCCGTCTCTACTAAAAATACAAAAAACTAGCCAGGCGTGGTGGCAGGCACCTGTTATCCCAGCTACTTGGGAGGCTGAGGCAGGAGAATCACTTGAACCCAGGAGGCGGAGGTTGCAGTGAGCCGAGACTGTGCCACTGCACTCCAGCCTTGGCAACAGAGTGAGACTCCGTCTCAAAAACAACAACAACAACAAAAAACAAACAACAAAAACACAACTAAAATGAAATGAAGTAAACCTGCACGTATGAGAAAGCATATAATCTCACCAAATATAAAATATTGCACTGAGGTTCAAAATGCTGATTATAGAAGATAGGATGAAGACTCCTATCATAGTTAGCTGTTCACATGAAAACAAGTTGAGAGTTTAAAGGGTATATGTGACACACATTTTGCCAATGTTATTAAGAAAACAAATGTATTTATAGGTTGCAATGTATAAGTATATAATTTAAGTTTTAAAAGATCAGACCACACCTAGAATTTTGTGCTTATTCTCAATATAGTACTCTATTTTTAAAAGGGAGATTTTCAGCAGAAGTATATCCAAATAAAAGTGTTTAGGATGGTGACAATTTCTGGAAGCAGGTCCCATGGGGAATGATTAATTTTTACCATAGACAGCCTGGAGAAGGGATAATATGATCTAAAATATTTGAAGGGCTATCAAGTGGGAGAGGGAGCAGATTAATTTAGTCTCATTCTAAAGGTCAAAAATAAGATGAATTTAGTGATTCATATCTAACGGGAGCTCTCCTGTTAGATATGAATTCTTAGGAAGACAGACTCTTGAAAAGATTCCTCTTTGAGGCGAGGTTTTGAACCAGACACTTGAATCATCTGTCAACATCCTTTTAATGAATAACTTGTTGGAAAAGTGCCTTTGAAAACATTTATGGCTTCCTGTGACTTGGCTTAATTTGGAAAACACGTGGTTACTTTGTCTTCAACAGATTCCTTGCAGTCACCTTGAATTCATGAATGATGTGATTGACTTTTGGTCTACAGCTTTCGATAGTGAGTCCCTCAGTGAAGACCTTCCCTATCACATTTTTTATTCTCAGCCCTTTTCTCCTGTCTACTTTTCTTTTATGTTATTCTATTTAATTTAATTTTTATTTTTAATTTATTTTTAAATTTTAAATATAATTTTATATATTTAAAAATATTGTTTGTAGTTATTTGTAATTATTATGGATACATAATAATTGTACATATTTACGGGGCTACATGTGATATTTTGATACAAGCATACAGTGTGTAATAATCAAGTCAGGGTAACTGGAATATCCATCACCTCAAGCATTTATTATTTCTTTGTGTTAGGAACATTTTGATTCTACTATTTTAGTTATTTTGAAATATACAATACATTATTGTTGACTATAATCACCCTATTCTGCTACCAAACACTAGATTATTTGTTTTAAAATCTTTATTAAGCTATAACCGACATATGATAAACCAAGAATATAAAGTGTACAATTTGACAAATTTAGACATATGTATACACATAAAATTCTTTTGTTTTTCTAATTTGATGATCTCTTACCTTTGAGATGTTTAGACTAATTACATTTAGTAATTGATGATTAATGATTGTTATGCTTCAGTTTAAATATGCCATCTTGCTGTTTGTTTTGTATTTGTATCATCTATTTTTTTATTCCTATTTTGTGCCTTCTTTTGGGTTATTACAAGTGTATTTTCATTCCTCCTTGCCTTATCTTTGTGCTATTTTTGCCACATATATTACTTCTACCTAAGTTATATATGTCATACTGCATTCTTCTTATTTTGACTTAAACCAATCTTCTGGTGATTAATCATATATATATATATATATATATATATTTTTTTTTTTTTTTTTTTTTTTTTTTTTTTAAACAGAGTTTTGATCTTGTTGCCCAGGCTCGAGTGCGATGATGGGATCTCGGCTCACTGCAACCTCTGCCTCTTGGTTTCAAGCGATTCTCCTGCCTCAGCCTCCTGAGTAGCTGGGATTACAGGTGTGCAACACCATGCCCAGCTAATTTTTGTATTTTTTGGTAGAGAGAAGGTTTCCTCATGTTGGCCAGGCTAGTGTCAAACTCCCGACCTAAGGTGATCCACCTGCCTCAGCCTCCCAAAGTGCTGGGATTACAGGTGTGAGCCACTGTGTCAGGCCTCTTTTATAAGTCTGAGAAAGTCTTTATTATACATTTTTGTGAATGGTACTTTTTCAGGTTTAGAATTTTAAGGTGTGAGGGTTTTCTTCTTTCGGTATTCTAAAGATGTTGTTCCACTGTATTCTAGCTTGCATTGTTACTGAACAGGAGTCAGCTATTATTATTTACATTACTTTATATATAACATGACTTTTTCTCTCTGGCTGCTTTTAAGATTTTTTTTTATCACCGCCAGGCGCGGTGGCTCATGCTTGTAATCCCAGCAATTTGGGAGGCCGAGGCAGGCAGATCATGAGGTCAGGAGTTCAAGACCAGCCTGGCCAAAACAGTGAAACCCCCGTCTCTAGTAAAATACAAAAATTAGCTGGGCACCGCGGCAGGCACCTGTAATCCCAGCTACTCAGGAGGCTGAGGCAGGAGAATCGCTTGAACGAGGGAGGCGGAGGTTGCAGTGAGCCGAGATCCCGCCACTGCCCTCCAGCCTGGGTGACAGAGCTAGACTGTCTCAAAAAAAAAAAAAAAAAAAGATTTTCTATCACTGGTTTTAAGCCTGATGTTTATGATATTTTATGGTTTACTTTTTTTGTGCTTTGGATTCATTGAGCTCCTTAAATCTGTGGGTTTATAGTGTTCATTACATTTGGAAAAAAATTACACTTTTTTGCTTCAAAAATTTTTTTCCTATTTATTCCTCTCTCTCTTCTCCTTCAGCAATTCTAATTACATCTTATTAGGCCTCTTGAAGTTGTCCCACAGCTTGCTAATGTTCTATTTATTTTTTGTCTGCCGTGCATGCACGCGCGCGCGTGTGTTTGTGTGTGTGTGTACTTCATTTTGGATAGTTGCTATTGTTGTATCTTCAGTTTACTGGTATTTTCTTTCACAATGTGTAATCTGTTATTAATTCCATATAGTACATTTTTAATCTCAGAAATTGTTGTTTTCATCTCTAGAAGATTAATTTGGGTCTTTTGGAAAATATTTTTTATATATCTACAAAACATGATTAGTTTTACACCTATCATCTTGAACACATTAAATATCATTAACAATTATTATTCTAATGTCTTTTTATACTAATTTTATTATCTTTTTCTTTTCTGGGTCTGTTTCTATTGATTAATTTTTTTTCTTTTTTAAAATTATACTTAAAGCTCTGGGGTACATGTGCAGAACGTGCAGTTTTGTTACATAGGTATACACGTGGCATGGTGATTTGCTGCACCCATCAACCCATCACCTACGTTAGGTATTTCTCCTAATGTTATCCTTCCCCTAGCCCCCCCACCCCCTGACAGGCCCCGGTGTGTGATGTTTCCCTCCCTATGTCCATGTGTTCTCATTGTTCAACTTCCACTTATGAGTGAGAACATGCAGTGTTTGGTTTTCTGTTCTTGTGACAGTTTGCTGAGAATGATGGTTTAATTTTTGTCCTTAGCATAGGCCATTTTTTCTTGCTTCTTTGCATGCCTGGTAATTTTTGATTGTATACCAGACATTGTGTAATTGTTGGGTGCTGGTTATCTTTATATTCTATATCTTGTATCTTATATTTTTATATTCTAGTAAATATTTTTACCTGGTTTTGGAACACAGTTACATTATTAGCAAGTAGTTTGATCTTTCTGAGGCTTGCTTTTAAGCATTTTAAGGTAGGACTAGACTGGCCTTTGATCCTGAACTAAATTTTCCCTTTACTGAGGCAATGCCTTTCTGAATGCTCCACCTAATGGACTATGAATTACAAGGTGTTCTACTCTGCCTGGTGAGAACATGGACTATTCTTGGATTTGTGAGCCCTAGCAGTGGTTACTTGTGCTCTTTTTTGGATGTTCCTTCCATAGTCTCATACAGTTTTCTCACATGCATGCACCTGTCAATATGCAGCTGAACATTTGAGGGGGACCTTTTGAATATTTCTGGAGCTCAATCTTTTTCTCTGCGTGCATAATTTCTCTCCAGGGACCTGTCTTGCAAATTCTAGCCACCTTTGCCTTCTCAGACGCCGAGCTCTCTCTCCTCAATTCAGGGTGACAGCTGGGCTCTGCGTGGGTGCTACACCCCTGCAGTGTTGCCTGGACAGAAGTATCTGTTCGGGCAGTAAACTAGGGCAACAGTGATTACCTTGTTTGTTTCTCTGAGTTTCAAGTATCTCTGCCCTATAGTGCCTGATGTCTACTGCTTGAAAACCACTGTTACATGTTTGTTTTTTTTGGTTGTTTAGTGAAAGAGTAAATCCAATCACCTGTTACTCCATCTTGGTTATATGTAAAACTCCTGTTGTTCTATTTTTGTGATAAAATTTAAGTTCCAGGCCATGCGTGGTGGCCCGGGCTCATACCTGTAATCCCAGCACTTTGGGAGGCTGAGACGGGTAGATGACTTTGAGGCCAGGAGTTTGAGACCAGACTGGCCAACATGGCAAAACCCCATCTCTACTAAAAATACAAAAATTAGCCAGGCATGGTGATGTGTGCTTGTAAGCCCAGCTACTCGGGAGGCTGAGGCAGGAGAATTGTTTTAACCTGGGAGGCAGAGGTTTCAGTGAGCTGAGATTGTGCCACTACACTCCAGCCTGGGCAACAGAGCGAGACGCTGTCTCAAAAACAAAACAAAACAAAACGAAACAAAACACAATTTAAGTTCCTTGGCTCTGAACCACTGACTTCTACTTCGGAATGCTTACATAGGCTGCTTTAGGTGGCAGCATTAGGCATCATGTCATCATTCCTAACTTTACAAAAGCTATTATGAGGATCCTTATTTCTAGCATGTGTAAAGTAGTCCCATTCCTACCTCAACAGATGTTTGATGAGTGCTAGATCCCTGATACTTGGGATGAAACGGTGAAGAAGATAGATAAAACCCTTTCCTTTAAAAAGAAAAATTTAAATAAATAATACGGGCCGGGTGCAGTGGCTCATGCCTGTAATCCCAGTACTTTGGGAGGCTGAGGTGGGCGCATCACGAGGTCAGGAGTTCGAGACCAGCCTGACCAACATGGTGAAACCCCATCTCTACTAAAAATACAAAAAATTAGCCAGGCATGGTGGCATGTACTTAGAGTCCCAGCTACTCAGGAGGCTGAGGCAGGAGAATTGCTAGAACACGGGAGGTGGAGGTTGTAGTTAGCCGAGATCGCACCACTGCACTCCAGCTTGGGCGACAGAGTGAGGCTCCGTCTCAAAAAAAAAAAAAATTATAAATAAATAATACGATAGCTCCCTATCAGTACTTTTTTACATTATTTATTATTCTTTGCCACCTGATATACCATATGTCCATCAGTTTATTTTTTGGTTTTACTCCAGGGAAATCGTAAGCTCCGTGAGAATAAGGACTTTATTTTCTTTCATTTCAAGTGGTTGTTTAACATACAGATTTTTGACCCCTTCCTCAGATTTATGGATACTGAATTTCTGAGGGTGGGACCTGAAAATTAAAAATTTGAGCAATATTCCCAGATAATTTGTGCTGACTCTGTGGTTGGTGAACCACTGGTTTAGGGTATAGTAAAGGTTGAAAGGAAATTTAGTCATAAGCTGAGTAATGACCTTTTGGCCAACGATCAACAGCGTATATAGTGGTCCTGTAAGATTATGATATCGTATTTTTACTGTACCTTTCCTATGTTTAGATACACAAATACTATTGTGTTACATTTGCCTACAGTATTTGGTACAGGTTTGTAGCGTAGGAGCAATAGACTATACGATATGGTCTAGGTGTGTAGGAGGCTATGCCATCTAGGTTTGTGTAAGTTCAATCTATGCTGTTTGCACAACAGTGAAATCCCCTAATGATGCATTTCTCAGAATGTATCCCTGTCGTTAAGCGACACATGACTGTAGTTATTTAAATGAAACTGAATGATGTGAGTGTGTGTGTGTGTGAGTGCACACAGGTGTGCATGTGGGTTTGGGTGTGGATTTAATGCTGAAGGGTTAGTATTTCCAGGAGAGGGAGCGGCGTAAGCTCTAGTTAGTAAGGAACTATTTTAGGAAGTATTTTTAGCTGGAGAGGGATATGATTAGGTCTACATTTTTAAAAAGATCGCTCTGGCTGTAGTGAGGTAGTTTTATTTGTCTAAAAACTTCTGCCTTGTAGCTGAGAGGTACCATATGCAGAGAAGAGATCATGTGCTGGGGATCAAACAGAGCAGACACAGATTCTCACTAGCTGTGTGACTGACAAAAAGCACATAACTTCTCTGAGTCTTACTTTCCACATGTGTAAAGTGGGGAGAGCAATACATTTCTTATTGGATTTTCTAAGGGATTGACTGGCTTACTTTAGTAAAACACCTTGTACATAACAGACCTGGGAATAATGCTAGTTTCTGATGGTACTCATTCTCAAGGTGCTGTTGCCCTTCAGAAGAAAACCAGAAAAACACAGCCAACACTGGCATCTCAGATCAGTGTTGGCAAGTTGTGAAACCAGCCACAGGTTGGAGAAGTCCTGCACAATGGGTGGGTGTGTGTGGGTGGTGAGACTGTGAGTAGGATGGATCTTCTAGAGGCAGTGTCAGAAAAAGGAGAAGAAAGTGCTATGACCAGTTCTTGCTGAAAAAAAGACATGAGGCCAGATGTGGCGGCTCACGCCTGTAATTCCAGCACTTTGGGAGACTAAGGCAGGAGGATTGCTTGAGCCCAGGTATTTGAGACCAGCCTAAGAAGCATAGTAAGATCCTGTCTCTACAAATAATTTAAAAAATTAACCAGGAGAGGTGGCATGCACCTATAGTCCCAGCTATTTGGGAGCCTGAGGTGGGATGGTTGCCTGAGCCTGGGAGGTCAAGGCTTCACTGAGCCATGATCGCACCACTGCACTCCAGCTTGGGCAGCAGAGACAGGGCACCACCCTGTCTCCAAAAAAAAAAAAAAAAAAAAAAAGAAGACATGAATAATTTATACACAGACAGTGTTTATCATCAGGGACTGCTGAGACTGGCAGCCAACTATTCAATAAGACCTTTCTCAAAGACCAGTACAGATCACTTTAGTTCCAGCAATGAAGTTTTCCAAGTATTTCATCAGATTTCCCTCTTCCCTGGTTATACATTGCTCTTGAATGAGAATAAAACCATTAAGAACATTCTGTGCTTTCTCTTCTCTTTTCTTCTTTTCCCATTCCTGTCCTTCCTTCTTTCTTTTTCTTCCTAACTTCTATCTTAAACAATTAGCCTCTAAGAGTTGGACCTGTTTTACATTTTCCTCTTACTGGAAGTGAATGATGATTTGAGCAGAGATCTATGTTACCAAGTCAGCATCATGTTCTTCCCTCCCACACAACCCACTGCTGTGTGTAATCATCTCTCATTAAGTTTCATGTCATCTGAGTGCAACTCCTTTCCCCTTTCAGGTTGCCCTTAATGTTCATTGTACCCTGCTTTCAACTGGATAGAATTTATGGGGTGAAATCCAGGGTAAACCATGCTTTGCTGAAACATTATTTCATTCAATAAATACAAATGAACAACTGACCACACACAGTCATACACACACAATCTTGAGTACCTACTGTGTGCCTGGCAATGTTAATACCAAATACATATTGGTGAATAAAACAACCAGAATCCATGTATTTGTGGGAGAGGCAGACAAAACACACACATACGTATATGTATATAATAAGAAATGGTGATAAGTTTCATAAAGGAAATAAACAGGGCACATTAACAGAGAATAACAAGGGGAGAGGGAAGAAGCTTATTTGGCTTGGCCCTGGAGGCATCTGTGAAGATAGGAAATTGCAGAAGGAGGTGGGTCAACCATGCAGAAAGGAGGGATCAATGCACTTAAGACAGAAGGAACAGTATGAGTGAAGGTCCTGAGGCAGGAAAGAGCTTTGTGTGATGAACTGAAAGGAGACCAGTGTGGCTTGGGCATCAGGTGTAAAAGGCAAGAGTGGCCCAAGATGAAGCTATACAAGGATTAGATTATGCTGATCTTTGTAGACTCTGGGTAAGAATTATGAGTTCTATTTTAAGCGCATTAGGTAGACTTTGAAAAGTCTTGTGAAAAGCATGTGATTATCTGATTGTTATTTTAGAAAGATTTCCTCCAGCTTCTCTGTGGAAAATGAATCGGAGGAGCAAAGCAAAATACAGGAAGCCCAGTGCAGAGGCTATCACAATGGTCCAGGAGAGAGATGGTAGTGGCGTGAACCAAGATGGTAGAAATAGCTATAAGAAAATGAGCATATATCATGCTTATTTCGGAAGCAAAAATGAAGGCATATATTTGGGGTTGAAAGACGGTGATGAAGGATGACTTACAATTTCTAGCCATTTATTGAGTGGAGGAAAGGCCAAAGAGGGGTGGTTTGGTGGTGAAATCAATAGCTTCATTTTGAAAACGTTAAGTTTGAGATTCTGGGAGATATGCAAGAATACATATCAAGTAGGTAGTTAATTTATAAATCTGAAGTTTAGAGAGGAACTCAAGGTAGTGATTACAAATTATAGCTCCATCAGGTATTATATAGATGGTATGTCAGTGGGAGATCAATTAAGATTTTTAAAATGAGGCACCCAAATATAGTGGATCAAACAAGGCACAAGTTTCTTTATCATTCATGTCATAGTTCAGAGATAGGTGGGTGATCTAGTTAGACAGCTCCACTCCACAAGGTCATTCAGGGATTCACGGCACTTTTATTTGTCATCCCTTGAATATTATTTTTCTCTGTATGGTGGAAATTGGTTCATTAGCACCAAGACCACATCCTATCATTCAGAAATAGGGAAAAAGGTGCACCTTCTTTTTAAGGAAACGACCCAGGGGTAACACATGTTATTTAGCTGCAAGAGAGGCTGTAACATAGAGTCTATAAACTGGATGGCCATATGCTACCTGATGAAATGTCAATTCCATTACTAAAAAGAAGGGGAGAATGGATACCAGAAGACAAGACATACTGTCTGCCACAGACAGTAAAAAGGCAAAGCCTGCATGGGCAGGGTTTCTCAATGTACCAGCAGCACTTTGGAACAGATAATTCTTAGTTGTGGGAGGCTGTGCTGTGCATTTTAGGATTGTATACTCACCATCAATGTTTAGTAGTATTTCCAGCCTCTGTCCTTTAGATGCCAGTGACATACTCCCAGTTGTCACAGTAAAACATGTCTCTAGTCATTGGCAAATGTCCTCTAGGGGGCAAAATCACACCCTGTTGAGAACGACTGGGTTATATCAGGAGAACGAGTATAGAAAAAGAAGGAGTGCTGCCACTGGGGTTTGAGAAGTGCCAACATTTAAAGATTGGGTAGAAGAGGAGTAAAGGAGACAGGCAAGGAGTAGGCAATGGTATATAATGAAAACCAAGACTGAAGAGTGTCACAAAAGCCAATATAGGAGGGAGTTCCAAAATGGTAGGAGTGATTGACTATGTGGAATGCTACTATGGAATCAACTGAAACGAGGGCAGAAATGTGCTCATAGGATTTGGTAACATGGAGATTACAGGTGACACAGACAAGAGTAATTGCTGTGTAGTAGTGGAGGTGAAACTCAGCTTGTAGTGAGTAAGAGTAAGTGGAAAATGAATAAGTGGACATAATGTTTGTAGACAACCCTAAACAATGAAAAAGTACAGAGAAATGGAGAAGCATCTGGAGGGTTATGAGAGTTCAAAAGGGGTGTGGTTTTGTTTTTAATGAGAGATACTAGGAGGTGTTTGTATGAGCCGAAGGAAATAATCCAGTACACAAGAGTGCCACCATCCAAACATGTAAAGTGCTTGGAACTGCATTTAACAAGTAAACTGTATATTAAATATTAATATTACTCTATGAATTAGAGATTAAGTGGGCAATTGTGCTTTTAGACCCTGCTACAGATAGAACATTTTTGTCCCCCTCCAAATTCCTATGTTGAAATCTTAACCCCCAAGGTTAAGATTTTTTTCTTTTCAGAATTCCTTCAATTTTGATTGTGGGGATAAAATCAGACAGCCACTGAAGATAGAATACAGTTACTGGGAGTAATCACAATGCTGTTCTCTTTTATAAAGTGGATATGATGTGTTATTTATTCAATTAATGCACGTCGCCAAAAATTGTCCTTATTCCTTGATTGTCTCTTTTTTTTACCAGTCTCTTGTTGAAGTGGCCTCATTGTCTGGGAAAATACTTGAGGTTTGTTGTCTCACAGCCATGGAGATCAAGGATGCGGACACACAATGAGTGAGGTTAAGAGCGGAAATTTAATTGGGAAAAGAAAAAGAATAGCTCTCTGCTACACAGAGTAGTCCTGAAAAAATAGGTTGCTGGTCCACAGCAAAATGCAGGGGTTTTTATAGATGAGCTAGTGGGGAGGTGGTGTCTGATTTACATAGGGTGCAAAAATCTGGTTAGGACCAGGTGTGCCATTTGCCTATGGCACAAATCTCTGGCCGCCCCCATGCCAATCTTCTATTATGCAAGTGGGTTCCCTGCCTGAGCTGTGCCATGTTGCCCATTTTTTTCTTACTGTACATGTGCTAACAAAAAAGGGAAGATGGAGCTTCCATGGTGCACACGCCTAGCCCCCAGGTAGCCCTTTCTTATTGGTACAGCTGCTGGCATTCCCCTGTGCAAGCTTCCAGCTTGCTTATCTATATTTGCAGCTTGATTTTTCAGGCTGCTCTTTGTTGGGAAAGAAATGATTTTTTGGGCTGCTTTTTGTTTGAAGGGAAGCTCTGCTAAGGACTCGTTTGCCCTCACTATCTGCCTAAATAATTTCTTTCTAACTAAATCTGCCTAAATAATTTCTTTCTACCTCCTGTATCATTGCTCTGCAAAGAGAGGATACCTGGCCACCACATTGGCCCATATGATGCTGCCACTGGTCAGATCTCGGACTATGCTAGGCAGCTCAGAGACCTCTGCTGTTATCTGTCACATTGCATCTCAGTCTCTCAGAGTTGCATTGTGGGGGGTCTTGTTCATTGTGTTAAAGTCAATGGTGACACTGAAAGACACACCAATCTCATCAGTCCTGGCATAGTGTCTCCCAATTGACCCAGAGGAATCATCTACTTTGTGAGACAACCTGTGCCTGGTCAGGGCTTCCGATAATTCCTTGATAAATGGCATGAATGGTTTTGGCTCAGTGAGAGGGCGTAACATTTGAATAGAGTGACTATAGCAGGGAAACTGAGGAATGTTCTCTGTTCATCTCCTTCTCTTACATGGAATATATGTTCAAATACCATATACATAATCCTGCACAGGCTGAAGGAGGGTTCAGTTACATTCAGAACAACTTCTTCCACACAGAGTGTTCTCTGGAATCTCATCACGTTTGGCCACATCTTTTGTTAGCCGAAATGTTTTCCCTTCGGGTTCAATTGTAAATTCCCCTTTCTCATTCAATTGCATCTCAATTTCTGTAATGTAACATTCATCACAATTGGCGAGATACTCCATCATCAGTTTTGCATGCTTCTTATACGCCTTACCAACTGCTCCCTTATTGGGTATTAGGTAGACAGCTTCATATTCCTTCCCTGTGAATTGAGACTCTGCACTCAAACAAACGTCATGGTTATTTACATATTTTGGATACTAACCTATTATTTGTCATACACATTGCAAACATCTTTTCTGGTCTCTCACTCATGTGTTAACTTTATGTTTTGTGCTCACTTTTGCAGCACATACACTAAAATTGGAACGATACAGAGAAGATTAGCATGGCCCCTGTCTGTGCAAGGATGATATGCAAATTTGTGAAGTGTTAACTTTATGTTTTATTTTGTCATTCTAACATTTTCTTTTTGTCATGTAGTCAAATATATCAAACCTTTTGTTTAATATTTTTAGGCATATTCTATTCAAAAAGTTTTTCTTTATGGGTTTTGGTTTTTTATGTCTTCCTCTCCCAATGTCACAAAGATATTTCCCCTAATTTAGAATCTTTTCTAAATGTTTAAAAAGTTTGCTTTTCAGATTAATGTTTTAAATTCATATGGAATTCACTTTTTTTTGTATATGGCTTGACACAAGGATGTATCCACTTTTATTAACTTCCAAATGGATAGCCAAGTGTCCCACACCATTGACTGACTAGTCTTTCCTTTTCCCACTGATTTGTAACACTGCTAAATCTCCATATGTGTGTAGTTTGGATATTGGTTCATTTGTCTATTGCCATGCCAATATGACAGTGTTCTAGTTATTGTGATTTAAAAGAAGTCTTGATGCTTAGTCAGGCAAATCCTACTCCTTGTTTATCTTCTTCCCAATATTCATGTTTCTTCTTGTTCCCTTATTCTTCTATGTGAATTTTAGAACTAGCCTGTTAATGCCGTGAAGAAAACCTTTGGACTAACATTTATGTGATATAAAATGTTTTAATCCGTTCATTTTAAATCTTTCTGTGTCCTTACTTTCAGGCCTGTCCTTTGTAAACAAAATCTATTGGGATAGAAAGCAGAACAATCTAATAGTTTGTCTTTTCAGAGGAAAGTTACGTTTATTTACATTTATTGGGGTATATTTATGCTGCTTTAAAAAATCATTTTACTTTGTGTTTTCTATTTTTTGCCTTCTCCCCTCCCCTTTTTTTCTTCCTCCATTTCTGCCATCTATATGATTAATTGCATTTTACTTATTTCCTATTTTGCTTCTCTGTAGAAGTTCTACATTCTATTTCTATTCTTTTAGTAGTTGCCTTTACACTTTAACATATATACAGTCCAAAGTCTAAAATAAATCAATATCTTTAATCTCTTTTTAAACGATAAAAGATTCTTAGCTTCATTCCATCTCTATTTCCAAGTTTTGGTTCCTTAGTTTGAACTGTTTTTAATCACCTCCACCAACACTGGTCAATATTATTTTTTAAATATCAATACATTAACTTTACTCACAAGTTTGCCAATTTCTTTTCTTTTCCTTGCTTCTTTAATCCACCTCTTTACATCTGGGTTTTGGGTTCTTTTAGCTGAACTATATTCTTTAGAAGCAGTTTAAGTGAGGACTTAGAAACTCAGTTTTTTTTTTTTTTTTGCCTGAAGATATATTTACTTTGCCCTCATTTTTTTTCATGAGAATTTAGTTGAGTGTGGGAATATAGATGGACAAATATTTTTCCTTAGCTCTTTGCAGAAATCGTTCCATTGTTTTCTGGCATCTATTATAATGAATGGAGAGACTTTTCGATGTAATGGTCATTCTTTTGTGAGTAATCTCTTTTCTCTAGGTGATATGGATATTTTCTCTTTGCATTTCCTATTTTGTTACTTCCCTACAGTATATGTAGGAGAATTTTGTTGTTCTTTTCATTGCTAGGAATGATCTTTTGATGTGAGAATTTAAGTCATTCTTAAGTTCTGAAAAAGTTATTATTCGATTTCTATTTCAATATTGCTTTTCCCCTCACTTTCTGTGTTCTCCTACAATTTTTTTTTAGACCCATGTGGGCCCGTCTCTCTCTCCACTTCAGTTCTCTTAACTCTTTTTTTCTGTTTTCTTTTCTTTTTTTTCTTTCTTTCTTTCTTTTTTTTAGACAAGGTCTTGCTCCATCATCCAGGTTGGAGTGTAGTGGCATGATCACAACTCACTGCAACCTCAGTATCCCAGGCTCAACAGATCCTCCCCACTCAGCCTCCTGAGTAGCTGGGACTATAGGTACTTGTCATCATGCCCAGCTAAGTTTTAAAATTGTGTTGTAGAGATGGGATCTTGTTACGTTGCTCAGGTTGGTCTCAACCTCCTAAACTCAAGCAATCCTCCTGCCTTGGCCTCCCAAAGTGATAGGATTATAGGCATGAGCCACCAGGCCAGGCCTTAACTTTTGTATTTTCCATTCTGTTGCCACATATGATGCATTCCAACATCTTCATCAGCTCCGTTTTCTAATTCATTAATTATTTCCTCAGCTATGAATAATCTGCTTTTGGCCCAACCATTAAATATGAAGGTTTGTATGTACTTATTTCAGTGACTATGTGTTCATTATCAAGATTTCTATTTGGTTAAAAAATGTTTTTAATTCTTAAAAAAATTAAAACGATTATTTAAAATATTTTAATAATGCATTGTGTTTATGCTCCTTCTCTCTTTAAATATAAAAACATTTATTTAACATTTTTATACTGTTTTATTTGCCATTTTCTATTGCGAATTCCTACTATTTATTGCATCTTCTGACTTTCTTTTATGTGGCTTAACTCATGTGGTTCAAAATTATTTTCCGTAGTAAACTCATTCTTAGTGAAAGTTGAGTCTGCATGACTTGAGATATATCTTCTTCTTTATAGGATGATCTGAGTTTGTTTCTTCTAAAGCTCAGTGGATTTTTACCAATTCTGGATCTGTTTTTGTGATAATTTCTTGGCTTCAAGTGTCCCATCAATTGGATTGTGTCAATTTAAGGCCAACGATTTCTTATGAGTCTAAACTTTTAGCCATGACACCTGATGGGTAGCTTTGTTACCATGTATCCAGGCCAATAGAAGAGTATTTCAAGTCCAATTTTATGGTGTGATGGCATTTTTCATCACTAGCTTTTAGTAGGGATTCAAGTTCAGCACCTTGTCTTGCAGGAACCTGAAGTACAGGAATGCCTCTTGTCCCTACGGTTTTTGCCAGTTTCTGATCCTTCTGGGAGTTCTTTGGCTTTGTCTGCTGTTCCTCACCCTGCCTTTGATTTCCTGCTCTATTCCTGGACCTGAGAATTTTCTTTTATTATTGTTATTATTATTATTTTTGAGACAAGGTCTCACTCTGTTGCCCAGGCTGGAGTGCAGTGGTGTGATCATGGCTCACTGCAACCTTGACCTCCCCAGGCTGAGGTGATCCTCCCACCTCTGCCTCTCAAGTAGTTGGGACTACACGCACATACCACCATACTTGGCTAATTTTATTTTATTTTTTGTATTTTTTGTAGAGATGGGATCTGACCATGTTGAGCAGGCTGGTCTCAAACTAATAGTTTCAAGCCATCTGTCTGCCTCAGCCTCCCAAAGTGCTAGGATTACAGATGTGAGCCACCGCACCTGGCTCCTTTTATTATTATTGAATAGTTTGGTTACGTATTTAATTTTTTCTTTTTGTTATATTTTCTCCAGTGTTTCTATGTTTATCATATGGAAGGACAGCCTTTCCACATTAGCTAAGCTTGCCAGATTATCAGAAGTCGCTTTTTTTTTTCTGGCTTTAGAAGAGATTTTTATTCCCTGACTAGTTAAGAATTCTCGAGTTCCCAGTGACACAAAAGATGGCAGAAAAATAGCTTAAAACCTTTTATTCTCTTTTCCATCCATCTATCGCACCCAACCACACACATGTTTCCTGACACCCACGGTGGGTCTGACACCGCCCAGATAAATGAGACGTGGTCCCCAAGAAGGCGCCTCCAGGCTCTCCAGGACAAGGATCACAAAACTGCAACACAGAGTGATCCCGCCCTGGAGAGGGAGCTCCAGGAGGAAGAAGTGTTAGTCCATCTCTCTGGCTGCAGATGTCCCCAGGGGTGTCAGCATGGGCACCGGCAATCGGGGGCACCCTCCTCAAATCTGGCCAGGGATACCCTATGATGTGACACTTTCCCTAGACACCCATCTTCCCACCATCTTCAGAGGGCGTGACCCCTCTCTCCCCACTCGGTCCCTTCAGGAACAGATTCCATCTCTCGTTCTTGCTATCTCAGTCCTCATCCCCACCCCCCTGCTCTAAGCTCTCAGGGGCCCACAGATCAGATGGCTTCCCCGGCGGGCACTGTCTCCCCTCTGTATGTCCTGTGGGCAGCCACAGGTGGGCATGCACGGCAGGTGCACAGCATGAGCACAGCAGGCACACACACTGACCCAGTGCCACTCAGCACCCTGCGGGTGGCTGCTCCTGGCTGAAAGCTTCCTAGCACACTCGTGTGGGTGGCTGCTCCTGGCTGAGAGCTTCCTGGTGCACTGGGCTGTGGCCTCTGGCTTCTATCTCATCTCTCCAAGAGCCACCCTGGTCCACACAGGAGGCGGCAGCAAGGCCAATCCAGGGTCTTGGGATGGGGGTGGAGGGAAAGTCGAGCAATTTGTAGACAGGGGTGAGATCTCCCCAGAGCTCAGCTTCACGACATGCTGCTTCTAGTCGCAGCCAAGTGCAATGTATGGACTCTGTGTGGATCCTGACTTGAACAAACCAATGCTAAAAAGAGGTTAGGATCAATATGGACTAGATATGCATGACATTAAGGAGTTACGATTCATTTGTGATGATGGATGTGATATTGACATGGTGGTTATGTAAAAGTAAAAATAGTTCTCTTCAACTGAAATATCTACTGAGGTATTTACAGGTACAATGACATGATATCTGGGATTTGACTTTAAAACGCTCTAGCAAATTCTCGGTTTGTCTGTTATTGGTGTATAAGAATGCTTGTGATTTTTGTACATTGATTTTGTATACTGAGACTTTGCTGAAGTTGCTTATCAGCTTAAGGAGATTTTGGGCTGAGACGATGGGGTTTTCTAGATATACAATCATGTCATCTGCAAAACAGGGACAATTTGACTTCCTCTTTTCCTAATTGAATGCCCTTTATTTCCTTCTCCTGCCTGATTGCCCTGGTCAGAACTTCCAACACTATGTTGAATAGGAGTGGTAAGAGAGGGCATCCCTGTCTTGTGCCAGTTTTCAAACGGAATGCTTCCAGTTTTTGTCCATTCAGTATGATATTGGCTGTGGGTTTGTCATAGATAGCTCTTATTATTTTGAGATACGTCCCATCAATACCTAATTGATTGAGAGTTTTTAGCATGAAGGTTGTTGTATTTTGTCAAAGGCCTTTTCTGCATCTATTGAGATAATCATGTGGTTTTTGTCTTTGGTTCTGTTTATATGCTGGGTTACGTTTATTGATTTTCGTATGTTGAACCAGCCTTGCATCCCAGGGATGAAGCCCACTTGACCATGGTGGATAAGCTTTTTGATGTGTTTCTGGATTCGGTTTGCTAGTATTTTACTGAGGATTTTTGCGTCAATGTTCATCAACGATATTGGTCTAAAATTCTCTTTTTTTGTTCTGTCTCTGCCAGGATTTGGTATCAGGATGATGCTGGCCTCATCAAATGAGTTAGGGAGGATTCCCTCTTTTTCTATTGATTGGAATAGTTTCAGAAGGAATGGTACCAGCTCCTCCTTGTACCTCTGGTAGAATTTGGCTATGAATCCATCGGGTCCTGGACTTTTTTTGGTTGGTAAGCTATTAATTATTGCCTCAATTTCAGAGCCTGTTATTGGTCTATTCAGAGATTCAACTTCTTCCTGGTTTAGTCTTGGGAGAGTGTATGTGTCAAGGACTTTATCCATTTCTTCTAGATTTTCTAGTTTATTTGCGTAGAGGTGTTTATAGTATTCTCTGATGGTAGTTTGCATTTCTGTGGGATCGGTGGTGATATCCCCTTTGTCATTTTTTATTGTGTCTATTTGATTCTTCTCTCTTTTCTTCTTTATTAGTCTTTGTAGCGGTCTATCAATTTTGTTGATCTTTTAAAAAACCAGCTCCTGGATTCATCGATTTTTTGAAGGTTTTTTTGTGCCTCTATTTCCTTCAGTTCTGCTCTGATCTTAGTTATTTCTTGCCTTCTACTAGCTTTTGAATGTGTTTGCTCTTGCTTCTCTAGTTCTTTTAATTGTGATGTTAGGGTGTCAATTTTAGATCTTTCCTGCTTTCTCTTGTGGGCATTTAGTGCTATAAATTTCCCTCTACACACTGCTTTGAATGTGTCCCAGAGATTCTGGTATGTTGTGTCTTTGTTCTCGTTGGTTTCAAAGAACATCTTTATTTCTGCCTTCATTTCGTTATGTACCCTGTAGTCATTCAGGAGCAGGTTGTTCAGTTTCCATGTAGTTGAGCGGTTTTGAGTGAGTTTCTTTTTTTTTCTTTTTTTTTTTTTTGAGATGGAGTCTGGCTCTGTCGCCCAGGCTGGAGTGCAGTGGCACAATCTCAGCTCACTGCAAGCTCTGCCTCCTGGGTTCACGCCATTCTCCTGCCTCAGCCTCCCGAGTTGCTGGGAGTACAGGTGCCCGCCACTATGCCCGGCTAATTTTTTGTATTTTTAGTAGAGACAGGGTTTCACCATGTTAGCCAGGATGGTCTCAATCTCCTGACCTCGTGATCTGCCCACCTTGGCCTCCCAAAGTGCTGGGATTACAGGCGTGAGCCACCGCGCCCAGCCTTGAGTGAGTTTCTGAATCCTGAGTTCTAGTTTGATTGCACTGTGGTCTGAGAGACAGTTTGTTATAATTTCTGTTCTTTTACATTTGCTGAGGAGGGCTTTACTTCCAACTATGTGGTCAATTTTGGAACAGGTGGTGGTGTGGTGCTGAAAAAAATGTATATTCTGTTGATTTGGGGTGGAGAGTTCTGTAGATGTCTATTAGGTCCTCTTGGGGCAGAGCTGAGTTCAATTCCTGGATATCCTTGTTAACTTTCTGTCTTGTTGATCTGTCTAATGTTGACAGTTGGGTGTTAAAGTCTCCCATTATTATTGTGTGGGAGTCTAAGTCTCTTTGTAGGTCACCAAGGACTTGCTTTATGAATCTGGGTGCTCCTGTATTGGGTGCCTATATATTTAGGATAGTTGGTTCTTCTCGTTGAATTGATCCCTTTACCACTATGTAATGGCCTTCTTTGTCTCTTTTGATCTTTGTTGGTTTAAAGTCTGTTTTATCCAAGACTAGGATTGCAACCCCCGCCTTTTTTTGTTTTCCATTTGCTTGGTAGATCTTCCTCCATCCCTTTATTTTGAGCCTATGTGTGTCTCTGCACATGAGATGGGTTTCCTGAATACAGCACACTGATGGGTCTTGACTCTCAAACAGAGAGCCAAATCATGAGTGAACTCCCATTCACAATTGCTTCAAAGAGAATAAAATACCTAGGAATCCAACTTACAAGGGATGTGAAGGACCTCTTCAAGGAGAACTACAAACCACTGCTCAAGGAAATAAAAGAGGATACAAACAAAAGGAAGAACATTCCATGCTCATGGGTAGGAAGAATCAATATTGTGAAAATGGCCATACTGCCCAAGGTAATTTACAGATTCAATGCCATCCCCATCAAGCTACCAATGACTTGCTTTACAGAATTGGAAAAAACTACTTTAAAGTTCATATGGAACCAAAAAAGAGCCCGCATCACCAAGTCAATCCTAAGCCAAAAGAACAAAGCTGGAGGCATCATGCTACCTGACTTCAAACTATACTACAAGGCTACAGTAACCAAAACAGCATGGTACTGGTACCAAAACAGAGATATAGATCAATGGAACAGAACAGAGCCCTCAGAAATAATGCCGCATATCTACAACTATCTTATCTTTGACAAACCTGAGAAAAACAAGCAATGGGGAAAGGATTCCCTATTTAATAAATGGTGCTAGGAAAACTGGCTAGCCATATGTAGAAAGCTGAAACTGTAGCCCTTCCTTACATGTTATACAAAAATTAGTTCAAGATGGATTAAAGACTTACATGTTAGACCTAAAACCATAAAAACCCTAGAAGAAAACCTAGGCAATACCATTCAGGACATAGGCATGGGCAAGGACTTCATGTCTAAAACACCAAAAGCAATGGCAACAAAAGCCAAAATTGACAAATGGGATCTAATTAAGCTAAAGAGCTTCTGCACAGCAAAAGAAACCACCACCAGAGTGAACAGGCAACCTACAGAATGGGAGAAAATTTTTGCAACCTACTCATCTGACAAAGGGCTAATATCCAGAATCTACAATGAACTCCAACAAATTTACAAGAAAAAAACAAACAACCCCATCAAAAAGTGGGCAAAGGATATGAACAGACACTTCTCAAAAGAAGACATTTATGCAGCCAAACAAGACATGAAAAAATGCTCACCATCACTGGCCATCAGAGAAATGCAAATCAAAACCACAATGAGATACCATCTCACACCAGTTAGAATGGTGATCATTAAAAAGTCAGGAAACAACAGGTGCTGGAGAGGATGTGGAGAAATAGGAACACTTTTACACTGTTGGTGGGACTGTAAACTAGTTTAACAATTGTGGAAGTTGGTGTGGCGATTCCTCAGGGATCTAGAACTAGAAATACCATTTGACCCAGCCATCCCATTACTGGGTATATACTCAAAGGATTATAAATCATGCTGCTGTAAAGACACATGCACACGTATGTTTATTGCAGCACTATTCACAATAGCAAAGACTTGGAACCAACCCAAATGTCCAACAATGATAGACTAGATTAAGAAAATGTGGCACATATACACCATGGAATACGATGCAGCCATAAAAATGATGAGTTCATGTCCTTTGTAGGAACATGGATGAAGCTGGAAACCATCATTCTTAGCAAACTGTTGCAAGGACAAAAAACCAAACACCGCATGTTCTCACTCATAGGTGGGAATTGAACAATGTGAACATATGGACACAGGAAGGGGAACACCACACACCAGGGACTGTTGTGGGGTGGGGGAAGGGGGGAGGGATAGCATTAGAAGACATACCTAATGCTAAATGACGAGTTAATGGGTGCAGCACACCAACATGGCACATGTATACATATGTAACAAACCTGCACATTGTGCACATGTACCCTAAAACTTAAAGTACAATAATAATAATAATAATAATAATAATAATAATAATAATAAAATGCTCTAGCAAACAAAACAAAACACAAAAACCTGATGGGGACTTAGGGTTCATTATACTTTCTATTATTTTGGATATTGAAATTTCCTTTCCAACTCATATTCTTTCATTCCCACTTTTACAGTCTTCATTATTACCTCACAGTGGGTCTCACTGGAGATTTTATTGGTGTAGTGCAGAACCTCCAGCTCTATGTCCGTCTTAAACACTCGGCACTAAACGATCTCTGGGTGAAGAATGGTGTTGTTGACTTTGAACTTGCTGATGCCCTCGAAGGAAGCCTCCCTGCAGACGCTGCTGCTGTCTGTGTTGACGCCACGCAAAGTGAGGAGGACAGAGGGCTTCTGTGACGTCAGGACAATGGCAATCTCATCTGCGTCCTGGACGTCGTCCACGGCATACTTCTCCTTGAAGTGCTCCTTGGAATGGATCTTTCCCATCCAGGTGGCATGGCTGGCAGGAAGCCTGGGCACAAACAGGGCCGACTTCCCAGTGTCAGCGTCGATGAAGCCGTAGCAGCCTGGCTCGGTGACACCGAATGCGCAGTGAAAGAAGGACTCCTGGCGGAAGAGGACCCCGGTGTAGGTGCAGTAGCGCTGAGTCTCCTCTTAGCCCTGCAGGACCACTACTGAGCCGGCCTGCACAGCAGGGTTCTTCCGCAGCCGCTCACACCGGCGCTGCCGGTTCAAGGCAAAGAGCGCCAGTGGCACCTTCAGGGTTTCCTTCCCCAGCCAAAACGAGGGTCCAGTGGCCGCCGCCCTGTTCGCCCAGCACCGGCGTCACGTGAAGTCTGAAGTCACTCTTATCCAGTTACATTTGACAGATGAGAAAATTAAAGCTCAGAAAGGGTAAGTGCATTGTCCAACATTTCCATCCAGTCAACGATGCAGCCAGGAGTGGAATCTGGTTCTGTTAAGCTCTAGAGCCCATCCTCAAGCACTACAGCACACTGTTAAATTTGAGTGGTAAAGGTGGATGGATGGCCTGTTAAACAGCTCAGAGGTAGGAATGAGTGAGTTATGCATGGGAACCAGCAGTCAGGGGCGAAGAAATGAACCAATCGGTCACAAAAGAAATGATTCATAATGTGGATCCAGAAGGGAGATATTTGTGAATGGCCAAAATCAGGATTCAGTTTTTGTATGTATTGTGACAGATAAGAGAAAATCTCTATGTGTTCTTGAGTTTAAGAGCTGACACAATTTGTGAGATTAATGGTCATAGTGCTCATTGTGAAAAACATGAAAACACATGAATTCTGCAGTTGTTGCAACTTGTGAGATGCAGTGAGAGCTTGTGAGATGTCAGATTTGGCCCTGAGTGAAAGATGTAGGAGAGCTCTTTGTTATGCAAGTCTCTGGCATTTACTGCAACTGACTTGAACAACAAAATAAAAGATCTAAAAACACTTTGGGAATAGGTATGCATCATTCTGAAAGGGTATTACTGACGATAATGAAACTTCATGATAACAGTGACTAAACTAACAAATGCAGCAGAAGGCTCTGATCTCCTGAATGTTCACTAGTTGCTCAAGTGTAAACCAAGGGTCTCAACTCTACCTGTGCAGCCGTGTGCCCATTTTGTAGAGGGGAGCATCAAGATTTGAAGAGGTTAAATATTTGCTTTACATTATGCAATTAGAAGTTATGATTGGCCAGGCGTGGTGACTCCCGCCTGTAATTCCAGCACTTTGGGACGCTGAGGAGGGCGGATCACGAGGTCAGGAGTTTGAGACCAGCCTGGCCAACATGGTGAAACCCTGCCTCTACTAAAGATACAAAAAATTAGCCTGATGTGATGGTGCATGCCTGTAATTTCAGGTACTCAGGAGGCTGAGGCAGGAGAATCGCTTGAAACCGGGAAGCAGAAGTTGCAGTGAGCCGAGATCTTGCCATTGCATTCCAGCCTGGACAACAGGGCGAAACTCTGTCTCAAAAAAAAAAAAAAAAAAAAAAAAAGAAGTTATGATTGAGACTCAGGTCTGTCTGACTCCAGCTGTTAACCACTATGTTCTAAGCTCTACTATGGTCAAGAGATATCCTTTGAGCACATTTTTCAAGGTAATATGATAAACACCATGGGGAAGAGAAATCTTAATCAGACATAGTATATACCCTTGACAAATTCACAGTGTACTGGGAAAGTACTAATCTCCTATAATGCATGGTGGAAAGTGATAAGAAAACAATGAATTCAGGGATGGAGAATTCACCTTTCAGAAGGCTGCCTGGAGGATGTGGCAGTTGAAGTAGGCTGTGGAAAAGGGGTAAGATGGGGCTATACTGCACCAAAAGAATAAGAATAGAGAGGAAAGAGGCGAGTGTTCCAGGTGAGAGGCAGGCCAGCAACAAAAATGAAGAGGTGGCAAACACAAGGCAGTTTTTGGAAAAGTTAAATGGCCAGTTTGATGGGACAGAAAGAGTATGTGTGGAAGTAGAGAAAATGCTGAAAAAAATACAATGCAGATTTAAATAGTATGAGTAATAATTATAGCTCATATTTGCCAGGCACCTAAAATGTGCCAGGCACTGTCCTTGGGGCTTTGAATTTATTATCTCACTGAAAAATTTCTAACTAGACTGTGAGATTGATATTATCCCCACCCTCATTTTACAGATAGATCTATCTGTAAAATGAGTTATCAATTTATCTGTAAAATGGGGGTGGGAATAACACCACTCTTGCAGTCTAGTTATTTAGAGAAGTAACTTGTCTAGGGCCTTATGAAGATACTGGTGAAACTGAAACTCAAACACAAATTTATCTAATGCTAAAATTCTTATTCATGAAACCATATGGTCACCCAGTAAACATTACTGTTGATGCCAAATAAACTCTGCTTTAGAGCCACAGTTTTGATCCACTGGTCTTATTTTTTTTCTCCTCTGATTTATACATGTCTGACATACGTTGTCATTTCTCTGCAAACTTTCAGAGAACTAGGAGGGAATAGTAGGCTCTAATTTCATCCTAGTGGAGAAAAAAAAAAAAGAAATGGAAAATGAGTTTAATTACTCTCTGCGAAAAAGCTGTCTCTTCTCCCCAAACTTAACAATATTAAGATTAGGTCTTCACATGCTGCTGTAAGAGAACGGACTCATCCATCATTAGACATATCCTGGAAGAGGGACTGAGGGGATTATTTCCTGAGGCTCTGGATAGTATATCACTTGAAGCACCTTATAAGAAGGGATACTGTGCTTGGCTTTACACAGGATTGCTGATTTAGGGTGATCATACAACCTGGTTTGCCAAAAGGGGTCTTTATTTATGTCTATTAGCCTGGCATAATTATTAATGGCACCATCTTTACTCCCAAGTTGTAAGAGTTTAGAAGATGAATTATATGGTTTCCCTACTGAAGGTCAGAGTAATGAGAGGTTAGAGCAGCTGCCAGCACCATTGCCTTGGGTGAGGTTTCTGTCTCACAGGGAGTTGCAGCCAAGAATCTGAAGGATTCTGCTTCTTCACAGTCTGGATGAATAAATAATGCCGTAGGGATGTGAGCCCTACCCATTACTGAATGACTGCGGGTGTCCTTGACTGCTATCCAGAGATAGTAACATCAAGTAGTCTTCTTGGCATTTGAGGGGATGAACTCTGGGTAGGAGAAGAGGAGGGGCTGTACTCATCCATGAAGGCAGCAGTTTGGGGAATAGGAGGATATGGGCTAAGAACTTCAGTCTCGGGGGATCTCATTGAATTAGGGTCATGTAAAGGGAGACACATTGCACCTTGGTGATAGAAGGCTCCTTAGTGAGGCATTTATAAAGCCCCCGCTTAATCTCAGGAAGAATGTACCTACGTTGGAACAGTTACTCATAGTTATTGAAATTTCTTAGGCCAAAAATTAAAAAGTGTATAAATGACCACCTATCTTGGGTCACTTCTTAACTTGGCATGCTTTATTATTATTGATGGTTTGGAGGCTATTTTGTAATGCAATTTATTTAGAAGGTATGTATTGGGTACCTAGAAGATGCTGGGCCACTGGGGTCAAGGCTGAGATTGGAAGAAATAGAAACCAGAATAAGATAATGTTGTTCTTGTTCATAAAGCTCATTCTCAGCATCCACTACGATATACCATTTAAGCAAATATTTAAAAATACCCCAAACAATACTGTATGTTGTTTATGGAAACATTCATATATAATGGAAGTACAAAAATATGCATGAGAATAATGCAACAACTTTTGGATACTGGTTAATCCTAAAGGGAGTGGGAGGGAAGGAAAGGGATGGCTCCAGGCTTTAGCTGTATGAAAAGCATTTTATTTTGGAGGAGGAGGGGTAGTGGGGGTGGGGAAGAGAGAGAGACATGAAATAAAAATAGCAACATTTTATCATCCATTATATCTTATTTAAATGTGTCAACTCTTAAAATATACCAGTGCACTTTTCTAAATGCCTGAAATATTTTATAATCAAAAATTAAAGTAAAAAAGGCCAGGCGCTGTGGCTCACACCTGTAATCCCAGCACTTTGGGAAGCTGAGGTGGGCAGATTACCAGAGGTCAGGAGTTTGAGACCAGCATGGCCAACATGGTGAAACCCCATGTCTACTAAAAATACAAAATTAGCCATGCGTGGTGGTGCATGCCTGTGATCCCAGCTACTTGGGAGGCTGAGTCAGGAGAATTGCTTGAACCCAGGAGGTGGAGGTTGCAGTGAGCCGGGATCATACCACTGCACTCCAGCCTGGGTGACAGAGTGAGATTCTGTCTAAAAAAAAAAAAGAAAAAAAAAGAAAAAGTGAAACTGTCTAAAAAAAAATTTAAAATAAAATTGTACCCAATAAATGTATACAACCATAATTTGTCAATTCACAATTAAAAAAATTAAAATTTACAACAGCCTTGTAAGGAAGATAGACCCATTAAAATGGATGGCCCTTTTGTCATTACAAAGGCTTTTCCACAAAGCTGGTGAAGAAGAGAGATGGAAGGAGGAAGAGCGGGCAGAGAAGGGGGTGAGGCTAGGGCTCCTGGGGTCATGGAGTCTATGAAAAATCTGCAAGTGTGGTTGGACCATTTCACAAAAAGGGATATCTATACGCAATTGGAAGATGTGTGAGATTCTCTAATGTGAACCTCTTCATCTACTCACATACAAGGGCCTGGTGAGAATTGTTTTTTAAACTGAGGGAAGTGTCAGGTTCTTATCCTTGGTGATTCTGGCACAGAAAGAAATAGCATAGCAGGCACAGAATCAATAACCTACACGGTTGGTTAGCTCAGTGGAAGCGGTAGTTGAGAGTCAGAGTAGACCAAAAGGATCTACCTCTTGAGGAATTCACAGACAACTTGAGGAAGACTTTGGATTTTCACAGGGCAGGGCTTAAGCATGAGTGGAATTGAGGCCATCTTCCCCAAAGCTGAAGAGCAGGGAGATCTCAGTGGACCCTGGGTGATGCGGGACTCAGTAAACCCTTCAATGACAGTCATGAGTGAAACTCTAGGAAAAGATAGGGAAGATATTTTCATTAAAAAAAATTTGTGGATACATAGTAGGTGTATATATTTATAGGGTACATGAGATGTTTTGATAGAGGCATGCAATGCGAAAAAATCACATCATGGAGAATGGGGTATCCATCCCCTCAAGTATTTATCCTTTGAGTTACAAACAATCCAATTAACTCTTTAAGTTATTTTAAAAAGTACAATTGTTGTTATTGACTATAGTCAGTCCCCTCAAGCATTTATCCTTTGAGTTACAAACAATCCAGTTACACTCTTTAAGTTATTTTAAAAGGTACAATTGTTATTATTGATTATAGTCACCCTATTGTGCTATCAAATAGTAGGTCTTATTCATTCTTTCATTTTTTTTTTGTACAAGATGGGGATGACAGAAGAAAGACAGGGGTAGATAAAATGTGAGGGAGACAGAAAGAAGGAAGTAAGAATAAAGGCAAATGCATGTCATAGGAACTTGGAGAGAGGCACTTGGGGCTCCCTGAGGTCTCACTGAGGGATGCTTGAGGAAGAAGCAGCCATCCCGCTGGTCCTTGCTGGCTGAGAACATCCCCAGGTCCTCATGGAGCATGTGCGACAATAGAGGACTTCACTGTCCATACTCATTAGTGTCCTGAAGGAGATGGTGTTGGAGCATGGTGGCTGGACTTACCCACATGATTTGCTTTGTCCTGCCTTTCAGATTGTGGGCCACCAGGTGTTTTTTTACAAGGAGTCCTACCTGCAAACATACCAGGTACTTCCTCCAAGTTGCTGATTTATGACCACAAAATGGGCTGAGGTTCACAGTCCCTTTAACACCATAGGCAAGAAAGTAATAACTTAGAAACACAAAGGAAGAGGAGTTATATTTTGCCATCTGCTGCAGTCACTGACCAAGCTTTAATCTTTTTTATTTTCTAGGTCTAGCGTTAGTGGGGGGCAGGTAGTAGCTTAGTTCCTAGATGGGAAAGAAGTTGGTCACAAGCAGATGGAGTAAGGGGTGAGATGATGAGGGAGGGGCAGGGAAGAGGGAGGAGGCAAGAGCCTGGAGGACTTCAAGGGAGGAGAAGCAAAACAGGTTTCTTGGAAATGAAACTGCTTCCCCACAAGAACAGCCTGATGTGATAAGGGCAAAGTAATGAGAAACAGACAGCTCACATTTCCCTGGAAGTGCAGAGCCAAACAGCAACTGGATTTTGACTGTTCCCAGATCATTGTATTAACCTAAGTCCCTCCCCAGGCCCCAAGTGGGAAATGGGGTGGGGGAACCTGTCTTCAAAGGCTCCCCACTGACTCCATGGCAAAGAGCTCAAACAGCAAGCTCTCCTCTCTCCACCTCCCAACCAATATTGCTCTTACCAGCATTGCAAATAGGGGGTGAATAGTCCTCCCTCAGCCCACTGCGTCCTTCTTCCAAATCTCCCCTCCTGTGTCCCCCACAGCTGCTTCACTAAATCATCCAGCTCAGAAAGAGCTGTCCACATGCTTGCCACTTATTCTCTTGCTGTGTGGAGGGCTTGTCTAATTTTAAGAGGCAGAAGGTAAGTGGAATCTCCAATTTCATACAGCTTGCTGGGAGAAGGCCTCATTTGATAGCCCTTGTTCAAGGGAGTCAGTGGTGGGATCTGACGTTGGATCAAACGGATTACCCCTCCCACCCCCTCCTAACCCAATGTTTTGGCCGAGCTCCCCCTAGGCAGGATCCCCAGAGCTTTCTGCCGCTTGTAGAAAAACAGTCTGACTTCTTGCACCATCAAATGACCATGGTTTCTGAAACCTGGCAGGAGCAGCCTGCTTCTTTGCCAGCTGGAAAGGGGAAGGGGCAGGTCTGTAAGAAGAAAGTGAGACCTTGACTTCAAGCTGAGAGATCCATGGACCTGAAAAAACAAGGCCAACGTTCTCACCCAGAGTCCTCATCAGAGCCTAAGAACAAAACTAGGGGCAATTCCAAAGCAGAGACAGCTATGCAAAGGCAAAGATGGACATCTGTCACTTCAACGAGAGCCCTGCTGAGGAGGTTAAAAGAATAAGAAGGGGCCGGGGGTGTCGACACACATGTGTAGTCCCAGCTACTTGGGGGGCTAAGGTCAGAGGATTGCCTGAACCTGGGAGGTTGAGGCTGCAGTGATCATGATTGCGCCCACTGCACTTAAGCCTGAGAGACAGACTGAGACCCTGTCTCAAAAAAAAAAAAAAAAAAAAAAAAAGAATAAGAAGGGGTAGTAATGTAAATTTCCCATTTTGCTGGAGACTGGTTTCTCCACAGGGTTTCCTCACTTGATCCAGATGGCCTCTAGATTTCCTAGTCCTAGATCCAACTTGGTGGAACATGAGCTCTCTTTTTCTTTTGTCATGGAGCCTGCGCAGCATATTGTTCGAGGTTCAGATTGCCTGTGAGTGCTAAGGGCTCTAAGTAGTGAGCTGGGTACTGCTGGGTGACTGTGGAAAGAATTGAAGTCTTGACCTGTGGGCTAACAGAAGAAGGACACATGGATTGATTTACAAATGGCTTAGTTTAGACTCACAAAGGTGCTCAGATGACTGCAAATTAAAAGGAAAAGCATGGGGTACAAAGAAATCTATGTATCTGACACTTGAGAAACAATTATACAAGAGTCTTATCCACTAGAATTAAAACTCTATTCGGTTAGGGGTTTTGATTTGTTTGATTTCTTGCTGCATCCCCAGTGCCTAGTATTCTTCCTAGGCGTACTGAACATATTAGACACTCAATAAAATTAATTTGAATGAACACATCTATTCCAGCACCAAATCTTCTTTCATAGTAATGCTTGTTAGAAATATTTTCTAAATTTTATTTATTTATTTACTTACTATTTTTTACAGATATCTCTCTCTGTCACCCAGGCTGGAGTGCAGTGGTGTTATCATAGCTCACTGCAGCCTCCAAACTCCTGGACTCAAGCAATCCTCCCTCCTCAGCTTCCTAAGTAAGCTGGTGCATACCATGCTCCTGGTGCATATCACCACATCTGGCTAATTTTTCAAACATTTTTTGTAGACATGGCATCTTGCTTTGTTGCCTAGGCTGGTCTCCAACTCTTGGCTTCAAGCAGTCCTCCTGGTTCAATCTCCCAAAGTGCTGGGATTACAGGCGTGAGCCACCGTGCCGGGCCTTCTAAATTTCTTGTAATTTTATAGCAGCTGGAACAGACTCAGACAATTGTCATCTTAAGTCACAACTGCAATATGCATCTTGCCATGCCAGACTTCAGTGTTGCTAGATACAGCCCAGCAAAGGAATATTACATGGCAATTAATTTTGCATTCAAGAAGAGACTGTAAATCTGTTCATTCAACTAATATTAATTGAGATCTTACTTGAGCCAGGCACTCTACCCTGCTGGAGTAAGGACTTCATTGTTCCTTCCCTAATGGAGACTCCAGTCTGGTGGAAGTGAGAGGCATCATTACTTAGTCAAATGAATAAATATATCATTACAAATCATAATATAATGATGATGGTAGCTAACGTTTACTGAATGCATAACTGCCTGCTAGGGATTGTGCTAAGCATTTTGCGCGTGTTATTTAATATTCTTAAAATTGAAGTAGCCAGGTAGCCGGGTGTGGTGGCTTGCGCCTGTAATCCCAGCACTTTGAGAGGCTGAGGCGGGTGGATCACCTGAGGTCGGGAGTTTGAGACCAGCCTGACCAACATGGAGAAACTCTGTCTCTACTAAAAATACAAGAACACTGAACTGAACGCTTGTTGGGATGACCTGCCTGCAGAGAGGAGCTACTGTCTCTGCTAGGAGCTGAACTCTTGTCAGGACACCCTGACTACAGAGAGGAGCTGCCCAGTGTGGGTCTTCTCTGAGCTGTTCTATTGCTCAATAAAGCTTCTCTTCATCTTGCTCACCTTCCACATGTTTGCATACCTCATTCTTCCTGGTTGCAGGACAAGAACTCAGGACCCACCAAATGGCGAGGCTAAAAGAGCTGTAACACAAACGTGGCTGAAACATGCCCCTTGCTCACCACGTTGTGGGTGAAGAGAAGGAGAGAAAAGCTGCAGCCCTTCAGGGAGCCCAGACCTGGGAGCTCCCTGAGTCAGGGCTATGACTCCCTCTTTGGGGCCCTGCAGTTCCTGGCATCTCCAAGCTTCCAGGCACCACTGCATTCCCTGGTGCCAGCTGGAGAAGCTGCTTCCAGTGTGCCTGGTCAGCCACAGCCTCACAGACAGCTGGTGCCCATGCTGGCACCTGGAGCTGCCTACCCTGTGGCAGCAGCAGGCGTGTCTGACTACACAGTGACTGGACCCCATGCTCCCTCACACACCCCTCGCTCACTCACACACCCCTCGCTGCTCCATGCCTGACTCTCAGTCTCCCTTGGAGACATGGGATCCAGGCTGGTAGCATGAGCTGAGTGCAGCCTGCCAGGCCAAAACAGAGGAACAAGCCCAGCGGGCCTGAGTAAAACTCGGGCAAAGGCGTCACTGGCCACAGGTTTCTAGCCAGAAAAGTGACACCCCAAAGATCTCGTAACAGTAATTTACATTCCCACCAGCAGTGCATAAGCATTCCCTTTTCACCATATCCATGCCAAGATCTCTTGTTTTTTGACTTTTTAATAATGGCCATTCTGGCTGGGATAAGGTGGTGGTATCTTGTGGTTTTAATTTGCATTTCCCTGATGAGCATTTTTTTTCATGTTTCTTTGTCATTTGTATGTATCTTCTTTTGAGAAGTGTCTATTCATGCCATTTGCCCACTTTTTGATGGGATTATTATTTTTTTTTCTGGCTGATTTGTTTGAGTTCCTTGTAGAAGCTGGATATTAGACCTTTGTCAGATACATAGTTTGTATTTTCTCCCTCTCCATGAGTTGTCTGTTTACTCTTTTGATTATTTCTTTTGCTGTGCAGAAGATTTTTAGTTTAATTAGGTCCCATTTATTTACTTTTGATTTTGTTGCATTTGCTTTTGAGGTCTTAGTCATAAATTCTTTGCCTACGCCAATGTCCAGAAGAGAAAAGCTAGTATATTTTTGAAACAGAAAGGCGGTGAATGATGTAATGATGATTAATCCTATGGCCCATTATGCTCAAATATAAGAGAACCAATGCCACAATTAAAATATAAAACTCAAAATTTATTTTTCCACTCTTAACTTTAAGATTAGTAGTTTACCCAGCACTTTGGGAGCCTAAGGGGGGCAGATCACAAGGTCAGGAGATCCAGACCATCCTGGCTAACACGGGGAAACCCCGTCTCTACTGAAAATACAAAAAATTAGCCGGGCGTGGCTGTGTTCACCTGTAGTCCCAGCTACTTGGGAGGCTGAGGCAGGAGGATGGCATGAACCCGGGAGGCGGAGCTTGCAATCAGCCAAGATCACGCCACTGCACTCCAGCCTGGGTGACAGAGTGAGACTCTGTCTCAAAAAAAAGAAAAAAAAAAAAAGATTAGTAGTTTAATATCAGCAAAACAATATTATCCATCACATTAAAGTAATGCCTCTGATTTGAACTTTATTAGCTGAGTAGAGTTTGACATATTTATTTTATAAATTGGTGTACGTTATATTGTTGTATAAGTATAAAGAGTTTATGCTTATTTTATATTTGTAGATATTTAAGTAACCTTATGATAAAAATAAAATACTGTAAATCAACACTAGTTTTTTACACTAGTGATTTACACTAGTGTCTGTGAAACTTTTTTCCCCTCTTTATGGGAGACTATTTGTTACTGAATTTTGTGATGACAATATTATTTTAATTTTTCTATATCAAAATTACTCATCGATGATATACTGACTGGCACTACATACTAATGACTGTCATTTGAACAATAATCACTTCGAAGCTCTCCCCTCCAAATGCACAGTGCATATGCATAACATGTATGAGTCTATCTACGCAATGCTTTTAGCTTTGAAATGCATATTCGCTATAACTGCGTTTATCAAAATTTTATCTAAAATATACTACATTTCTACTATGTTTAATATACATATGCAGATTACATCATGGAATTATAACAATAGCTCTATGAAGTATACACTAATACTGGACCCATTTTGTTGGTAAGCAAGGCGAGGCTCAAAGATAAAAAGGGAATTGTTCAAGGTTATAGGGTTAGTGACACAGAGAAGGGATTCAACTGAAACAATATGACTCTCTATATGTTCTCTTAACCATCAACTTTTGATAGCTTGTCCTTTAGTAATACCTATAATTTGTGTATAGATTGATTTTCTCCATTAGACATGAACTCTTGTAAAGCAAAAATAGTGTCTTAATTTTTTAACAACTTTAATTGAGGTAAAATTCACATACCCTATAAAGCACTCATTTGTATAATTCAGTGGTTTTGTGCATATAACATTATTACTTTTTATAAATTGTGATTATATATAATAAAATTTGTCGTTTGTTCATTTTAAGTGTACAATTCCGTGACATTAATTCCATTTACAATGTTGTGCAACCACCTTCTCTATCTATTTCCAAACTTTTTCATGACCCCAAACAAAAACTCTGTAACCATTAAGCAATAATTCCCTATTCCCCTCTTCCCCAACACCCTGGTAATCTCTAATCTACTTTCTATCCTTATGAATTTGCCTAGAATGGTACATTATTGATCTTTATTCCCCATTACCTTGAACAGATGCCAAACTTGTAGGAAGTGGTCAATCCATATGTGTTGAACCAATGAAGAATAGACATGTTGTCCTTGCATCTTTGCCTAGACTATAATTTTTTTAAATGCTCCTTATTCTTCTGCACCAACATTCCTTCTTATACCATCTTCATTTACAACCCAGTTTATTAACTTATCCTCTCTAGGCAACTTTCCTCTTGTCCATGCCCTTATGCCGTATCATCCAGAAATATATAACATACTGCTTCAGCTGCACAGAGGTAAATGAGCTGATAAAACAGCCAAAGATTCTGAGATAAATGAAAAAGGCTCCCACACAATCAAATGAATGACCATGACTAAGGGCATCTCACATGAGCATAGATGATTAAATACCAAGTCCCTGAACCGCTATCACTAGAAGGTATAGAAAATGAATTTTCTGTAAGAGTTCACATCTTTAAGCAATGAGAGATGCATTTTCAAGCTGAACTCACCTGAATGTCACTCTCTGTCAACAAAAGCCATGGAGGTAACCAACAACCTCTTCTTTCTACAGTACAGAACAGAGAAGGGCAAGAGGAGGAGCAGGTGTAGCAGAGAGGCAACACTAGGACACGTTGTTTCTGAAGTGATTTACGAATGACAAGTAGAAGTAGTGAATACAAAATGAAAATTAGAGGAGGTAGTTCTTCCAGTTGTTTAAAAAGAGAGAGAAATAAGCAACAGCTGCAGCTTGTGTTCTGCTATTTGAAGGTGAACTCTTCCTTTAGAATTTCAGACTTTTAGCAACAGCTTAGCGGTTGAAACTACAGAAATGATGTTGATACACTTAAATTCAGTACTTTCAGCAGTTGCAAATAGATAAAGAATTTTCTGCATTTTATATAAAGCCACTGATAGAATAAAGTAATAGTGGCCAGGCACAGTGGCTCACGCCTTTAATCCCAGCACTTTAGGAAGCTGAGGTGGGTGGATCACGAGGTCAGGAGTTCAAGACCAGCTTGACCAGGATGGTGTAACCCCATCTCTACTCAAAATACAAAAATTAGCCAGGTGTGGTGGTGGGTGCTTGTAATCCCAGCTACTCAGGAGGCTGAGGCAGAGAATTGCTTGAACCCGGGAGGCGGAGGTTGCAGTGAGCCGAGATCGTGCTCCGGCCTGGGCGACAGAGCGAGACTCACTCTCAAAAAAAGAAAAAAAAGCAATAGTAATATATGGATCCATATATTAAAACAATAAGTAATATATGGATCCGTATATATTAAGACAACAAGTAATATATGGATCAATAATTAAAACAAAGAATGGGATCAATGGACTATTAAAAACATGAACAAGGTGAGAGAGATGAGAGGGGAAAGGAAAGAGGGGAGAATATTCAAAACATGAACAAGGTGAGAGAGATGAGAGGGAAAAGGAAAGAGGAGAGAAAAAAGAGACTCTAGGACATACCAAGACAGACGTTTTGCCCTGAGCTACACCTGAATAAGAATTCACTAATTTCTTAAAAACGAGGAAATGAAATTTAATACTGGAACACTATATATTTCTTTTATATCATATGTATAGATTTATGCTTAGGTTAACAACTTAGTAAAGTGAATGTTGTTTCTCCCATATTGTGGATTAAGTCATTCTTAACTAATAATTTTGTGGTCTTTAAGGAGTCCCAGATCAAATCCATACCTGGGTCACTTGTTTGCAATAGGCATTATAAAAAATTATATTGAAGATTCTGTTGCTAAGCTAAGCAGTGCCCTCTGAAGATTGTTGCCTTGACAAGGATAATCACTCTTGGAGGAGTTAGACATTGCAGAGGTACTTGATGGGTGACCTGCATGGGCCCTTTCTCAGAGCCTTATTACCATGTATTTTTCCAAACACTTAGTAGAGATAAGAGTTGGCCTCATAAACCTTAGTTATATTCATTAGGTCCTAGGCCAGTTTATTCTTTCATTTAGGAAATAGGTATTGAGTATAGACTCTGCATCAGGGGCTTTACTGTGTAAAATGCTGGGAGACCATGAGAATACCTGTCAGTGTACAATTTTCAAAATGTTAAAAACATAATTCTCATGAAAAACACAGAGAGCAAATGTCAAAGTTGTATTTGAGTCATTCATGAGGGATTCATCAAGATAATCAAGCCGATTCAAAGAAAGATATGGGGTAAAAAAAATATATGCTATATATACATATATGAATACATATGTACATGTAGAAAAGGAGAGAGAGATAGAAGAAGAGAGTCAGTTTAACCAAAAAAGTGCTGGAATAAGATTTCTAAATTGGATTAAAAAACAGTCAATTTCTACAGTATAGTAAAATCATAACTTTGGGGGTAATAATTCTGTCTACTAGACAAAAATCATTTACATATTATCAGTTTCCTACAAGTTCAACCTTAACTTTACAGAGTCTGGCCCTTTATTAAGGTAAAAAGTACATCAAATGAAAACCAGTTGACCCATGGACAGGCTTATTACCCAATGCTCTATGACATGGACAGAACACGCAGTCATCCTTCTTTCCTTATTTCTAAGTTTTGGGTGATCTTTCTTCACATGATGAACAAAAGCAGAGTCTCTACGCTCACGGATCTATCACCTAGTCACATTATCATTGCATTACTGATTACGCAAATACATGGAGATTTCAACTGTGTTGAGAGTTGTGAAGGAGGGTACACAATGGTTATAAGTGTTTACAACAGGGATTTTTCTAAGCAGGGGATCAGGAAGGCACCAGTGAGGAAGGAGACACCAGAGGGGGAAACACTGGGGAACACTGGGCAGCAGTGAACCAGATGGGCCCTCATTTCTTCCCTACCCACACATCTCTCCATGGCTTTGAGCACCATGTATGTGACGATTTCTCTCACACGTACACATTTAGTCCTTTCTCTCCTCAAAACTTCAGACCTGAGAGTTCACTTGGATGGCACACAGGCATCTCACCTTGGCATGTTCAAAGCAGAATTCTCAGTCCTGCTCACACCAAACATCAACCCTTCTCATAGCCTTTCTGTTTTAGTAAGTGGCACCACCGTCCCTCCAATTGATCAAAACAAAGGTTTAGGAATTCTTTCCGATTTTCCTCTTTCCCTCACTCCCCCTACCCCAAAGCAGTTTGTCAGTTAACACTGCCTGCTCCTCCCTTATAGTATGCAAAATCCACCACTTTCACACCACTACCCAGGGCCAAGACATCAACATCCCCTCTCTCGTGAACTATTTCAGTGTTTCCACCAAGACTTCATTCTCCACTTAGCAGCCAAAAGGTAAATCTCAGCTAAAAGGTAAATCCTATCCTGTCGCTCTTCTAAAATCCCTCCAGTGGTAACTGGAATAAAATCTAAACTCCTCCCACTGACTCACACAGCCCTACGACACCCGACATTCATAACTTTTGACTCAACTGTTACTATTTCCACTCCCACCCCGAGCCCCACCCCTAACTCCACTCTGGTCACACAATCCTTCTTTCAGTTCTTCAAACATTCCATGCTTATTCCCAGCTAATGGCCTTTGAGCTTGTAGTTCTCTCTTTCTGACATATTTTTCCTTGTTACTTTTGTCTGTCTGTCTCCTTTCGTTATCCAGATCTCAAGCTTAAATATTACATCTTTAGAAAGGTCTTCCCTAACCACCCAATCCAACCTACACCTAGTTTCTCTCCATCAGATCTTTTGACTTTAATTCTCTGCATGATGTCATCATGAGCTGCTATTTCTTCTTGTTTACTTCCTCTTTTTTCTCTGTCTGCCCTTCCCAACCCAACCCCTCCATACATGTCTTGAATTTTAGTTGTAACTCCAGTGCCTACAACAGTGCCTAACACATAGCAGGTGCTAGAAAATAATTTTTGAATACATGAACAAGCAAAGAGGGAAAGGACAATCACTCAGACAAAAGGAGACAAAAGGAGCATAAAGGACTGAAAAAAAATATTCAGCGTAGTGAGAAGCTGGGAGCACAGAGAGTAGGAGGGAGCAGGGTGAAAAGGACAGCGGAGAGCAGAAGCCTCCAGCCCACGCAGCACTCGGAGGGATTTTAAGGAGTTTCATCTTCATCCAAATACTAATGAGAAGGCAGACACAGGGCTGAGAAAAGGATAATATGCTAGTGATCTTGAACTCAAACTGAAAGAGACTTAATAGGAAAAATAAGGCCACTGCTGTAGTGATGGGCCCCCGGGTAGTCAGAGCAGAAATGCACTGACCCACATCAGTTCATTTCTCTCCCCATGGCACACACAGTCATCATCACTTCCAGCCTCGCCACCATGAAGTGAACAACAGCCCGTGGAATGAACTTTCACTTCTTCAAGAGCATAATGCTGCTTTCCAACCCAGGCCCGCCCTGCATGCGGTTTCCTCTACATACAAAGCTCCTCCAACTTCCACATGCCTAGTTAACTCCTTTTTTCCCCTTCATTTCTCTGCTGAAACCTCATTTCCTCAGGAAAAGCCTTCTTGGACCCTCTCCCCGCACCATACTGTGTCAGGGCCCACTGTTATAGTTCCCTGAACTGTAACTCCAAGAAATTACCATTCTTTCTTTCACAGCAGGAATCAGTATCACATGCGGTTGAAAATGAAAGCTGTTAGACTGCGTAGCATCCCACATTTTCTACGTGGTAGCTGTGTAAACATAGGCAAATTATATAATCTCCTTGAAGACTTCAGTTTCATTATCTGTAAAATAGGAATAATAATAGTCCCTACTTCAAAAATTTTTTTTTTTTTTTTGAGACGGAGTTTCGCCTTTGTTGCCCAGGCAGGAGCGCAGTGGCGCGATCTTGACCCACAGCAACCTCCGCCTCCGGGTTCAAGAGATTCTCCTCCTCTCAGGGGAGGCCTTCCCATGCCCCGACAGTGCAGAGATGCCCGACTGTGCAGTCTGGGTTTGGTGGCTGCAGCTGTGCCCGAGGGGGTGGGGCTCCTTCCTGCTCTGTGGAGTGGGAGGCCCGAGTCTGCAGCCATGACTTGGGCTGTTGTGGCTGCACCTGGGGAATTCCCTCCCCATCAGCTCGGAAGTGTTGTGATTCCCACTTGTTGCCAGCTCCACGGAGTGTGCAGCCCTGGCTGAGCTTCGCTGTTGCAGCCAGCGTAATGGCAGCGGCTGCCCCAGATGGGCTGCAGGCGCCATCATTAGCACAGCCCTCTATGAAAAGCATTATGGCTATTTCTCAAAGAACTAAAAGTAAATCTACCATTCAATCCAGCAGTCCTACTACTGGGTATCTACCCAAAGGAAAAGAAGTAGTGATATTGAAAAGACACCTGCATGTATATGTTTATGGCAGCACAATTCACAATTGCAAAGATAATGGACCATCAATTGATAAGTGGATAATGAAAATGTGTTATATATACACCATGGAATACTACTCAGCCATAAAAAATAAACAAAATGATGTCTTTTGCAGCAACTTGGATGGAGTTAGAGGCTATCATTCTAAGTGAAGTAACTCAGAAATGGAAAACCAAATATATATTCTGACTTCTAAGTGGGAGCTAAGCTATGGGTACACAAAAGCATACAGAGAGGTATAATGGACACTGGATACTCAGAAGTGGGGCGAGTGAGCAGGGGTGAGGGATGAAAAATCACATATTGGGTACAATGTACACTCCTTGGTGACCAGTGCACTAAAATCTGACTTCACCACTATACAATTCATCCATATGACCAAAAACCACTTGTACCCCAAAAGCTGTTGAAATAACAAGATTATATGTATATGCGATTATATATATATAATTATATATATGTGTGTGTGTTCCTGGTTTATTTTATATATATAATTTATATATATACATATATATGTGTGTGTGTGTATATATGTGTATATATATAAAACCAGGAGAAATTCTAACTGGGCTAAATATATAAATATATATTTATAATTTCTTGTTTGTTTGTTTGAGACAGAGTCTCACTCTATCACCCAGGCTGGAGCGCAGTGGCGCCATCTTGGCTCACCGTAACCTCTGCCTCCTGGGTTCAAGCGATTCTCATGCCTCAGCCTCTTAACGTAGCTGGGTTTACAGGCATGTGCCATCCTACCCTGCTAATTTTTGTAATTTTAGTAGAGATGGGGCTTTGCCATGTTGACCAGGCTGGTATCAAACTCCTGACCTCAAGCAATTGGTCTGCCTTGACCTCCCAAAGTGTTGGGATTATAGGCGTAAGCCACTGCACCCAACCTATAATTGTTTTTAATAATTATTATAGGCATTACAGCCCAAAAAACTGAATGACATTTCTTCACATGAATCTATTACTCTTACTTATACTGAGAAGTGGATATCATAGCATCCACTCACAACTTAACAGACTACTGACAGACACAGCACAAGGAGTTTTGCATTTAAGGTATCTATGTGATGTTCTTCTACGTGATGTTTCAGTTTTCAATTCCTTTCTCTGTACAACTGTAAACCTTCAATTAAAAAGTGCTCTGTGGGGTCATTTGGCCTTCACTTAGTGCTAATGCAATTAGCGTCACAAAAGCAAGGGCCCTGAAATTGTATGGAAAAACTCTGTTATCCAGTGGTCATCTAGAACAGGCAGAATGTTTTTAGATTAAGTTCAGTGATGTATTATCATTGAAGTGAAAACAGAATTTAAAATTCACATGGAACTTTCAGACCTCAGGGTGTGCTTTTGCTGATACTCATGTGTGTGCAGTTGACGGTTTGTTACAGTGCTACATATTATTGATGTTCCAGTGCTCTTTTTGTATTTCCTCTCTTCCTAAGCTTCCTGGCTGACATAGCCTCTCTGTGCATAGCCTTCTACAATCATCATGTTACCATGCAAATGAAAAGTCTAGTTATATCTATATCTACATTTATCTGTCCTTTTTTTTTTGAGACAGGGTCTTGCTCTGTTGCCCAGGCTGGAGTGCAGTGGTGCGATCTCAGCTCACTGCAACCTCTGCCTCCAGGTTCAAGTGATTCTCCTGCCTCAGCCTCCCAAATAGCTGGGATTACAGGTGCACACCACCACCCCTGGCTAATTTTTATATTTTTAGTAGATATAGGATTTCACCATGTTGGCCAGGCTGTTCTTGAACTCCTGACCTCAAGTGATCCACTTGCCTCGGCCTCCCAAAGCGCTGGGATTACAGGTGTGAGCCACTGTGCCCAGCCTGTGTATTTTTATGTAAATTTAAGGTAAAAAGTAGCACCATTGCGTGCCTTTTCAAAATTGCTCTTTGTTGTATCTTGCATATTATTCCTCACTGATGAGAAATTCTGATAAGATAAATACCACTGAGCAACTATAATTCATGGGAATACTTTGTTTAAGGTTCATGCCTAAATTTCTGTATCACAGATTCCCAAGTCTGAAATTATCTGAAATTATAGCCCATATCCAAATATGCAGCCGCTAAACTCAAGTTAGAACTGTGATTCTTTCTTAGCTGCGTCTTTATTTTCTGTAAATGTGAGAGGATTGCATAAAATAATCACTGGCACTATGGTTAGGCCAAGTATTCTTTGATTCTCAGGTTTCTCATCTGATTTAATTAATCTTTTTTATGGACTACAGTAATGACCCCACTGGACAAGACGATTCATGAGGATTGGAACTTCATCTATTTTCTTTATGCTTTATTCCTCAGCATGAAGTTTTGCACATATTAGGCACTCAATAAGTAAGTATAGAATTAGCATTTATTGAATCTCAATAATATAACCCCAGACATCAGATTTGTCTCTATTCATCAGCCACACAGATCTGATCATGATATTCTTCCACTTCACAATCTCTGAATGGACTCGCATTGCCTACTTAGAAAGTGAAATCTAAATCCCTTCCAATGGCATCTAAGGGCATTCACAATCCAGTTCGCCGTACGTGATGATGTAGTAAAATGTCAGCCAGGAAACTTAGGAAGAGAGGAAAAACAGAAAGTATTAGTACCATTTCCGCCACTCTGCCCTCTGTACAACAGCCACATTAAACTATTTATTGTGACTTATTATTATGACTATGAAACTGTCATTTCATTGCTCCATCCACCAATTTTGAAAGTGATACCTTTTTACAAGTTTGATTTGCATCTCCAGTAAATGTAGAGAGCTGAGATTTCCCCACATATTTTAAGTAAATGACTTTGTTTTTGTCATTTTTGCTATGGGTATATGGGTATTTCATTTTTTCTGTTATTAATATGGGCATTTTGCTGATTTGGAGCTTGTGTTTAATTCTTAATATATGACTACTACTAATTTTTATGATAAATCCTTTACATAATCTTAACACTCCATTCATTTGTTCTTTTAACTATTGTTTCATAATTTTTTCTTTATTTTAAAATATTTTAGTTTGTGTAATCCAAACTTTTTCTGGAAGTCTGAAAATAATTTATCTTCTCTAAACAATGAAAAAATATATGCTATTGGTTATATGTGTTTTACATTAATTATTAATATTCCGCTATTCAAAATGTCTGTTCAATTTCTCCTATTAGTTTACTAAATTTATACCTATGATATCTGTATGCATTTAGCAAAATTAAACTTTGAAATAATTAAAAATGGTATAATTTAGCATTTCCAACTTCTTCCTCTTGCTCTTATTTTTATTTGATCTGTTGCTAACTATATTTCCTTTGGCTTATAGTTGAATGTTTGAAAGTTCAAGTTTTTCTTTTTTATTTCCACTTGGACTTTATCTTGTCATTTTTAAGCTAAAGAAGTTAATTGCTGAATTTTTTGAGTCCTCAAAAAAGCTTACTGAAAGTTTATGGGAAACTGAAAAGATGTGGAGATTTCTAGGCAGCTGAAAGTTTTAAACATTTTTTTACTTATTGTAAAATTTCCTTCCTTCCTTCCTTCTTTCCTTCCTTCCTTCCTTCCTTCCTTCCTTCCTCCCTTTCTCACTTTCTCTCTTTCTTTCTTTCTCATAATCTTGCTCGGTCACCCAGGCTGGAGTGCGGTGGCATGATCTTGGCTCACTGCAATCTCTGCTTCCTGGGTTCAAGAGATTCTGCTGCCTCAGACTCATGAGTAGATGGGACTACAGGCATGTGCCACCATGCCCAGCTAATTTATTTTATTTTTTGTATTTTTAGTAGAGATGGGGTTTCACTATTTTGGTCAGGGTGGTCTTGAACTCCTAACCTCAGGTGATCCACCTGCCTCAGCCTCCCAAAGACTGGGATTACAGGTGTGAACCACCGCGCCCGGCCTGTAAAAGTAGTTTCTATACTTTCATTTAACTGGACAATCCAAATAATAATTTCATTTTCATTCATGTCAATTGAGAAGTGCAGTACCACATTCCCTGACATCAGGGAACTCTCCATCTAGTTAGGAGCGCAGAAGAGGAACAGATAATGAACAATACTGCAATTCATTAAGGGCCCTGCTAGCTGTATGAGTAATGCACTACAGGAGTGTAGAGGTAAGAAATTATAGCACTTAACCTTTCTGAAGTAGAGAATTCTATGATGACTTCATTAAGAAAATCACCTTCCCAGAATTTTAAGACTGAGTAGATCACAGCCAGTAGGAAAAGGATATTTTACCTAGGTCATACTCATTGTATTATGGCTTGGAAGAATGTTTCCTTTCTAAGTATTTTACTTTTAGAGAGGTGATAGTGCCTTTGATTTTTCTCAATGCTTTTGTCCCTTGGCTATGCTACTGAGTGTGAACAAATTTCCTATTGTCTAAGGGACTGGTCATGAGATATAGGATACCACTGTTATAAAACTGTTTCTTTCTAGGGTTTTTGTTTTATTTACTAATGGGATTCATCCAGCATTTTCCAGTGTTTTCCATGGTAATTAGGGCTGAAGGATGCGCTAAGGAAACAAAAGTTCAAATATTTGCAAATAGCCACATGTGATTCCTTTCTTGGAGATTAACAATGCATAGCTCTAACAGTGAGGTTAAAAAATCATACTGGCAGGCACTAGATTTCATCTTTAAAAAAGTGTTGTATTTCTTTCATAAAATACCTTTATAAGCTGCTAGGAGAAGAAAGTGTGGCACCGAGGACTTGGGTTAGCAAGATACAAAATCGCGCAAGAGACAACTAACTCACTGTGCATTGGAAATGCAAAGGAATTTGAGGGTGGAAGAAGAGTAGAGAAAATTTGAGGGTGGGAGCAAGAGAAAGGAGAAATGAGTATGACTCAGTGATGTGGTGGATTTTAGTTATTTGCATTGCTGCCATGTCTGTTTATTATAGTCTGTTGCACACACCAAGAACTTGTACAAGAAGAATGTAACTGATTTTTGCATGTAGATCAACACCAGACTGGAATTAGAGTAAGGCACAGTAAAGAACAAAGATTCAGAGAAAGCCAGAAGACAGATCCATTGGTGATTACAGGCATGTAAACCTTGTAGTATTTCATTGAAATCACGGGGAAGATAATGGATTTTACCTCAAGGCAAAAAGAAGGGGTTCATACAATCTTTTTTTAATCTTAAAATACAGGAGACCACAGCTGGCACGGGGATTGTATGCATGCAGTAAATGTGTTATTTTTATAATCAGATTAATTAAAGATTCTGTTTTTATTTCTAAAAATAATTCTCAAATTTTGTTTTGCTCTGATAGGCTTTTGGTAGGTATTTGGCAGCAGAGTACTCCACAAGACTATCTTCTCCAAGATTATAAACCCCACGAAGTGTCTGGAATGTAGCTATTTAAGGTTGCCTATTACAAATACACATGTCTTAGTAGATAGTCGAGCTGAGGTAAGGCTGACATTTTTAAGTGCAAATTGTTAAGTCTGAGAAGCACAGGTGATGAACACAAGGATATCTCACCACTTCTATTAGGTGGCCTAAAGGAGTGTCCTCAGTTCAGCATCTCACAACAATCAATATATTGGTTTAGGCTTAAAACATTCTTTAACTTATTCCTGATTTTCTTTTGTTTGGGAGAACCAGGGAGCTGGAACCTCACCTAATTGCAACTTTTAAGGTCATTATCTATTCTTGAAAACGTATTCATACTGTTTATATTTCATTTTCAACCATCTTGATCCCTGGAAATACACTGTTTGGTCCCTAGGTTCACCTATCACCTTTAGGTCATGACCACAGGTCTACAGATTTAACCTCCATGCCATGGATTGGCCTTGGACCTAGAGTTCTCTTAGATCTGGTATACCACAGCTTCCTGGAACTTCTCCTGGTGCTTTGCTTCTACCCACATGGGTAGGTGCTTTGCTTCTACCCAATCTCTGCCTCAAGAGTCCAGGTAGCATAGGGGTTAAGAGTGTGCAATTGGGTGCCAAATGGTTGACTTCTAATCTTGGCTTGGCTGTTTAGTAACAGTGATTGTGTAAGTGATTTGACCTCTCTAACTCTCAGTGACTCATCTATAATGCGGGAATAAAAATACTTCCTTCCTCAGAGATTGTTGTGAAGATTAATTAGATAACGCATGAAAAATCCTAGTACATTCTCTAGCATATCATAAGTGTTCAGTAAACAAAAGCTGTAACTTTATGTATTATTTCAATTTCTATTTTCCTCCTACCTTCTTTGGTGCTTTTGTTGGGCTGACAACAGAGCCTGCTGAACCTCCATCAGTTCCCACACTTTCCCTTCTTGTCAGCAGGATGCAGTAGAAAGAGCATGGACCTGGAAATGTGATAGACCTAGTTCAGAACTGTGCTTACACAACTTTTGTGAACTCATGGCCTTGTATTGTATAATATTTAATGTCCTGAAGCCTTAGTTTCCTCACCTATAAAGTGGAGATAATAAAACAAACTTATAGAGGTTGTTGAAAATTAATAGATATCCTCACCCTTCCCACTCCAGTGAGCAAGGTGCCTTGCCCATAGTCAATTGTTATTGAAAACAAGCACCCCACTTTTTCCTCGTATCTAAATTTCTTTCAGATTCCACCCAGGTCATCCAAATTCTGATCTGGGATCAACACTGCTCTCCTCCTATTCCTACCTTACCAGAAAGGCCATATCTTTAGGCCTTATGCAAGGATACACTAGTAGAATGGTGAAAACCTGGATTTGATTCCTACTTTTCCCCATGTTTGTGCTCAGTAACTTCAGGTAAGTTTTTAAATTTCTGACATTTAATTTTCTTCTTCTTAAAATAGAGAGAATGAAACTCATTTCAAAAGGTTGTTGTGGAGATCAACTTAAATTTGCTTACGTAGTAAATTTTGAACACCTGCTATGTGCCAGCCATAGTGCAAGGTACTGGGATTTCAATAGTGAGCCACCTAGAGAGTGCAAGTGTATGGTGCTTAGCACAGTGCCTGGTGTACAGGAAGCATGAACATGTAATGTATGTCATCATCATCATCATCATCTCCACATCATGCTACATAAGCACAGAATAATTCAATAAATTAATTACAAATAAAATAAATACATTTTCTATAAAATATATTTATATAAAATGTAAATAAAATAATTACATTTTAAATTCTCTAATCCAAATCAAAATAAATAAATCTTTGAATTATTATAGGAATTCTTGGGAGATATGTCTTCTCACAGAGGTTTCCGTGATCCCCATGAGCATCTAGCTACAGTTAAAAGCCACAGTAATGTAAAAATGTATTCAAATGATGCCAACATACAACTGAGGTTGTAAACCACTGGTGTAGAGTCTACTGTAGTGTAGTTAGTACCTGACTGAAGGAGATGAGTAGGCCAGGTTGTCCTAAAGAACTAATAATATTTTCAAAATTAAGTGATTGAACAGTGGAATGGATAAATTGTGGTATATTCATATAATGGAATACTACACAGCAATGAAAGAGATCTTGTTAAATGTAACAAAGAGGAAATCTCACAAATATTATATTGGCCAAAAGATGCCAGATGGCAAAAAGAGTACATACTGTATGATTCAATGTATATGATGACAAAGACAGACAAAACTAATCCATGATGACAGAAGTCAGCATAGTGGTTCCCTCCAGTGGTGGGTATTGATTGAGCAGGTTATGAAGGAAGCTTTATAGTTAGATAGACAGATAGATAAACAGCTTTGTTTAATTCATACACACATACACATGTGTGTGCACATGCACGGAAATTTACCAAGGTGTTTATTGAAGATACGTGTACATTATCAAATGTAACATTTACATCAATAAAATATAAATTAAAAATTAGGTAATAAATATCTGCATTAGTCTGTTTTCATACTTCTGTAAAGATACTACCTGAAACTGGGTAGTTTATAAAGGAAATAGGTTTAATTGACTCAGTTCCACATGGCTGGGAAGGCCTCAGGAAACTTACAATCATGGTGGAAGGTGAAGGGGAAGTAAGGACCTTTTTCACATGGCAGCAGGAGAGAAGAGCCAGCCAGAGCAGGGAAAACTGCCTTATAAAACCATCAGATCTCATGAGAACTCACTCACTATCATGCGAACAGCATGGGGGAAACTGCTCCCATTATCCAATCACCTCCCACCAGGCCCCTCCTTTGACATGTGGGGATTACGGGGATTATAATTCAGTATGAGATTTGGGTGGGATACAGCCAAACCATATTGGTATCTGTATAGACCTCTCACTCTCTCTGATATATAGTGTGTGTGCATATATATAAATATACATATATATTGTGTGTATATATACATATATAGTGTGTGTATATGTATGTGTATATATACATGTGTGTATATGTATGTGTATATATACATACTATATATGTATATTGTATATATGAATGTATATTGTATATATATAGAAATATGAATAATAATATATACATATTTCTCTCTCTCTCTCTTTCTTATTTGCCTTTCAGTTCTTGCTTGGTTGATGCTGGCATCATTAAATTTTTATCATTAAATTTTGTTTGTGTTTTCCAAGTGTTTTTACTCTTCTCTGCCTTTCTCAGGCTTCCCAGCAGCACTTAGTGAGGAGGAGGCTGATCAATGGGTGGTGGGGAAAGTAGCTGAGCAAACATAAAGGTAGACTTGAACTTAAACTGCACTGTCAATCGTCAGTCATTCTTAAAGTGGGTCATCTGTATATAGATGATCACTTGTTATAAGGGGATGTTAACAATTTTTTCCCTTGGAGTTGGCAGTGGAGCACTGGGGTGTCTCACACTGGCCCAGAAGAACATAGAATAATGGTAGTGACAAGATGCAGGTTTTTAGTTCTCCAAGTTATTATCTGAGTATGTGATAATGGCCTTGGGTGTGTTGGGATAGGATAGAGGTAAGAATAGGGAGGAAAAATACGGGCTGAGAACACTTTCCTACATACAGATTTTGGCATCTGCCATCCTTTTCTTTAGATTTGGTTGATACCAGAGAGGGTAAGAGATGGTGCTGGCCCAATTTCCTGTCTCTTTATGACTTGGCAGTGGAGAGTGGCCATGCTGGTGCCTGTGTAGAGTATGGCTTGCTCCCAGAAGTTTGAAAAAGAAAGTAATCGATAATCAGACACTCACTATGTTATATGTGACTATGTGCTCTGAAAATTCACTTCCCAGCTGGGCCTGCAGCCATGGAGAGGAGAAGAGTGGAGGCAATCACCAAGGTCTATAATGGATTTTTTTTTTTTTTAAGAGCAGATGAGAAGGAGAAAGAGAGAAATAGGGCTAGAACAAAAGAGAAAATAGAAACTGAGTGGTGCTGGGAAGGTAGAAAAGACAGAAACCAATTACTAAAGAATAGCTGCTTGACAACCTCCAAATCATAATTAGGAGAGACTTCCTGGCCTCACATTTTCCACATAAACACTCAGGCACTGGGCAAAGTTAATGGGTCCCTGACTGCTGCACAAGAGAGAGCCTCTGTCCAAACCCAGCAGTGATTGACGTCACAGACGGAGTGTCTCAGAGTAATGTGCTCCGCTCCCCTCATTTATATGTTTGACCCTAACCTTTCCCAGATGTGCAACTGTTCTTCCTTCCAAAAAGGGGCTTTCAACACTGGGCATTGTGTGCTCTCTGAATCCAGCCCTGCAGCAAAAACAAAAGTCCAAGTTCCTGAGTTTTGGAACTGGACTTGTGAGTTGGAGTATCTCTGGACTGTTTGGTGTCCCCTCTGGAAGCTCGTATAATGGGGTTTCTGTGCTTATGTGCTTGTGATCTCATGCCTCGAGCTGCTCCTTAGTATCTGGCTGGCCGCCTCTCTTTGGCCACGAAGAGGTGGGAGTACGACAAGGCACAAACAAGGTCTTTTATGATCTGGTTCCAGCCTACTCCTCCACTCCTGCCTGAACTCCTCCCATTCCCTGGTTCGAGGCACAGATATGATTTGCCATTGTACTAAGACGTCTTGGTGACCCATGGTCCTGTGGCTTTCCCTACCTTGTTTAGGCTACTCTCTTACCCAATTCTCTCTCTTTGATTTGGTGGACACCAAGTCCTCATTCAGTTAGGAAGGTAGTGCAAACTTCCTCTATTCCTGGAAGTTTTTTCTAACTCCCTTCCCTGTCCCCTCCTAGTTTGAATTGGCTGCTTGCTTTGTAACTCTCCAGCGCTGCTTTGCAAGAATCTTCACCTTAACCTCTTCACTATTGGTGTGTTTACCTCTCTCTGCTTTATGTTTGAGTTAGTTGTTCATGTGTCTGTTTCTCTAACTCAGTTGTAAGCCTTTTAAGAGCAAGGACCAGATCTTGCCCATCTTTGAACCTCCAGCATTTAGTACTTAGCCTGGTATGTAACAGGTATTCAGTAAATATTTGTTGAATGAATTCATGAATATTGCCAAGGAAATGAGGATGATGATGTAACATAAGTTATGTACAGTGTCTTGATGGCCTTGGAAGGGTTAGTATTAACAAAACATCAAGACTTGTTACCTCTAATGAAGAACAGCATAGGAAAATAAACATTAAATTTATACAATAGGGACAATTACTGCTGCTATTACAGGTCCCTGTTACTTCCTAAGTACTTAACTGATATTATCTCATTTTCTTCTTACCACATCCCTTTTCCAAGTGGCATGTGGATTTTATAATTATTGTTTATATTATTTCAAGTTTCTTGACAACATGATTTTGTAGCCTGCAGTGGAGACGTGTTCCAAGACCTCTCAACCCTTTGGAAAGCCCTAAATCCTTTTGCTGCAAAGCAAGTATACTATCTATTACAACGCAGCTAAACAAAGGATTATGGCTTCAAAAATCCCTCTGTGCTTTTTACATGAAAATCAAACTTCCCTTCCCCTGTGCACTTGGAGTTACCAGCCCTCCTTTCCCCAAATGTAAGACTTCTGATGTAAGGCCAGATTCATGGAGGGAGAGCAGAGGCCAACAGCTGGGTTTAATTAGTATGCTTTTGCCCTCGTATCTTGAAAAACCTATGCTCCACACTAGGCTTTCATTTGAGAGAAAGGGAACTCGAGTTGTAACAAAATCTCCAAATGCAGAAGAAATGAAGAGAGGGCTGAGGAAGCATTTGCACCAACTTGCCTTCCTATGATCTGACTTTGGTCTATCTACTCATTATATGGTCCTCTCTCCCCTCCTCCTCAAGGAATCTGACTCCAGTTGTACAGAACTCAAAGAAAGCAGAGGAAGTCTTGATGCTGTTGCTTTAAACCACCAGGAGGCAAATATCTCTTTTCTAGTGATGTAAAGATGATTTCAGGACTTATTGTAGTCAGAGGGCTAGAGGCTCCAAGGTATCTACTTACTACCATTTTCAATTAGTGGAGTTGGGATAGAGAAAAAAGGAGTGGATAAGAGGGAGAGAAAAAGAAAAGTCCACTTACCTGACCTCCCCCTGGAATCTGGTGATCTGACCATTGCCAGAAATGGTAATGTCTTCCTATAGTGAAAATTTTTCAGCTTCCCACTGAAAGATGTCTACAGATGTCCATAGCAATGTTCAAATTGTTGCCTCTCTTTATAGATAAGTAGACCTGCATGTTAGCAGAGTTAAGGGCTAAGTGGATTAGGCCCTTCAGAATTGTTCAGAATTCATAACTATGTAAGATAATTTATAAATTATGTAATTAATGCTAAAACCAGTCCTTAAATATTTTGGTTTCCTTTTTTTCTATGCAAGCCTCCTTAACAACTATGTTCACTGAAACAGGATAAAGTGGCTTTCTAGTGTTATGGGGATTTTCCCAAGGAAGCTGTGAATTTATGAAGCTGGGAGCTCTGTAGGAAATTAATATTTTGAATCAGGAACAAAAGATGTGTGTTTTTCCAGAGTTATGGTGGCTAGGAATGTGAAGATTACACTCTCCCTTGTAATTTCAAACTCTTTGTTATTTTCTTTAAATGTAATAATGTTGGACATAGAACTTTAGCTTATGAAAGCTTTAAAATCATAGGATAAGACTTCCATCCACTTAAACTTTGGTTGACTGATATTTCCAAGTAGATAAAGCTGAAAGAATGATGGGAAAAAGTAAAAATAATCCTCAGCCAAATCAGATAGAGGGACAAGAGGAGAGAAGGGAAAAGAGCAAAACACAAACCTAACACACCAAAAAGGAGGGAGGAAACCTGGGAAAGTGAAGCTATCCCGATTACTTCCCCAGTCAGGAAATTATTGCTTAGTTAATTTAATGGGTACAGGGAAGAGCGAAGTCAACACACTATGGTCCAGATGAGAGATTTAACTCCCACTTGCAAAAAAAAAAAAAAAAAAAAAAAAAAAAAAGAAACATTCCACTCCAATGACAGTGGATAGGGAAGAATAATAAAACTTAGTAGTGATGTTTTAGGGATTATGATCTACTGAATTACTGTTTCTAACAGACATGATGTGACTATATGCGAAGCATGGGTCAGGTATGTATAAGAATAGAGAGAAATAGGTCACTTGATCTTCCATCAAAGTGGCCTTGAGTTTTCTGAAGGGATATGAATTAATGAGATGAAAAGGTAGTCCAGAAAAACTGAGTGTTGGCTGAGAATAAGTCCCACCCACCCTAAGGTTCCAAACTGCATAGCTGGCATTATGAACCATTTTTCTCTCCTGTCCCCGTGTGTGGTAGATGCTCACCCTCTCATTCTTTCTAGATAGCCTTTATCAGATTAAGGAAGTTCCCTTGTATTCCAGTTTGCTAAAGATTTAAAAATTATTCATATAATACTAAAAAGTTTTATGATATCTTTTTCATCTATTAAGGTGATTATATGAGTTTATTTTTCTTTATTCTCTTAATTTGCGGAATCGTATTGGTTAACTTTAGTATGAAACAACAGGGCACGCCCAGAATAAACGCAACTTGGTTATTCTTTTTGGGAGATTGCAGAATTGGATTTACTAATACTCTGTTGAGGATGTTTGGATCTGTGTACATGAGTAAGAGACTGGCCTATACATTTCCTTCTTCATAAATCCTTGGTGCATTTAGCTTAGTATTATATCAAGATTCTATTGGCTTAAAAATGGGTTTATAATTGTTTTCTCTTCTACTCTCTGGAAGAGTTTAGCTAAGACTAGTTTTGTTTCTTTCTTAAATGTTTGGAAAAATTCACTGGTGAAGATACCAGGGCCTAAGGTTTTTCTTCATTTATTAATTAGTATTCAACTTATTTAATGAGTACAGGACATTTGTACATATAAACATATATGTATATGTTTATTTCAATACCTTTTGGGGTACAAGTGGTTTTTTTGGTTACATGGATGAATTGTATAGTGGTGAAGTCTGAGATTTTAGTGCACCCGTCACTCGAGTAGTGTACACTGTACTCAATATGTAAGTTTATATCTCTCATCCCCCTCCTACTCTCCTTACTTCTGAGTATTTAATGTCCATTATACCACTCTGTATGCTTTTGCATACCCATAGATTAGCTCCCACTTAGAAGTCAGAACATACAGTCTTTGATTTTCCATTTCTGAGTTACTTCACTTAAAATAATGGCCTCTACCTCTAGCTCCATCCAAGTTGCTGCAAAAGACATTATTTCATTCTTTCTTATGGCTGTATGGTAGTCCATGGTGTATATATATACCGCATTTTCTTTATTCATTCATTGGTTGATGGGCACTTAGATTGCTTTCATATCTTTGCAATTGTGAATTGTGCTGCCATAAACATATACGTGTAGTTGTCTTTTGATACAATGACTTCTTTTCCTTTGGGTAGATACTCAGTAGTGGGGTTGCTGGATCAAATGGTAGACCTATTTTTAGTTCTTTGAGAAATCTCCATACTGTTTTTCGTAGTGGCTGTACTAACTTACATTCCCACCGGCAGTGTATAAGCATTTTCTTTTCACCACATACATACCAAGATCTCTTGTTTTTTGACTTTTTAATAATAGCTATTCTGGCTGGGGTAAGATGGTATCTCGTGGTTTTAATTTGCATTTTTCTGATGATTAGTGATGTTGAGCATTTTTTCATGTTTGTTGGTCATTTGCATATATCTTCTTTTGAGAAATGTCTGTTCATGTCATTTTCCCACTTTTTCATGGGATTATTTGTTTTTCTTCTTGCTGATTTGTTTGAGTTCCTTGTAGATTCTGGATATTAGACCTTTGTCAGATACACAGTTTGTAAATATTTTCTCCATCTCTGTGAGTTGTCTGTTTACTCTTTTGATTATTTCTTTTGCTGTGCAGACGCTTTTTAGTTTAATTAGGTCCCATTTATTTATTTTTTGTTTTTGTTGCATTTGCTTCTGGGGTCTTAGTCATTAATTCTTTGACTGGGCCAATGTCCAGAAGATGTATTTTCTATATCTTTCTTGCATTTATTTTGGAAACTATATCTTCTTATACTAGCTTGCACAATATAATTTTTTTAGGATTGTTCCTTTTATTTAAAATTTCAAATATATTGGTATAAAATTATTCATAATTGTTTTATATCTGTGTGATATGTAGCGATGTCCATTTTAACATTCCTGTTGCTTTTAATCTTTCAAAAAATTGATCTAGCTAGGCATTTATCAATCTTACTAAGAAGTATTTTCAGTGAATCAACCTGTGGCTTTGTTGAAACTCTTTAGTGTTTGTTTGTTTTCTAGTTCATTATTTCTATTCTTTTAAAAATTGTGTCTAAAAATTTTGGGAGGGTTTAATTTGCTAGTCTTAAAAACTAACTTAATACTTAGCTATTTGATTTTCAGCCTTTCTTCTTTTCTAATATGTGCATGTAATGTTGTACATTTCTATTCAATAGGGTCTTCATCTCACAAATTCTGATATGTCATATTTTCATTAGTATAATTTCAAAATATTTTCTAATTTCTATTGTGATTTCTACTGTGCTCCGTTAAGTTTTTAGAAATTAGTTGCTTAATTTCCAAACATATAGGGATTTTATTACATACTTCTAACTTAAGTCCACTATGGCCAGAGTACATACTCTAGATTACTACAATCCTTTGAAATTTTTGAAACTTGTTCTGTAAACTGGCATATGACAATATTTGTTAAATTCCCAAGAAAACTGGGAAGAATGAATGGGTCTTGGAAAATTTTGGAGTAATTGCTCAATGCATAAAAATTGGGACAAGTTTGATAATTACATTTTTCAAATCACTTATATTCTTACCCATTTATTTTTGCCTGTGATCTCATTTACTGCAAAATGTGTGTTAAAATTTCCTAGTATAATTTTAGATTTGTAGATATTGCATGCAAGTCTTGTCATTTTTTTTGCTTTATATCGAGGCTCAACTATTAGGTGTATACAGATTAAGAATTGGCATATCTTCCTGTTGAATTGAACCTTTTATCATTAATCGAAATGTTTTTATCTCTAATAGTTATTCTTACCTTAAAGTCTGATTAGAGTGACGAGAATATAGCCATGTCACCTTTTTCTTGGTTAGTGTTTGCATGGTATGTTCCCATTCTTGTACTTTTTTTTTTTTTTTTTGAGACGAAGTCTCGCTCTGTCACCCAGGCTGGAATGCAGTGGCGTGATCTCTGCTCACTGCAAACTCCGCCTCCTGGGTTCAGCCATTCTTCTGCCTCAGCCTCCCGAGTAGCTGGCACTACAGGCGCTCACTACTACCCCCAGCTAATTTTTTTTGTATTTTTTAGTAGAGACGGGGTTTCATCATGTTAGCCAGGATGGTCTCGATCTCCTGACCTCGTGATCTGCCTACCTCGGCCTCCCAAAGTGCTGGGATTACAGGCGTGAGCCACCGCGCCCGGCCCCATTTTTGTACTTTCAATATTAATTGCTTAATTTCTAAATGGTATTATCTGTGTTTCTTATAAGTAACACAGATTTGTATCTTTTGTTTATCCAGTCTGAAAGTCTTTGTCTTTTAATTGGAATAGTTAGTCCATTTGTTGCAATTATTAATATACTTGTATCTGTTTTGCCATCAAATTTTTAAATTTCTGTTTATCTAACTAAAGTTTCTTTTTAATCCTTTCTTATTTTATACCCCTTTATAACAGGATGTTAGCTTACTCTCATATACACTGTTTCCCATCTTCCATTATGTTGATAATACTTAGACCAATAGTTCAAAGTTTTAGTCTCAGAAGCTCTTTATCCCCTTAAAAAGTATTGGGAATTCCAAAAACGTTTTGTTTATGAGAGTTATATCTATGAAAACTTATATTAAAAAGTAAAACTAAGAAAATTTAAAATATTCATTAATTCATTGAAAAAACCACTACATGAGAGCATAAGTAATATATTTTTATTTAAAAATAACTATATTTTCCCAAACAAGAGGGGCATCATTTTGCATTGCAGCCAATTAAAAAAAATTCTGCTTTAGAGAAGACAGCTGGATTCTCATATTTGCTATTACATTCCTTTTTTTTTATAATTTCATAAATTAGTCTCTAGAAAACTCCACTACACGCTCATGAGGGAGAGCAAAAAGGCAAATAACATTTTGGCATTATGAAAATGGTTTTGCTCTCATGGATGACTTGAAAGGGTCTCACAAACCACACTTTAAAAATAGCTGACCAAGACTAGTGATTCTCAAGCTTTAATGGTATATTCAAATTATCTGGAAGACTTGTTAAATCACAGATTGCTGGGACCCCACCTGAGTTTCTGATTCAGTAGGTCTGGGGTGGAACCTGAGGATTTTCATTTCTAGTAAATTCCTAAGTGATGCCAATGCAGCTGGTTTAGGAACTATACTTTGAGAATCACTGATCTAGACTTTTAATTCTGGGTTATTACGGATGTAATTTCTCTTTGTCTTGGATTGTAGCTACTCCTTTTTTTTTTTTTTTTTTTTTTTTTCCGAAACAGAGTCTCACTCTGTCACCCAGGCTGGAGTGCAGTGGTGCGATCTTGGCTCACTGCAACCTCCGCCTCCTAGGTTCAAGCAATTCTTCTCCCTCAGCCTCTCGAGTAGCTGGGACTACAGGCATGCGGCACCATACCTGGCTAATTTTTGTATTTATTTAAGTAGAGACAGGGTTTCACCATGTCACCATGTCTGCCAGGCTGGTCCCGAACTCCTGATGTCAAGTGATCCTCCTGCCTCAGCCTCCCAAAGTACTGGGATTACAGGTGTGAGCCACCGCACCCAGTTAGTCAACTGTAGCTATTTTTAAAATTGTGATCAACAATACATAACATAACATTTAATATTGTAACCATTTTAAAGTGTACAGTATAGTGTGTTAACTTTATTCATCTTGGGCAGCAGCTCTCTAGAACTTTTTTTATCTTGTAAAACGGAAAATCTATATCTATGAAACAACAACTCTCCTTTTCTTCCTCCCCTCAGGCCCTGGGAACTACCATTCAACTTTCTGTTTCTAAGAGTTCGAATATTTTAGATACCTCATATAAGTGGAATTTTGGTGTATTTGTCTTTTTGTGACTGGCTTATTTCACTTAGCATAATGTCCTCAAGGTTCACTTTTGTTTTTGCATGTGACAGGATTTCATTCTACTTTAAGGCAAATAATATTTCATTGTTTGTATATACCACATTTTCTTCATCCATTTATCTGTTGATGTATATTGTAGGTGGCTTCCAACTCTTGGCTATTGTGATTATGCTATAATGAACATGGGTATGCAAAATATTCTCTCAAGATCATGTTTTCAGTATTTTTTTTTTTGGATCTGTACTGAGGAGTGGGGTTGCTGGATCATATGGCAATTCTATTTTTAATTTTTGAGGACTCTCCATACTGTTTTTCAAAGTGGCTTCACCATTTTATTTATGTATTTAGAGACAGGGTCTTACTCCTGCTGCCCAGGCTGGAGTGCAGAGGCATGATCATGGCTTAACTGCAGCCTCGATTTCCCAGGCTCAGGTGATCCTCTCACCCCAGCCACTTGAGTAGATGGGATTAAGGCATATGCCACCAGGCCCAGCTAATTTTTTAATATTTTTAGTAGAGATGGGGTTTTGCCATGTTGCATGGGCTAGTTTTGAATTCCTGTGCTCAAATGATCCACCTGCGTCAGCCTCCCAAGTGTTGGGATTACAGGCGTGAGCCACCATGCCCAGTGACCATTTAAATTCCTACCAATAATGCACAAGGATTCCAGTTTCTTGATATCTTCTCCAAAACTTGTTATTTTCTCTTTTCTGTTTGTTTGTTTGGTTTGCTTATTTGTGGTTAATGACATGGGGGCAAAAGCAACTGCATCTTGGATGCTAATCTGCCATGTTGACTTCTGATTAACTCCAGTTCTGGGAAGGCCTCATAAATTTTCATTTTATCTATTGTTCCTTGTGTAAGAGCATGTACTTGTTGTAAAGCCTGCTCTTAGGTTAAACAACCTTGATGTTATCATACTTCAGTTGCCCTACACATCTCTTCTGAACCATGAATACCATTTTTTATGGTACATAAGCCCTGGATCGTAAAAGAGATGGTGCCAGGATCCGCCATCTTGTCTCGCTGCCTGAGACACAGACATGGCATTGTAAATCCCTATTAAATGTTTCTTTCTGAGAAACTGGATATGTCAGCCTCTTTCTTCAGCCTCTCAGCTTCCTCAGTCTTTTGGAGGTAGGTTTGCATAGACATGTTCACCACAGAACAAATGACCATCCTAACGAATATGAGGTGATATAGTATTGTGCTTTCTATTTTCATTTCTCCAATGATTGGTGACGTTGAACATCTTTTCATATGCTTGTTGTTCATTTGTTTATCTTCTTTCAAGCCCTGTGCTTATTTTTTAATCGAATTTCTTGTTGTTGCTGGGTTGCAGGGGTTTTAAAATATGTTTAGATATTAACCTATTGCAGGTTGAGCATCCCTAATCCAAAAACTCAAAATCTGAAATGCTCCAAAATCTGAAACTTTTTGAGTATTGACATGGTGTCACACATGGAAAAGTTCACACCTGACCTCATGTGACTGGTGACTGTCAAAAACCAGTCAAAACTTTGATTCATGCATGATTAACAATATTGTATAAAATTACCTGCCAGCTATGTGTATAAGGTGCGTATGAAATGTAAATGAATTTCATATATAGACTTGGTTTCCATCCCCAAGATATGTCATTATGTAAATGCAAATATTCCCAAATCTCAAAAAATCTGAAATTCAAAACATTTCTGGTCTCAACATTTCAAATAAGATATACTCAATCTGCCTCAGATATATGGCTATAAATATATTCTTTTATTTCATAGGTTGCCTTTTCATTTTGCTGATTATTTCCATGGCTGCACAGAAGTTTTTAAGTTTGATGTAGTCTTATTTGACTATTTTTGCTTTTGTTGTCTCTACTTTTGGTGTCATATCCAAGAAACCACTGCCAAATTCAAAGTCATGAAGGTTTTTCTCTGTTTTCTTCTAGAAGTTGTATAGGTTCAGGTCTTATGTTTAGGTCTTCAATACATTTTGTGTTAGTATTTATATATGGTGTAAGGCAAGGACATACACATGGTTATACAGTTTTCCCAACATCATTTGTTGAAGAAATTATCTTTTCTCTATCGTGTAGCCTTGGCACCTTTGCTGAACATCATTTGACCATATATGTGAAGGTTATTTCTGAGTTCTCTTATCTGTTCTGTTGGTCTATGTGTCTGCCCTTATGCCAGTACCATGCCGTTTTGATTACTGTAGGTTTGTGTTTTGAAGTTAGGAAGTATGAGGCCTTCAGCTTTGTTTTTATTCTCAAGATTATTTCTTCTATTCAGAGTCCTTTGAGATTCCACAGGAGTTTTAGAATTTTTGTTTTCTATTTCTACAAAAATACCATTGCAATTTTGATAGAGATTGCATTAAATATGTAGATTGCTTTGAGTAATATGGACATTTAAAAATACTAAGTCTTTCAATCCATGTACAGTGGATGTCTTTCCATTTATTTGTGTCTTTAGAATTTCTTTTAGCAATGTTTTGTAGTTTTCAGTGTACAAGTCTTTTGCCTACTTGTTTAGGTTTATTCCTACGTGTTTCATTTTTGTTGATGCTATTGTTAATGGGGTTGTTTGCTTAATTTTTTTTTGGATTGCTCATTATTAGTGTATAGAAACACAACTGATTTTTGTGTCCTGAAACTTTTCTGAATTTGTTTATTATTTAATAGTTCTGACAGTCTTTTGTGAAATCTATAGGGTTTTCTACATATAGTATCATGTCATCTGTGATTATGAGAATACAGATAATTTTACATTTTCATTATCTATTTCTATTCTATTCATTTCTTTTCTTGCCTGATTTTTTAAAAAAATTGTTTTTGGCTAGGACTTCCAGTACTAGTTTGACTAGAAGTGTTGAGAGTGGACATTCTTGACTTGTTCCTTTTTGTAAAGGGGGAGTTTTCAGTTTTTCTTCTGGTCCTAATTTGTTAATTGCTTTTTTTTTTCATCATAAAAGGGTACTGCATTTTGCCATAAACTTTTTCTGCATCAATTTGATATAATTATGTGGTTTTTGTTTTTCATTCTATTAATGTGGTTATTAGATTGATTCTCATATGTTGAACCATCCTTGCATTCCAGCAATAAATGCCACTTGATTATAAGTTATAATTTTTAAATATGCTGTTGAATTTTCTTTGTTAGTATTTTATCGAGGGTTTTACATGAACATTAATCAGGGGTATTGGTCTGTAGTTTTCTTGTCTTGTAGTATTTATGTCTCATTTTGGTGTCAGTGTAACTAACACTAGCCTCATAGCATGCCTCATAGAAGTGTTCCCTCATCTTTTTGTTTTTAAGAGAAGAATTGGTGCTAATTTTTAAAATGTATGGCAGAATTCTCCAATGAAACCTTATGATCCTGGACTTTTCTTTGTTGGGAGGATTTGGTTACTGATTTATTTCCTTACTTGTTATAAGTATGTTCTGATTTTTAATCCTTTATTATTTAGTCTTAGTAGATTACATCCTTCTAGAAATTTATACATTTATTCTAGGTTATTTGTTGCTGTATAATTGCTCATAGTAGTCTTATGATCTTTCTTATTTCTATAGCATTAGTTGTAATGTCTTCTCCTTTTTGTTATTTTAATCTTTTCTCTTTTTTCTTAGTTTTCCTAAAGATTTTCCAATATTGTTGATCTTTTCAAAGAACTAATTCTTATTTTCACTGATTTTTCTAATGTTTTTCTATTTCATTTATTTATGCTCTAATGTTTGCTATTTTTTTCCCTTCTTTGGTTTTATTTTTTTCTTCTTTTTTTCATTCCTTGAGTTAAAAAGTTAGGTTGTTGATTTGAGATCTTTCTGCTTTTTTAATATAGGTGTTTAACATTATAAACTTTCCTCTTAGGAGTACATTTGCTGCATCCCATAAGTTTTGGTGTAATGTGTTTTCATTGTCACTTGTCTCTAGATATTTTAAAATTTCCCTTTGATTTGTTCTTTGATTATTCAAGAGTGTGTTAATTTTCATATATTTATGAATTTTCCTGTTTTCCTTTTGCTATTAAATTTTAGTTTTATTCCATTGTAGTCAGTAAAGATACTTGGTGTGATTTCAATTTTCTTAAATTTGTTAAGACTAGTTTTATGGCTCAAAATGTGATCTACTTGGAGAATGTTCCATGTGTTCTTGAGAAGAATGTGTATTCTGCTGCTGTTGGATGGAATATTCTGTATATTTCTGTTAAGTTCATTTGGTCTATAATTTTGTACAAGTCCTCTATTTCCTTGTCGATCTTCTGTCTGGTTGATCTATCATTTATTAAAAGTGGAATATTGAATTATCCTACTATTATTGTGTTATTGTCCATTTATCCCTTCAATTCTGTCAGTGTTTGCTTCGTATATTTGGGTACTCTACTGTGAGCTGTATCTTCCTAGTGAATGTACTCTTTATCATTATATAATGTCATTCTTTGTCTCTTGTTAGACAGTTTTTGACTAAAGTCTATTTTTTATATAAATATGGCCACTTCTGCTTTCTTTTGATTACCATTTGCATGGAATACCTTTTCTATCCTTTCTCTTTAAGCCAATGTATGTCTTTATACCTAAAGTGAGTTTCTTGTAGAGGGTATATAGTTGGATCTTTTTTTTTTAAACAAGAAACTATTCAGTCATTCTATGTCTTATAATTTGACAGTTTAATCCATTTACACTTAAAGCAATTACTGATAAAGAAGGACTTCCTATTGCCATTTTATTGTTTTTGGTATGTCTTGGAGTTTTCTCTCCATTTTTATTTCTTGCTGCCTTCCTTTGTGATTCATTGATTTTTTTGTAGTGACATGCTTTGATTTCTTTCTCATTTTCTTTTGTGTATATTCCATAGATGTTTTCTTGTGGTTATCATAGAGATAACATAAAACGTCTTCTGGTTATAAAATATATTTTAAACTGATTATAACTTCAATAGAATTTAAAACTCTACTCCTTTTCATTCTCTACCACCCATTAATGCTATTGATGTCATAAATTACATATTTTAATATTTTATATTCATTAATATAGTTTTATAGCTAGTTATTTATATGCTTTCTTTTAATTCTATACCTGAATTAAAAGTGATTTATACACCAGCATTACAATTTGTTTCTGTATTTATTTATATATTTACCTTTATGGAGAGCTTTAAATGTTCATATACTTTTGTGCTGCTGGTGTTAGCATTCTTTTATTTCAACTTGAAGGTCTCTGTTTAGCAATTCTTATATGGCAGGTGTAGTGGTGACCTCCCTGAACATTTATTGATTTGGGAAGGTCTTATTCTTTCATTTTGAAGGACAGTTTCCCCAGATGTAGAATTCTTTGGTAATTTTGTTTTCTTTTAGTGCTTTGACTATATCATGCCACTCCATTCTGTTATAAAATGTCTCTGCTGAGTTATCTGCTGATAACCTTATGAGAGCTCACTTTTTAATGACAAGTTGCTTTCCTCTTGTTGTTTTCCAGATTGTCTTTGTCTTTGACTTTTGAAGGTGTTATTATGACGTGTCTCCCATGGGCCTCTTTGGGTCCATCCTAGTTAGAGTCCTTTGAACTTCTTGAATTCGGACATCCACTTTCTTCCTCAGATTTGGGAAGTTTTGGGTGATTATTTCTTCAGGTAAACTCTCTGCTCCATTCTCTCTTTTCTCACTTTTTGACTTCTATAATTCATATATTGGTCAGCTTGATAGTGTCCAATAAGTCCCTTAGGCTTTCTTTTATTTTCTTCATTATTTTTTTTTTGTTCCTTGGACTTTATAATTTTAAATGAACTGTTTTTTAGTTTCCTAATTCTTTTTTCTGTTTGATCAAGTCTGCTATTGATACCCTGTAGTAAAATTTTCAATGTAGTTATTGTATTCTGCAGCTCCAATATGTTTTGTTCTTTTTTATAGTTTCTATCTTATTTTGATATTCTCATTTTGTTCATGCACTGTTTTTCGGACTTTGTTTAGTTACTTGTGTTCTCTTGTAATGCATCAAACTTCTTTAAGAAGATTATTTGAATTCTTTGTTGGCTAATTCATAGATTTCCATTTCTTGAGAGTCAGTCTCTGGAGTTTTTTTGTTTCTTTGATTGGGTTATGTTTCCTTGTTTGTGTGCTTTGTAATTTTTGTTGTGATTTTGCATTTGAAAAAAAATAACCACCTCTCCCAGTCTTTAAGGACTGGCTTCACATAGAAGAAGACATTCATCAGTCAGCCTGGTTGGAGGTTCCAGAGGTCTTTCAAACCTTTCTTGGGGATGCATTTTCTCTGGGTTTATTTCTCAATTAGATAGGTTTGCTGGTTTTTCAGGAGCTGTAGTCTCTTACTCACTCTGGTGGATGTTTATGGCACTGCAATTTTCTGGCACTTCCACAAGCCACTGAGCTCTCTCTCTTCTCAATGGCCCCCAGGACTTTGAAATATGCCAGTTTTCCATCAGTGCTTTGAGCCAGGTGAAACAGAAATCAGTTTCTTAGGAAGCCCCCAACAAAAGCCAGAAGGTTGGACACACATTTCTCTCCTTTTTTCCTCCTATGGGAAAAGCCATGATCTTGGTACTTTCTCCCTATCTTGATGAGCTATGTTGGCTCTGTCTGCAGTATTGCAAGTTCTCTGGTGCTGCTTCTAAGTTGTTGAGCTCTCTTTTGTTCTCAGAGGCTACCAGGAATCCAAAGTATGTAGGTTTCCCCATCAATGCTCTGTGCTAGGCAAGACAAAAACCAGTCCAGGCATTCCCTTCAAAAGCTGAAATGTTGAATGTGCATTCCACTCCTCTCTTTTATTTCCCAAAGAGAAGCTATATATTGGAGTTTTCCTTTTGATCATGATCTGTGCTAGCTTTGGGGAAGGTCTGATGCAGTTGACATGAAATAGCTTTTCTTACCTGTTTCAGGGGAGATGTTATTGGCTTTCAGTTTGCCTGGGATATTGCATCTTCCTAACTGGTTTCCGGCATTCTTATAAAGGCATTTTGGAGCATGTATTGTTGTTGAGTCAAGGTTTTTGTTGGGGAGTGAGGTCTTGGGCTTCGTATTCCACCATCTTGCTGATATCACTCTATAGCTACTTTTTAAGGTAACATCAAAATCTACCAAGGTATTAGATGGTCGTTACTTTATATAAATCTGTGCCATCTCCTGGAATGTTCTGTATTCTAATTAAAATACTTAATACAAAATTTATTTCAGTATGAATATTTTTGTGTCACTCTGAGGATTTGTATGCCTGAGAATATGTTTAGCATCCTGTCATACTTAAATGACAGTTTGGCTGAATATGAACTTCTTGCTCTAAGTACATTTTTCCCCCAATACTTAAAAATACTACTCTATTTTTAGAAATTCTTTTTTTGCTGTTGGTTGTTACTAGTGTTGGTGTTGAAACATCTGAAATTAATCCGATTCTCGATCAGTATTGCAGGATCTGCTTTTTATTCTCTAGGAGCTTTTGTAACTTTCTCCTTGCCTTTGATATTCTTACATTTTTTAATAAGATGTCTAATGTGGGTTTTTCTTTATTCTCCTCTTTGGAATTATCTGACTCTTTTACTGTAAAGTGTCCTCTTCTTCCTTCTTTTCTTTTATTTGGGAAAATTTATCTCCATTACTTCTTCAAATGTTTTCTTTTCTTATTATTGCTTTCTCTTTCTGGGATTTCTATTATTCTCATATTACTAATTCTAGTTGTATTTTGCTCTCCCTCCACTTCTTAGATTTTCTTTTATGTTTTATATTTTCTTGCCTTTTTATCCTTCCTTTTGAGAGATTTTTCTCAATCCGGTTTTTCACATTTTGAATCTATTCCTTAGCTAATTCATGCTATTTGTTTGATTTTTTCTTTATTTTAACTAGGTTTTTTTATATCTATTATTAATTGTAACTTTTATCATCTCTTTCGGTTCTAATGTTTCTTCTTTGGCACCATATGTAACCCGTAAGTTGTTTTTATTTAAAATAGTTGTGCTTTTCAAATGTATTTTTATTTTGCTTTGTGAGATCATTTTCCCCAGGAGATATTGGCTACTTTGTCGAGAAGGGTAGATCTTAAGCTGCAGCAGCCCTAATTAGCTCAGGTTAGGGAGCTAAGCCCTTGGGCATGGTAGGTGGGGGACGGGGTGGGTGGTGGGAGGGAGGGGGGAATGTCTGCTGATATCTTAAACTCACATGTATTTATTCTTGAAGTATATGCTTCTTTTCTCCCCCCACGGCTAATGAAACCTGCTTTCCTTTTGGTTTTCACATCTATTAATAAAACGATGTGGCTCATTTCTCATCCTCCTCCAAGAAGTGGCCAATTTCTGGTGGGTTAGAGAATTCCCAGGGGCTATAAGATAGAAATTGATGCTATTTAAAAAATGCCAGAGAGTCTTCCACTATGCCTAAATATGGCCATGGGAGAAGGCCAGGTACAGAAAAACCAATTAGTTACTTCTGGCCCTTAGGTCAAGGCCTCATTCTTTGCCCAGAGGAAGTAGCATCCTGAGATTGTAAAAGCTAATCAGTCTTAAAGAGTTTGGAAGGGGATGAATGGGGATTCTCTGCTCAAGGTTAGTCTCTACCTGTTTTTCTTAATGCCTCACAAATACATATCTTCTGCACTCCTTTGTTTGTATTACCTTGCACACCTGGACCAGAGCTGAGAGCCATAAGGATGAGGACAGAAATTGTTTGTCCGAGGCAGCAACAGAGAAGAGCAAGAGGAAAACACCAAGAGTTCCTATCTTATTGTACTCTCCCAATGTATGCCGTTATTCCTTCTATTCAAAGTCAAAGCCTCACTCATACACCAGTCCTAAACAGTATAACTCCAGCTCTCTTGACAAATTTCTAGGTATTTTCCCTCTTCAGTACTTCAGAGGAAGGAGTCAGCCATCATACTGGTTCAGCGTCTTGAAATATCTTGATTTTAATCTTATTTCTAATTTTTCCAAAAGTTTGATCTTGGACAGTTTACTTTATTTCTCCTTATTTTTTTTTCTTTTTCTTTTTTTTTTTTTGAGATGGAGTCTTGCTCTGTTGCCCAGACTGGAGTGCAGTGGCGTGATCTCGGCTCACTGCAAGCTCCGCCTCCCAGGTTCACGCCATTTTCCTGCCTCAGCCTCCCGAGTAGCTGGGACTACAGGCGCCCGCTACCCTGCCCGGCTATTTTTTTGTATTTTTAGTAGAGACGGGGTTTCACCATGTTAGCCAGGCTGGTCTCAAACTCCTGACCTCGTGATCCGCTTGCCTTGGCCTCCCAAAGTGCTGGGATTACAGGCGTGAGCCACCGCGCCCGGCCCTTAGCTTTCTTAGAATAAAATGGGACTAATACCTAACCTTGATATTGATGTAAATATTAGAAATAACATATAAGTCATTAGTGCTGTTATTGGCATAGAGTAGAAATTCAATAAACCATAGCTCCTATTATAATTATTGCTTTTGTTACTGTTGTTGTAACAGAAAATTAGAGCTGAGCCTGCCTTTCTGTTCAGCAATGGGATGTTCTGGATAATGGGATGCAATGTTGCTGTGCTCTTCGTATAAAAGGTCATCTTTACTGTGTTTAGGATAACATCACTGAGATTGTTTATTTTTCCTTTGGGGCTATGTATAACCACTCAGAGGATTTGGGGGTCCGGGCTCCAGGAAATGAAGATGTACCTGACAGCTGTCTTATGAGGGGAAGTAACTGACCCCTATAACATGATCAAAAGCAGAAGGAATGGTGTGGGTGACCATTGTGGATATTGGGAATAGCCATATTCAGATCCAGCATTTACTTTCCTTCTTGTCTGTTTCAATTCCTTTCTGTTAGAGCCCAATGCCTTCAATAAAGGAACATTACATACTACAGAGTGGCTTTCTTGTGCTTGGGTAATTAAGAGATATAACTGTCCATTTTGGGGATGATGAGTCTTGAGAAGTTTGATCATGAGATAGTAAGAAGAGTCTACAAAAAGCTGGTCCAATCTCAGATGACTGACTGAGCTGACAAACAGAGTGGACCTGTGGGGCAGCCCAACAGGCCTCAGGGATTCTCAGAAATACTTGGGGTGGGGAACATGATAAAAGACTGCGATTCCTAAAGTAGCAAGATAGGAGATAGAAAATTCTGATTTGACATTAAGGGAAAGTATGCCTCACTGTAGGATGGAGGATCAGGACCTTTGCCTTGCATTTTCTAGTTCCAAATGATCTGTGTTAATATTAGCACCCTCCAGCACTCTATACCTGCTCGCAACAGAACAAACACTTGTTGCCTCCTCTCTTGCTTGGAGGGCTCTTGGGGACAGAGCTTTGACTCTGAGTCACTTGATTGTCAGCCCCCCTGCCCTGGGTACTTGGCTTCCACTGTGGTCAGCAACATTGATTTCTGCAGTGGACCTGGCAACATTATGGTCAGCTACATCCACTGTGGGGCCTCAGCAACATGTGTCCTCAATTTTCTCTTCTCAGGGCGGATATGAAGTGGGAAGCCAAGAAAATATGTCTGCTTATTTCTTAAACTTATGCATATTTATTCTTGAAATGTATGCTTCTTTTTCCCTCAGGGCTAATGAAACCTATTTTCCCTTTGGTTTTCACATCTAAAATTATGTGGCTCATTTCTCATCCTCCTCCAAGAAGTGGCCAATTGCTGATGGGTCAGAGAATTCCCAGAGTGCATAAGATAGAAACTGATGCTATTTTCAAAATGCCAAAAAGTCTTCCACTATGTCTAAATATGGCCGCAGGAGACATGTGTTCTTTAATTATGTTCTCCCAAGTTCAATAATTACTTAGGAAGCTTCTTGGAGTGAAGGATATCTGAGAAATTCATAGGGGCTTTCGTTGCCTCCCAAGTCACTTCTATAAACTCCACTCTACAGACCTCATAAATTCCAACAGGGCTGGACAAAAGCAAGCCCCCCTTTTCTGGGACAGCCCCTGTTTCCTTCTACTCTAAGCAGTGACTCTCACAGCCTTTGTTATGGACTCCTCAGATCTCTGTACATAGCAACCAGGGCATGAGGTGAGCTGGTCTCTTCCCATTAAACATGATGCCATCAAGCTGTTCCTGTCAGTTACTGCCACTAAAATTACAGCTGTTGGTCACCCCTTAGTGGAAAGAGGCAATCTCCTCCCTCCTCTTCCTTCGTCAGTTACTACCACTAAAATTACAGCTGTTGGTCAGCACTTAGTAGAAAGAGGCAACCTCCTCCTTCCTCCTGCTTCTTAAAAATAACATGCCTTTCACTCAATCCCTACTAGAAAATGCACATACCAACCCAGAGAAAGTTAAGCCAAGAACCCCAGCAGGCTGAGTTTTGAACCTGAGGACACACTTGCCAGGCTCTCAGGGACTCAGCTTGAGCCTCCATGCTTCCCACCCTCCCACTACAGCTGTCTCACAGTTTGGGCTCTGAGATAAGAGGTGTTTCATCCGTCAAAGAAGAAAAGTCCATCAGGAAAAAAAAAACCCACAACAATCCCATAAGTCATGGAGGAAAGAGAGAGACAGGTGTGTGTGTGTGTGTGTGTGTGCGCGTGCATGTGTGTGTGCCCCCATGCATGCTCATGTGTGCACACACATGGGGTTCTTATATGTACATTTAATGGGCATACATGAATTTTTGTGTGCATGTGTCATGCAGGTAGTGTGTTGACAATCAGAACTTAACTCCTTTTTCTTTTCTTTTTTCTTTTTTTTTTTCTGAGATGGAGTCTTGTTCTGTCACCAGGCTGGAGTGCAGTGGCGTGATCTCGGCTCACTGCAGCCTCTGACTCCCTGGTTCAAGCAATTCTCCTGCCTCTGCCTCCCGAGTAGCTAGGATTACATGTGCCTGCCACCACGCCCAGCTAATTTTTTGTATTTTTAGTGGAGACAAGGTTTCACTATGTTGGCCAGGATGGTCTCAATCTCCTGACCTTGTGAACCGCCTGCCTCGGCCTCCCAAAGTGATGGGATTACAGGTGTGAGCCACCACGCCTGGTCCTTTACTCCATTTTCCTCTAATTTTCCTATCCACAGCCTCCTTTTCCTTACCCTAAGGTAACCTTTTAAAATTTATTTGCTTCACTTTATCTATCTTTATGTGTATGTGTGCAGCAAGAAACTGAACAGAATTTTGGCAAAGAGGGTTGTTTGTAGATGTGAATATTTCCTCTTGGCTTGGTGGAGGTCTTTTTCCTGGAAGCCACTTCCTGGGGCTTACGTGGGGGAGAGGACACAGTCTTCTGTTGAATTTACAAACACTGCTTCCCTGGCCACCTGCCCACCCTTGATGAGAAGGTTGTGTGCTCTGTATGAGGAAGAATGACTTGAGGCAGCCTGTTAATCCTACCTAAGTAAACAGAATAGTAAGTGGGAAATGACAGTGGCTTTTGACTATCTTTTTAAATAAACTAAACCCAAGTGCCTATTTATTTCAAAGCTTCCTCCATTTAACAATGTCTTAGAAACATCTCTCAGATTTCATCTCATGATTCTTCTTTAATGACTCACTGATACAATCATATTAACCCAAGTTCCAATCTCCTTCTATCTGGAAGCATTACATGAGATTTTAGAGTCATACGGACTCAAATATTGAATTGGATTACTAGCCATGTAATCTGTAATGAGATAATTATTTCTCAGTTGCCTCATATGGAAAAAGGAGATAATAGGAAGATAATAGTGATAACTACCTAATAGGGTTATTTTACAGATTAAATGAAACCAATCTTGTAAAGCTTTTAATAGAGATACTTTTCATATAGTAAATCTCTTTAACTATTTTTATCTTTTCTCTCTGCTCCTAGCTATTATCTGTGCCAATTATGTCAATCTTCTCTCTCCTGCTTTCCTACTGTATTGGCTTCTCAGGGCTGCCATAAGAAAATATCACCAATTGGGTGGCTTAAAGCAACAGAATTTTTCCCTCACTGTTTTGGAGGCTAGACATTTGACATCAAAGTGTCATCAGGGCCCTGCTCCTTCTGAAGTTTCTAGGGAAGAATTCATCCTTACCTCCTCCAGCTTCTGGGGCTTCCGGCAGTTCTTGGCTTGTGGCAGCATAATCCCAAGCTTTATCTGTCTCCACATGGCCTTCTCTCTTGTCGCTGTGGCCTCTCCTCTTCCTGTAAAGACCCCAGTTATTGGATTTACAGTGCATTCTAAATCTGGTATGGGGCTGGGCATGGTGGCTCATGCCTGTAATCCCAGCACTTTGGGAGGGCAAGGCGGGAGGATCACTTGAGGTCAGGAGTTGGAGACCAGCCTGGCCAACATGGTGAAAACCCATCTCTACTAAAAATACAAAAAAGAAAAAAATTAGCCAAGCATGGTGGTGAGCACCTGTAATCCCAGCTACCTGGGAGGCTGGGTCATGAGAATGGCTTGAACCCGGGAGGTGGAGATTGTAGTGAGCCAAGATCATGCCACTGCATTCCAGCCTAGGTGGCAGGGTGAGACTCCATCTCAACAAAAACAAACAAGCAAACAAACAAATAAAAAAAAGAAATAAATCCAATATGATATTATCTTGTGATCCTTCACTTGCAAAGGTCCTATTTCCACATAGGGTCACATTCTGAGTTTCTGCGTAGACATGAATTTTTTGCGGGATGTTGGGGGGACTATGCTCACTTTTCTTCATCCTCACTGCCATGACTTAGAGCAATATTCACCTGTGTGACTCTACTACCCTGTGAACTGATCTGACATTTCTCTGGTCTCACTCATATCCATTCTCCACATTGCTTCCAGAGAGGTCTTTTAAAAGTACAGACATATCTAATCAAGGGTACCTTTTTCTCAAAAACCTCTAAAAGCTCCTGGTTGTCTTTAGGGTAAAATTAAACATCTTAGCATTCAAGGCTCTTCACAAGTTGGTCCCAAACTGCTTTTCTAACCTAATATCCCACTATATTCTGCACTACTTTCCATCACCTATTCCAGCCCACTCTTAACTAGGTCCAAGGGAGAAGTTCACTATTGCTACAGCCATGATGGGCTTGTTCTGGGGTAAGATCTTGGAGACCAGGCCCAGTTGAGTGGAAGGTTTCTTGACAGTGCCTTGAGACAGGCGTTAACTCAGGCGTGGGTGTAAAGGTGGAATTTGGAGGCCAGTTCTAGAGAACATGGGTCAAACACCAGGCCTGAGGGATAAATTTAGTTCCATAAACACAGATGAAAGTGTTAGAGCCAAGACGAAGAACAGGCTTAGGAGGGGAAGACAAGTTGGTGATACACTTGAGACTCTAGTCCTTGAACTGAATGAGTATGATGAATCCATTCACATATTGGAGGTTGTCCAAGTGGCCTGGGCTGGGCTGGCTTCTTAGCACTGGGGCAGAATAAAAAGTGCATTCTACGGTCAGTTTCCACAGGTCCCTGTGGTCAGCAGGGAGGGACACATGGACCACAGAGGCCAGTGACCTAATCCTTGTGACTCTCTGTTCTCTTCTGTGTTTATTCTGTGGGACTTAAAGCATAGACAACTCCAGGTCATAACTGGTATTTGTAGCTGTTTGCTGTTGTGGTTTCCTAAGCAGCTGGGCAGATGGAAGGACTGAGCCTTCACTCTTTTTGAGGATGTCAGATCCGGCCTGTCTTAACTTTTGCTCTATGCATCTTCTGGTTCCTGAGTCAGTTTGGACCCAGGCTGAGCATTAATCAGCAGGCCAACCTCCACCAACTGAGGGAGCTTGACTTGGTGGCCTCTAAGGAATTCTAGCTCTGATACTTTAAAATTGAATCCAGCAAATTAGCTGAAGGAGGCTTCATTCTCTCTTTCACATTTGGCTGATTTGCTCAATGCATGACTTGCTGGGTAGCTGACATCCTGTGATCCTCAGACACAGGCTGCAGTTAAGAAAGCAATGAGGGACTTAAGCTGCTTTAGAAGTGATTTAGAAGGCTCACAAGGTAAAACCACCTCTCAGACTTATGTTAGAATTTTTTTTTTTTTTTTTTTTTTTTTTGGAGACAGAGTCTTGCTCTGTTGCCAGGCTGCAGTGCAGTGGTGTGATCTTGGCTCACTGCAACCTCCGACACCTGGGTTCAAGCGATTCTCCTGCCTCAGCCTCCCGAGTAGCTGGGACTACAGGCATGCACCACCACGCCCAGCTAATTTTTTTATTGTTTTTAGTAGAGATGGGGTTTCATCATTTTGGCTCTCCTGACCTTGTGATCCGCCTGCCTCAGCCTCCCAAAGTGCCGTTATTACAGGTGTGAGCCACCATGCCCGGCCACTTATGTTAAAATTTTTAATAAAAGTTTCTTTCTTTCTTCCTTCCCTTTTCCTTTCTTTCTTTTCTTTTTTCTTTCTTTCTTTCTTTCTCTTTCTTTCTTTCTTTCTTTCTTTCTTTCTTTCTTTCTTTCTTTCTTCTTTCTTTCTTTCTTTCTTTTCTTTCTCTCTCTTTCTGTCTCTCCTTCCTCGTTCCTCCTTCCTCCTTTCCTTCCTCTTTCCTCCCTTCTTCCCTCCCTCCCTCCCTCCTGCCCTTTCCCTCCCTCCCTCATACAGTACTGTATTGTGATAATGGACATAATTTATGGATGAGATTTGCATTCCCAACAGTCTTCGGATCTTGATGCTTCTGCACTATCTGGAATTTTTTATTTTTGAAATGGGTCCTGGGGACCAGATGTTTTGAGTATGTTTAAATCTGGCTTGAAGGTGGGGGGCAGAAAAAACACAAAAAATATCTGGCCCCTTTAGCTTTTTAAATGGCACAGTTGACTGAGGAAGCATAGTGTATGAGCAAAACTCCTAAGAGCTCCTGACGCTGGTCATTTGTTGAAGGGAGGCTATTTTAGCTGCACCTCAATGCTACTTTTTTTTTTCTTCTAACAGCCTTCTAGTTTTGACTGGCTTTGCCGGAGTAGTTCTATATTTCACTGACATAATCATTTTAGACAAATGTGCTGAGTAGGTTTGTGCTTGTAAATTACGTGTGTTTACAAGAATATTCCTCAGGAATGCATTGGTACAACATTTCTGGAGGATATTTTAACCACCCATATTAAGAGACTTAATGATATTCATAATCTTTGACCCAGTCATTCTGCTTTTAGGAATTTCTCCTTCAAAAACAGTAAGAAAGTGTACACAAGTTATTCATCAGTTTTACTTATGAATGTAAAAATCTGGAAGTAGTGAAAATTTCCAGCAAAAGATATTGATTAAATAAATTACATATGTCTTGCAATGGAATGCTCTATGACCATTAAATGATATAAATAAATATTTAATAATATATGAGAATGCTCATGCACACTGTCTAATGACATGTATATTAAAGAAACATATTCATGGTAACAGTGGCAACCTCTAAATCAAGCTTGTCTAACCTGCGGCCTCTGGGCCACATGTGGCCCAGGACAGTTTTGAATGCAGCCCAACACAAATTTGTAAACTTTCTTAAAACATTATTAGTTTTTTTGTCTTTTTTTTTTTTTTAGCTTATTTGTTATTGCTAGTGTTAGTGTATTTTATGTGTGCCATGACAATTCTTCTCCCAGTGTGGCCCAGGGAAGCCAAAAGATTGGACACCCCTGCTAAATGGTGGCAATGTGGGTGCAATTTTCATTCTTTATACCTTAGCATATTTTATTACACATGCAATTTCCTTTAATTAGCAATAATCCCTCTTATGATAATAAAGAAAATTATATATGTGCAATGAAAACAATAATCCACATTATTAAGCATTAACTTTAATACTAAAATATATTTTAAAGATATCTTTTTTTATATAAGATGCCCTGAGCAAGGTAGAAATGATCCTAAGTATGTTGGAGTAATATATTTTCAACAGGGAGATGAGTTTAATGTTTTAAAAAATATTTTTGTTTTCTTATGGAAATCCTTTTTGATTCCATTCACAATGTAGAGGCTCCATCTATCTCTACCTGCTAGATCTCAGTATCCTTTCGTTACAGCAAATGTTTGTTGAGAATCTGCTTTATGTTCAGTATTATATGAGGCATGATGTAGATACAAAACATAAGCTCTGTCCTCCAGAAATTTATAATCTAGTGGAAGAGGTCAGTATTATATATTTAAGAAAAGACTAGTCTTTGTTATGGTTCGGCTCTCAAATTTCAGTGGCTGCTCATAACGGTTTACTTCATGTTCATGTGAAGGTCCTGGTCAGTTGGCACTTCTTCCACAGGCTGTGATTAAGAGGTTCTGGCTCCTTCCAACTTGCGTTTCTGCCATAAGACCTTGAATTTTCTGCTGAAACCTCTGCATCCAGCCTGCAGACAAGGGAAGGGAAAGGGTGGAAACTTGCACAGGAATTTTCCGTCAGCCAGTCCAAGAGGAGCATTTTTCACCTCCCCCCGTATTTCATTGATTAAAATTCAGCCATGTGGCTCCATTTACGCGAGGGAGTGGGGCAGCCTGGGGAAGATGTTTCTCAGCAACAGTGCTACCCTGCTGGACAGCTGGTGATTTTTACCATAAAACAAGATAGTAATAAGGATAGAATGAGGTAAAAAGCTTTATAATTACTTCCTTATATTTTTGTTTTCTGATTTTTATCTAATTGTTGTAATGAAATCAGTGAGATCCATGATTCAAGCTATTAAATCCATTGTGCCTTTCACCAACCCACCACTCAGTGGATAGTTTTTGTGGTGTCTACTCTCTGCCAGAGCCTGGGTAAGCAGGAAAGACTGAGGGAAAGATGCTTGCCCTTATAGATCTAGGGGTGTCCTTATGCATATACCAATCGTGAAGAAGTGGAGCCGTGTCTGGTATTTTACAGTGGCTTCAAGTTAGACAGACTTCAATTCAAATTCAAATCTTGGCCATGACAGAGGCCCTCTGTGACCTTGAGAAGGTTATTTAACCATTTTGAAATGCGATTTTCTCATCTACAAAGTGAGTCTTATCCCACAGTGTTGTCTTTATAAGAATTAAATAATAAATAATGTGTGAAGCACAAATGTCCTGGGTCTTAGAAACTCAAGGACACAAGAAAATAAGGTCTCATATATTATAAAAAATAATTTCTTAAAATCAAAAAAATTCATGATCATGATTAACATTTAAATAGTTGAGAAGGGCATAAAGTAAAAGGTAAAAGTGCTATTACCCTTTGCTTTAAGTCCTAACCCTCAGAGGTAATCATATTTACCCCTTCTTGCCTAACTTTCAGAGATTTTCTACGTGTAGGCAAGCATCTGCACATATATATCTATGCTTTAAAAAAATTCCGAATGGAGTTATGCTAAACAGGGTTTTGTATCTTTCTTGCTTTGTTACATCAGAGACCTTGGACATTTTCCCATATCATCATATATGAACCTATCTTACTTTTTTAATAGCTGAATAATGCCTCACAGTATGTGTATATGTCACAGTCTAAGTGTTCCCTATTGATAGATATTTGGCTTATTTCCTGACTTTTCCTATGGCTACAATGCTGTTACAAATCCCTGTGAACATTTATGTTTATATACATTAGAGAGCAGTTCTGTGGGATAGATTTCTAGAAATGTAGTAACTGAGACAAAGGTTACATGCACTTTATATTTTGACAGATACTACCCAATTACTTTCCAATTGAATTGTACCGATTTTTATTTTCACCAACCAATTTATGAGCATGCTTTTCCTTCCCCACATTTGTCACTAAATCACTTTTGAGATGGAAATGGAATTCCACTATTGCTCAATATGCATTTCGTTAATGACCAGTCATGTTGAGCATCTTTTCATGTTTATCACTATTTTAATTTTTCTTTTTTCCTCAGATCTATGTCCTTTGCCATCATTTATATAGGATTGTTTCTCTCTTTTTAATAAATAATGTTTAGGGGATCTTATTATAAGGCTATTATTTGGGTGTCAATTGTAAATATTTTCCAATTTGTTATTTTCAATCTTTGTTCATGGTATTTTTGCTATTTGAAGTATTTTTATTGCTATATTTATTGTTCTTTTATATTTTTGGTCTCTGGGTTTTGTACCATCATCAGGAGGGACTTTCACCCTAGAAGATTAATTTGAAAAAGTACTTTTGTTTCATTTCTTATGTTCAGGGTATTTTAAAAAACGTTTGAATCTTTGATATGCCTGGAATTTATTTTTGAATAATGGTTATGGTGGTAGGCATCTAGCTTTATTATTTTTTCTAAATAGGTAGTTATACTAATATTATATAATGAATACCTTACTTGTTCCCTACTCATACATATTACTCACTGCATATCCCCATGTATTTTGGTATGCTTTTGAGGTCTCTGTGATATCTGTCTTTTTCAGTACCAACAGCAAATAGTGTAAATTAATGAAGCTTTATAATTTTTAAAATAACATCTCACTAGTGCTCCTTCAATATTTTTCTTTGTCAGAATCTCCCTGATTTTCCCACATTTCTGATGCCATGATATAAGTCACTTATGTGATGTGATTTTATTCATTGCATTTACAAATTACTTTAGGGAAATTCATTTCTTTTGAACATGAGACCTTCCAGTTAAGGAATAATCAAGTGTATTATGTTCCTTAGATAAACTTTAATGTTTTAAAGTCAAGTTCCTTCACATTTCTTAAGTAAATATTCCTGAGTATTTTAATCTTTCATTTTCCTTTTGTAAATTAGATTAAAAATTTTGTTACATTTTTCTAACCTTTTTTTGGTTAAATTGTTATCAACCATTGACTCAGTTCTCTTATTTATTTATTTTTGGCTTTAACTTAATTTATTATATGTTATACTTTTTTTAATTGACACATGATAATTGTACATATTTATGGGGTACACAGTTATATTTCAGTACATATATACATTGTGTAATAATCGAATCAGGGTAATTAACATATCCATTACCTCAAACACTTGTCATTGCTTTGTGGTGAGAACATTTAAAATCCTCTCCTCTAGCTATTTTGAAGTAAACAATACATCGTTGTTGACTACAGTCACCTGCTGTGCAACAGAACTCCAGAACTTAAATCAATCTCTTATTTTTAAAAAATATTTTTAAAATGGCCTTTCTTAAGCTTTCCAAGTATAAATCACACTATCTGTAAATAATGATCATTTTTCCTTCTCCATTTTTTTAAACTTCTAAGTTATTTTTTATGTCACACTGCATTGGAAAGTATTTTCAGAAAGATGTTACATAAAGGTGGTGATAATGGCCCTTCCAACTCTGTTTTTTCCTTTGATGGGAATTTTATTATAACAGTTTACTATTAAACAGGTAGCATAGTTTGAGATACTAATTTTTTTCATATTAAAGAAAAATTCCTCATAACTTTCAGTATCTATTAAAATGAGTGTACGCTTTTTGGCCCTTTCACCTATTAATGTGGGTGACTTGTAAGAACATATTTCTTAACATTGAACTATTCTTAGATTTCTAAACAAGTCTCAGATGGTCCTGATATATTGTTACACAGTGCACTGCTATAGTGTCTTTGTAAGACTTATTTTATAATTTTTGCATTGATACGCACTAGATTGGGTCTTAAGTGCTATCTTTGATATTTTTGTTATTATTATGATGACTGTAAAATAATAACTTGGAAACTTCTTACTGTGTATTCCAGCAAGATTTAAAAAACCAGACTCTCTTTGACAGCTTGCACAATTGGTCTGTTTATTTTTTTCTTCCTTGAGTCAAGTTTGGCAGTTTCTGTTTTCCATGAAAAGAGTTCATTTCTTCCAGGTTTTAAAATCTGCTGCTTAGACCTTTGCAGCTATTTCATATAATTATTTTCATTTCCTCTTTCTCCATGGTTGTTTTTCTATTATTATTCCTTCTCACTTTTTTCTCTTGATTAATTTAGGTAATAATAATAGGTGGTTTACCTATTATTGTTTATTTTAGCTACTGTTTTCTTTCAAAGAATCACATTGTATATGTACCAGTTCTACTCTTTCTATTTTATAATTAATTAATTTCTGCCTTTGCTTTTATTGATTCCTATATATCCCTTTGCTTAAGCTTTTTTCAGTTATTCATTTTCTGCTTCTTTGTGTCAAATGCTTAATTAATTAATATATTTATTAATATTTTTAGTCATTAATTTTGTTCTAAATACAGCTTTATATGTCTTTGAGATTTTTATAAATATTTGCATTTTTAAAATATATAAAAGTTATGCCTTCATGTTATCTATATGGTCAAATAGTTATATAAGGCTTTATTAATGACACAAGAATTCCTACTCCTGGCACATGGTTGGAAGCAGATATGGAAAAAGGCAATAAAATTAACTTTAACACTTATACTGTGTCTTGTATGTATACCTTACTTTGACGTATGCCATGGAATTGCCTCAGGGAAGACCAGGGGATTCTCAGTGGATCCTTTTAGGTGGAAAGCCCCCATTCCTGCCTCAACCATGATAATTTCTCTAATTTCTTTTGTATATAGTATTTCATTTGAAAATTTTATAGGAAGAAAAGTCTTAACAGCTTATAATGTTTAAAACTTATTAAACTTACATACATGGACCGTGTTAAACTGTCCTTATGTAAACTGTCCTTATAATGTTAAACTTATTAAACTTACATACATGGACAGAAATCCAGTGGTAAAAACCCAATACATTATTTTGACTCCAGGAAGCCCTTGATAACAAGAGACATCATTATGCAATGTGGCACTAAGAAATAAAATGGTTCATTAAAATATGATATGCCATAGATTTTAAGAGGCATACCAATATCAGAGATGTTAAAATGTGAAAAATAGTTGCATCTTAATGTGGAATAAATATGGCATACACTTGTTAGGTATCAATTAGAATTAAAGTCCTAGATTTGCTTGATAATTTTTTGACTCTGTTCAAAGGGTAAGGTGACCAATGAAATACTAACGAAAGAGGAACTCCAGTAGAAGATTATTTGCTAACTAAACATCTGAGTTCAGCTTAAAAAGTGATATTTCAAACTTTTCTTCTCAATGTTCTCATTCTGGATGGTCCAGACACCACCGGCTTTGCTCCATCCCTTTGGGAAGACAGCACACCCAGAGCTCAAGTCTGCTGCTCATTCTGGAAGGGGAGATGTCCTGGGCCCAGGGTTTGGAAATGTCTTCTTGGACAAGCTTAAGCCGGTAAGCTCCCAGATGAGCTCCTGCTGTTTTGTTCTTCCACCCCGGGCCATGAGTGTCCCAGCGGGAGCCCCTTCTGCAGCAGTAGGTCCCACAGTTTGGAGGGCAATGGCGTCATCAACTCATCCTCACTCTTGGCATCCTCTGCTGCTTTCTTGACAGTCCTCCAGAGCATCTCAAAACTTCTCTGCACAGTGGTTCTGATGGCCTCAGAGCAGGAGTGTATAGAAACTAGCAGTCTGGAAGTCCATCCCAGAGCAGCCAACCCTAGATCTGAAAAATGTTTTATGTCTCCCTTCATCCTAAACATTTATACAAATTATGTATTTAATTTTGTGGTTTTTGAGCACAGACATAATATTTTCTCCAAAATTTTTAAGCAAAACATCCCAGGAAGATGTGCCCTAGGTACATCCTGTTGTTTTGTGTAACCCAAACACTATTGAACTAAGAGAATACTTAAGCTCCAGTTGCAGAAACACGGAAAAAGGACCCAGGAGAAACTGGGTTCAATCCCAACTGAGTCACTTAGGAATTATGCGATCTGGGAAAGTTACTTAAATTCTCTAAATTTCAGTTTCTTCATTTGTAAAAAGGGGATTAAAAACACTAAACTCACATGATTATTGCAAAAACAAAATAGTATATTTAGACCATCACAGTCCTGGGGGTGTGCTGAGTGCCCAACAACAGTTACTTTCCCCTCACTCTGTGTCCTCCCTTTCTTAAGAAATTTTTCCCCCCTGCCAGGCTCAGGCCTAGAGGCAGAGGACCAGATGGGATGTGGGTACCATCTAGTCTCCCCCACCTCTGCCAAATCTGTACCTCAAAGCACCCTAAAAGGATAGCTGTCTCACCTTGTCTTAAAAATCTCCAAACAAGCAAATTGCCACTATTTGGTAAATAATTTCACCTCACCAGATTTGTCCTTTCATGTATTTGCCTATTCACAAGAAACATACATTGGACTTATACTGTGCCAGGACTAGGCAAGGTCTCGAAATGTAAAAAGATGTTTGACATAATCCCCTTCCTTAAAATGCTCATAAATAGGAAAAATCTGGAAAAAAACAATCTCAGTGCCATGGAATTCATGCTATGATAAAAAGATACCCACAGTCTATTCCAGATTACACAGCATGGGCATCTTCTAGAATTTGGGAGGAGATGGATGACACAGAGGGAGTATTAGAAAGGCTTCCATGGCAGCAGACACCTGACCTGAAACCTGACATGCAAAGGTGAAAAGGGGTTTTGAAATTTCATTTCAGGCAAAAACTCAGAGGTAGAGAGCATGATTTGGGAAAGTGAAAGTTGTTAAACAAAACTCAGCATAGATATCATGAGGAATGCTGAAGGGACTGAGGTGGTGGACAATAGACATATCGTCCGGCTTTAGCCCTGTGAAAGTGAAAGAAAGAAAGAAATCCAAAGACAGAGAAAAAAGCAGTTTCTGTTGTAATCCAGGTAGACTATGTTGAAAGTCTAAGCTAATGGCTGGGGCAAAGTGAGAAAAGCCAGGTTTAAGAGACCAGGTGTGGTGGCTCACGCCTGTAATCCCAGCACTTTGGGAGGCCAAAGCAGGCAGATCATCTGAGATCAGGAGTTCAAGACCCGCCTGACCAACATGGAGAAACCCCGTCTCTACGAAAAATACAAAACAAACAAACAAACAAAAAATTAGCCAGGTGTGGTGGCGCATGCCTATAATCCCAGCTACTCAGGAGGCTGAGGCAGGAGAATCGTTTGAACCCAGGAGGCGGAGGTTGCGGTGAGCTGAGATCACACCATTGCACTCCAGCCTGGGCAACAAGAGTGAAACTCCATCTCAAGAAAAAAAAAAAAAAAAGAAAGGAAAAAAAAAAGACTTGAAGGAGATACAACCTTCAAAATAACAATGTACACTTACCGGGCTACGTAGAATCTGTCACTGTAGTTCTTAATTTCTACTTCCTATGCAGTATTAGGGATGTTGTTAAAAAAAGAGGCAATAGGAACATTGGTTGAGAAATTTGATATTTTAAATCTGATAAAAATAACAACAATAACATTATTTTTTAGCATATAAAGAATACACTATCTGTTGCCAAGTTAAGTGGTAAAAATGGTATTTCTAATCATTTTATTTTTTCAGCTGTTCATTCATTCTATGAAGTCAATATGATATTTTCAGGTTGATGGGAGAAATGTGTATAATAATGTGAGCTAAAGTACATTAGAAACTATAGCGTGCCATTATATACATTTGCTCATTTGATTTCTCCCAATGGCCTTTTGAAAAGTCCATTTATGCTCACTTTACATGCAAGATAACTGAGGCACAGATTTGCTTGAACAGTAGCTAAGCCAGGAATGAGTCTTATATTGGTTCAGTTTCAATGCCACACTGCCTCTCTGGATTATGCCGATATTGAGATCGAGATTCCTTCTTACTTTGGGAAGCTGTTGGGGATTCTGGGTTATAGCAGGAAGCTGCAGGAGGAGACGAGAATATGTCTTGCTTCATGTTAACTCTTTCTCTCTGACCCCCTCTAGACAAATCATTTGGCCTGCTATTGGAGGGGTGGGGGTTTATTTAGCTTCCCTGGATGTTTCTTTAGGGATGTTAAAAGGAACCAGCCAATACTAATCTCAAACAGGATATCCTTTAGGGAAAACACTCCACACTAAATACAAACAAGAGATTTCAAACTGAAGAATTGCAGATACTGAATAATCCCTTTGATTTAGTTCTTGGGGTTTGTGTGTGTGTGTGTGTGTGTGTGTGTACATGTGCACATGCGTGCATGTGTGTATGTGTGTAGTTTTAGAGTATCTCTTGGACTTACAGTGGACCACCCAGTAAGGATATGTGTGAATCCTTCTGCTGCCCTGCATAGATCTTGGTGAATGTATCTCCAGGGTTCTTTCTCCTTCTACATATGGTTTTTTGTGTGTGCACATGTTTTTTTCCATTGACTTCTTTATGTGCTGATGTCTCTCTTTGTCTTTTTTCTTTTTTTCTTTTTTGCCAAGGACCTTGCTTCTGGAGTAGGCAAGTCTGTTAGGACATTTAGAAACAAAAAGGATCAGTGAGCTCATTCCCCCTAAGTTCAGCCAGGACCACCAATGGTGAATCATGTGGATCAGGACTAAACTTCCACTGGGAACAAATCATCAGCAGACTTTGCTGTCTTCTGGCTTTAGTGTTTGGTCTTTGCCATCTCTTGGCCATGAAAGTAGGAACCTACTTCTAAGAGTCTTCTTGCTGAAGTTTGGTCAGTGTCCCAGTAAGAAGAGGGAGTGACACTTCACTCCCATAAGACTCTGCTGCATTTATGTTTGAAAATCCCTTTCCTGCTTTCCAAGTGTTCTTCTGAATACCCCATTGTTATAGTCATACTCACCACCCTTTCTAGGGATTTAATGGCTAAATCAGATCTTTTTTCATGGCACGTCTCAAGGCGGACCCCAACCCTTATCTCAGCAGCTGATCTTTCCCACTGAAAACCTGGTGCCAGTGTGTCCCAGAACCCTCTCAGCCTCTGAGAGAGTACTTCAGAGTAAACAAAGTGAAATACCAAGAGGATATTTACAGCCACTGACCAAACTCCCAATTTCCTTGGCTGGCTCTGGAGACAATGCAGTCCTGCATCAGCCCTCAACTGTACTGTCAGAAATTGATACGGGACCGAGATTGAGAAAATATTATGTTAAGCCATTCAATAGGCAAACAAAACATGGTCTTCCATTTCTTTAGAGGATCTGGGGCTAAATGTTTGTTTGTTTTCACAATGATATCATCAGTCATCGCAAATTCTGAGCCTCTCCTACCTAAACTTCCTGATCTATTTCCCAGGGACTCTTGAGAACCAGGCTTTGGAGCTGGGAGAGCCCATTGGCACCTAATACCTTGTGCTCCTCATGGCAAGGGAGATAGCTCTTCTCAGCAAGCTCTTGTCTACCAAGCTCCACTGTGCAAACTCATAAAACTCAATTCTCAGTGGAAGCATCTCATATATATTAATATATAGGTATTAGTCTGTTCTCATGCTACTAGTAAAGACATACCCAAGACTGCATAATTTATAAAGAAAAAGAGGTTTAATGGACTCAGTTTCACATGGCTGGGGAGGCCTCACAATCATGGTGGAAGGCGAAAGAGGAACAAAGGCATGTCTTACCTGGCAGCAGGTAAGAGATTGTGTGCAGGGAGCTGCCCTTTATAAAACCATCAGATGTCATGAGACTTATTCACCATTATGAAAATAGCACGAGAAAGACCCTCCCCCATGATTCAATTACCTCCCACTAGGTTCCTCCTATACATGGGAATTGTGGGAGCTACGATTCAAGATGAGATTTGGGTGGGGACACAGCCAAACCATTATCTATCTATCTATCTATCTATCTATCTATCTATCTATCTATCTATCTGTCTAGATGCTCTTCATGCCAAATGCCTCAAGACAAGTCCCTCTCTGGGCTAATATTATCAGTCAACTGATGCTGACAAATTGAAATCTCTAGATTTTGTTTTTCAGACCTGGAGGGAAAGGCAATCAACTACAGGGTATGCTTAAATTAGTTCCTTCTGCTTTCTAAGCAAATTCTTTCTCAAGAATCTAACCATGTATTAAGAATGCAAGATAGTGTTTTAGCATCTGTAATGTGTAGCAGGATTCCATTAGATGCTTGCACTTGACCTTTATAGTTATGTTCACTTTTTCCCAACCTCACACCCAGGTGTTCATATATCCTCATTTCTTTGGTTTTGTTTGTTGAAACTAGAATGCCTTTCTCTTTGCCTTGCAAAAAGGCTTATCATCTCTTCAGGCTTGACTTAAAGAACCCTTCTTCAATCCATCCCTTAGGAGGTGTTGTACATAATCTTCAGCCTCCTTACCTCTATGTTTTCCATATCTTTTCCACAATTTGCTCTTTCTACCATCACCTTTATGATATCCAGTGCTCTCTCCTAGAGCAGGAACCAGGGTCAGGCAAGTGAGGTGCCTAGGGTACAAGACGTAAGGAAGTGCTCACTTTCAGGGTTGTGCACTTCAGGTCTGAGCCCTGGGCATCTCACTCTCCTTGTCCTCATCCTGACCTGCTGTCCCAGAAAAATCCTCTTGAGAACGACTGTTATGACTCATATCGATCTAAGTATAACTGCACTGCTTTACAAGCAAATCCTATGTGTAGACTGCTTTCTCTTGATTTTTCATTTTAAGATGTTAGCTAATGATCTCTTACCTGGGCACAAGACAGTTCAGCTCTCTTAGAACTGTCCCCTACACCAGGCACACATGCTTTTCTCCCTACATTCTTACAACGTGATCACATCCCAATTTCACAATTTTGGGTTAAACAGTCTATGTTTACATTATCACGAACACTTAAGCATTATTATAGCTAAGTCTGTAGAATATAGTGTTTGCATTTCCTTCCTCTATAACTTTTTGCTTTTCTTAGAATTAAAGATTTCTTTAACGTTTTGTGTTTGCTTCATTTTTCAATTACCTACCATAACTGAAGCATAAATCATTGTCAGAACTGCAAAAGTCCTTTCAATAAGGCTTAAACACCAGGAAACCTACTGATTCCATCTCCTCTCACCTTGCTCCCCCAGCCCCTGAGTCCCCTACTCTGCACACTAGAGTGCCGGATCTCTGGGCTTGCTACTCAGCAGGCACAGTGAGTTTGCCCTTCATCTTTCTCCTGGGAATTGCTTCCCATCTCTGGTGCCTCATCTTTGTGTCCTCAATCTCAGGATTTTGTCATTCTTGATTTATTCTGTCTTTGGACAGAACACATCTTTGAGACCTTGCATGTACAACCATGTCTTTATTCTCTCCTCATACTTGATCGATAATTTGGGAATAGAATTCTGGGTTCAGATTACTTTCTCCAATAGCTTTGAAGCATTGCTTCATGGTCTTTTGGCTCCCAGCACTACTACGCAAAAGTTTGGTTCCTAATACTTGTATGTTGCTTTTCCCTTCTCTTTGGAAACTTTTAGGATCTTCTCTTTAGCCTAGTTTCTGAAATTTTAGGATGATGTATCTTGGGCTACTGTTGGGCACTCAGTATTTTGTTTTTCTTTTGGTTTAAATCTGGACATTTAGTTCTGGGAATTTCTCTTGTATTTGTATTTTGAAAGTTTCCTTCCTTCTATTGTTTTCTTTTTCCCCCCATTTCTCTTTCTAAAATTCTTATCAGTCGAATGTTGACTCTTGTTCCAGTTATCTATTGATATAAACCATCTCAAAGCTAAGTAGCTTAAAACAGTAGCAGTCGTTTATTTGGCTCACAAGTCTGCAATTCAGAGACTCCTCAGTTGGCGTAGCTTTTTCTCTGCTTTATGTGGCATCACTGGGTTATCTCCATTGGGAAAAGAATATCTGCTTCCAAGATGGGTCAGTCACAGGGCTGGCAGGGTGGTGGTGGCTCTTGATTGGGGGCTTTGGTACTTTCCACATGAGACTCCATGGCGCTGCTTGAACTTTCTCAGAGATGATGTCTGGGTTCTAGATATTACAGGAGGCCTGGATAGAAATTGCAGGGCTTCCTATGACCTGGCCTTGGAAGTCCCACAGTATCATGTCTACCAAATTCTATTGGTCAAGCAAATCACTAAGACCAGCTCAATTTCAAGGGCAGGGGATTAGACTCTACCTCTCAATGAGAGGAATAGCAAAAAATTTGTAGCCATCTTTAATCTACCATAGCACTCATTCCTCTAATTTTTATATATTTCTCCCATATTTTTCCATTTCTGATTTTTCCTTAGATTTTTAGATTTTCTCAACTTTATTTTCCAACCATTCAATTGACTTTTAACAGCAACAAAAAAGTTAACCATATTGGTGTATTTCCATGAACTCGTCCCTGAACTCATCAGTTCTTGCTCTATAGACACAATATTTTTTCATATTATCTGAGGATGGAGGTTGCAGTTTGTTAGTTTTGGTTTTCTTCTGCTCCATGCAAATTCTCCCTTTTTCCTATTATTTTTCTGTCAATTTGTCTTTTATGTTAGAGACTCTTCTCAAACTTTTGGCATTCTTTGGCTTAGATGCTGACAAGGAACTCTGGGTGCAAAGGACAAGTATGTTGACTCTTAGGCATCATGATAGGGTGATCAGGTCTGGGCCAGCTTTTTCATCAGATGAAATGTTAGTATCTGTAGGTGCTTTTCTGGGATCAGCCCAGAGAGAAGAAATATCTACATCCTGTCTAGGGAGTATCTTAAGACTGCCTGACAGAGACAGTCTGGGAGCTACAGAGTCAAAAAGAGCTAAGAGTCTTACCAAGCAAAATGCAGACATTCATTTTTATAGTCCTGTTTTTGGTATGACACTTCACCCTGCTCCCATCTGCACCTGACATCCGCAGTTCGTAGCTACTGTGGTTCACTGCTCCAGAGATCCAGCCTCCAATTTTTAGTCTGGCTTGGGGAGGAACTCCCCTGGTTGCTTAGGAGTAAGGAGAGGGTGAGGGGAATCAACTGCCCTATATACAGACTGTCAACCCATCCTGTTTTCAGTCTTATGGCTCAATTCTGCTCTCAGAGGTATCTAGTATCTCAAATTCCAGAGCCTTTCTAGACTCCAAATCAGCTTAGCTTATTTTGATTTTCTCTTAGCAGTCTTCGGTTTCACTTTCTTCTTTAGTAAATCTGTAACCACACAATTATCCTTTTTAATCTTCAAAAATGTTGTTAACATTAAAAAAATTTATTGTCCTTTTTTCTATTCTCTTTGTCTTTATGAGTTTTCACCTTTTCCCCCATTACCATCATTTTATTAAGGTTTTGAAAGGGCAGGGAAGTAAATATGTGTTGAGTTTGACATGTTTAACCAGAAATCTGCCTGTATATTTTCCCCTGGTGAGGAACAGTTGAGTGTTTCTTTTGAGATAAAAACAATCTCCTTCTAGATGACCCTGAGGAGATCCAAGGAGTGGGCTGAAGAGTCCCTCCTTTTTGACCTGCAGGATAAAAGTGTACTTAGTACTACTCTAGAAAGTGTGTAAGCAGCTAGCAGCCCTGGCTGCTGTGGGGCCCCACAGATTCACTTCTCACACAGAGACAGGCAGAGTCACATACAGCCTAAGTCCTCTGGGTGCCTCCAATTCAGGGACCAAACAAAAACCACAGCCAACATGTTTTGGATGTGTAAGTCACTAGGCTAAGCAATTACATGTGATGTGTCTCATTTAATTCTCATAACAACCTTATGAGGAATGTATTATTATTATTAAACTGTACCTCTATTTTAGAGATAAAAGCATCTGAGCCACAGAAAATTCTTAGCACCTTTCCAAGACCACAAGTCTTGGAAAGTACGTGGCAGAGCAACCCAGGAGGTCTACTTTTCAGACTACTCTGTTGTTACTCCACTTTGCCTCTTACTTGTTCATCACTTGTGTGAAGTGGGAATCCAGTTACCTCTCTTGTCTGGGGACCATCACATGTGGGCCAGAGATTTTTGTCCCTGGCCTGGGTGTTGAAGCCAGGAGAGACCCATCAACCTTTCAAATATGAAACTAAGATATATGGGAAAATGTTATCTTGGGCCACTGTCAGTTGGGTGAGGAAGATGAAGATTGGAGCATGGAGGATGGGAGAGAATCAGAAATGTATCCCAATAAATGTATAAACTGTATGTATGGGCTGGGCGTAGTGGCTCACGCCTGTAATCCCAGCACTTTGGGAGGCTGAGGTGGGCAGATCACTTGAGCTCAGGAGTTCGAGACTAGCCTGGGCAACATGGTGAAACCACATCTCTATGATTTTTTATTTTAAATTAGCCAGGTGTGGTGGTGCATGCCTGTAGTCCCAGCTACTTGGGAGGCTGAGGTGGGAGGATGGCTTGAGCCTGGGAGGAAGAGGTTGTAGTGAGCAGAGATCACACCACTGTACTCCAGCCTGGCCAACAGAGCCAGATCATGTCTCAAAAAACAAACAAAGCAAAACTGTAGGTATGAATTAGGTTTTAATGTATAAATGTCTTTTATGTGCCAGGCATTATGATTGGCACATGCAGACTTATTATTTGGCTTAAGGTTTAAAACAGCCTTAAGACAAAGGTAAACGTGAGACTTCCTTACTTTTCAGATAAAGTAGCACATAATCAGATTGGTGAAGATGTCTACTCAAGGTCACATGGGTAAAAAACCACAGAACTGGAACTCCAACCCAGACCTCTGGACCTAACTCAAGCCTAGTTCCCTTTTTAAGGGAAGATTTGATTGTTCTCAGTTAAAAAAAAAAATCTACTATGGAAATCCTTTATCACATGGTTCGGTATGTATCAGGCCTTAGAATGGGCTAAGAGGTAAAAATGATCTGGCTTTTATTAAAAGTGGACATTATCTATAGATCTCGAGCAAATGACTTTACTTCAGGTTTCCCACCTGCTAGATGGAGGTAATAACATCTTTCACGTAGACATAACAAACATAAAATAGGGATTATGCCACACAAGGACTTCCAGTATCTGCTTAGGGTCTAACTGCTGAGGAGTCAGGGCAGTGGGACTAGGGGGTTCTGAGATATTACAGGATTTCCGGAACTGAGGCAAAGGAAGAAAGTTAAGAAGGCTCTTGGCTGTGCCTGGTGAGAGGAGAGACTAGATGGCTCCTACTGTGAGGGTGAAGAAGGCTTTCGCAGGACAGAGTCCAGTCACAGTGGAGCAGCATGGTGTAGTGCACCTTCTCAATCTTTAGTGTGCACACGGATCTCTCAGGGGTGGTGGTAAAAAGCAAATTCTGATTTTCAGGGTCAGGAGTGGGACCTAAGATTCTGCCTTTCTTATAAGCTTCCCGGGATTGCAGCCTGCTGGTCCTGGGACCAAAATCTGAGTTGCAGAGTTGAGGAAAAGTCAGAAGATGTGGGCCTGACTAATTGTGGCATCTGTGGCAAGCCACTTACAGTCGTTCTACGGCCTGGTTGATTCTCAGATTCTTTATCTTTAAAATGAGGGAATATAGCACCGAAGCAGAGATATTTATTTTTTGAGATAGGGCCTTTCTCTGTTGCCCACGCTAGAGTGTAGTGGCATGACTGTGGCTCACTGCATCCTCGACCACCTGGGCCTGAGATCCTCCTTCCTCAGCCTCCTGCATAGCTAGGACTACAGGGCGTGCCACCAGGTCCAGCTAATTTTTAGGTTTTTTTTTGTAGAAATGGGGTCTCCCTATGTTGCCCAGGTTAGTCTCAAATCCTGGGCTCGCATGATTCTCCTGCCTCCTTGGCTTCCCAAAATGCTGGGATTACAGTGTGAACCATTACACCTAACCAGAGATATTTAGATGTGTACTTTGCTTTGAATGTTTGTAAAAGTGTTTGGGAAATTTTAAGGCACTGATATGGTTTGGCTTCGTGTCCCCACCCAAATCTCATCTTGAATTTTAATCGCCACATGATGAGGGAGTAACCTGGTGGGAGGTGATTGGATCATGGAGGCGGTTTCCCCCATGCTGTTCTCATGTTAGTGAGTGAGTTCTCATGAGATCTGATGGTTTTATAAGTGTTTGGCAGTTTCTCCTTTGCTGTCTCTCCCTCTCGCCTGCCACCATGTAAGACATGCCTTGCTTCCCCTTTGCCTTCCACCATGATTGTAAGTTTCCTGAAGCTTCCCCAGCCATGTAGAACTGTGAGTCAGTTAAACCTCTTTTCTTTATAAATTACCCAGTCTCAGGCAGTCCTTTATAGCAGTGTGAGAACTGACTAATACAGGCACCATTTAAATTTAAGAGGCTATTTCTATTGTGTCTGTTTAATAAGCAATTTATTCTGAATCCAGCAAACTCAATATGTGGCTTATAACAGAGTTTGGATTTCTAAAGTTTTAAGGAAACATGTTAATGGGTTAATTTTGTTTTCTTTAAACCAAAAGCACTCCCTATCTCTTCCATTTAAGACATTTATGAAATTACAGTGGTCTTTGAGGATTTGCTTCTTCTTACTTTAAAATTCTTCTGACTTGACATAATGGAAGTTATTTGATCAATCAGAAATTCCTGGAATTGGCAAAGCCTGTATCCATTTCCAGGAGAACTCAAATGGCTTCAATTTATGGTGACTTGAAAATGGAGATGAAGAAAAGGGCTATGAGTAGAATTTAAGAAAAACTTATGACGTAGGAAATGAATAAATAAAACTAAAGAAAATTACACCTATCATAACAAAGAGATAGTGATTTTTAAGAAGGCCTTTGTAAATTTTAAAGCACTATAAAATGTCTAATATTTGACTATCAAGATAATAAAATTCAGAAAAATCTCTGGGGTCAGAACTCAATACATAATTTATACTGATCAGATTCAATTAGCATAATGCTTTCTGCTCTGAACTTTCAGCTAATTTAATGATTGTAATAGTAACAATAATAATGATTGTCATTGCTAAAAGAGATGCTATATGTAATTAGAAAGAGATAAATTGAAGGAAAGACTGATAAGCAAAAAAGGGCAGAAGTCGCTGGCTTTTAAAATTACCAGCCCTTCAAATGGAAATCAATGCTAAAATCAAGGTATGGTTTCAAGATCAAATCTAGGGCACTTCCAGGAAAACATCATCTAAATATGAAGCGGAGCCTGGAATTATGAAATTCTTTAAGATCTCAAAAAAATTCAAGGACACTTTCATCAAACAATAGTGCTTCTAAGGCTGTTGCCCCTCAGGAACTTCATCAGAGCCAAAGGTAGAGAAGGGCAGATCTCGAAGACATTTGTGAGTATGGCTTTTGTCTAATGGAGTAAAGCCTAATAAAATTTATAGAAGACTCACAACATTGTTAAGATAATAACATTGTCAGAAACACTGTTTGCTTAGAGTGAAAGGGGAATAGATAATATGGAATGAAAAAAAATCAGCTGAACCCCAAAACTTCTATAAGCAGCAAATAGCCTGAGAATACTAGTGAATTGCAAATTTGAGCTCTTTTTCAAGGAAAAAGAAGGCCAGAAATCAAGAGCCCAAAAGCTCTTGATAATACTCCAAGAACCATGGATTAGACCTAGAGCCTAATCAAGGAACTGCTAACATGTATTCTAATCGATTTTAGAATTGCTATGTATGGATACTCCTGTAAGCCTCCTTCCCCCCACCTTTTTTGAATGGGAAAGTCTATTACGATCATCCTATATCATCCCACTATTGTGTGTTGGGGGTGGAAAAACTTGTCTCTATAGTTCACAGATTTATAGATCAAAGGGACCTGTACTTGAGTGAGCAGCTGATCTTCTGGGACCATACCCAAGGGAGCCTCATTTGCACTGGGACACAATTTAGATGACAAAATCTTAGACCTGGGTGCTGTAATGGGATGAAAATGTTAGATGCCCTGGAAGGGAGTCTGTGTATTTTGCATGTGGGATGAATATAAGCAATTCGTGGTCTGATGGGAGACTGAGGGAAGAGGGTCTAAAATGGGTACACAAGTTCTCCGACATGCCGCACTTCAAAAGGTGCGTCTTAGGTCTTCTCCCTTCGAATTTAGGATGGAACTTGGTGACTCACTTCCAATGAGTAGAATGTAGCAGATGTGAGGCTCTGACTCTGGAAAGGTCATTAAAATAACAGATGACATCTGGCACTCTCTCTTTTGAGTTCTGCTCTGCCTTATTGTGAAGATATTCAAGCAGCATTTAAAAAAATTTAAATAAAAAAAAATTTTTTGGGATGGGGTCTGGCTATGTTCCCCAGGCTGGCCGTGAGCTCCTGGGCTCAAGCGATCCTCCCACCTTGATCTCCCAAAGTGCTGGATTACAGGAGTGAGCCACCACTCCCGACCTCAAGCAGCCTTTTGTAGAGCCTTTTTTGTGGAGAGACTTAAGCCTCCCACCAACAACCAGCACTGATTTGCCTGCCTGGTGAGTAAGCCACCTTGAAAGTAAATCTTTCAATCTCAGTTGAGACTTCTAATGACTAAATCCCCACCCAGTCACAGCATCAGTGGAGTATATTTGACATATTATAGAATTGAACCGCTTCAGGTGTTACAATTCAATGATTTTTAGTAACTTTATTGAGTGATGCAACCATCACAATTAATCAATTTGGGAACATTTCATCCTCTCAATCATATTCCTCATGCCAATTTATAATAATACCCCTTCCCTCATCTCCCCTTAAGCAACCATTAATTTACTTTCTGCATCTATAATTTTGCCTTCTCTAGACATTTCATATAAATGGGATAATAACATGTGGTCAATTGTGTCTTGTTTCTTTCATTTAACATAATGTATTTGAGGTTCACCCACATTGTAGTGTTTATTAGTAGTTTGTTCCTTTCTTTCTTTGCTGAATAGCATTCAATTCTATGAATATATCACATTTTATTTTATTGATGACATTTGGGATTTTTACTTTTTTGCTCTTATGAATTTTCACACGTAAGTCTTTTTGTGCACATGTTTTCCCAATATAACTATGTTTAACTACTTGAAGAATTGCAAAAGTTTTCTACAGTGGTGCTGCATCCTTTTATAATCCCACCAGCAGTGTATGAGTGTTTCTATTTCTCCACATTGTTACCAACATTTATTATTAATTGTCTAACTTATCGTAGCTTATTTAGTGAGTGGGAAATGGTATCTCACTGTGGTTTAAATTTGCATTTCCCTAATGACTAATGATGTTGAACATCTTTTCACGCACTTGTTAGCTATTCATATATCTTCTTTGGTGAAATGTCTGTTTACATCTTTTATCTGTTTTGTGATTGGGTTGTTTGTCTTTATTGTTGAGTTCGAAGTGTTCTTTGTAAATTCTTGATGCAAGTCCTTTATCAGATAAGTGTTTTGCAAATATTTTTCTCTTTGTCTGTTGCTTATCTTTTTATTTTCTGAGTGGAGTCTTTTGTTTGAAGTGCCAATGTTTTAAATTTTCATGAGGTCCAATGTATACTTTTTTTTTCTTTTGTGGACCATGTTTTTAGTGTTGTATCTATGAATTATTTGCTTAACCTAAGATCTTGAATATTTTCTCCTAAACATTTTATTGCTTTAGCACTTACATTTAAATCTGTGATCCATTTTGAGTTAATTTATGTGTATTGTATAAGGTGAGGGTCTAAGTTCAATTTCCTTGGCACCACTTTAAATTTTTTTAATTTTTAATTTTTTAAATTGACATATAATATTTGCACATATTTGGCATACACAGTGATGTTGAGATGTATGTATATAATGTGTAGTGATCAGATAAGGTTAATTAGCATACATAGCATCTCAAACATTTACCATTTCTTTGTGTTGGGAACATTCAATATCCTCCTTCTAGCTATTTGAAATTTTATAACATAATATTGCTAACTATAGTCACCCTACAGTGTCAGCCCCATTTTTGAACTACTGTTTCCCCAATGAAGTGCCTTGCTCCCTTGTCAAAAGTGATTTGGCCATAAATCTAAGGATTTATTTATGGAACAGTGCCACATTGTTCCTGATAATTATAGCTTTATTAAAGTAAGCTTGGAAATTAGGATGGGAAATTCCTCTAACTTTTTTTTCAAATTGTTTTGTCTATTCTAGGTGTTTGCATTTCCATATACATTTTAGGATGTGCTTGTCAACCTGCTCAATATTTTGACAGCAGTCTCCTGGGAGACCCTGAGCCAGAACTGTCAGCTAAGTTATTCTGGGTCCTTGACCCACAGAAACCGTCAGGGATGATAATCATAAATGTTAGTTTTTATTTTAAGCCACAAAATTTTGGGTAATTTGCTTCACAGCAACAGATGACTAATACAACCACCCAACTTTATTTAGCGTGTCCTGGCATGACATGTGGTACCTCTAAAAATCATGCTGCTTTCAGATTTGAAGATTTACTGCTATTGAGGAAAAGCAAAAAATAAGTGGCAGATGGTAGAAGCAGATGAGCTAGGGAGAAGAGGGAGGAATGAGGAATGGGGTAGAGGAGATCTGCAGCAGTGGTTGGCAAGCTATGGCCTGAGGGCCAACAGGGCCAGAGCCTGTTTAAGAATGCTTTTTATATTTTTAAAACACTGTGACCCTTTACAGAAAAAGTTTGCTGACCCCTGGTCTAGAGTGCTGAAAAAGGGTCTGGATGGAAGATAAACATTGTGGAGTTATCAGCATCTAGGTAATATTGGCAATTATGAGAAGGGATGGTTTGATATGTATATCTCAGTTGTGTTTCCTAGGTCTGTTGCCACTGGAGAGGAAATATATTCTTGGGTCCCCCAGGCAAAAGATCAGATATGTAAGTCATCATTTGGGACTACCCCTACCTACCCCAGGGATGAGGGAAATGCATAACTTACCTATATCCATTCCCAGCAGGCTGAGAGTCTTATTACCACCAGTAAGGCTTGGGCTCTCTGGGAAAACTGCAGTCCTTCAAGGTGTGGGCCTGTACTTAGCAAGCCATGGGGCAAGTGAAGACTTCCAAAGGATGACTCATCTCAGCTGGCTGTTGGCTCCATCTCCCCATTTTCCCTTTGTGTCCAAGGCCTGCCTCCTTGGCCGGCATCCTCCAAGGAGGCTGGGCACGTGCCTGTGGTTTCCAAAGTCATTTGGACTTAGCCCTCCAAAGCCCAAGAGTAAGAGAGGACACCCAGTTGGGCCTGTGTCCACCCAAGTTGGCTGACTGTTCTGAACCTGAATTACTATGATAACTGAAAGTACATAAATGGCCCCTGATAACATCTGTGTGGGTTTTTGTATAAGTCCTTAGGACCTGAAGAACAAAAGTATTCCGTTTGCCAGATGCCACATTCTGTGGATTTACCCACCACAAATCTTTCCAAGCACCATGATCTCAGCATGCTCATGATCTATATTCAACCTTCTCTGCCTTATAGTTTGTAAATCCCTGCAGCTGTAGGTGAAGTCAATCTTTTCTCTTTCTGCTTGCAGTTAAATGGAAATCAGCTCTTCAATTCACACTTAATTTTCAATGGAAAGGACCCAGTTCCATTTTATTTAGTGCAAATAGCAAATGGCAAAGATACAGATTTCATTAATTGCTTGTGTTCCCAGGGAGATGGAAGATGGGATGCTAGACATTTCTGAAGATCTCTCTGGTGTGATGGAAAGAGCTCCAGACTTGGGGTCTGTCTTAGTCTGTTTGGGCTCTCATAATAAAATACTGGGTAACTTACAAACAGCAGAAATCTATTGCTCACAGTTCTAGAGGCTGGAAAGTCTAAGATGAAAGCACCAGCGGATTCGGTGTCTGGTGAGAGTCTTTTTCCTCATAAACAGGGTCTTTTACTTGTGTCCTCAAGTGGTGGAAGGGTGACAAACTCCCCCAGGCCTCTTTTATAACTGCATTAATGGCTTTCATGAGGCAGAGTCTTCATGACTTACTCACTTCCCAAAGGCCCTACTCCTTAATACTATCACATTGGGGCTCAGGATTTCAACATGTAAATTTTGGTGGGACACAAAACATTTAGACCATAGCAGTGTCTGAAGAACTGAATTAAAATTCTAGCTTTAAGTGACCTTGAATAGTCATTTTTTAGCCTGAATGAACCCCAGTTTACTTATTTTGTATCGTGGGGATTAGGCTGAGTGTTATACTTGATGGCAGTTATAAAGACATTTGTACCTTGCAAATTTGTATGCCTGAGGAAAGAGATGTTTTTATTTTATTTTCAAAGGTGAGGTAATAGGTTGAATCTCTGTCCAATGTAGAGTTAGAGTTTCTGTTTACCAAAATTAATATTGCAGATTTTATCTAGTTAGGGCATAAATGAACAGAGAGTTCCTAAATTGAGAATACCATATTTTCTTCCAGAAAATCCAGTGACATCCAGTTAATAAACTCTTTTCATAAACACATGCCTCCCTGGAACTGATGATAGATGGGGTGAACTTGCTATATTTTTCATATTTAAGATGAAAGGCAACTTTATGAGTCCCCGACTAAAGCCTAAGAGAATCAACTCCAAAGAAACATAGCTCTCACAGTCTTCTTCCCACACATTCCTCTTCTTCTAAAATTGGTTTGTCTTTTGTTGTTGTTGTTTTTATTTTGAAGGATTACTCCCTCAGGAAGAAAATAAATTCAATCTTTACCAAGATTTTAATAGAGGAAATATCAACCACCCCAGGTCAAATGCAATGGGAAAGCAAGTTTGACCTTGTTCGTGAGACAAGCATATGTCTTCATTCATTTCATCATTCTCCTTGATAAAGTTGCAGTCTCATTGAAAAGCTTTTACATTGACAGGGCCAAATACCTACTGAATTTCTCTCACATGAAGATGGGGAGGCCGCTTCTGGCTTTGGCTGGGATTCTAGGAGTCAGATTTAGGATGGTGAGAGATAGAAAATCTGGCAAGAGCTTTCACGGCTCCCTGCCATTTTAATCTGCAAACCTGAACTTGCTTTTGTGCCTAACCATATTTAGATTGGTGTCTAGATTTCATATGATCTGTTTGTTTCTGACTTGCCTCCCTTCTCAGATGGTGCATCTGATATCTTCCTTGTAGGGTTTTTATTCCACAACTGTCGACAAGGGATGCCATGTCTCTTTCTTGGCCCATGTTTGAGAATGTCCTCAAATCCATTTATCTGAACCTAAAAGCTTGACCCCTTTACATTTAGAGTGAGAACTAAAGCATTTGGTACAAAGTATACACTAAGGAGTGGATCTTTTCTCCCACTTCCTCTCCTTCAGTTACAGCACAAGATCACAGCTCTGTCCACGATCATGTCTAACTTTCATTTTCATCCCTTTCCAGGATTTAGGTTCAGCCTTTAGTCTGCTGAGACATGAGACTTTAGAGTCTGTCTTCGTAGGTTAAAAATCTTGGATTGGAACCCAGATGTGTGGGCAGCCAGCTCAGGGGTGTGAAGCTTACACAATAAATTGGACATAACAGAGTTCCCGTGCAACCATTTGCACCAGTTACCTTTCCTTTGCAGCCTTGCTATTGTTTGCAGACAGAATGGCTAAAGGTTATTTCTGATCCCTTGAGGGACCTTATCAGGATTTATATCAGTAATTAAAAGCATGCTGCCTTAGGCAGCTGAATGCATCCAACAGTACACTTTCAGGCAGGAAACAGTGAGTTACTCCCATTCACTCCCTACCAACTATAGCACTTATTTGAACACTTTATCTTGGTCCAGCTGCCAGAAAACTTTCATTCTCTTCCCTTACATGCAGGGAGCCGCCTTTCCTTGGATATCTGAACCTGGAAACATTTAACATTCTCCCAGGAAATAACCCCATTCAAAGCTATTGTTTTTAAGTGCTAGAGTGATTGACTTGAAAGTAACTTGCGTAAATCAGTGGTGTTGATTACTAAACACAATGGTAATTACTAGGGAGGATAATGAAAACACAGTATAGTTGTATAAATAATATGTGACAATTGAAAGTAGAACCTATAATGGGCTTTTAATATCATTTACTGCAGTTAAAGGAACGGAGTTGGGAGGTACGTGGCTTGCGTGCTTATGCTATTTTCCCTGTTTCCTCATGTGGCAAAAATTGTTAAGTAATCACAGTATTTTCGTATCTGTACCTGAAAGCTTCACAGCTCTGTCCACTGGTTGAATCCTTCTCAACCAGTTCTTCGGGTAGCCATTATCAGCCAATTAGTTTTCTCTAAAAAAGTAAAATAAGGTTTTCTATCCTAACAATGGAGTATATATGTTCACATTGGACAGTGAGTTATTTAAGGGTGATGACAGGTTTTATTCACCTCTGTGTTCCTAGCACGCAGACTCAGTACTTGACACATAATAAATACTCGGTAAATAGTTATTAAACAGAACACCTGATAATGCTCAATTGCTGATTAAGCACTCCCTATTGAGTCAAGAAGAGTTCCCCACCCAGTGTGTTTATATGTAGAATGAGCTAGGGATATGTAGATACACTGCCTTCCTTAGTTGTTAAGAAGCTTTTCTGAAAGTGGACAGAGCCCCCGAGGCAGAGGCTTCCTCCTGTAAGCAGCCTTATCTAACCACTTTAGTGTGCTCCTACATGTGTCATCATTTTCTTTGTTTAGCCTGATGTGAAAGTTGGACTAGGTTGGATGATCCTCTCTGGATAACATTAAGTTTGAGTAACTCACACTGATATTAGCTCACCTAGATAATAGCTCTATATTTCTTGATGAAGTATTTCAATTCCTTAAGATCTCAGATAATCACAATCAGAAAAATACATTAACCATGTAAAGAAAGAATCTGCCTAACAATATTTAGATTGGTGTCTGGGTGTCATACGAGACTTTAAAGATGGAGAGGCCCAGGTAGCAAGGATCTGAGGGAGATCTCTAGGATGTAACAGCAGCCTCTAACAGCTGAGAGAAACCCCCATTGACAGTCAGCAAGAACGAAGCAACTGAATTCTGCCAACAACCATGTGAGCCAGAGGACCACGAGATCCAGATGAGAATGCAGCCCAGATGATACAGTGATTTCAGCCTTTGAGGCCCGGAGTAGAGAAGCTAGCTATGTCGTGCTTGGGCTTCTGACCTACAGAAATTGTGACATTAATAGTGGTTGTTTAAGTCACTGTATTTGTGGTAATTTATTATGCAGCAATAGAAAATTATAGAAAGTATTTTTAATCTGATCTGTTTGGGTCTCTTATCAGTCTCATTGAAGATTTTCAATGGCCTTTCGGAATTACGGGACTTACCCAGCTCTGCCAGGTATTATAGATATGTATTTTCACGCATGTCTTTCTAAATAGCTTGTAAGCTAGCTGAAGATGGAGTCTAGTTCTTCTCATTGTTCCTCCTTAAATAGTCCAGTGTAGGGCTTAATAAATATTTGTTAGTTTGGAAGGCCAAGGTGGGAGGGTTTCTTTAGTCCAGAAGTTCGATACCAGCCTGGGCAACATAGCAAGGTTCTGTCTCTACAAATTTTTTTTTTAATTAGCTGGGTGTGGTGGTGCATGCCTATAGTCCCAGCTACTTGGGAGCCTAAAATGGGAGGATCCCTTGAACCCAGGAGATCAAGGCTGCAGTGAGCTATGATTGTGCCACTGTACTCCAGCCTGAGCAACAAAGCGAGACCCTGTCTCAAAAAAAAAAAAACCAAAAAAAAAAAAAACTTTTTTTATTGGGTTGAATTGCATTTGTAAAGCATTTGGTCTTCTGCAAAACATTCATTGCCCTGATCTCAGGTGAGCTTCACTGCGACCAAGATATTGAGATAGGGTAGAGAAGGAAGCTAAAGCACAAAAAGGAGAAGAGATTTGCCTGGGGTTAAAAGCAATAATCTCTACAGCTTCATAATTCCCAGTCCAGTATGCTTTCACTACATTAGCGCTTTCTCCACGACAAGGATTAGGATGTAAAGTATCTTAACTTTGAGTGGAATTTTGTTGCAAAAGACCTTGAGGGTTCTGATGGTTCTAAACCAAGGGGAACAATGCCGAGACTTTTGAGTTCCATTTTGTATTTTCCAGAACATTAGGACTTACGTGCTTGTTTTTCCTGCTCCATTTCTGAAGGACAAGATAATCAAGGAAAATGTTCCTTTGCTTTATAATAAGATCAAAATGACAAACTTGTTGCCTTAAGGCATTATTTCAAAGGCATTCACTCTCATGAGTATCTTGGCTGTTCAAATTTAATCTGAGCTTATTAGAGAAATTAGGGTTCTTGGCATTTTTGAAGGTACCCCTCTAATGGCATTAGACCATTAGATGGTTCAGATCACCAGATGATTTAGAAGGACTTTAGAATTGAGCATACTATTTCTTGGTGCCAAGACCATCTGGATTCTTCAAATGTCAGCATTAATTAATTATTAATTAATTCAATTCTTTAACAGGTATTTGAGTGCCCACTATGTGAGAGCCACTATACAAAGCACCAGAAATAAAGTGGTATACAAAAACAGACCTGCTCTCAGCTTCTCAGTGAGCCAGTCATGTTGTAAAGCTGTCCTTGATTCCAAGGAAGAGTTTTAGAACTTCAACTCTATGACCTGTCTATTCAACCCACATATGAGACAGATCCATTATAATCATTACCCCATTGTATAACAGCTCTTTTTTTGCCTCTAGGTTTATTAATCCAGCCTATAAGCTTCTCTAGACCTAGGACTATGGTGCCTGCACAGAAGATGTGCTCAACATATAACTGATTAAATAACTTAATGAGTAAATGAAGGACTGGACTCGTTTGTGGGCCATATTTGGAGGTGACTTTGTAAACTCTAACAGCATGGGATTTTAATAAGCTGTCTTCATAGCTTGGACCATGGTAGGTATTCAATACATATTCATCGAACGCAAGTGTTCTTCGCAATCAGGGAACATTTTATTTGCTTCAAATGTGATAGGAGTTCTGAGCCTACTACCCATAGGGTCTCATTCCCAAGGGAGAAAATTCAATTATCAAAATTTTGAACAGGCCCAAATCAGATTTTCTGTCACCCCTTTTTGTGCTTAGGAATCTGGTGATGTTGCAACAGCTGTTTATAATTGCAACCCAAATCCCAAATTAGCAAGGCAAAGTGGAAGAATCAGCTAGCCATTACTCCTGGCCCCTTAAAGCACCTTTAAAAAAAACCTGCCGCAGCGACATTGACACTACTTTTGGAGGCTTTAAATAACTACCAGTTCTGACTGTGGGCTCCTAAGCTGAGCAGCCCCTGCGCACATTGTGTCCCTGGCTCCCCTGGTAGCAGAAAGCTAATCAACACACCCGGGAAACCCCTGTTAGACCTCAGGCTCTGTTAGCAACAACACAACAAACAAAGGGCTTCTGGGTGTGAACTTCTGGCTGCTTCAAGAATGGTTGCTAAAATAAGGGGGTCAAAGCTACAGGTGTTCTCAGCCTTCAGAACAAGCTACTAGTGCAGAGTCAAGGCTGGGCAAGTTTGGCTGGGCCTAAGAGAAAGTTCTTAGGGTAATAGTCATGGACGGTCATGGACCATTCTGCAGACCAAAGTGACAAAGAAGCAAGGTAGCTGTGTTTGTTTTCTTACAGGACATAGCAATTGTCTAATTAAATTCTCTGCCCTTCTAAGTCATTATCTATATGACTTCTGGTTATCTTTTGATAACACAGATTGGACTGCGTTATTTCTGCTTAAAATTCACATCTGAATTGCCAGGACATAGAGAATTATGGCAATTCCATGGCAAGCATTTAGTCTCCTTCCACCATCTGGTCATAACTTACTTACCAACCTTATCTTTGGCCACCATTGTCTATGAACACTGGGTTTCAACTTCATTGCCCTTTATCCCCCAAACATGCCATTTGCTTTATTCTTCAGGGGACATTTGGTTTGGCAATGTTTGGAGACATTTTTGTTTGTCACAACTGGACAGGAATGTGCTACTGAAAATTTAGTGGACAGAGGTCAGGCATGCGGCTAAACATTATACAATGCACAGGACCTCGCCCTAAATAATGAGTTATTCAGCCCAAGATGTCAGTGGTGCCAAGGTACAGAAACTCTGACATAAGCACTTAACTCTACCTAAAATACCCTTCCTTGTTCCTTTCTCCTGCTGTCTTTTCTCAAACTGGTGAAATGCTATTCATCTTCCAAGCCCTGCTTTAATTTTCCCCCCTCTGTGAAGCCTTTCTCAACCCCACTTCCCTTCTTTTGTTGCTTTAGTTCCCTTTTTTTTTTTTTTTTGAGATGGAGTCTCGCTCTGTCGCCCAGGCTGGAGTGCAGTGGAGTGACCTCGGCTCACTGCAAGCTCCGCCTCCCAGGCTCACTGCAAGCTCCGCCTCCCAGGTTCATGTCATTGTCCTGCTTCAGCCTCCTGAGTAGCCAGGACTACAGGCGCCCGCCGCCACCATGCCAGGCTAATTTTTTGTATTTTTATTAGAGACGGAGTTTCACCATGTTAGCCAGGATGGTGTCGATCTCCTGACCTCGTGATCCGCCTGCCTCGGCCTCCCAAAGTGCTGGGATTACAGGCGTGAGCCACCGCGCCCAGCTGCTTTAGTTTCTTGGTCCAATATGGTAGTAATATTACGTCCTAAGGTCTAATATTATGTCCTAACCTCTATTAAAATACTTTAAACATTTTACTTTTTTTTTGAAAGAAGAATAGACAACAAGGGTTACTTTCTCATTTAGAACTCAGAAAATCTTCTTAAACCTCCAATTCTGTGTTTGGTGTGAGTTCATACCACACCCCGTTGTCCCGAGGGTTTCTGCGGATTGAAGTCACACTGAGCTCAGCTGGCTGCATCCTTGGCTTGTGGGTTGTCACCATACTGTGTGTGCCAGAGTCAGTGCTACACCACCTCAGCCCAAACAGGAGGAAATGCAGGCCTTTCCTCCGTATTTTCAAAACCCCTACTCACACAAGGCAATCTTAGCAGAGTAAATTTTACTGGAAGGAGGTGGGGAGGCAGTTTGCTCTGCAGCAATGCAAACAATTTCAAAGTGGACACTGGACATCTCAGTTCTAAAAGCTTCAGCCACTTCACCCAGCAGATGTTTCCAAAGTTGCCTCCCATGTTGTGCTCCCGGTGCAGCACCAGCCACACTAGTGGTTCTCTCTGTCCCTGACTCTCTTGCCTCCACCTCACCTATTCCCTCTGGGATTAGCTCCAAGAAATCTAATTTATTTTCACCTTCTTGTGTTTATTTCTGCCTTCCTCCTTTCCCTCAACTCGAATCTGTGTCCACCTTTGCTCAAGCATATCAACTGAAGCACTCAGAAGGAAAAACAAAGAGCAGTACATTTCCAGAATGACCTTGGAAGGCAGGTTTGGTTAAAAAATAGCAATTATTTTCCCTTTATTATATTTTTCTATCTGATGCCCCATCTCAAAACCACTTTCTTCAAGAACACAGACTGAAACTCCTTTATCTATATTTCAGGGCTTAGGACAGTGTTGGGTACGTTATTGATGATCAAGGAATACTGAAGAGCTGTTTTCCTATTTTGGTGCAGATGTGGAGAGAGGATTGCTTGAGACTCTTCCCAGCTCTTGAGATTCCATGTAGGTTGTGAACACTGAGGAGTGTGTGGAGCTTATGTCTGAACTTCACCTCTCTAATGTGACCATCCCTGAAATGAAAAGAAAACCAGTGCTAAATGGAAATACCTTCTTTCTTTCCCTCCCACAGCTCGTGCATATCTCTTCTACACTCAATCAGCATCTCTAGAGGAGGTGCCAGCTCTCTCAACAAGTAATTCCTTTTGGCCCCATCACAGAAGGGAAGTACAATCAACAGCAATGAAGCTTCTTTATTCCTTGCTAATTTAGTGCCACGACACATGATATGCACAGCTTTGTGAGTGGGAGGGTTTCAAAGCAGGAAGCTTTGGATCTGACTTAGGGAGGCTGGTTATCCACTTACGATACTTGACTTAGCAGAAGCCAGTCTTTGTGAAAGCTGTTATGGGGCCCCCTGCTGGCATTGTGACATGGAGACACTTCATCTTCAGTGAACCTACAGTTCCCTCTGGGAAGCTTCAAGTTCAACAGGGCTGTGGACTTGCAGAGATTCTTGCTGTAGGCTAGGAAAGTAGATTGTAGTACTAGTACTACTGCTAGTACTACGTTTTCTACTATCTTTGGGTTTCTTGGGCCACTTTGAAACTCTAACCACAGTGTTTTCAAACTTGCAATGGTAAAATGCATTGTAAATAAAAATTTTAACTTAAAGAATACAAATTTTTTGAATACACAATTTATTTGGAATTTTATATCATAGTAGCAAGAATAAGAACACCATTAAGATATTGTTAGAAGCATTTTCAATAAGAAAACTGATAAACTGTGCATACAAACATCATGGATGAAAGGTAATGTAGTGAAAAAGAGGGAGTGGGATGGCAGGGAACATAGGCAGATCTGATTCCTAATTCCAGTCTTGCCAACAGCTAGCTCTGAGAACTTAAATCATGATCTCAGTTTCCTCATCTCTCTGTAAAAACAGGATAACAGTAGTTATCCTGCCAAGAGTATAGATTTGCAAGGTGGATCTAAGGAAACAGAGGATTTGGAAAAGTTTGGGGAACTTAAAATAGTTTTGCAGAGAATAACAATAACATTGGCGTTATCTGGGCTACAATGGCTAAACCAGGTGATGGTCTTGTAGCAGTCTTTTGAGAGAGTGGGCCATGATCATGGCAAACTGACATTGTCCAGGCTTTCTGCTTAAATGGGCCCTCTGTTGTTTGGAGTTGCATTCACTGACACTTTTCAAGCAGTTCAGACAGTGTGGGGAGGAGTAAGATGTGGTTCTGGATGATGGTGGTATGAAAACCCTGAAACCACTATGCCTAGGAGCCTCCCACAGATTTTTGGAGATCCCCAGGTGGTCACTGGGAACATTCCTTCAGGGCCTTTCAAGGGTGTTTACTGTGGCAGTGGGAGGGGCCCTGGAATTAGATACCATGGAGACCTCCCTGAAAGAGACCCTGCAGTTCCATGGCCTCAGGCTAACCACAAAAAAAACAAGAACTTCCGGTTCAGTGGCAAATACCATTTTTTATAACTGGGGACCTAATCATTAAAACTAAAGGGCTTGTGTGCAATTTTAGGTACAGGACCAAGACTAGTCTTCCCAAAGACAGGTCCAGGAGGGCCTTCCTTCACTAATCCATCATTTTTCTGTTACCCTGAAGTTAGGTTCCTGTCCATGAATGCCCATCCTGTTTCTTTATGTGTGTGGGGGGTATTTTCTCCTTCAAGTTGGTACAAATCCCACAAAAGGCTCTATAGGACATGTCAGTGTTGGGAAAGATGGAATTCTATGGGTACTGTTCATCTCTCAGGAGCTCCACCACAGTAAGCATATTTTACAAGATGTGAAATATATCCATTAACAAACTTGAGGACGGCAAAGGAGTTCAGGAAATAGATGCCTATGGCTGATAAGAATTAACTTCAGAAGGCTCTTTCTCAACCCTCTGTCTCACTCCTAGTTGTTGTAGGAAAGAGAGGGCACCCTTAAGTGGGGCAATTGAGGGAAATTTAATGAAATGACTATTTACAAAGAAGTGGAACAGTTAAAGGAAATCAACAAGGGATAGGAAAGCATTTAAGAGCTAGCAATAGCTGGGAGCCATTATCATCCTCAGATCTGATGGGGTAAGGGGAGAGAGTGGTTATGTGAGTACAAAGAAAGGTGTAGGAGAGAGACACTGAATAGGAACCGAAGGCTTGGGTGGAGGAACACAGTGACTAAAACCCCTAGTCCAGCAACAAGGGAGCAGGGATACGGCTACCCTATCTCGTTATCTTCCCACCCTTTTTTCTCCTTCCAGGGCTTCCCATTGGCCGAACCTAACAGGAAGCCAAAAGACAAGAACAAATGTGGAGGCTGCACATAGTCCCGGGGCGGGGGGCGAGAACCTTTCAGACAGGAAAATGGAACATATCCAGCATATTTTTGTTGTCTAAAATATCCTATTTGAGAACCAAACAAACAAAAACAACACCATGATTTAGTAGAAAGAGCATAGAGCCACGATTGAGAAGACCAACATTCTAATCTAGTCCCAGCTCTGCTACTGACTTGCCAAAAAGTCTTGGGTTGGCCACGTGGCACCCCTATGTGTTGGTACCTTCCCTTCTCCCTTCTCTAGGGTGCTGTGTGGATGAAGAGGGTTTATCAGTACAGGTGAGTGGTGAACGTGAAAAGAACAGCTGGAGCCCTGGTAAGGAGATGGGGGAGAGGAAGCAGCCACAGGTGCTGTAACTTAGGAAGAGGGAGAAGAGTAGTAATGGGGACACTCATAATCTGATGGTGAAGGAATAAGGGCAGGAGGAACAAAATTATGAGATTAAGCCAAACCCCGAGACGTTCCTCTCCTCTCATGTTCAGCAAGGCATTGGGGGATGTTCACTGACAGCTGCAGATGTAAGCATTAACAAGAGAAGATAGGGAGGCTCTGTTTATTCCCGGGTAAAAGGAACACTAACTATTTTCAGTTTGTGGTTGCTTGCTGTTCTTGCCTAGTTGCCAGACAGCACATCGGAGAGAGATGATCATGCATCTCAATGCCCATGGGTTTCAAATAGACTCGGTCTCTGTTTGCTGCTCATTCTTTAGCATGAGTCAGTAGAGTAGGGGATCTGCTCACAACTAAAGAGAATATTAGAAGAGACAATACCTAAGGGATATCAATGAAGTACAGACCTTACCCAAGTCTCACAGTGAAAACATAGGAGAGGAGTGTGAGATAAGTGGAAGAGTTACAAGAGATGGATCAAAAGCAAATGTGTACAATCCCTTCCACGCAAGGGCTAAGCCAGGTAGAGAGAATATCTGCACAGACAGATCACTGCTGGGGTGAGATCTAGATACATGGAGCTGGGTTCACTGTCCTTGTTCCTTGTTTGGTGTCTTCTCAAAGCCACCAAGATTTGGAAAGGCCACAGTCAGGACAAGTCCTGGTTTGCTATTCCAGGAAGTAGAAGTCTAAGGGAAGAAGAGCAAACAAAGTCAAGAGAATTCAGATTTAAAGATATAGAGCATCTAAGGGCTCTAGATACTTCCAATCACACCTTCAACCAAATCTTCCACCAGGTCCTATAAGAGGCACCTGGGACTTGGGAAACTACTCCAGATACCACCTAGGTTGCCCTCTATTTCAACACTAGTCAATGATCCTTCTCAATTCAGTCGTCCCTTACTCAGGGAAATCTTTTGTGACCTCCCTGACCAGGTCAAATCCTCCTTTTACAGCCCTGGGGGACACTGCCTGTGTAACACTTACCCGGTTTTACAATGATTTTATTGGTGCCTGCCTCTCCCATAGTGTGTAGGCTGCACAAAGCCATGCCTATTTGCAGAGCATTGCACACCCAGATCCTAATTCACCCTATGGAGCTGTATAGGTTCTTTGTTACATCAGTTAGATGGATCATGGAGCAACAAATAAATGTCTGGTTTCTCAGATTCTTGGCCTGTTTCCTGGTACCTGGGATCTCTTGCTCAGCTTGGCCTCTTGACATTGATGATTGAGTTGCATCTTTTGCCTGGCTTTGGGAAACTGCTTGGCTCCAAAGTCTATGTTAAACAGATTAGATAACCGTAGACACAGGAACTACACAAGTGATAGAAGAACAAAGTAGTTGAAGGTACAAGTAAGAAGGACCAGGACTATTGATGACAAGAAAGCGAGGTTACAATTCATTTTTATTGAGTTTTGACCTGCCTGTATGGGTAAGGTGTAGAATCAAGAAAGCCATGAGAGGCCGGGTGTGGTGGCCTGTAATCCTAGTACTTTGCGAGGCTGAGGTGGGTGGATTGCTTGAAATCAGGAGTTCGAGACCATGAGACCAGCCTATGTGACACAGTTAAACCCTGTGTCTACAAAAAAATACAAAAATAACCAGGCATGGTGGCATGTGCCTATAGTCCTAGTTACTTGTGGAACTGATATGGGAGAATCACTTGAGCTCAGGAGGTTGAGGCTGCAGTGAGCAGTGATGGTACTACTGCCCTCTAGCCTGGTCTAGCTTAGGTGACAGAGCAAGACCCTGTGTCAAAAAACAAACAAAAAAAGGCAAACCATGAGAAAAGAAACTCAAAGAATGTCCTGAAGTACTGTACTGTATACAATCAAGCAATTTGACTAAAGGAATATTGAACTCATCAATTTAGACCCTTTAGATCTCTATATGTGAATAGCTTTCTTACTGCTCTCTTGTGTCTTGTACTCCTAGTTTATTCTGAAGAATGCCTCCAAATTAATCCCTCCAAAATATCTGTTTGCTTCAAAATTGCTTTCAATTCACACACCTAAAGAACAAACAAACAAAAGCATTCACCTCTTTAATGGCCCTTTCTGGTAGTATTTCCCATCCTGGAGGCCCCAGGTTCCTGGAAGACTAGAATTAAGAGTTAAGAATGTTATTTTTGACTAATTGTTTATTAAGCACTTTACTAGATCCAAAGTACTCTGCTGAATGCATTGTATTTATTTTCATATTTAACCTTCACAAAAACCCTATGGGATGGAAACTCTCATACACATTTTATAGATGAGGAAAATAAAGCTCAAAAATTAGTAACTTGTTTAAAATCAGACTTAAAATCACACATTCAGGGATGGAGTCAGGGTTTGAATCCATACCCATCTAATCCTGGGACTTAAGCTCTCATGGAAGCAATACAGTAGCAGAACTGTGTAAGCTTTTTTTTGCTACTCCAAAAAGCATCATGGAGCTGATAGTATAAAGGCTTTGGGGTTACAGCCATAGCCTGTGAAGTAAGAGACCAATAATTTTCTTCACCATAATAGTCATAATGGTTATTATCACTGTCATTGTTGTAGATATTAATTGAACATCCAGTTTGTACCAAGCATTATATTCTAAGCATTTTATTTTCCATATCTTCAATTCCTGCTTTACACATGAGAAAACAAGCTGAAATAAGTATATCTTGATTTTATAAACTTAGATTGTAAGTTGCATGAGGACAGGGATGCTGTTTTTTGCTTACTATTTTATCCCTAACACGAGCGCTTTGCCTAGCCCAGAGATGGTGGTCAATAATCAAATATTGATGAATGTAGTTTATTTGGTTGTAAAATACCTGTAGACCCTCTATTCCTTCAACAGTTGCAAATAATTATTATGAAAGATACATGAATTCATGTAAAAGGGGGAAATTTTTGCTTATGAAATGCCTGGACTGATAGTGGCTGGTCAAAGAGAAGCTTATGGCTCATGGTGAGAAACTGTTGAATGTGAACAGTACTCAAGTTGGAATATAAGCTATTGAGAAGTTTTGTTAAAGGGTGATATGTGGAAAGGAAAAAAGTTAATGTTATGTATTTTTAAAATAGAAATGTAGGTGTATAAATATATATATTTATAAATGAAAACTTGATTTATGATACAGAGAACTTCAATGCAAGCAAAAAGATTGTTGCTGGGGTGAATTTCACGAGCATGTCAAAGTAGGAAAAGAAAGTTGGATATAAAATATTTTAAAAGACATACACTGAAATCTTTTTAAAAATGCTCATAATAATAAAGGACTAGATAGTGCTGATTTGTATTTGCTTGCTGACAAGTCAGCCAGTAGAATTTTTATTGTTTATGAACAATTAAGGTTGTGATAGATAACTTGAAAGCCGCTGTAATCTCTGATCATACAATAATTCATTTCACCTTCTCAAAAGCTAAGAAGTTCTTTCTATGAAATCCTACAAAAATCTTTTGGGAATAGAAAGGAAAAAAGATAAATATTTAAAATGGTGAATCTCAAAAGCATGGAATCTGTAGTCTCTTTTCTTGATGTATCATAAGTGAGGAATTTTTGGGTGATTTATAAAGGAAGCTTTCAAGTGAATAAAAGGAAATGCTGATGCCTTTGAAGAACAAACACAGATATGCATGACAGCAGAAGAAAAGAGAGGAAGATGGTGAAGAACTATGAGACCAGATATTGAAAATCAGAAATTCACTGAAACATATCCGTTAAGTTCAAGGTGACGAGGGAAGAAAGAGATCAAGTGGGACAAAAGACTGCCTAATACACACATTCCAGAGTCCATGGAGGTGGGGAGGAAAAAGGGTAAGGATTCTCTTTAGAAAGAATGGATTAAAATTGTGCCAAGAAATAATCTGTTGATAACTAAGAGTCTTTCTTCTTTCCAGAACTTGTCTGAGGCAACAAAGAGAGCAAAGAGAAAGATAAAGATGGAGTCCTCAAAGAATAAACATGATTAAGAGCAGAGCCCACAGCTCCAGATGTGAAAACCATGACTCGATTGTCAGTGAGGAGAGACTGGTCCCTGGGGTTTGCTGACCTCCCAGGGAGCAATGCATTTCAGAGAGCTGTCAGAGCAGTTTTCTTCTTTAAGCCCTGGTTTGTTAATTATTATTTTTTATTATTTAAAAAATGTTTTCTATCGATACATAATATTTGTATATATTTGTGGAGCAGATTTTAGATTGCAGAATTCAATGGTCTAAGGGAGAAGAGATGAACAAGCTTGATGTAACAAGGAAGGTTAAGAGTGATATTTAAATGGAAAGGGAAGTATATATTTTATTGTTTCCTGTTGCTGTAATAAATTATCAAAAATTGTCATAAACTTATAAACTGGCACATTTATAAACTCACAAACTTATAAACTTATAAACTGCCTTAAAATAACATGAATTTATTATTTTACAGTTCTGGAGGTCAGAAGTCCAAGATGGGTCTCCCTGGGCTAAAATCAAGGTGTTGGGAGGCTGTGTTCCTTTCTGGAGGCTCTAACGGGGAATCTGTTCTCTTGCCTTTTCCAACTTCTCAAAGCTGCATGTGTTTCTTGGCTCGTGACTCCACACCACCCTGATTTCTGCTTCCATTGTTGCATCTCCTTCTCCGACTCTGACCCTTCTGCCACCCTTTTATGAGGATCCCTGCTGTTAACAATATGTTCATCAAATAATACAGAGTAATTTCTCCTGCTTAAGATCCTCAACATTATCACATTTGCAAAGTCCCTTTTGCCATCTAAGCTGACATATCCACAGGTTCCCGGTATTGATGTGTGGACACCTTTGGGGCATGGGCGTTATTCTGCCTACCAGTTTCCTATTGCTTCTGTAACAAATTACCATAAATGAAGTGGTTCAAAACAATGCAGAAGTATGATATTATGGTCCTAGACATTAGAAATGCAAAATGGGCTTAAGTGGGCTAAACTCAGGGTGTTGTTAGGAATGCATTCCTTTCTGGAGGCTATAGGGCAGAATCTATTTCCTTGCCTTTTCCAGTTTCTAGAGGCTACCTGTATTCATTGCTTCGTGGTTTCCTTCCATTTTTAGAGCCAGTAAAGGTCAGTCCAGTCTTTTTCACATCGCACCACTCTGACACTGACAGTTCTGTATCCCTCTTCCACTTACGAGGACCCTTGTCATTCCATTAGGCCCACCCAGGCAATCCAGGGTAATCTTCTGTCTTAAGGTCAACTGATTAGCAACCTCAATTCCATCTGTAACGTTAATTCTCCTTTGCCTTGAAACCTAACGTTTTTACAAGTTCTGGGGATTAGGACATGGATATATTTGGGTGAGGGTCATTAATTTCCCTGCCACAAATATTATCCTATCGGAACTCCTAGTTCAAGATACCATTAACTCCATTTTATGGGTAAAGAAGCCCACTCAGAAGGGAGGTGCCTTACCCAAGGACACAGTTATTTTCGGAAGCAGACTTAGAATAGAACCCAATTCTCTATGACCCCAAAGCTTGGCTCTTTCCACTGAAAATATTAGATACTGAATGTGACTGAAAATATGCAGTGTCTATCATAGGCTGTAAAGACTGATTAAAATGAGAAGGGTCCTAAAGAAGAATATGGGAATGTTCCCAAAAGATCAGGGAAAGTCTCTTTTGTTGAGAAGCTTCTGAGAAACTATCAAGCATGCCAAAGAAGAGAGGGAGCAAGAAATAATACAGAAAAAAGAAAAATAAAAAAAGATTTCCATAAAGCTTAGGACCAGGCAAAAGATTTGGTGCTTCAAATGCTTCTGCAAATTTTTTTTGATGATGTCATCATACTAATGGGAACTGGGAGAAAAGTTCTTTGATCAGTGTTTGCAAATTTCCTAAACCTTGGGTTAGTATCTGACTGCTGTGTTTTATTTGATGTTAATGATTGATATAGTTTGGCTCTGTGTCCTCACCCAAATTTCATGTCAAATTGTAATTCCCAATGTTGTGAGACGGACCTGGTGGGAGATGATTGCATTATGGGGGTGGATTTTCCCCTTGCTATTCTCATGATAGTGAGTTCTCATGAGATCTAGTTGTTTGAAAGTGTGTAGCACTTCCCCCTTCGCTCTCTCTCTCTCTCCTGCTCCACCATGGTAAGACATGCTTGCTTCCCTGTCACCTTCCTCTATGATGGTAAGTTTTTGGAAGCATCCCAGCTATGCTCCCTGTACAGCCTGCAGAACTGTGAGTCAATTAAACCTTTTTTCTTCATGAATGCCCCAGTCTCAGGTAGTTCTTTATAGCAGTGTGAGAACGGACTAATGAAATGATTTAAACATATTTTATTTTGTCTTTGAAAACTACCAAATTCATTTTGCAAAAACAGTATAAATAAACAAACCAAAATATAATTGTGTGAGAAAATATGAATATAAATTGATGTTATGTGATTAGCATCTTTATGCTCAATGGGCAGGAAAAGAAACTAAAACCATAAAGGGCAAGAGAGAAAGTTCCCCATGTGGTCTTCATAATGGAGTAGGCTTTACATATATCAGACAACAAAGAAGTGGTTTGTAAATAAAGGACAGAGATAGGAGAGACATAAGTTTGTCCAGCCACAACATGTATAGATACAATCTTTCTGGCAATAGCAGCATTTAAAGCACATGGATTCTACCAGAGAACTTGGAATATAAACTCCATGAGGACAAGGTCAGTGTCTATTTTGTTCCCCTTGGATGCTCAAGTTGTAAAGCATAAACATTTATTGAATGGACCAAAATAACATTTCTTCTTCAATAAACATTTATTGAATGGACCAAAGTGAGTTTAAAAATGCAAACGCACAATAGATTATTTTAAAAAGCAAAGACAATAAAACGTTAATAAGAGTGTAGGTGCAAAAATATATTTTTTAACTGGGGAGAAAAAAAGGCAGCAGAAGAGAACCAGCTATCCAGAGGTTTTAAAGTTATTGTTGGAGAAAAGACCAAGCCTGATTTTATTGTTCTGTTGTATCTTTGTTGGTATACTTCTTCAGGGGTTTCACTGACAGCACAGCCTGGTGTGGCATCAGCCTATGGCTTTGTGTTCACTTTAGTATGAATACAGAAAGCAGACAAATTTGAGGCATGGCATCAGTGCAAAGGGACTTGTAATATTCCCTCCAGGTATTGTTAGGAGCTCAATGCTGCTGACGAGGGACCACAGTTTGGATTTTGGAACACCTATGGGAAAATAGTGTTTCTCTGAAGTATAAAGATTTTAAAAAGGGAAAGATTTAGATCAGGCAGAAATGAAGTAGAATGAAGCAGATCAGAGGGTACAAAACCCAAAAAGCAAATGCTGAATGTTGTTTTCACTTTTATATTTGAGCTGTGCAAACCCAATGTCAAAACCTTTTACACTAAACAATCAGAGAGAATCAAACAGGAGTATGTATAAATAAGTGCTTTGGGAACCATGAGTTTTACAAGAATGCAAATCACTTATACTTGTGGGTTCTCAATCAATATTTGCTGGTTGGAGATGGCAGACAAAATTTGTGGATGCTCATCAAAGCCCCAGGCTTTGTGTCAGTGACTGACAACTAAGAATCGGTGTGTGTTGTGTGTGTCTATATGTGAACTTTTTTTGTGTGTGAGTTTTAACATCACCAAAGAACCTAAAAGGAAACCAAGCATAAAAAGTGCCATTAAAACAATATTAAGGTTCTGACAGATTGAGAAAGGGAGAGAATTCAGTGTTAAGATTGTCAGTTTTCATTCATTTTAAATACTAATAGAGGATAATTGCATTGAAACAAAGGATAAATGTTTGAGGTGATGTATACCCCATTCACCCGGATGTGATTATTATGCGTTGAATGCCTGTGTTAAACTATATCATATAACCCAGAAATATATGCACCCACCATGTACCCACAAAAATTAAAAATTAAATCCCCTCCAAAAAAAGATTGTCACTTTTCAACCCAAGAGTCATGAGGGGAATGCATCATAGCACACTCAACCCAGGAAGTCATTAAGTAAGGTACAACATGAGAAAGATTGCATGCCTCATGCAGAAATAGGAAGCCTCAGAAACTGCTAATGGAAATATGAAATGGTGCAGCTATTTTAGAAAGCAGTCTGGCAGTTCTTCAAATGATTAAACACGGAGTTACCATATGACCCAGCAATTCTCATCCTAGGTGTATACCCAAAGAGGAATAAAAGTGTACATTGATACATAAACTTGAATATTTATAATAGTATTGTTCACAATAGCCAAAAGGCAGAATTGACTCAAGTATCCATCAATGGACTCATGAATAAACATAATGTGGTATATTCATACAGTGGAATATTATTCAACTATGAAAAGGAACAGAGTACTGATACATGCTACAACTTGCATAAACCTTGAAAACATTATGCAAAGTGAAAGAAGCCAGTTACAAAGAGTACATATATTATGTAATTCTTTTCATATAGATGTCCAGAATAGTAAAATCTGCAGAGGCAGAAAGTAGGTTCATGGTTTCTTAGGGCTGGGTACAGAGAGATGACAGGTTTTATTTGAGGTGACGAAAATGTTCTAACATTGACTGTCATGATATTGTTCATATTTGTGAATGAACTAAAAAACATTGAGTTATATACTTTAAATGGATGAATTTTATAGTATGTGAATTATATCTAAATGCAGCTATTTTTTAAAAAAAGATTGCATGCCTCATCCCAAAGCAGTATTCATCAAGGGTGTCCTTTCACCTTCAGTCCACAGTCTCTACAAGTGGCGCCCCATCTCCATCCCTCCAGGCAGCCTGTACTCATGGCTCCTAGCAGAGTTAGAATACTTGGATCTGAATGTCCAGGTTGTATGACCACAGGCGAGTCATATGACATTTTAAGCCTCAGTTTCTTCCTCTGTAAAATGCAAATAGAACCTGCCTCTTAAGGTAAAGTGTTTTGCAAGTGCCTGGCATATTATACACACATAACAAACAAGAGCTGGCACTATTATTCACCCATGGCACACTCAGGCATGCTGAGGCCTGCTTGCCAAATGGGGCCGTCTTGGAGACAGTTCCCACAACAATATTTTGTAGGAACTCTTGGAAATAATTTGTTAAAGTTTTTCATTTGGAAACTTGAGGTATTTTTGGAGTCTCCAAAATGAAAGGTCGTGTTGGATGGTAGCAGCTGGTGGGAACCTGAAGCTGAAACTGGGTGAGTTTTCATGAGTTCACATGGGCGACTTCCTTTCTCTCCTGTTAGCTTTGTTGTTGCTGTCCTATAGAAAGGAGTGAACCTGGACATCAAAGGCTCAAATGTGATTTAACCCTGTGAGATTATATGCAAATTAGCATAACAGAGTGACTATAGTCAATAATAACTTAATTTTACATTTTAAAATAACTTAAAGAGTGTAATTGGATTATTTATAACTCAAAGGATAAATGCCTGAGGGGATGCATACCCTATTCTCCATGATGTGCTTATTTCACATTGCATGCCTGTGTCAAAACACCTCATACACCCCATAAATAGATACACCTACTATGTACCCAAAAAACTAAAAATAACAAAAATTTCAAAATTCTGTCCAGATGCACATTCTTCTAAGGAGAGGGCTTCCAACTCTGAAAGAAGTTTACGATTTCCCCCCAAATATTTAAGAAACTGAGAGAATAAGTCAAGACATAAGGATTCCAGAACTAAGTAGTCTTTTTTTTTTTAAGTCCTACCTGTAAACTTTTTCTTACAAACTTGGCCAAGAAACAAACTTATGTCTTTTGGTGTTTGTTTGTCATTATTTCCTTTATTCATCAAAATTATTTAAGAATTTTATCATATGATTTACCTTAACAAGAGTAACTAATTTCCAGTAGTGATGAATATAATTTTTTCCCAAATGGATGCAGTAGAAATAGAAATATGACATTACAAAGGATTGCAAGACTGTTGCATTTTTTTCCTGCTTATCGTCACTGCTGTTGATTTATATGCCATCAGTGGAGAAGTGTTAACAGCCTGAGTTATTTATCTGTAACATGGTTTGGGTTCTGAAATTATTCATGCTACTCAAGCACTGAATTCTTAGAAGATGTATACTTTGCTATTTTTCTATCTACTGGTTATGCAGTCAGGTTTATAAATATGCCATAATGAACGTGCCTGGGAAGAAATGAATTTTTATCAGTGTCTATTATCTGGCAAATATTTTTAAAAAGACTGATTTTTTTTAACAAAAGACTAAAACTCATTACTTTTAAAAGCGCATTCTGCATGAAGATGTTGGTTTTATTCTTTTACAAATATTTTCATGGTATGTAGGAAAGTAATTTTCTAATGGGTATACCTTGAGTAATTTAAGTAAAATAAGTAGAGTCACGCTATTGCCCTAACATCATTTATTCATATATTCATTAAACATTTATTTACTGAGGGCTGCTATGTCCTGGACCAAGGATAAAACAGTAGAAGGTAGAGAACCTGCTGTAAGGCAGGAGCTCAAACATGTTATTTCCCTTCCCTTGCTATTGGATGAAATCACTGTGCCAAAAAATTATGATTCAGAATCGTTAAACGTTATGTAACTGAAATGCATTGGAAGCCGTGGTGTGAATTCAGGGCTGATTTTCAGAGAGTGTCCATCAGTTTGTAGCAAAGAGAAAATACACAAAAAGTTGAAGGCTTCTATGGGAATTATAAAATTTATGACTTGTTTCTAAGTCAAGGGCAGAGAGAACATTCCTAAATAAACACTTTTCTCATCTAGACAAAGAGAAGGAACAGAAGACGAAGCTAGCAAGCTTCCCATGATTTCACTGCAATTCATTACGTGACCTTCTCCAGCCACACTGGACACCCTTTCACATTTCCTCCCCAGCAATCCAGAAGCCCTGCAACAGCCACCTTTAGGAAATCTTTGCAGTATTAATAAAAATACTTCTCTGAGCGGGGGGCCAAGTACTTTCTAGGCACCACTAAGGAGAATTACCCAGGCTGAACTAAACTGTATTTTATCCAGATTAAAAAATAAATAATATTTATTTATGACCAGTTTATCTCTCTCCCTCCCTTCCTTCCTTCTTTCTTCTCTCTCTCCACCCCTCCCTTCCTTCCCTTTTTCTTTCTCCCACTACGTTATATGCTCCTTTGAAGGCACAATCAAGTCAGTCTTTTTTTGTCACAGTATCTTAGCACCAAACAGAGTGCCTGGCATATAGATATTCAATAAATAATTGAATGAATGAATGAATGAATGGATGAGTGAATGAATTCAGCAAATATCTGTGAAGAGCCTAATATTCATGAAGAATGGTGCTAGGCCCTGGGAGTGGGGATGGAAAAGGAAATGGATCAAGGATGAAATAAAAGTCCTATGTTAGTGAAAGTCTATGCCCTTCCTATTTAGCCAACATTTGACCTGGGGACTCGGCTTCTGTAAGTCAGAAGTGCCAGACTTGTGTTCTTTTATACCACATTCTAGCTGCATGAGCTTAGGAAAATTATTGAAATCTCCTTTGGCTTCATGTCCTTGTTTCTAAAATGAAATAATGTTTACTTGTCTTATTTACCAGGATTGCTGTGAGGATCAATTGATTTAATGTGCATGAACACCTCTGTAAACTATGAAGCTATTAGGTTATTTTGGCCTAAACAGGAGATGATGCATACAAAACCACTAATCATTATAAAAGTAAAATGATTATGGCACAACAGAAGTTCAGATAAGATGCCATGCATGTGGATCACACTGCAAGAATAGTAATTAGAATAGTGCTGCTAACTCAATAGTACTATCTTCAATATCATACATTAGGAAACTTATTCAGAAAAGCCCAGGGTCATGCAGCCAATTCTCCTTAGTGGTGCCCAGAAAGCACTGGCCCCAGTTCCAGAGTCATATTTTTATGAGTAGTGCAGATTGGATGGCTAGATCTGCTCTTTCATTGAACTCTGTGTCTATTCCAAATTCAGTTCAGTTGGTTAGCATAGAAATATATCAACTATAGAAATATATCAACTAAAAGATAGTGACGTTGCTGCCATTTTTCTACCATTTCATTTTTTGATATCCTTCTGGGTTCAAACTTAGATCACACATAGAATACGTATCTTTTCTACACATCCTTAAAGGATCTCAAGAGGATCTTCACACATAAATCAGGAGAGGGATAAGCTTGTGTGTCTATTAAATGCTAAAATGATGTTCAAATTATGGAAAATCCTTACATCATTGGTTCAAGGGAAAAAAGAACTGGACTTCTTGTTCAAATGAACAGGCAGTCAGTTTCAAAGAAGCCGCAGCCAGAGGACTCTAGTTTGTCTTCATCTCCCACTCAGGACATTCTGTCAGAATAAAGATGTCATGTTCTCCCAGGAGAAATATATCCTTGGAGAAGGACAGTGCAGGTTAAGCATGTCCATCAGTGTGAGCTCAGGACATTGTCAACAAGTAGTCTGTTTTCATACACTGCAGCAGGTTACCCTTGTGACCTGGTCTGGGGTTCTCTATGCAGAATTCCCTCTCTCTGCTTCTGTGGGTGTTGGAGCTGGAAGGAATAGGGTATGTCCCTGCAAATCCTGTTGGCTGCTTTCTTGTGCCACTCAAGTTGAAAAGGGCACATTACATGTGTCCCTTTGGGGTCTGGGGAATGGGTTCCTGGAAATGACAGTGAAAACCGAATCAGCATTTGTTCCCGGTGGTTCTAGCATAGTACCTTTGAATTGGTGTTCCAGACGTCCTGCACCTGCATGCCCTCATTTTTTTTTCTTCAAATTCCTTGAAGTCGTGACATGCCTCTGACAATTGTTTTTCTTTTAGCTACTGTACTTTGGATTGTTGGCCCCTCCTCTGAGGCTACAGTAAGGCTTATGCTGGCCATTGCAAAAGGATTTTCACTCAACCCACAATTGTCTGCCTATCTTTATCCTCTCCTTCCTCAGCCATTTCCTGGGAGATGCCTTGACGCTGGGAAAAACGTATGAATTTTGTCATCCTGCTTAATACTTCTTCTTGGCATTTTGGTGGCACTCCCAGAACATCCCTCAAGAACAGAGACTTCCTGTTAACAGGCTCCTCTGTCTGTTGGCCAACTGTGTAACCTTGGGCAAATTTTTAATCTTTCTGTGCTTCAGTTTTCTCATGAGTAAAGTGGGGAGGATAATAGCATCTACCTCATAGAGTTATTTTGAGGATTAAATAGATTAATACAGATAAAGCATACCTGACTCATAATAAGTACTATATGAGGATAAGATTAAAAAGAAACAACAACAAATACTCTCACTGGCTGGTAAGGGTGCTCATTCTTCCATGCTGTTTGACCAGCCATTAGATGACATATACATATGTGTGTGTGTGTGTATGTGTGTGTGTATGTATACATGTAGATATACATATACGTATGGATATATGTCACTATTCAGTGCTGTAACATACACATCTTATGTATATGTATGCTGTAATGTATACATATATATGTTTAAAATTGAAATATAATTGCAGACAAACTCTGCCGTAAGGTATCAAAGCTTAATTAGGGAAGCAGTAAACAGTAAGATGTCATCGAATTTGTTCTTCAGGTTTTATCATGAGTTACAATATGCTTCAAACATCAAGTAAGAACCAACATCTGCTTCTTGGTCTTTCTCATCCCTAGGGGCAGCAGCGTTTGCCTCAGTCTTATGATTGAATAATGAATTGATTAACGAACAGCAGAACCAGTGTTTCCGCTCTTTTGTTGTGTCTCCTATTATTCTGTTAGAAATCAAGGTACCATTGGTTATAATGATAATAGAGAGAGTAATTTTGGTTTTCTTCAATGCCTGCTCCATGCTTGATCTTGTACCAAGCACTTCTCAGCACTTTACACAATAAAATTGTAACCTCTTACTTCCTGCACCTTCCTCAAACTAGGAAACTTCACTTCTTCAGAAAGAACATACCTTCCACAGATCATCAATGAGCATTGAGGACTACATTGTAGATTTGTAGGAGATGCAGGACAGAGTCTATTTTCCATGCGACACAGCAAAATATTTAATAGAAATCCCCTTTTAGATATTTCTGCTCCCTTCTCTCCAAATTCTCTCTTCCCAGTGGTACTTAGATTCTCCTTTCCCTCAATTTCTGTCCTATGATCTGAAGGAATTAAGTTCACTGAAAACTTGCACACCCCTTTCAGCAAATAAAGCCCCAAAAGTAAGTGGAGCCATCTTCCATAGAATGAAGTAGGGTCGCTTAATTGCCAGTTGGACATAGTCCTCTAACCCTTAAACCAATGATCAAAGTTTCTTTCCAGTGACTTAGAATCCTCTCCCTAAAAGGAATCCTGATGCTAAGAAAAGTAACATTGTTTTCCATACATTTACATACTGGTTAGCAATTGTTTTGAGCACTTACAATGTGCTAACTCCCATGTCTTGAACTTTACACCCATTATCATTTATGCTCAATAGCTCTATGTTACCCAACTTTCTTGGAATCAGGTGATGCTTGCTAAACTACCAGGTGGGACACAGTAGAGAGGGGGCTAAATAGGAGCAGGAGGAGAGAGGGAAAGGGAAGCTAGAGCACACTGGTTCGAAGTATGAGTCCGAAACTAGACTGCAGGGTCTCAAATCCCAGCTCTGTCATTTCTTGCTTGTGGGGCCTGCTTGAGTAAACCTTTGTAGAGGTAAATGTTTACCATTGTAAACCTCAGTTTTTTTCTCTTATTCAAATGGAGATCATAATTGTACCTATATCATAGAACTGAGATGACAATTAAATGAGATAGTATTTATCGGGTGCTTAGCCCAATGCTTGGCACTGAGTATGAGGTGTTCAACAAATTATTTGTTATTCTTCTTCTTATTATTACTATCCATAGCAGCCTCACGCTGGTCATGTTGATAATTCATTCTTCTATCTGTAGCACTGCTTTTTTTCTTCCTTTGAGATGGATTCTCACTTCTGTTGCCCAAGCTGGAGTGCAGTGGCATGATCTCGGCTCACTACAACCTCCACCTCCCCGGTTCAGGCGATTCTCTTGCCTCAGCCTCCTGAGTGGCTGGGACTACAGGCATGCACCACCATACCTGGCTAATTTTTGTATTTTTAATAGAAACAGGGTCTCACCATGTTGGCCAGGCTGGTCTCGAACTCCTGACCTCAGGCAATCCACCCTCCTTGGCCTCCCACAGTGCTGGGATTACAGGCGTGAGCCACTGCGCCTGGCCTGTACCACTGCTCTTTCATCTAAAATGAAAGGGAGAGGGGCACGGTGGCATGAGCCTATAGTCCCAGATACTTGTGAGGGTGAGGTAGGAGGATCACTTACACCCAGAAATTCAAGGTTACGATGAACTATGATCACGCCACTGCACAACAGCTTGGGCAACAGAGCAAACGCCATCTCTAAAAAAATTTGTTTTAAAGGGAGAGGGAATAATAATGCTTTGCTCTTCCCATGTATTCAAATAAAAACTTGAGGCAAATTAAATTCAGCAGAATTTAACTGAGCAAAGAACTATTCACAAATTGGGCAAACCTCAGAGCCAGAAGAGGTTCAGAGAGTTCCCCTTTACAACATGGGCGGACAGCATTTATGAAAATGGAAGTGAGGCATAGAAACAGCTTGATTGGTTATAGCTTGGTGTTTGCCCTATTTGAATAAGGTCTGATCAGTGATGGATTGGAGCTTAGCTGCTGTGATGGGCCAAGACTCAGCTATTTGTTACAAAAGTATACTCCTAAAGTCGGCTTTCAGTTAGTTTCTGTACTAAGTTAGGTTGCAGTTGTTACATAAGGAATCAAAGTATAGAGTCATTCTCAGGCCAAATTTGGTTCAATTCAACACAAGCAACAAGAAATTCAGGAATGATAAGTATAAACATACCTTGGAAAATTCATAAAGAACCACACAAATATTAAGGAATACCATTCTCAATAGAGCATTACTGGAATAGAATTAAGAACTGCACTAGGTCCATGTGATTCAGAGTAGAAGTTTTCATTTAATTCCTAAGTCAATTTATCAAGTAAAGCAATTCAACACATCTCCTCTCCCCAGAGACCAATCCATAACTGTCATTTGACACATTTACAGCCCACTTCCTTCAGAGAAAATGCTTATTGAATGTTGTACAATAAACCATTTCCTAGTCTTGGTGCTGAACAACAGTGACCCACAGGCCCCTTCTCTGTTTCAATGAGCTAAATGCTGGTGGTTTTTTTTTTTCCCCCACAGCCTAACCAACCCAGCTTCCCACGAAATTCCAAATGGATTAACTCTTTCTGCTCAAGGGGGCTCAAATGCTGAGCTAGCTGAAGTGTATTCATTCTAAAACTGGAAACAGAACAGGATAAAATAGACCATTTGAGTTTTCCTTAGAGCTTGGCTCTTCTTTGCTGTTTCAAAATCTCTGACTCACCATTTGTACTGAACAAAAATGACCAGGACTCCAGAGGATAAAAGTACATCCACACTTTACAGCCACGGTATCTCTGCCCTGCCAGGGTTCAAGGTTCAGGTTTTACCTAAAGGCCTCAAGGACTTGATACCTGTGATTCCTGGACTACTCTCTTAGGTAGACCTTTTAACAAACTCCACCTTGGTGCTTCTTGTTAGTTAGGCTGGTCTTGCTGACTCTGTGAATCTGGAGTCTCGCTTTTGACACCAGGGAACCTGCCTGTTCCTCACTGCCTTGTCTGCTTTAGAGCACTGGTCAGTAAGTGACAAGCTAGCTTTTGACACCAGGGAACCTGCCTGTTCCTCCCTGCCTTGTCTGCTTTAGAGCATTGGTCAGTAAGCGACAAGTCATAGGTTTGATTGCTGATGCAGAGATTTGAAAGTTGTGGCTGCATGGGCAAGTCAGCTTAACCTCTTTGAGTCTCTATGTCTTTTTATTTTTTAATCTGCAGAGCGGGGTTTCATGAGTTTCTCCATATGGATGTTATGATAATTAAATGAAATAATGAATACAGAAGTTGCTTTTACAACAACTGGTATATGAGATGGTCTCAAGCAATATTAGTTAAAGTTGGGTGTTTATCTGTGCCTCCAATATCTGCCTCCTTATAGTTTCCATATCCTCCAGATGCTTCTAGTGCCGACCTCAGCTGCCTTGCCCTTCTTTCATTGTTATTTTTATCCCTTCAAGTGCACACACTGACCTTTGCATTTGATGCCTGGAAAATAATTTGTCTCAACATTCTAAGTCTATGTCAATTAAAATAAATTTAATGCATTTCTCAAAGCCTCCACATTCATTTCTACTGGAAAAATCCAAATGCAAATGAGACATCTGGTTCTCATGTACAGATGGTCTGTGCATTATTTGCATCTTTGTCAAATCAAGCTAATGTGAAACCTCATGTCATATGGTCTGCATGTCCTCTGTTTCTTTGCTAGGGATTATATATGATGAAAAAATATGACCAAGATATGATGAAAATATTTTCTGAAGTCACACTAATTTGTGTTTTGCTGTAAGTCAAATCACTTGATTGTTCTGATAAAATATTTGTCGAGTTTTCCCATGTCTGTGGCACTGTTTTTGATTCTGTGGGAAATTCAAGAAAACCATGCTGTAGACTCTGCTCAGGAGGGTAACATCAGAAGCCCTGCCATTTCATAGAGAAAGCATAGGATTATGCATTGCAAATCCTAGGACTGGCTTTTGTCATTGGAGTCAAGTTTTCCAAACTCTAGGTCTGATGATTAATTTAAAATCAATTAAAATTGAGTAAAGATTTTCCACATGTATACTATTACTACTAGTAGTATATGGTCTATGATGAACAAGCTTCAGTCCTTGCCCTTTAAGAGTTTTCAGTTTGATCGAGAGAGGCAGAAAAGTAACTGGATAATTGTAATACAGTGGGATTAGTGCAAACGTCATTCCTATAAGAAGGCATTGAAAGCATGCACTTGCACACACATACGAGAGCTAGGGTGGATTTTAGTCCCAGCTCAAATGCCAGCTTCCTCCTCTCAACTCCCCCAGCATTTTATCTGAACGTCCATGATGGCCCTGTTCCATTTTTGCATCCTCCGCAAGTATTTGTAGAATGAATGAACAATTTCCTTACCTTTTCCAAACACAGGAAGCTGGTATCTATAGCTGAATAGTTACTGCTCGATATCTGATCCTGCATACTATTAGGCAAGCTGCTAGGGTAGTGATAAAGTCCCTTGGAACCTCACCCCTGAGAACTTATATCTTTGCGTGACCCTGAAAAGGGTGGGAATTCAATGAAATGAGTAAATTATCAAAAACAAACAAGAAGAACCAAACTCTGGAATTTTAAACACGGATGACCTTGCCTCACATAATGCTGAGGGTCATATGAAAGCCCACTTTGGCCAAAGCATCTTCCCAAAAATCCACCCAAGAACACCCTCCTTCCTTCCCTTCACCCATGGTCCCCATACTCCTCAGTTTGCTTCTCCAGCCCCTGTGTTTACTCTGGTTTCTGTCTCTGTGCCTGACCCTTCTCAGGTCTAGAGACTGGCTGTGGCGCCCATATCTGATCTTTGTTTCCACCTTTATTCTCTGCTGTTTCTGTCTACTTGACCTGAGTGTCATGTACGACTTCAAGTAAAGAACTCCCACAAGGTGGCTTCCTCTCTAAGAAACTCTCAGCCTAGGCAGGTCCCCAGTTTTCCATTAGGGAGGGAGACTTTGGATAAGTAAAGAAGGATGGGATTGAGGTGTCTGGGTTCCAGGTACAGCAGTTACCAAATGCGTAATCTCAGATAATGGATTTTACCTATATTTTGCCTACTTTCCCATCTGTAAAAATGGAGGTAGTACCTACCTCAGGTGCTTGTGAAAATCAAACTTGAATCAATGTATGTATAAGCGCTTCAGAGGAAGATAACATTAAAAAAATAGCAGTTCTTTCCTCTCTCACCTCTCCCTCATGTGGCCTCAGTTTCCTCCCAGGCCCGAGTGTCAATGTGATATTCTTCTTAAGGCAGAAGGATTAGGAAGGCCCCTTCCTAAGGACATTCCAGGCTTACCTATCTTTGATGCTTTTTCCTGGTCTTCAAAGATTATTTCCTGTTCACTCTCTCAATTCATCTCAGGAACACTGAAGTATCCCCCAGTCTGATGCATGCCAATTATTTTGCAGCTAACTCATTGACAGTTGAACATGACATCAATCCGGGTATTGATAATAATAATACCAAAAGAATCAAGGTCAGCAAGAAAGGACTCATGATGTGTTACATCATTTCCAACAGTCTCAAGTAGGACTGTTCTGGCTATCTTATTTTTTACTTTTACCTTAAGGATTTTATACTGCCTTTGTGTGTGCCTAATTTTTGCCTTAGTCATCTGGGTCTAAGTGGTTCCTTATTGCCTGAGCCTGACCCTGATGCTCTCTTGAGGAGGAATTTGTAATCTTTTGTTGACACACTAGCAGTGTGGGTGCATCAAGAAAGAGAAGCAATTTGAGGGGTTGTTAAAAAAGCCAAGAGTGCATTCCAAGACATGGAATCAAAAGAGTATGTCAGAAGGAGCCCAGGTTTTCAACAATTTGGCTTTTATCCTCTACCTTCCAGAACTATGACTAAATAAATATCCTTGTCCTTGATCTTTAAAGGCAAATGGGACATTTACCCCATTATGTATTAGTCTATGTCCATCTCCATCTCCTTCTCCATCTTGTCTCTGTCTCTGTCTCTGCCTTTATCTCTGTCACTAATCAATGTAGAGAGGTGTACCAATGTCTTTTGGGAAGTTTCTGCACCTGTATGGCCATTGTATGTCATGCTATGTATGTGAGTGGACAGGTCGGCCTCTATATTTTTTTCTACAATTAAGTGCAGATGCAAGCACCAGTGAGCTCCTTATAATACAGGTTTTTGTGTTTGGGACATAAGCACTGATTTCTGGATCTTGGAGTTGAATGCCATCATTGACAGGAAGGAGCGAGGTCAGTTGCTCTTCAGTCCAAGAGGTAGAAGGACCCCCAAGCCATTACATTCCCAGGCAGACAAATGAAACTGTTACAGAGGCTGCTTCTCAGGCTCCCAGTCTTTCCATCCAGACTTTATTTCATGGCAGATGAGCATGCTCTAAAATGTGAAGAAGATGAGAAAGTCTATTGAGGATCAGCCTTGAAAAGATCTTGTCCTTCTACCATATTCAGCAATCGGTGAAGCATAGAAGACAGGGTACACATGCTCTCCCTGGAGGAAGTACAACCTAGCACTGAGGCCAGTGTCTGTAGAGCCAGGCTGCCTACTTCCTCATTCTGCCCTGAACCTCTTATTTCCTAGCCGGGTGACTTTGAGCAAATTATTTATCTCCTTAGACTCCGTTTTCCTCAGTTAGTAATATTGCTGATTTCACAGTGAAGTCTAATGCTTAAAGGACTTAGAACAGTGGCTATTTACAGGTAGAGCTCAGGGAAGAGTTATCTATTATTCTATGTCCTAAAATCTAATGAAGGGCTTACATTCTTTGCTCTCCTTCCTCAATCTCACATCTATCCTGCAAAATGTCTGAGAAGTTATTTTCCCCGATTTTCAAGCATAGAAACTGAGGCCTGAGGAAACAAGGGGAAATGGTCTGGGTAAGAATGAAGCTGTCTAAATACAGAAACCAAAGCTCATGTTTTTCTCCTATAAACGATTCTACAACATTACTTGCTCTTTAGGATGGGAAGAAAGGCATAATTTTAACCCAAATTCCCCCACAATAGTTTGGGGTTTCTTTGCTAATACTCCTTTTATTGTTCCTCCTCTACCTCCAAAGAGGTCTTCAACTTTTCCTTGAGTGGAGGAAAAATAATGTCTGCATCATACATATACAGCAAAAAGCCTGTCTCTCATCCACCCCCCAACCCCTGGTTATATACAACAAAATATCATGAATGCAAGGTGTCTTAAGGCAGGGATTTTAAAAATTGCTATATCCTCCACTAGAAATGTGTTGAATAAATGGATGGTTGATGATTCATTTCTTTTGGTCTCCTTTTATCAGGATCTCATTAGGTGTCTGGTACTTCACTCTCTCAAGAAACACTTATTAAAAACCGAGTATGGTCCAGCCACGATAGCAGATGCCAGGAGTGCAAAGACAGAGACAGAATTGATGCTTTCAAGAGCCCAGAATCCAGTAAGGAAAGTGGGAAATGTAGAGAGATTCGGGGACACAAGGGGTGTTCAACTTTTGACATTACAACAGAGTGAAGGAATTGATCTGAAAATCCCAGCTTGCATTATGTTTGTAGTGTAAATCTAATGGAAATCGTCACATTAGAAAACTTAGCAAAACAATAGACGCTGAACCCTAAGAAACATAAAAAATATGTAGAGAAAGGAAACAATGCTATGCCATTTTTCTGCAGGTAAGAAGTGTTTCAACCAGATCGTTGTTGTTGTAGTTGTTGTTGTTGGTTTGAAGGAACTATTTCCCGGAAATGTTTACATATGTCCTTTGCAGGCTTCTCTTTGCCACTATATATGGTCCAACTCATTGGAGATCCTAATCAGCCCAAGGACCCAGAAATAAGAGCAACCCTACAGCTAACCACTCTATGTACCGTACCTCATAAGGATATAACTGAGCCTCTTCTGGCTATATCCACTAGGCCTGTTTTTGGCTTAACTGAGCTAACTGGCCATAGGCTTGATTGAACTTGAGAAATGAGATTTTGGAAAGAAAATGTGACCTTTATCAAGGATTCTTATTAAGTATCTACCTGTATGTGGGTGCTGCCAGATCAGCGAAGAGTGTGTCATTCTGCCTGCCTTCTGATGGCTCTTAATCTAGATGTTCCATGTATATAGATAAAGGATGGTAAAGGGGCTTGACCCTTTGGCAGTTGCATTCATGGCCTTCCAGAAGGAATCCAGGGGCCTGCGCTTTGGCTTATCTAAGCATCAGGATCTCATTAAGCCTCCATGTGTGAGTGAGACCAGATCTCTTGACCCGGATACTTTCAAGTTGTGTCAAAGAACATACATACTTGCCTATCATTGAAATATCAGCATCACAGGACACCCAGAAACACCACGCAAAGGGAACAGAAGAATTTGAAGAAACAAACTCTATCCATCCAGAAACTGGTCCATCATTGGCATCTAGAGAGAGGTAGAAAAGAAAATGATGTGGAGACCAAAGAGCTTGCATTCTGCCTGAGTCTAGAACAGACACCACCAATTGCTCCACAGCTAGCAGATCATAATCCTTTGCACACAACATGGTTATCATCCAGATGGAAATCCCAACATTGTAACATATGCCTGGGGTGATAAAACACATTGCTGGAGCAAACCTGTTTCTGAGAGAAGTTTCTCCAGGGAAAGTTGGACTCCTTTCTCTCCACACTGCCACACAACCTAGGTACGATGTAGCCAGGTGACCAACCCTATGCACACATTCTAGTCTCTTTTTCAGACCTATCCAGGTTAAGTGACTTGCATGAGACCACCCAGGAAACAGGTGATTCACTGGTGCTTATCCTTGCCAGAGTTTTATTTCCAGCCACATCTTCTCTACTCATTGTTTCTTCTCAGTCTAAATGAATCTCTTCTTTCTCTCCAATATAGACTTTTTACTCAAGCCAGGCCAGTTTACTCAGGCACCTTATCTAGAGTACTTTTTCATTTCTCCCTTGTCCACTTCATGCTTTTATAATTTGGCACAGAGGTCACCTGCATTAGCAAATATTTTCTAAAAACCCTAACTTACATTGGGCTCTAAATGAGGAAGGAAGGAGATGTAACAACAGGGATAAGTGGGCTGGGGCCGAGTACAGTGGCTCATGCCTGTAGTCTCAGCACTTTGGGAGGCTGATGTGGGTGGATTACTTGAACCTATGGGGTGGAGAGCAGCTTGGGCAACATGGCAAAACCCTGTCTCCACAAAAAAATACAAAAATTATCCGGGCTTGGTGGAGCATGCCAGCCTCCCAGCTACTTGGGAGGTTAAGGTGGGAGGATCACCTGAGCCCAGGAAGTCAGAGGGTGCCCTGAGCCAAGATTGTGCCACTGCACTCCAGGCTGGGTGACAGAGTGAGAACTTGTCTCAAAAAAAAAAAACAAAAACAAAAACAAAAAACAGAACTAGGAATGGGGTTCAGACAGGAGTTGATGAATAGATAGATGTCAGATTTTTAATAGATAGATGCCAGATTTTTGTGTGTGTTGTTGTTTCCATTTCCTCAACCAGAACTTTTACATCAGCCTTTACATCCATGCACATGCAGTCCAGTTTGCTTTGTGCATTTCATAGGAGATGAAACCATGGCTCAGAGAGGTGAAATGAATTTCCCAAGGTCACATAACTAGTTAATAAAAGCTAGAATCTAGGTATTTTTTCAGTGAAGTCTTCTATTTTACAAGAAATGGCAAAGACTACCTCCTCACACACTTCTCCAAGTTTTCACCATTAGTATGTTGATTTCCATAAAAGGAATGTTATGTACTGCTGTTCCCAAAGCTGCTTGTCCTGTCTCCTGATGCTGGTCCTTCCTTCTGCTGCATCCAGGTGGCACCGCCACCACGGGACACCTCCACCATCATTGCTAGTACAATGGGAGCCCCAAACCTTGGTTTGGTCACCTCCTAATCCCCTTGTTGGTGAGGGAGGAATTACCACCTTAGGATCTGGGGAGTGTCTGGCACTGGACAGATGATATTTACAGTTCAGTAGCTACATACACTCACAGTCTGGCAAAGGACCACAACACATACCATGCAGGACCACCCAGTGCTTGCCCTTAAGAACAGAGTGAATGACCAAGGTATGGGAGACAGGCTTTGCAGTAACAAAAGGGCAAGGTGCCCCTGTTTCTTATGGGAGAAAATGATTGGCTTATTTAAATAACTCCCTGGGCTGGCAGGGATCTGAAATCCACTTTCAGGAATAAGCAGGAACTGCATGTGGTCCGTTTGATGAATATTGCTTGGCTGGGGGACATTATCTGTGGGAGCAGAGTGAAGAGAGGAACGTGTAGTTACGCCTTTTTGAGGTGCTCCTGGTTTCACCAAATGTCAAAGAAGCACGTAACACTGACCCTGAATTTCAGGCCTTATACACCAGCCCATCTGTGTTCTCACCAAGGGGAGAATGCCTCCCTCCCCTGTGCTTTACAGTTTGTTGAAGGCTTACCAAAGCGGAGTTTTCAGTATAAACAGTTCTTTCACTTTTATTTTGTTTTACTACTCATAGAATCCCTCTTAACAGGGAAGACATCCAAATTACAGATACAAAGCTGTACTCACAAACCCCAGACCCCTTTGGACACTGGGACTTTGTTTCTGGTAAGCTCATCTGTCTGCCTCCCTCAGTCCTTTCCCAGGGGTCTCCTCAAGCTCTCAAGCAAATAGATCCACGGTTGGCCCTGCCCAGGAGCCTGGCCAGTTTTCACAGATTTAACAGACTCCAGAAGTGGTCAGGGTCTCAAATTGGCATCTCTGTCCTACTAGCACTGTGTATTCAAGAGCCAGAGCAAACCATGTTAAGAGTCAGGGAAAGTGGCAGCTATTTAGTCCCCGCAGCTATTTTTGTTCCTGCAGCCCCAGGCATTTCTGGTTGAATGCTGCCACTCACAGCATTCACACAAGATCTGGAAGCTATTTGGAGTTCAAAGGCACCCACAGACTTTAGCAAAGAAAAGCTGGAGTCAGCTCCTGGCTGGACAAAGGATATTAACATGTATGTCTGTTTAAGGGGCTTAGAGGGTTCTCGGTAGAGTTTCTAGATGGAAAGTCACCAAAGAAAATTCATGCCTGCAACATTTGCTCTGAGCCCAAACTCAGATGGGTTTGGAATAGGATTGGGAAGCACCCTTAGCGAAATTATGCAGTGTCCAGAGTGAAATCCGTCAAAGGTCAGGAAATGAGGGTCCCTGTCCACCCTCTTCTCAGCATGCAAATGGCAAGGACTCCTGATTGCTCAGGATGCAAATGGGATCCCAGAATGCATTTAACCCAGAGTCTATTTTTGCTCCTTGGAGCACACAGCAGACTTTATGTGATGCTCAGATTTGGAGTTTCTGAACCAACAACAAAAAGATAATGCTCAATTCTGCTTCTTATTTAGTAACTTCCCTTCTCTTTCCTTCCTTTCCTTTGTTTTTTTCTCCTTTATGTTCTGTCTTCTTACCACCTCTTATTCATCCTCCCTCTCCCCTTCCTACCATTAGTTCCTCCCACACACTTTTCTCCCTCCTCCTTTCTTTTCTTTCTCCCCTCCCTCCTCTTCTCTCTTACATTTGATCCTCTCAGAGCTGCACTTTGGCAGAGGCTGGCACAAGACCACTTAATCTAGAATCTCACCTTCTTGATCAGAGTCCAGTGGTCCTTCATAACTGAGAGGGAAGAGTTCATTCCTCTGGTGTTCATGAGTCTGAGCACTGAGCTCAGATAAGTTGCTAACAACTCATCTCTCCACTGAGAAGCTGGACAGACTTCAAGAGTGAGACATGGAGGCAGAAATCGCTGGGTAGACTCCCTGGGGCAGGCGTTAAGGAGAGGGAGGGCATGGAACCTGGAGAGAATCAGATAACCTGTGATCTGATCCTTACTTTCCTTTTTGTGAGCTTTTGGGTAGGCACCTTCCCTCTCCGCACCTCAGAGTTCTAGCTGCAAAAATAATAATGCTGGACTCAAACAGCCTTACCAGTTCCTTAATTTCTGATCCCTTTTGTTTTAGCATTGCCATAAAACTTCAGGCTTTATCCCCACGTAATAAATGTTATCCTCTTCGACGAATGAACAGGCTTATAATGAGAGTGGCTTTGACAGAATTTCCAAGCAGAGATAGGGAAGCAGATTTGACCCCAGGACTATGGATTGCAGATTCCACCTTGTCTTCTTCCCAGCTGCTGCAGTCTCTGGCTCCCACCCCAGTGGCCCCTTTCTTACTGACACAACCCACTGGCCCCAGAAAATGCTGACCTCCTCCTCTCTCCAGTGTGTCTCTGTGTGTGTGTGTCTGTGTGTGTGTGTGTCTGTGTGTGTGTGTGTGTGTGTGTGTGTGTGTGTGTGTGTGTGTGTGTGTTTTGGGGGAATCTTCCTTTTAGAAACTCAGAAGCAGGTCTGGAGGTTAAAAAATGAATATTTACTAAAGGCAATACTACAAGGGGAAAAAAGGTCTTTCTGAATTCAAGCTTCCGAATATATTTGGGTGCCAAGCCCAGATAAACTCTGGATTTAGGTTGTTTGGGGGCCAACTGAGTTTCCAGATCTGATGAGATCTTCAGACTGTCTTGGAAGACTTGCTTCCTCCAATTTTTATGGAAGATAAATTCCAGTGTTACCACAAGACTTCTGACAATCCCCAAAGCTGGCTTATGGGAATATGATCAATGTTTACAAAAGTAGAGTCATCTATTGAATGCGGGGCAATGGTCAGGGGCCCACCAAAGATCACCCTCCTTCTGCAGAGAAGAGGGTGATCTTTACCACAGACTCTGCCCACCTAGACCAAGGTTCTGGTCTTAGTTCCCTCTGTAGGATACAAAATGAAGAAAATATCAGCCTTTCTGTTCCATGGCCAGTGAAGTGTCAAGGGATGGAAAACTTAATTCAGGAATTCATTTGGGGAAAGAATCACTGGCTTGTTGATTTGTTTTCTTGTCATCCGACTTTGTTTTGTCCCTGTTCATAACAGATCATTCCCATTGCCCTGATATGAGCCAGACCTATGTGAGGGGTGTCAGTTATAGCCTTGGTCCTTGCTCCACTTCTGTGGTGAGGTGCTGCCAAGAGCTGTGGGGAAAGGAGTGGGGCTCAGAGCTGATGCCCATTTGTAGAAAAATAAAATAAAAGTTAAAGCAAATGACTTGGGTGAGAAAATGGATTGTGAGGAAGGAGATCTTAGAAGAAATGAATCAGGATAGAAAACAGATGCTGCTCCTGATTCACTAAATTGTAAAATGACCTGGTCTAGTTTCTTCTTTCTAATGTATTTCAACTTCAAATTCTTTGATTGATGGTACCTGGAGAGCATTGGCAACAGACGTCTATGATGTTCATACTTCTGTAACTCTTTAAACATTACACTCTTCATAAATTATTACATGAAGAGATTAATGGAGATATAGCCCTTATCCTTGTGATACGGTTTGGCTCTGTGTCCCCACCCACATCTCACCTTGAATTGTAATAATCCCCACATATCAAGAGTGGGACCAGGTGGAGATAATTGAATCATTTACTGTATTCATTCTCATGTTTTCATGCTTCTATGAAGAAATAACCAGGACTGGGTAATTTATTTTAAAAAAAGAGGTTTAATTGACTTGGAGTTCCACATGGTTGTGGAGGCCTCAGGAAACTTACAATCATGGCAGAAGGCACCTCTTCACAGACTGTCATGAGAGAGAATTACAGAGCAAAGAGGAGAAAGCCCCTTATAAAACCATCAGATCTCATAAGAACTCACTCGCTATCATGAGAAGGCATGGGGGAATGGCCTCCATGATCTAATATCATGATTCAATTATCTCCACCTGATCTCGCCCTTGACACATAAGGATTTTTATAATTCAAGTTGAGAGTTTGGTGGAGACACAGAGTCAAACCATATCATTCCACCACTGGCCCCTCCTAAACCTCATGTCCTCACATTTCAAAACACAAACATGCCCTCCCAACAGTCCCCCAAAGTCTTAACTCATTCCAGCACTAACCCAAAAGTCCAAGTCTAGAATCTAATCTGAGACAAGGCAAGTCCTTTCCAACTATGAGCCTATAAAATCAAAAGCAATTTAGCTATTTCCTAGATAAATGGGGGTACAGGCATTGGGTAAATACAGACATTCTAAATGGGAGAAAATGGCCAAAACAAAGGGGCCACAGGTCCCATGCAAGTGCAAAATCCAATAGGGCAGTCATTAAAACTTAAAGTTCCAAAATCATCTTATTTGATTCCATATCTCACATCTAGGTCATGCTGATGCAAGAGGTGGGCTCCCACAGCCTTGGGCAGCTCTGCCTCTGTGGCTTTGTAGGGTACAGCCCCCTTCCTGGCTGCTTTCACAGCTGGCATTGAGTGTCTGCAGCTTTTCCAGGCACACAGTGCAAGCTGTTGGTGGATCTACCATTCTGGGGTCTGGAGGACAATGGCCCTCTTCTCATAGCTCTGCCAGGCAGTGCCCCAGTGGGAACTCTGTTTGTGGGCTCCAACCCCAACACTTTCCTTCCACACTGCCCTAGCAGAGATTCTCCCTGAGGGCTCTGCCCCTGCAGCAGGCTTCTGCCTAGACATCCAGGTGTTTCCATACATCCTTTGAAATCTAGGTGGAGGTTCCCAAACCTCAATTCTTGTCTTCTGCGTACCCTCAGGACAAACACCACGTGGAAGCTGCCAAGGCTAGAGACTTGCACCCTCTGAAGCAACAGCCTAAGCTGTACCTGAGCCCCTTTTAGCCACAGCTGGAACTGAAGCAGCTGGGACACAGGGTGCCATGTTCTGAGGCTGCACAGAGCAGGGGTGCCCTGGGCCAGGCCCACTAAACCATTTTTCCCTTCTAGGCCTCTGAGACTGTGATGGGAGGGGCTGCTGTGAAGGTCTCTGACATGCCCTGGAAACATTTTCCCCATTGTCTTGGTGACTAACATTCAGCTCCTCATTACTTATGCAAATTTCTGCAGCTGGCTTAAATTTCTCAATTTGTCTTCTCTATTGCATCATCAGGCTGCAAATTTTCCAAACTTTTGTGCTCTCCTTCCTCTTGAATGCTTTGCTGCTTAGAAATTTCTTCCGCCAGATATTGTAAATCATCTCTCTCAAGTTCAAAGTTTCACAGATCTCTAGGGCAGGGGCAAAATGCCACCAGTCCTTTGCTAAAGCATAGAAAGACTCACCTTTGCTCCAGTTCCCAAGAAGTTCCTAATTTCCATCTGAGACCACCTCAGCTTGGACTTCATTGTTCATAACACTGTCAGCATTTTGGTCGAGACCATTCAACAAGTCTCTAGGAAGTTCCAAACTTTTCCACATCTTCCTGTCTTCTTCTGAGCCCTCCAAACTGTTTTTAAAAACAGCCTCTGCCTGTTACCCAATTCCAAAGTCACTTCCTCATTTTCAGGTATCTTTATAGCAGCACCCCACTCTTTGTGGTACCAATTTACCATCTTAGTTTGTTCTCACACTGCTATGAATAAAGTCCTGAGACTGGGTAATTTATAAGAAAAAGAGGTTTAATTGGCTCACAGTTCTGAATGGTTGGGGAGGCCTCAGGAAACTTACGTTCACAGCAGAAGGCACTTCTCTCTCCTGCTGTCCTGTGAAGAGGTGCCTTCTGCCATGACTGTAAGTTTCCTGAGGCCTCCCCAGCCATGCAGAACTGTGAGTCCATCACATCTCTTTTCTTTATAATTTACCCAGTCTCAGGTATTTCTTCACAGTAGTGTGATAATGAACTAATACACCTTTTACTATGCCTACAAATGCTTGGGATAGAACAGAATTGGCCTCTCATTTCTCCTTCAAATGCCTTGTAATAATCATGACTGCCCCCCAGATCTCTTGGACTTATGTCAATAAACTTTTTTTCTTTCACAGTGAAAAAACAAGGCCAAGTGACTTTTTATGACTTGATACACTGGGGTAGTATTAGAAATGAGACACTATCAAATGCTGCAACTTTCTGATACTTGTCCTACTTTGAAATGCAGGAATGTGGAAGAATGTTAGATATACATGTTCTCATTCAGAACCTCCCTTTGTAAAGTCCTGCCAATATCCCAGGGTGCATAATTTACAGTCAAAATGGACACTGAGGTGAGTGTAGATACTATGCTTGGGCAGTAATATGTGCAAGACTGTTAACTGTTAGGAAAACCAATACCAGAACACCTGAGATTCCAGGAAGCCCCATAAAGCTACATTTCTTTAATTGTTCTTGCTGCTATTTGAGTAATTTCCTGCCTTTGCTGTCACTCTTCCCATTAAGGGTTTATTCTTCAAAGACAAGGCCTCTGGGAACATCACCCTACCCCTTTTGTGGCTCCTCCCCATTGTTTCTTGGGCCAGATGGTCAGAGCTGACTTTACTACAGTGTGTGAAAATATCAGGCTATAACTCTCCTGTTGAGTAAGGATGCGCCTGCACTCATTACTCAGCTCAGCTCCGGTTGCTGCAGGGATAGTTTCATCATCCTCTGCATTTCAACTTCCTATTCCATGCTATCTACCACCCCCTCCACTACCCTTTCCTGCCTCTTAAGTGAGAAATCTCTCTTATGCTCTCCCTTCATCCTCAGCTATCAAAGACAAACAAGAGTCTTTCTAGATGAATCTCAACTTCGTAGGCTGTGTCTCTGCAAGACAGCTCTCCTCAAAATAAAATAATTCTTGACTTGGAAGTTTCTCTGTGTTATACCCCCAGGATTTCCAGACATAGAGTTTTCCTTTCACGGCATAGACCCCAAGGGGAAAAAATCAAAGAAATATACTTCCAAGATGTTCTTTCTTTCAGTAATTATTCTGCCCTTTGCACTTCTGTCATCAGACAATGTGTGAATTTTTGCCTGCAATTTCTCCAAATCCTTGTAGTTTTTAACCCGCCACACAAGTCATTGAAGTATTTGAATAACAGTTTCCATTTCCATATGATCGTCAATATAAATATGCATATATATATAAAACCTAATTATTTAAACTAAAATTGACACACATGTATAGTTTCTTCTTCCTCTGTCCGTTAAAGAAGACATACTCATGTATATATCTGGGGGGATTTACTTTAAAAATTTTTTGGTTATTTGAATTATAAAAGTAAAAGGTACATGTTTTAACAACTCAAAAGCATAAAAGGCTCTACAATCAAATTAATGGTCTTATGTCTTCCTCCTCCAGTCCCACAGTGGGAGGTATCCAGTGACTTAGTATACACAAATAGATGAATACAAGTAATGTTTTTACTCAAAATTTGAAAATACCCTACCTTTTATTAGTCTTTAACTCTGTTTTTCACTAAATGATGTATCATGACTATTTTTCTTCATTAATATATGAATTTTCACATTTCTGTTGTTTTAAATTACTTGTTTTAAGAGTAGATAAACTATGTAAAGAATATCTAGCCAGGAGCGGTGGCTTGTGCCTGCAGTTCCAGCTACTCAGGAGGCCGAGGTAGGATGGCTTCAGGCCAAAAGTTTGAGAACAGCCTGGGCAACATAGTGAGACTCTAAAAAAATTATCCAAAAAAAATTAGTGGGTGTGGTGGCACACTCCCATAGTCCTATCTACTCAGGAGGCTGAGGTGAAAGAATCATTTGATCTCAGGAGATTGAGGTCTACAGTGGGCTATGATTGCACCACTGCACTACAGCCTGGACAACAGAGCAGGATTCTGTTTCTAAAAGTAAAAAAATTAAAGAAATAAATGTATGGTCTAATGAGTCGACTAGACAAGGGATTGAAAAATTTCCTCTTGCCTGGCCAGACGTGGTGGCTCACGCCTGTAATTCCATCACTTTGGAAGGCTGAGGCGGGCAGATCACGAGGTCAGGAGATCGAGACCATCCTGGCTAACACGGTGAAACCCCGTCTCTACTAAAAATACAAAAAGTTAGCCGGGCTTGGTGGCGGGTGCCTGTAGTCCCAGCTACTTGGGAGGCTGAGGCAGGAGAATGGTGCGAACCCAGGAGGCGGAGCTTGCAGTGAGCCGAGATCGCACCACTGCACTCCAGCCTGGGCGAGAGTGGGAGACTCTGTCTTAAAAAAAAAAAAAAAAATTTCCTCTTGCCTTCCCTCCAGTTAATGCTCTGAAAGAGATTTGGACAGTGTGCTAAAGGAAGCACATTCCCTCTTTATATTTACTGCTAACCGTGGATTCCAATATTGAGAGGCAAAGATCCCTCTGCTTGACTTGTTTAACCTTGCCTTGGCTCATCCCATACTAAATTCTCTATATCCCAAATCCAGTTTCTCTATAGTGGTTATATCAGACAAAGTATTTCAATGGTTTTCAGGTACATCACATACTGGGGAGTGAGGAGTTTGGGCTCAGAGTATGCTGAGTTTGTGGTTCAGATCAGTCACATCACTGGGAGAAGGAAGCCATTTGGGTTAATTTGGGTCTCAAGAAACACAACCTTTGGCATCTGCATAAATTGAAGCCCTTTTTAGGGAGGCAGCTGGGTATCTGATGGATTTCTAAAATAAGAGTTCCATTAACAAGGTTGCTGTGTTGTACTGTTATGTTAGCAATTATCACAGAGGAAGTTAGTCTGGGATTAGGACCAGATTTTCCAAAGTGGGACTTGTAAACACTATGGAAGTAGACTTTCCTGTTGGTGATAGAAAGATTGACATTTAACAGCAGCCTTTTGTGCAGCACCAACAGGTCTGATTATCCTGATATTTGACCAAGTGTGTAGGTTGATTCGATTATGGTTTAGTGGATGTCTTGATTTTCAGCTCACCAAGAGCTAGCTATAACCTGTGGGTCCAAAAATTTAATTTCTAATATGTTTGTGCTGCACTAGCCTATGCGGTATTTGTAGGTGAGGGGAAGGTTCTAGATTGTGTTAACTATTTAAAATTAAAGAGGAAGATCATAACACAGGCTAGTCATGGAAATCCCAGTCCTGTCACCTCAAATAGGCTAAAAGTTCTCATGAAACCAATTTGTACTTTTTATTCCAGAAGAATTTATGCTCCACTTCAGAATTTAAAAATTAAGCAATGGGTGTATTCACTAAATATTGGAAATAAGAGAGTGCACACATTATCTTTTTCCAAACTCAAATTGAATGAACTAAACCTTATTGAGTTGAAGAAATGGTCTCTTAGTTTCAAACAGGACCTAATATCTGGAACAGATTAAAATGGTAAGAAGCTTAATGTTGTTTACTTTTGAGCCAACAAAATAAAATATTGGTGGAAAACAACTCTATTACCCAGAAGAGAGAGAAATGGGAAAGATTTCCAATTAGGTCAACTCCCAAAGAACGTTTTGACCTTACCTTATTAACTTATCCTGGACCACAAAAGGAGAGCTAAAAGCTGTTAATAACAATAGTTATCATGTTAGCATTAATGAGGTAAACTTTTGATGTTATTCGGTGCATTATTAAAGAAACGCTCAGATATCATTTTGTTTCAAGCTGGCTGATTATCTTCAAAACCAGATTTAAGACGTGCTGAGAGAGTTTAGCAATGTACAAAAATCGTCTATAATTAGTCAGTTCTTTCAAAGTGTTGTGGAATAAACTTAGAGACACATGGTGAAACATAAGGTTTAATATGGAGCAGAGTCTAATTTGAAGTCAGTCTTGATGCATGTGTAATGAAAATTATTCCTAATGGTACTCACAAACCACTGCAATTAATAATAATATCAAAACCCAATGGACATGCTCTTTTGCTGGGTGATGTAAGTAATAACATGGACTGCTATTTGTGATCACAGTGAAACTGGGCTCCACAAACCGATGATTATGTTGGCAGCTTATCCTTGGAGTCTCTTACTGCTGCAGGAAACAAGAAAAGTGGTGAGGAAAGACTGAGAAATGTTTTCATTAGCAGTGAGTCTCATGAAAGTCTGTAACTTTCTCCAACAAGATGACACTAAAAGACATCTCAGTGACCCTGGATATTGTGATATAGCAGCTCAAATATTGAGGTGGGTATGAACCAACAAAATACCAAAATAAGGTTTCCAGAAAAATATTAAACGGATAGTAGATATGAATAGGAATGTGACATACTTTCTATAAATCCTAATAGTATAGAAACCTACAACTGTTTTCTAGACTTCCCTGCCTGTGTCTTCAGCTTTTCAGTTTCGCTCCTTCCTCTCAACCTGTGAAAATGTTTGTTTTTAGAGCTTCTGTTAGGATAATTTATTTGTAGAGCTATTGCTTTTATTCTTTCCTATCATCCTTAAATGTCTGAAAGATTAGTATGCTTTTGTTATATGTATTTCCTTATCTGTATATTTTTGAATTGGCTAAAATCTATGTTTACAATGAAGTCTCTTGCTCAAGTCACCAATGACTTCCTAATTTCCAAATGCCAAAATCAGTGAGTGCCCTACATCCTCATCCTCTTTGATCTCTAATGTACTAACAATATCATGGCTTCTTTGAAAAATCCTCTTTTCCTTTGAATTTTGGAGAACTTTTCCTTTTCCTTCTGGGTCTCCTCCTATCTCTGGTTCCCACCCTTTTTTATGTGGGCTTCCCTTCTTCTTCCTTAGACGTCAACATTCCAGTAGGTTCCGTCCTAGCTTTCTACTCAGCCATTAGGAACAGGCTCACTCCTTCCATGGGTTTAACAAATACTAATTTCCATCCCATGATTCCCAAAGTTCAACGACCATTTATACGTTCAACATTCATCGATCAACTTTTGTGTGATAGGCAATGGAGAGATAATGAACAGGACAGGGTATCTGACTTATGGACCTCGAAGTTCAGTGTGGAAACAGATACAAACAGAGGGATAAAGGCAGAGACATAAATGGAATTATGCTTAAAGAACTACGTGAACACAGAAAAACACCTTCTTTTAGCTTCCATCTCCCTTTTAATTTCACATGTATATTTCCAACATCTTTAATTGAATATTTCTCAGTCGCCACAAACTCAATATGCTGAAGTGAGAATAATGAGTTCCTCCATCCCACACTCACCCAATATCCCAAACCCACATCTTGTACTGTATTCCCTATATTGGCTAATACAGTGATAAAAACAATACATGCGCTTGTCTAAGCTTGGAGTTCTGTAATCTTTTTCATCCATTTCTTCTTTCTCATTCTTTACATTCAAATAGTTATCTCCTAAGTACCTCTCAAATCTATTTTTTCTTTTCTCCTTTTCATATTTTCTATCCTCTTCTCATTTTGATTTCTCTTCTTCTCTCCTATGTTGTTCAATCTTCTTAATGGCCTCTTTGTCCCCCAAATCTTCCTCTTCAACTCAAATTATCTTTAGAGTTAACATTTTAAATGTCAGGATTGTTTATGTTGTTATGTTGACTAGGAAGCCCAGCTGTGACTGCTGTACTTTTAGATGTCTCCATACTTTTTGCAGCCAACGAGGCCCAGGGCATGTAAGAGACCCTACAAGTCATAGCACTTTCTATCTTCTTCTGCATTCCCTAGGACTGATTCTACTTTATAAAACTGGACTTCCTTTTGGGCATTTCTCATTTATTCTCAATATTTCTGCATAATATTTAGTATCCCCATAGAACTAAGCCCATTCATGAACCCCAGATATTTTTTCCTTATTATTCTACCTATCACATCCATTTTGTTCCTCTAGCCATGTAGTCACCTCAAAAATCCTTTGTTGAGCTCCTCTGAGGTACCATCCATTATACTAGGCACCGGGGATATAAATGTGTATAGAATCAACTCCTAGCCTTAGAAGACTCAGGATCTCATGGGGACAAAATGTTCATTTAAAAAAATAATTTCAATACTTCACATGTAAAGAATTGGTAAAACAGGAGAATGCAAAAATATACAAAATTAGAGGGACTGTCATTCTGTGTTTTCCAAATTCCCTACAATGACCCTTTATTACACTTGTAATTACAAAAGTGATCAACTCACAAAATGAAATCTCAAGATGGCATGTGGAGTACTTACAAAATTCTCCATAGAAATTCTTTGGGAATAGAAAATATATGAACTTAAAGCGGCTACTTTTTAGCCAAATAAAATAAAAATTCAAAGTGTAAGTTTCTATGTAGACTTTATCTAATACCGTATGTTTTAATACAACCATTACATTTGCTCCGTGAGTGATACACTGGTATCACTTTCTCACTTTGTATCACAAGTAAGAAAGAACCCAGGAAGGAAGCTGTTCCTCATTTACTCTTAGCCTCATATTGCCCCCTTCCCTCTTGCTCTGAGCCCTCAGCAACCTAGATTCTTTCTGTCTTTGGAACCTCCTGTGTCCCCTCTCGCCTCAGGGCCTTCGCACATACTGCAGCTTCCTCTATGTGACGCTCCGCTGTCCCAACACACACCCATGGCTGTGAACTTATGCATACTTTAGGTCAGCTGTTCTCGTGTGTGTGTGTGTGTGTGTGTGTGTGTGTGTGTGAAAACTGGATTGTTCCCCGGAGAATACTTGGAAATGTCTGGAGACATTTTTGGTTGTCACAATAGGTTGGTGGTGTTAGTGTCATCTAGTGGGTAGAGCACGGGGATGTTGCTAAATATCTCCCAGTCCTATAGGATGGTCAGCAACAACAGAAAATTATTTTGCCTTAAATGTCACTACCTCTAAGGTGAGGGAACTCTGTTTTAGGCCACAACTCGGGAGATTTCTTTGCCAAAATTAGAACTCCTTGTCAACCTTTCTCAAAGCACATTGCTTTTCTTCAAAGGACCTCTCTTTGTAATAATGTATCATTTGAGGGTAGAGTCCATGCCTATGTAGCTTGCCATTTTATCCTCAGTGCCTAGCTCAGAGTTAAGTCAACTGAAAATTTGTTTGAAGGAAGAAAGAGGAAAAGCAGGGAGAAGGCAGGCAAAGGAAATAAGACAGGAGGAGAGACCTGGGCTTTCTGAGCCCTTCATCTGTTATAAAGTTACTGATATAAGTCACACATTTTTCCCTCATTTGTAAGTCAGGAATGCTAATCCATTCTGTTTCCATGGGTTGGGTTATATGAGAAATAAATGTGCTTCACTCTGTGATCAATCATAGAAAGCATGAAGAATGGTGGTGAAAAGCCTCTGATGCAGCAATCTGTGCAGAGGCAGATCTGGAGAGAAAGGGGTAGCATAGCTTCAGTCACCGCAGAGAAGAAGCAACAGCAACAGTAGCAACAGTGCTCAGGAGTGAGATATTCATAGACTGGAACCACCTGCACACCCTGGCTGGGATGGCCAAAAACATGGCAGGTACCATCTATAAAGACAAGGTTAAAATCTTTAGGCAGGAGAATAGAAAGCTGATACAACTATCCAAGAAGAAAGAAGAAGCACAAAACGAAAATAAGGGTTACAAACATACAAAACTTCATATAAGCATTTCAGCTTCAAAAAGAGCATTAGGAGACAAGGAAAGAGAGAGGCTTCTATGAGGAGAGAACTCCGAAAGGACTTATTTAAAGGATGATGACCTTGTAAGAAGGTGGAAAGCGTGTGATTAACTTGTATTCCAGTATGGGGGAGGTGAGCCGACCTGGTGAGTCTGTTCCTTGTGAGAGAAGCAGTGGAGTGAGGTCAGGAGAGGGAACTTAGAACACATCTTCCAAAGAACCCCATCATGGGAAGTAGCAGAGCAGGAAAGAGAGCCAAAAAGTTGGCAAAGAATGATGGGCATGCAATGAGATCCACTGTCCTGTGACATTCCCATATTTTGCATAAAGTGGTTGAATAACATGCCTTTCTTATGAATGAATTTCTTGTGGAAAAGACAGAGGACAGAATTTCAGATCTGAGTATGGTGTGGGATAGACCTGTGGAAGCTGCAGGGACCTGGGAGAAGTGGCAGAGAGAGGCCAAAGAATAATAAATAAAATTGTGGGAGGAGGTTTGCAGGCATTGCTCTCAGGTCTTGAGCGTCACCCTCTGAAGATCTGGGGATGTAGGCTTACTCTGGGATAAGGGCAGATATTGAGTGAGAAATTATGCAGTGGGGAGATGGATGTTCAATTACATTGCAACATAATCTGTAGATATAATATGGAACTTTCAGTGAACTCCAGATTGAAAAGGAAACTGAAACTGCTTTTCTTAAAATTGATACATAATATTTTACATATTTATGCGGGTACATGTGATATCTTGTTGCATCCATAGAATGTGTAATGATCTTTGGTGAAAAGGGCCTAGAAGTGTTGGAAATAATTTTTTAACAAGCTAAGAAGAAAGAATCTCTTTTTTTCTTTCAAACAACAAAATGTCATAAAGATATATATATATATATATATACACACATATATGCTATATAAACATAAAATAGCTATATAACCTATTTATATCTGTATCTATCTATATATTTATGTATAATAAACAAAATTGTTATAAAAAGAAAGCACTTCCAAGAAAAATAAAATTTACAATTGGAATAAGATGGGAGCAAATATTTGACATATAAGGCAAAATATAAACCATGCCATGAAAGGAATTTAAACAAAGAGCCCAGGGATTTAGGGATAAGGAGAGGTCAACTCCAGTTTCAATATCAAAAAAGGCTCTCTGTAGGAGAAGTTTTGGAGCTGCCTCATACCTTCCGTCAGAAATTCTATATAGAGACCTCATAAACCTCTCTTTAAAACTCCAAAGGTGAAGAAGATTAGTGTATGTACAGAAACTATTGTTCCAGGAGCTACAAGATGCTACAGTACATTATCTATTTAATATTTACAAGAAACCCATAAGATAGATATTTTTTAACCTCCATTTTACAGATGAGGAAACTAAGGTTTAAATAAGTTAATTAACTTGGCCAACTTCTTGCCCCAGAAGGCAGCAAAAGCCGAAACTGGAATTTAAACCTCTGGATTTCTGGCCCTACCTCAAGGGGTTCCTTCTTAAGGAGCCTCAGCATTTACTAAAGAAGAATTGGGTTAGTAGCAAACTCAAATGAAGTGGGTGCAGATCAGTCATGATCCCCATGAGAAACACAGGGCACAATTAGTTAAATAATTGGGAGTTGAATAAAGGAACTCCTTATAAAGCCATAGGCAACAATATCATGTCATTGATAAGAAATGAATGACAGAGTACCCTGGGGGCTAGTAACAGCAAGATGCCACTCAACCCTAGGCTGAAGGTGTAGGGGAGGGAGTGGTCACCAAGACCTGAGGCAGAGAGCTGTGAGGAAAGGACCACCTGAAGGATGAAACTGAAGGATGCAGCCAGCCAACAATGACCCTGCACGGCGGGAGACATGGGAATAAATATCGTGACACCACATTCCACTCAACAACTGATCTCTTGCTGTGCTCTCCATTGGCCAAACTTGACTTGGCTCAGGGCAGATCTTCAGGAGGCTGCAAATAAAAGGAAGAGGAACATGGGAAATAGCATCACGGTGCCTTGGCTGAGACCATTAGGCTTGATATTGCTATGATTCCTACATACAACAATGAACTTCCAAATTGTCCTGATAGGCTGAGTTTTTCAAGTTAAAGGATTATATCTCATACGTCTTTCTATTCCCAATTTGAACATGAAGCTTAGAATGTTAGCAGGCTGTTAATACATGCTTACTAAATTGACTTGAATTAATAAAGGAATTTTGCCACCTGAGGGTTATCAATCTAAAATGTTTTAGAAATATAATAGTCATCTGGCAGGCGATGCTTCCAAATTTCTCAGATTTCCAGGCTCACTGTAGGACTAGAAACTGAATAAGGAGCTGAAAAAATGTAATTGGATAACTAAGAGATTTTGTGAGTGGCTCTCAAGAATGACCTGTCATTTGTAGACAGAGTTTTTTTTGATTCCTCATGTCATTCCCCGGGGAGGAGGGACTCAGCATTAGTCTCTCAGCTTTAGGGACTCAGCAAAGAAGGCTGACTCAGCATTAATGCATCTATTCACAATCACTGAACATATGCAGAAGAGCAAATATGATGCTGTCAACACCTCCTCATGGAGCAACATGGAAGATTCCAACACAGTGCATGTTGCTGTAAACAGTCCCTCCAAGCAACGTGCAGTGGGCATGGCGTGATGAGCTCTCAGACCTCCCTCTCTACTGCTTAACGTTTTTCTTCCTGGGAAACACTCCTAACCATTCTCACTTTTAATCACAAGCAGCTATGCAATACAATTTTTAAAGTGAGGGAATTCTAGATCCAAAGGATCCCTAAATATATATATATTTTTGTATCTTTTCATCCTGCAGAAGAGGAAACTGAGACCCAACATAAACATCTGTGGAATGCCTGACTGGATAAACCCTCACAGGACCAACATGTTGAAGCCCATCCCAAGGAAATGAAGTGTTCAAAAACCTTTGTCCTCCAAATTGCTCCAGCTAATGAAAAGTGTTGTGCTCAACCAGAGTCTTACTTTTTGGAACCTCAGTTTCCTCATCTTAGAAGATAAGCATCATAGTAACTTTCTCCTAAGGTTATGATACAAATGAGTGAATGGGTATAAGTTCTATAAACTCTAAAATGTAATAAAATTCATTCAGTTATTTACTAATAAGTGAACAATATTTTCTGACAGGCTTCCTCTATTTGGGATTTGAAGATCAGGTTCTTTCAAGGATTTTGCTCCTAAATGTTCTCTTTCTCCTGCCTCATTTTTAAAAAATAAACCTTTTGTTTTAGAATAGTTTTAGATTTACAAAAAAAAAAAAAAAAGGAAGATGATACAGAATTCCCAAATACCCCACATCCTGCCTCATCAATTTTTTTCTCTCTCTGTATCCCTTTGCAATCTGTACACAGACATAAGGGAGAGTGCCTTCCATCTTAAAACAGCAGAGAAATATCTTTTTCCTGGACATTTCTCTTCAATTGATATCCAGTTTCACCCTTCCACTTCACAGCAAAACTACTTAAAGAGGTATTTATCTCTATTAATGGTCTTACCTACTTCACCCCCATTATTTCCATCCTCCACTTTTGTCCCCATGACTCCACTCATGCAGAATTGTCAAAATCCTCCGTGTTGCCTAGACCAGGGGTCACTTCTGTGTCTTTGTCTTATTCAATGTCTCATCAGCATTCATTTCGATTTATTTCTTCCTCCTTCTTAGAAGCCTCTCTTTCCTTGGCTTCTGTGATCCCACAAACTCTTATTTCACTGGTTGTCTTTCTTTAATGTCTTTTGCAATCTATTTCTTCTCTGTGTGCTCTCTGAATGTCAACCTGCCTCTGGGCACGTCAGAACCTTCTTTCTCCCCCTCTTTCTATTCAATTCCTAGAAGATCTCATTTCATTTCATGGCTTCTATCCACTTTATATCCAATGACTCCCACATTGATATTTCCAGTCGTCATCTCAATTTGGAGGACTGAAATTGTATCTTCACCTACAGACTTTGTATCTCCACTTGGATGTCTAGTAGTTATGTCAAGTTTTATACAGTCAAAACAGAACTCCCTGTCACTCTCTGCTCCAGTCTGACCCTTCCTCAGCTGTACCTCTGTAAATGGTACTATCCAGTGGTCCAAGCTAAAGAGACAGACATTGTCCTTGATTCTTCATTGTCTTGATTCCCTCAAACCTTCACATTCAATCTACCAGCATGTCCCTTCAACCTTACTTCAAACATATTCTCAACCTGTTCACATTTTTTCCATCTCCAACATTCCACTTCACTTTACATCACCAGCCAGCCTGCTGAAATGGCCTCTGAAGTGGTTTCCTTGCTTGCATTATTACCCGCTTCCTACTTTCACTAAACTCATTCTCCACATGGCGGACAGAGTGATATTAAGTTGTTGACCATATCCTGTCACTTTAAACTATTCAGTGGCTTGATAGTGCATTCAAAATAAATCCAAACTATCAAAAATCTCTTGGCCGCCAGGGCCCTCTCTGCATGATCTGGCCTCATTTTCTTCTCTCTCTCAGATCTTATGTCCTATCAGTCTTTTCTTGCACATTAGCCACTCTGGCCTGCTTTATGTTTTGCAAATACAGGAAGATTTTTTCTAAGAGTTTTTCTCTTGCCATTCTCTCAGCATAGCACACTCGACTCCACAAGATTATTCTATGATCAGCTCTTTACTATCTGGTTGGAGAGACTTTTCTTCACTACCTTTTGGAAAGAACCTTCTTCTCCCCTCCCTTCGTTACTCACCATTTCATATCCCTGTTTTAATTTTTTCATTGC